>NC_000001.11:35178835-35803835 GCF_000001405.40 Homo sapiens | reverse complement strand
TCCTTAATGCACAAGCTCTGAGTGTCTCAGGTATGTCTCATCACCTACTGCTTAAGGATGTCTTGAGGAGGAAGTTAAATTATATATGTGCCTGCTCCTGTGTATCTGGCACAGAGATAGTTACTAGTTCTCCTTCCTTCCTACTGTTCCCCCTCCAAAAAGTCACAATGTGATGTCTCTCTTCTCCCATGCTGCTGTCATGCTGTCCTTTGAGAGACACTGAGCTCAAGATCTCAGCTGAGTCAAGAAAGGAAAGCAGCCTGTAATCCCAGCACTTTGGGAGGCCAAGGTGGGCAGATCACCTGAGGTCAGGAATTTAAGACCCGCCTGGCCAACATGAAAAAACCTCTTCTCTACTAAAAATACAAAAATTAGCTGGGCGTAGTGGCGGGCACCTGTAATCCCAGCTACTCAAGGAGGCTGAGGCAGGAGATCACTTCAACCTGGGAGGTGGAGGTTGCAGTAAGCCGAGATCGTGCCACCGCACTCCAGCCTAGGTGACAGAGTGAGACTCCGTCTCAAAAAAAAAAAAAAAAAAAGAGGAGAGCAGAGCCCCCAAGAACTGAGCATGTTTACATGTCTTATGCCTGAGCCACCTGAAGACAGGGCCTTGGCTCACCCCTCTTGGGGTGAGAGCCAGGCACAAAGAACATCCTTGATCAAGGTGTATAAGTGGAACTGAACTTCTTGAATATATCAATGCTTGCCTGAAGCTAGGCCTTGCCAGGGGGAGCCTTACTAGTGGATGCTGTTTTAGAAAGCTGTTTTAGAAAGCAGGGCGCCAGCTACCAGTGCTGCATGGGGCACTCTGAGCCACTGGTCTCTGTCAGTGCTTTGACTCCCCAGCCTTTCCTTACCCCAGCTTTCCTCAAAGTGTGGAGCTTAGGAGTTGAGGTGGAGCTTCTTTGGTTTATCAGTTGGGCCAGGGGTTTTAATTCTTCTTTAGCTGGGGAACCCGTTATTCAAATAAAAATCTTCAATGTAAACTGAAGTGGAGCCACTCTGTTAGAGATGGACAGAGACCTTCATTGAACACTACTGAACTAGACCAGCTCGCCACGAGCCACCACCTAGCATCTGAATAGAATTTTGGCCCACCTGCTCCTACTCAATTGGCAGCTTTGCTCTTTTGCATCTTTCTTTTAAGAGATGGGGGTCTCATCATGTTGCCCAGGCTGGTCTCAGACTCCTGGGCTCAAGTGATCCTCCTGCCTTGGCCTCCCAAAGTGCTGGGATTACAGGCATGAGCCACCTCGCCTGGGCTTCATTGCTTTTTGTGGCTGAATAATATTTCACTGTGTGGATATGCCACATTTTATTTATCCATTCATCAGTCGGTTGACATTTGGGTTGTTTCACTGTTTGGCTATAATAATACTGCTATGAACATTCATGTACAAGTTTTTGTGTGGACATACATTTTCAGTTCTTTTGGATATAATCCTAGAGGTAAAATTCCTGGGTCATATGTAACTATGTTTAACTTTTGACAAACTGCCAAACTGTTTTTCCTCAGTAGCTGTATCATTTTACATTTCTACCAGCAATGTATGAGAGTTCTAATTTTTCCATATTCTTGCCAACACTTAATTTTATTTATTTATTTACTTTGAGACAGGGTCTCCCTCTGTTTCCCAGGCTGGAGTGCAGTGGCACAATCATGGCTTACTGTAGCCTCAACCTCCCCAGCTCAAGCAATCCTCCCACCTCATCCTCCCACCTCATCCTCCTGAGTAGTTGGGACTACAGGCGTGCACCACCACATTCAGCTAATTTTTGTACTTTTTGTAGAGAGTAGAGACAAAATCTCACTCTGCTGCCCAGGTTGGTCTTGAACTCCTGGGCTCAACTGATCCTCCTGACTTGGCCTCCCAAAGTGCTGGGATTATGGGCATGAACCACTGCACCTTGCCTACACTTATTTTTAGATTAAAAATATTATAGCCATCTTTCTGCATGTGAGGTGGTATCGCCTTGTGGTTTGCATTTTCCTAAGTACTAATGATGTTGAACACCATGTACTTACTGGCCATTTGTATGTCTTCTTTGGAGAAATGTCTATTCAAATCTTCTGTCCTTTTAAAAATTGGATAATTTATCTCTTTTGTTATTGAGCTGCAGGAGTCCTTTATACATCCTTGATACCAGTCCCTTATCAGGTGATTTGCAAAACTTTCCTACGTTCTGCTGGATATTTCACTTTCCTCTTTTTGTTTTTAACGTTCCTTCCTGCACACTGAACTATTTCACTTTTTTAATGGTGTTCTTTGAAGTACAAAAGTTTCTCATGTAGATGAAGTCCAGTTTATTTTTTTCTTTGGTTTCTTGTGCTTTTTTGTTATTATCTAAGAAATCTAATCCATGATCATGAAGATTTATTCCTATGTTGTCTTCTAACAGTTTTAGTTTTAGCTCTTACATTTGGGTCTTTGGCCCATTTTGAGTTAACTTTTGTATACAGCATGATGTAGGGGTTCAAAATCATTCTTTTGTATATGAATACTGAGTTGTCCAAGCACCATTTGTTGAAAAGACTATTCTTTCCCCTAATGAATGGTCTGGCACCCTTGTTGAAAATTAGTTGACTGCTGGGCGCAGTGGCTCACGCCTGTAATCCCAGCACTTTGGGAGGCTGAGGCAGGTGGATCACCTGAGGTCAAGAGTTCTAGACCAGCCTGGCCAACATGGTAAAACCTCGTCCCTACTAAAAATACAAAAATTAGCCAGGCATGGTGGCAGGTGCCTGTAATCTCAGCTACTCGGGGGGCTGAGGCAGGAGAATCTCTTGAACTTGGTTGCAGTGCGCCGACATCGCACCATCGCACTCCAGCCTGGGGCACAAGAGCAAGACTTTATCTCAAAAAAAAAAAAAAAAGAAAAAGAAAAGAAAAAGAAAAGAAAATCAGTTGACTGCTGGGGGCGGTGGCTCACACCTGTAATCCCAGCACTTTGGGAGGCCGAGGCAGGTGCATCACCTGAGGTTGGGAGCTCGAGACCAGCCTGGCCAACATGGTGAAACCTTGTCTCTACTAAAAATACAAAATTAGCTGGCATGGTGGCGGGCACCTGTAATCCCAGCTACTTAGGAGGCTGAGGCAGGAGAATTGCTTGAACCTGGCAGGCGGAGATTGCAGTGAGCCGGGATTGCGCCACTACACTCCAGTCTGGGTGACAGAGTGAGACTCCATCTCAAAAAATAAATAAAAAAGAAAGTCAGTTGACTATACATGTAAGGGTTTATTTCTAGACTGTTAATTCTATCCCGTCAATCTTATGTCTATCCTTATGCCAGTATCACATTGCCTCAATTACTGTAACTTTGTAGTAAATTTTGAAATCAGGAAGTGCAAGTCATCCAACTTTGTTCTTCTTTTTCAAGATTGTTGTGGCTATTCTGGGTCCCTTGCATTTCCATATGAATTTTAGGATATGCTTGTCCATTTCTGCAAGAAAGGCAGTTGGAACTTGTGTGTGTGTATGTGTGTGTGTGTGTGTGTGTGTGTGTGTGTGTATGTGTGTGTGTGGTTTTTCTTTTCTTTTCTTTTTTTTTTTTTTGCGACAGTCTCACTCTGTGGCCCAGCCTGGAGTGCAGTGGCGCCATCTCACGATCTCAGCTCACTGCAACCTCCATCTCCCGGGTTCAAGTGATTCTCATGCCTCAGCCTCCTGAGTAGCTGGGATTACAGGCACGTGCCACCATGCCTAGCTAATTTTTTGTATTTTTAGTAGAGACGGTGTTTCACCATGTTGGCCAGGCTGGTCTTGAACTCCTGACCTCAGATGATCCACCCGCCTCGACCTCTCAAAGTGCTAAGATTACAGGCATGAGCCACTGAGCCCAGCCTTTTTGTTGGAATTTTGATATGAATTACATTGAATCTGTAAGTCAATTTGGGGAGTATTGCCATCTTAACAATATTAAGTATTGCAATTCATGAACACAGGATATCTTTCCATTTATTTATGTATTCTTTAACTTATTTCAACAATGTTTTATAATTTTCAGTGTTTAAAAAAAAACCGCCGGGCACAGTGGCTCACGCCTATAATCTCAGCACTTTCGGAGGCCGAGGCAGGCAGATCACGAGGTCAGGAGATCGGGACCATCCTGGCTAACACGGTGAAACCCTGTCTCTACTAAAAATACAAAAAATTAGCAGGTTGTGGTGGCACTTGCCTGTAGTCCCAGCTACTGGGGAGGCTGAGGCAGGAGAATGGCATGAACCTGGGAGGCGGAGCTTGCAGTGAGCTGAGATCGCGCCACTGCACTCCAGCCTGGCCAACAGAGTGAGACTCCATCTCTCAAAAAAAAAAAAAAATTCTATGGTTAAATTTATTCCTAAGTATTTTCTTATTTTTGATGCTATTGTAAATGGAATTGTTTTCTCAATTTCATTTAGGATTATTCATTGCTAGTGTTTAGAAATATTATGCAACTGATTTTTTTATATTAAACTTGCATCTGCAACCTTACTGAACTCATTTATTACATCTAACATGACGCTCCCTGGTAGTCTACTGGTTAGGATTCGGTGCACTCACTTATTACCTCTAACAGGTTTTTTGTGTGGATTCTTTTTTTTGTTTTTTGGGGGGTAGGTGGGGATGGAGTCTAGCTCTGTTGCCCAGGTTGGAGTGCAGTGGTGCGGTCTTGGCTCACTGCAACCTCCGCCTCCTGGGTTCAAGTGATTCTTCTGCCTCAGCCTCCCAAGAAGTAGCTGGGATTATGGGCACCTGCCACCATGCCAAACTACTTTTTGTATTTTTAGTAGAGATGGGGTTTCACTGTGTTGGCCAGGCTGGACTCGAACTCCTGACCTTGTGATCCGCCCGCCTTAGCCTCCCAAAGTGCTGGGATTACAAGTGTGAGCCAATGCGCCCGGCCTTGTGTGGATTCTTTAGGGTTTTCTATATATAAGATCATGTCAGCCAGGCGCAATGGCTCACGCCTGTAATCCCAGCACTTTGGGAGGCCGAGGTGAGTGAATTGCTTGGGCCCAGGAGCTCAAGACCAGCCTAGGCAACATGGTGAAATCCTATCTCTCCTAAAATCACAAAAAATTAGCCAGGTGTGGGGGTGCATGCCTGTAGTCCCAGCTACTTGGGAGGCTGAGGCAGGAGAATCACTTGAGCTTAGGAAGTTGAGGCTGCAGTGAGCCAAGATGGTGCCACTGCACTCCAGCCTAGGCAACAGGAGTGAAACTCTGACTTAAAAAAAAAAAAATCACAATAGCAAAGACTTGGAACCAACCCAAACGCCCATCAGTGATAGACTGGATAAAGAAAATGTGGCACATATACACCATAGAATGCTATTCAGCCATAAAAAATAATCAGTTCATGTCCTTTGCAGGGACATGGATGAAGCTGGTAACCATCATTCTCCACAAACTGACACAGGAACAGAAAACCAAACAGAGCATGTTTTCACTCATAAGTGGGAGTTGAACAATGAGAACACATGGACACGGGGAGGGGAACATCACACACTGGGGACTGTCAGGGAGTGGGGGGAAAGGGGAGGGATAGCATTAGGACAAATACTTAATGCATGCGGGGCTTAAAACCTAGATGATGGGTTGATGGGTGCAGCAAACCACCATGGCACATGTGTACCTATATAACAAACCTGCACATTCTGCACATGTATCCCAGAACTTAAAGTATATATATATAAAAACATGTCAACTGCAAATAGAGATAGAGATAGTTTCACTTCTTCCTTTTCAAAATAGATACTTCAAAAAAATTTTTCTTGCTTAATTACCCTCCAGTACAAGGTTGAACAGAAATGTCTCTTTTGTATTTCATAGGCAGCTTTCTGCATGTTCATAAACGCCAGGAATAAAGAGACTTGGCAACTGTATTTGATTTTACCATCTTTGTCAATGAGATGGCATAGCTAGCAAGGAGAGCAATGCCTCAGGCATTGATAAACAATCAATGAATATGTTTGCTTTTACTTTCAGCCTTTATTTCTACTCACTTTTTAACCACACCAATTGATTTTTCTTTCTCTTCCTTAAGATGAAGTAAAGGGAATGAATTATGAAATGAGATAAGCCTGCATTCAAATTCCGATTTATATTCTAATTCTCCAATTTCAATTTTATAGGCCATGTTACTTTAAGTTGTCTCCTCACCTCTCTGAAACTCAACTTCCTCAACTGTAAAATGGAGATGACACCAATCGTTTCATAGGGTTATTGAAAGGATTAAAGGAGATGAATGGAAAGCGTCTAACAGAGTGCCTGGGACTTTGAATGGGCTCAAAAAGTGCCCAATCCCTTTCACTTCCTCCTTAGTGCTGAACAAGCCTCTTTTATCTGTAGGTTGGGAAAAATGACTGATTTTTATTTTTTTTTTATTTTTATTTTTTGAGACAGGGTCTCACTCTGTCACCCAGACTCAAGTGCAGTGGTGTGATCACAGCTCGTGTAGCCTCGACCACCCTGGACTCAGGTCATCCTCCTACCTCAGCCTCCCAAGTAGCTGGGACTATAGGCGTGCGCCACCATGCCCAGCTAATTTTTGTTTGGGCACAAATGATCCTCCTGCCTAGGTCTCCCAAAGTGTTGGGATTACAGGTGTGAGCCACTGCACCCAGCTATAATTTTAAAAAGACCTTTCTAATACCCAGAGTGATTCAAAGAAGGAAGGGGTCTTGGGAAGTAGTGAGCTCCAAGTTTAGGGGGTGTTCAAGCATGATGTTTGAGGGGCTTGAGATTATGTTTGGAGTGTTTGAGATGATGAAAAGGTAAAGTCAGATGACTTTTGTGGTTCCATAGAATCTATTAAGTTGTGTGAAGATATGTATTGACTAACGTGTTATTCTGTTTTTTCAGCAACTATTTATTGAGTATCTACCATGTGCCAGACCCTGTGGTAAGTAATGGGAATCCAAGAGTGAGCAAGAGAAGCAGGGTTCCTGTCCTCTGGGAGTTCACAGTCTTGAATGAGACTAACAATAAAAGGCAAAAAAACAAAAACAAAAACAAAAAAAAACCGAATAAGATCACTACAAAGTGTGATGAGCATTGTAGCAGAAATAAACTAAATGAGAGAGTTTACCTAGGGGAGGCAATTTTAGAAAAAGTAGAAAGGGATTGCCTCTCTGATATAGGGAGGCTGTATCACTGATTTGAACTGAGCACTTCTGGTGGTTTTAAAACAGGGCCACAAATTATTTGAGATTTCACCCATCAGGAGGTAGGGTCTATGTCCTCTCTCCTTTTATATGGATGGGCTTATGACCACTTTGACCAATGGAGAATGGCAGAATTGATACTATGTGATGTCCAAGGCTAGGTGATAAAAGGCCATCTAGTGCTTTACCTTGCTCAGTAGAGCACTCTCTCAGGGGAACCCTGAGCTGTCATGTAAGAAGTCTGACTGCTGGGCATGGTGGCTCACGCCTGTAATCCCAGCACTCTGGGAGGTCGAAGCGGGGGGATCACCCGAGGTCAGGAGTTCGAGACCAGCCTGACCAACATGGAGAAACCCCGTCTCTATTAAAAATACAAAATTAGCCGGGCATGGTGCCGCATGCCTATAATCCCAGCTACTCGGGGGGCTGAGGCAGGAGAATTGCTTCAACCCGTGAGGCGGAGGTTGCAGTGAGCCAAGATCGCGCCATTGCAATCCAGCCTGGGCAACAAGAGCAAAACTCCGTCAGAAAAATAAAAAAAAAGTCTGACTACCCCACTGGAGGCCACCATGTTGGAGAGGCCGTGTATAAGTGATCCAGTCGACTGTCCCAGCTGAGCCCAGCTTTCCAGCTCTCCCTGATTAAGGAGCCAGATAGGTGAATAAAAAAGCCTCCAGATGATTCCAGCCACCACCCAGTTGAGTTACCCTCATCTACTTGAGTCTTGCTAGCTGAAGCCCCAAATGTTTCAGAGCAGAGACAAACCATATCAACTGTTCTTTTTTTTGTTCTTCTTCTTTCTTTTTTTTTTCTTGAGACAGAGTCTTTCCCTGTCACCCAGGCTGGAGTGCAATGGCGTGATCTTGGCTCACTGCAACCTCCACCTCCTGGGTTCAAACAATTCTCCTGCCTCAGCCTCCTGAGTAGCTGGGATTATAGGAGTGCACCACCACTCCCAGCTAATTTTTTTTGTATTTTTAGGAGAGACAGAGTTTCACCATGTTGGCCAGGCTGGTCTCGAACTTCTGACCTCGTGATCCATCTGCCTCGGCCTCCCAAAGTGCTGGGATTATGGGCATGAGCCACTGCGCCCGGCCTCAACTGTTCTTTTTCTGAATTTCTGACTCCCAGAATCCATAAGCATAATAAAACGGTCGTTCCTTTGTGCCACTAAGCTTTGGGGGTAATTTGATACCCAGCAATAGATAACTATAACAGCAAACAAAACACTTTATTTTTCTTTCCTTTCCCAGTCCTGGATCACCCTCCTGCAAGTATAAATGAGTGAAAACATGACTTAAAGATGTAAAGAGGAGGAGGCAAAGGAAGGTAATGAGAAAGCAGAGCAGGAGGAGATGGAAAGGGTAACAAAAAAGATTGATGAGGAGGAGAAGGAACAGGAGTCCCCATGATACCAACGCAATCAGACAGAGAGGATTCGGGGAAAAAACAGAGAATATGGATCTTTAAGCAGATCAGAAATGTTGTTAAAGGTAGAGGAAGATGAAGTAGAGACCGGGTGCAGTGGCTCACACCTGTAATCCCAGTACTTCGGGAGGCCGAGGTGGGTGGATCACTTGAGGTCAGGAGTTTGAGACCAGCCTGGCCAACATGGTGAAACCCCATCTCTACTAAAAACACAAAAATTATCCCAGCATCGTGGCATGTGCCTGTAGTCCCAGCTATGTGGAAGACTGAGCAGGAAGAATCACTTAAACCCGGGAGTCAGAAGTTGCAGTAAGTCATGATCACACCACTGCACTCTGGCCTGGGCAATAGAGTGAGACCTTGTCTTAAAAAAAAAAAAGGAGAGGCAGCGGGGCGGGCACTGTGGCTCACACCTGTAATCCCAGCACTTTGGGAGGCTGAGGCGGGTGGATCACTTGAGGTCAGGAGTTTGAGACCAGTCTGGACAACATGGTGAAACCCCATCTCTACTAAAAATACAAAAATTAGCCGGGCATGGTGGTGGGCGCCTGTAATCCCAGCTACTTGGGAGGCTGAGGCAGGAGAATCACTTGAACCTGGGAGACAGAGGTTGCAGTGAGCCGAGATGGCGCCACTGCACTCCAGCCTGGGCGACAGAGCGAAACTCGGTCTCAAAAAAAAGAAAACAAACAAACAAACAAAAATGGCCGGGTGCGGTGGCTAACGCCTGTAATCCCAACAGTTTGGGAGGCCAAGGTGGGAAGGTCACCTGAGGTCAGGAGTTCGAGACCAGCTTGGCCAACATAGTGAAACCCTGTCTCTAGTAAAAATACAAAAATTAGCCGGGTGTGGTGGTGCATGCCTGTAGTCCCAGCTACTGGGGAGACTGAGGCAGGAGAATCGCTTCAACCCAGGAGGTGGAGGTAGCAGTGAGCTGAAAGTGTTCCACTGTACTCCAGCCTGGGTGACAGAGCAAGACTCCATCTCAAAAAAAAAAAAAAAAAAAAAAATTAGTTGGGCCTAGTAGTGCATGCCTGTAGTGTCAGCCACGAAGCTGAGGCAGAAGGATCACTTGAGCCCAGGAGATTGAGGCTGCAATGAGCTATAATTGTGCCACTGCACTCCAGCCTGGGTGACGGAGCCGGATGCTGTCTCAAAATAAATAAGTAAATAAATAGGCCGGGCGCGGTAGCTCACACCTGTAATCCCAGCACTTTGGGAGGCCGAGGTGGGTGGATCACTTGAAGCCAGGAGTTTCAGACCAGGCTGGGCAACATGGTAAAACCCCGTCTGTACTAAAATTACAAAAGTTAGCCAGGCATGGTGGTGCATGCCGGTAATCCCAGCTACTCTGGAGGCTGAGGCAGGAGAATCACTTGAACCTGGGAGGCGGAGGTTGCAGTGAGCTGAGATCATGCCACTGCACTTCAGCCTGAGCAACAAACTGAGACTCTGTCTCAAGAAAAAAAAAAAGAAAATACGTAAATAAAAAAAATAAGTAAATAAACAAAACAAAATAAAAAGTATCTACCAGAAACCAAAAGCAAACATTATGTTTGTAGTGGAGGTCTCCCATAAGGGAATGCCTACACTGTGAATCCCACAAAGGCAATAATTCAGGGTTAAATAAGTATCTAAATGTTAAATACAAATGTATTCTATTAAATATTTTACATTAAATACAGATACATCCTGCTAAGTTGCACATGTTACTGTAATATGCACAAGCTGTCCTACCCATGCAAGAACAAGGTATAAGGGGTAACTGAGAAAGTATTTGGGCAGCCCCTTAGTCTCCATGAAACTCACCTCATATAAACTGTTAACATCTTGGTCACCTGACCAGGACATTTGTATGAGACCTAGAATATCTCTTCCATGATGTCTTGCCATCTGCTGAATGAGGCATCTCTAAGTAAACAGCTTGATTGGATAATGCATGCATGTTTCTCATAAATGAGGGTCAATCCTCCAAATTATGTTATAATAAAAATGGCAAACCGCGGCCGGGTGCGGTGGCTCACGCCTGTAATCCCAGCACTTTGGGAGGCCGAGGTGGGCAGATCACGAGGTCGGGAGATCAAGACCATCCTGGCTAACACAGTGAGACCCTGTCTCTACTAAGAATACAAAAAAGTAGCCGGGCGTGTTGGCGGGCGCCTGTAGTCCCAGCTACTCGGGAGGCTGAGGCAGGAGAATGGCGTGAACCCGGGAGGCGAAGCTTGCAGTGAGCCGAGATCGCGCCACTGCACTCCAGCCTGGGTGACAGACCAAGACTCCGTCTCACGCACACACAAAAAAAGGCAAACCGCAAACCTCACTAAAATAAAGAACAAGAAACACATACCAATTTTTCATCTTTACTAGTCAACATTATATTGACTAAGGACAAGTAAAAGAAGACGTATTAATATTTTTAAAAAGAGATAATACAAGTCCCCAGTAGCTGGACTTGAAGATTAAAGATGCTACCTAGAAAATCCAAGCAAATCACTAGCCTGAGCAACACAGCAAGACTCTGTCTCTATAAAAAATTTTTTAAAAAATTTAGCCAGGCTTGGTGGTGCACTCCTGTAGTCCGATCTACTCAGAAGGCTGAGGCTGGAGGACCACTTGAGCCTAAGAGTTGAAGGCTGCAGTGAGCTATGATCATGCTGCTGCACTCCATCCTAGGTGACTAAGACCCTGTCTCAACAACACCACCACCAACAACAAAACAAATAGAAAAAGAAAAGAAAGGAAAAGAAAAAGAGGCCAGGTACAGTGGCTCATGCCTGTAATCCCAGCACTTTGAGGGGCCAAGAGGGGCGGATCACTTGAGCCCAGGAGTTTGATATCAGGCTGGGCAACAGTGAGACCCCCATCTCTACAAAACATCAGAAAATTACTTGGGCATGATGGCACACAGCTATAGTCCCAGCTACTCAGGAGGCTGAGGCAGGAGGATTGTTTGAGCTTGGAAGGTAGAGGCTGCAGTGACCCTGTCTAAAAAAAAAAAAAAAAAAAAAGAAAAGAAAAAACTCCAAGTGAATCAACTGAAAATTACTAGAATGAATGACAGTTAATACAATGATTATGTATAAAATTACCATATAAAATTACCGTATAAAAATCAATAGCTTGGCCGGGCACGGTGGCTCACGCCTGTAATCTCAGCACTTTGAGAGGTTGAGGTGAGTGGATCACCTGAGGTCAGAAGTTCGAGACCAGCCTGGCCAACATGGTGAAACCCCGTCTCTACTAAAAATACAAAAATTCGTTGGGCATGGTGGTGGGCACCTGTAATCCCAGCTACTCAGGAGGCTGAGGCAGGAGAATTGCTTGACCCTGGGAGGCGGAGGTTGCAGTGAGCTGAGATCGCACCACTGCACTCCAGCCTGGGGGACAGAGCGAGACTCCATCTCAAAACAACAACAACAACAAAACACCAATGGCTTTCCTATGACCAATGATAATTTATTAGACTATGTCATTAAAGAATATCAATTCATAATTGCTGCAAAATTTATAAAGAACCAAGAAATAAATTAAGAGTGTGAAAATCCTCCATGAATAAAATTGTGCAGTTTTACTCTAAGATATAAATAAGACCCAAATAACACATAGAAAGCCACTTCTTTTAAAGATGTTGCTGGGTGTGGTGGCTCACGCCTGTAATCTCACCTCTTTTGGAGGCTGAGATGGGCGGATCACCTGAGGTCAGGAGTTCAAGAACAGCCTGACAAACACGGCTAAATCCCGTCTATACTAAAAATACAAAATTAGATGGGCGTGATGTCTCATGCCTGTGATCCCAGCAACTCCGGAGGCTGAGGCAGGAGAATCGCTTGAACCCGGGAGGCAGAGATTGCAGTGAGCAGAGATCGTGCCATTGCACTCCAGCCTGGGCAACAAGAGTGAAACTCCGTCTCAAAAAAAAAAAAAAAAAAAAAAAAAAGTCATTTATCCTCAAATTAATCTATTAATGTGTTTTTTAAAGTGAAATTAAGCAAGCTGACAAAAAATGTTAAAATAGCCAAAAATATGAACCAAGCAGGAGGAGAAACCCTATCAGATATCAAAATGTGTAATAAAGCTATAATTACTCAAATAGAATTTTTTGGCTTAAGTTAAATAAACATAAAAAAACAGTTAAATCTCCAAATCCAGATTATCTATCTACCCATCTATCTAGCTAGCTACCTACCTACATACCTACCTACTTTCCTGGTGGACTTTAGTACATGATAAACATGGCATTTCACATTAGAAAGGAAAAGAATGACTATAGTAAATATTGTTGGGACAACTGGTTATCCGTTTGGAAAAAATTATATGTTCCAGTCATTCTTTATATCATATACAGAATAAATTCCAGTTTGATTAAACAAAAACAAAATAATAAAATAATAATAAAATAAAATAATAAAATAATAGTAGAAAATATAGAATATTTTCAAGTTTAGGGTAGCAGAAGGAGAGGTATTTTTGAACAAGACCTACAATTTAGAAACCATAAAAAAACCTAATATATTAATTACACGAAAAATTAAAACTTCTCCCAAAAACTGTCATAAAATTAACTATAGTTACTACAAGTCCATAGTAAAAGATTAACAATGCAGTAGAAAAAATGGGAATTCACATAAGAAGGCATGAAAAGGTGTGCAATCAGCAATCGAAACTACAAAGAACAAAAATGATACTTTAAAAAAGTTCATAGTCCCATCTCGGCTCACTGCAACCTCCGCCTCCCAGGTTCAAGCTATTCCTGTGCCTGAGCCTCCCGAGTAGCTGGGATTACAGGTGCCCACCACCATACCTGGCTAATTTTTGTATTTTCAGCAGAGATAGGGTTTCACCATGTTGGCCAGGCTGGTCTCGAACTCCTGACCTCAAGTGATCCACCCGCCTTGGCTTACCAAAGTGCTGGGATTATATGCATGACCCACTGCATCCAGCCTACCATTTTATTTTTTAAGACAGGGTCTCACTCTGTTGCCTAGGCTAGAATGCAGTAGCATGACAGTGGCTCACTGCAGCCTCTATCTCCCTGCTCAAGTGATCCTCTCACCTCACCCTCCCAAGTAGCTGGGACTACAGGCGTGCGCCACCATGCCCAACTAATTTTTTGTAATTTTAGCAGAGACGGAGTTTCACCACGTTTGCCAGGATGGTCCCGATCTCCTAACGTCGTGATCTACCCGCCTTGGCCTTCCAAAGTGCTGGGATTACAGGCATGGGCCACCACGCCCGGCCTAATTTTGTATTTTTAGTAGAGACAGGGTTTCTCTATGTTGGTCAGGCTGGTCTTGAACTCCCAACCTCAGGTGATCCACCAGCCTCGGCCTCCCAAAGTGCTGGAATTACAGGTGTGAGCCACAGCACCCGGTCTGACAATATATTTCTGTTGTTTTAAGCCACCTAGTTTTTGGTACTTTGTTACACAGTCCTAGGAAACTATCCAGGGAGCAAGAGTGAAAGCAGGGAGACCACAAGGCCAACTAGTGCTTGGCTTCAGCTCAGTGTTGATGGTGGCCTGAGTGAAGGTCGTCACTATAGATCTAACTACATTTTGAAGGTAGAATTTGATAACAGACCAAATATGGGGTATGAGAAAAGGGGAGGCATTAAAAATAATTCAAAAATTTCAGTGCTGTCAGTGCCCCAGACATCTGCATTTCTGAGCCTGAGGCCTTTGCCAGAAGTACAAAAGGAAAGCCACTCTAACGGTTCCTACCTTAGACTGAAAGTGCTGAAAAATTATCCTGCCTGGGGGAAGCCCTCAACCAGTGATTCTCAGGAGCTGAGGTATAAATACTCCTGGCTCTCTCTCCCTCAGGTGGGATAATTCTGAGGCATGTGTTCTACACTATTTCCTGGAGTTTCCCTGCAGGACTGAGATCCAGTCAATCAGTGGTAGCTGGCTTAATAACACACCCTTTATTGGCTGCTGTCCCTTCCACATGTCATTTCCCACTCTCCTTCAAGTGGTCCCTGTACTTCTAAAATAAATTACTTGAACACTTTTAGGGGAACAAACTAATACATAACATTTTTGGCTTGAGCGACTGGAAAGATATTTATTAATATTTATTTATTGGTCGGGCGCGGTGGCTCACGCCTGTAATCCCAGCACTTTGGGAGACCGAGGTGGATGGATCACAAGGTCAGGAGTTCGAGACCAGCCTGGCCAACATGGTGAAACCCCATCTCTACTAAAAATACAAAAAAATTAGCCAGGTATGGTGCTGTGTGCCTGTAATCCCAGCTACTCAGGAGGCTGAGGAAGGAGAATTGCTTGAACCTGGGAGGCGGAAGTTGCAGTGAGCCAAGATTGTGCCACTACACTCCAGCCTAGGGGACAGAGAGAGACTCTGTCTCAAAAAAAATTATTAATAAGTTGACATTTATTAAGATGAGGGAGACTTTAGTAGATACAGATTCTTGGAGAGAAGATTGGTAATATATTTTGGGTTTTTGTTTTGTTTTGTTTTGACACAGTGTGTTACTCTGTCGCCCAGGCTGAAGTGTAGTGGCATGATCTCAGCTCACTACAACCTCTGCCTCCCAAGTTCAAGCATTCACCTGCCTCAGCTCCCCCAAGTATCTGGGATTACAGGCATGCACCGCCACACCGGGCTAATTTTTGTATTTTTAGTAGAGACGGGGTTTCACCATGTTGGCCAGACGGGTGTCGAACTCCTGACCTCAGGTGATCTGCCCACCTTGGCCTCCCAAAGTGCTGGGATTGATTACAGGCATGAGCCACCACTCCCGGCCAGTAATATATTTTGAACACATTAGTTTTGAGGTGCCTGTAAGGTCACCAAGTGGAGAGGCTGAGTACGCATAGAGATATACAGTCTGGAGTCAGAAGATAAATTGCTCTAAAAATATACATTTGGGAGTCAACTGCATATAAAGAATATTTAGGGCCACGAGGCTGATAAGCTTACTAAAAGAGTGAGTGTAGATGGAGAAAAGAAGAGGTCCTTGTGTCCTGGGCATTGCAACATGTAAAGGTCAAGGAGGTGAGGGAGATCCAGCAAAGGTGATTGGAGAGGATCAGCCAGGGAGGTAGAAGGAAGAGAAGAGTGTGGGAAACCCCAGAAACAAAGGGAGTTACATGTTCTATTAGTCTTTTTCTTTTTCTTTTTCTTTTCGTCTCCCTCATTTATTTTCGGGCTTTCCTTAAAAGTCTGGTGATCCTTTTTTGTCCATTCACATCAAAGAGGTAGGTATTAAAAGACTGATTTGAATTCTGTATCTATGTATGAGGTTTGTCCGTTGGTAGCTTTTCATAATGGAAGCCCCAACTTTAGGTCATTTCTCTGGGGCTGTTTAGTTTCTCCTGAAAATTCCCCCATTTGCATGCCTAGGGAGGGAGCAGCCTAGCCACCAGGATAAGGAGACTGTGGGGGCTGGGGTAGGAATGGACAGAGAAGGGTGTGTCTCATGGTTCAATATGTAGACTTCCAGTGGCTCGCTCTCTCTCTTAAGGCTCCCCTTTGGTTCAGTTGCTCCACAGACTAAACCTCTAGACTCCTGCCAGACTCCTGAAAGGTTCTAGATCATAGAGGGCTCTAGAGGCTACCTAATCCTTATAGAGACTTCCTTTTTTTTTTTTTTTTGAGACGGAGTCTCGCTCTGTCACCCAGGCTGGAGTGCAGTGGGGCGATCTCGGCTCACTGCAAGCCCCGCCTCCCGGGTTCACGCCATTCTCCCGCCTCAGCCTCCCGAATAGCTGGGACTACAGGCGCCTGCCACCATGCCCGGCTAATTTTTTTTTTTTTTTTTTGTATTTTTTTTTAGTAGAGACGGGGTTTCAGCGTGTTAGCCAGGGTGGTCTCGATCTCCTGACCTCGTGATCCACCCGCCTCGGCCTCCCAAAGTGTTGGGATTACAGGCGTGAGCCACCGCTCCCGGCCTAGAGACTTTCAACCAATCCTCTTGTCTTTCACCCATTCTTCTTCCTGGGTTCCTGGATCCCCTAGTATTTGAGCCTAGCTGGAATTCTGTGGCAGGAAATGGCTAGCTTCTCATGAGCACCACCTCTGCAGACACTTGGTATACAGCTTTCTCACCACAGCTGATTTTTCCACTTAGCTTTCCATCTTCTCATCCTCTGATGTTTTTCTCCCACTCTCTTTGTTCTTGTGGGTTTATTCTGGTTTTATTCATTTGCTCTCATTTTTTCTGGGGCTCCAGGAAAGGAGATAAATATATGTGTTCAAACCACCGTTGTTCCTCCTTCACAGGAGGAATCAAATATCCAGATTATCAAATATCCAGCAATTTTTAAAGTTCTGGGACCACAATTTCAGGAAAGATATAAGCTCTTCCCTGTAGAAGCCACATTCCTTGGAGTTCTTGGTACTTCTGGAGCTCCACAGTATTCCTTGTTTTCTTTTTCCCAGAGGCTAGAAATGGTCCAGAAGCATTTCTGCCTGGTCCATCCATCTGTTTTCCAGCTATCTGACTGTGGAGGCATGTCCTACTTCCCGAGGAGCCAACTGAGGTTGTCTCCTCCCTGTTGCCAAGCCTTATGTGTCTGAGATCCACATAGCAGAAATATATGTACAACTGTATTAAGTCCTTAAAGTGAGGGTAGTTAGGAAAAGTCATCTTTAAGTTATATGGAGAAAATATTTGGAAACTTTGGGCTGAGAACGTGTGTATGGAGTGGGTGAAGGCAATTTGGGCCACAAAGCTTTTTTTTTTTGAGACAAGGTCCCTCTCTGTCACCCACGCTGGAGTGCAGTGTCGCCATCTCAGCTCACTGCAACCTCTGACCCCTCAGGGTCAAGTGATCTTCCACCTCAGCCTCCCAGGTAGCTGGGACTACAGGCGTGCACAACAGCATCTGGCTAATTTTTGTATTTTTTGTAGAGATGGAGTTTTGTCATGTTGCCCAGGCTGATCTCGAACTCCTGACCTCAAGTGATACGCCCGCCTCGACCTCCCAAAGTGCTGGGATTGCAGGCATGAGCCACTGTGCCCGGCCCTGGGCCCCAAATCTTAACTTACATTATTGTATACACATCCTGGTGTTTCTAAATCTGCCAAAGTTAGTGCTGATAATAATTTAAAACATTTTCATAACGCTTGTTATAAGCCAGTAATATTCTATGTGCTTGTCTATTAATTTATAAAATAAATAATTATAGGTTAACTATATAATCTTCAATAACCTTATGAAGGGGGTACTGCCATTATCTTCAATTTATAGCTAAAGAAACCAAAGCACAAAGGAGTTAAATACAAGCCTAGGGCAAGGGGCTGTCACTCCAGAGTCCATGTGCGTAACCCCTAATCTATGCTGCCTCTCTTCTTAGGTTGTATTTTGTTTTGTCTAATTCATAAGATGAAATTTTAGGATACCAAGTCTCAGAAACCAATCAAAGGCTTTTATATACTATTTATTTTCTACATATTTAACACCTATACCATATCTCGATAGTACCCTCACTGATTTTAGCCCTCTGTTTAAAAATGAGATTCTTCCACTATCTGAATAGTTCTGAATCCCAGAGGTCGTATTGCTTCTTTGTAGTTGGGGTTAGTGATAGAGATGCCTGCACCCTTGCAGAAGAGTCTCTGAGTACTTCAGCGCTTGGTCTGAGTTGTGGTACCAACTAGAAGGAAGGGTCATTCTCATTTTCATGATTTTCCCAGTGGACAAAGTCTGTGGGTCCATAGTGAATTCTATTACAATTTCCTTTTTTTCTTATTGGGGATATGAAGGAAAAAGTCTTAATCTACTTATGGATGCATCTGTTAAAAAATGAAAGGTGGCCGGGCACAGTGGCTCACGCCTATAATCCCAGCACTTTGGGAGGCTGAGGTGGGTGGATCACCTGAGGTCAGGAGCTCGAGACCAGCCTGACCAACATGGTGAAACCCTGTCTCTACTAAAAATACAAAAATTAGCCAGTCCTAGTGGCGGGCGCCTGTAATCCCAGCTACTCAGGAGGCCAAAGCAGGAGAATTGCTTGAACCTGGGAGGTGGAGGTTGCAGTGAGCAGAGATCATACCACTGTACTCCAGCCTGGGCGACAGAGCAAGACTCCATCCAAAATAAATAAATAAATAATAAAATAAAATAAAAGGTGGGGCTGGGCACAGTGGCTCATGCCTGCAAATCCAGCACTTTGGGAAGCCAAGGTAGGCGGATCACTTGAGGTCAGAAGTTCGAGACCATCCTGGCCAACATGGTGAAACCCCGTCTCTACTAAAAATACAAAAATGAGTTGGGCATGGTGGTGCGCGCCTGTAGTCCCAGCTACTTGGGAGGCTGAGGCAGGAGAATCACTTGAACCTGGAAGGCAGAAGCTACAGTGAGCAAACATCACTCCACTGCACTCTAGCCTGGGCAACAGAGCAAGACTCTGTCTCAAAAAAGCAAAATAAAATAAAATATAAAATAAATTAGTAGGGGCACTGCAGGCATTAGCCAGGGGTACAGAAGCTACCTTGCAAAAGCTAGATGCAGGGCAGCAAGGTGGAGAGGGATTTCCTGAGGCACAGAAAATTGGGGGTGAGAATAAATCTCAGGTGATCCCCAAATTTAGCAGCTGAGCTATAAAGTAGAAAGAGATCTTCCACAGTTCAGAAAGTTGGCGGCCTGTTGGTTTTTTTGTTTGTTTGGTTCGTTTTTTGTTGTTGCTGTTTTGTTTTGAAATAGTCTCACTCTGTCACCCAGGCTGGAGTGCAGTGTCGCAATCTCGGCTCACTGCAACCTCCGCCTCCCAGGTTCAAGTGATTCTCATGCCTCAGCCTCCTGAATAGCTGGAATTACAGGCACACACCACCACACCTGGCTATTTTTTGTATTTTTAGTAGAGACGGGGTTTCTCTACGTTGGCCAGGCTGGTCTTGAACTCCTAATCTTGGTTGATCCGCCTGCCTTGTCCTCCCAAGGTGCTGGGATTACAGGTATGAGCCACTGTGCCCGGCCCTATTTTTTTTTAGACACAGGATCTCCTCTGTCACCCAGGCTGGAATGCAGTGGTGTGTTTATAGCGCACTGTAACTTTAAACTCCTGGGCTCCAGAGATCCTCCTTCCTCAGCCTCCCAACTAGCTAGGACTACAGACTCATGCCACCATGCCTGGCTAATTTTATAAAATTTTTTGTAGAGATAGGGTCTCACTATATTGCCCAGCTGGTCTTAAACTCCTGGCTTCAAGCCATCCTCCCACACAGGCAACCCACTTTAAAGCATAAAGAGTTTACTAGAATATTGCTGGTGCTCAGAGTCTAAGCCCTGCTGAAAGGAATCCTGATATGCCCTCAAAACATGTGAAGCCAGTGGTGAACTGAATCTAACTAAAGCTGCAACAAAGCTCAGATCCAGCTCTACTACAGATCACATTGACTAATTTCCCCCACAATAGTGATCTGACAAAAAGGGGCTTCCCTTTTTTTTAAAATTTTTGTTAGTTTCTACAGTTCTTTTACATAAAATATCCCAGCATATAATAAAAAACACAAAGAACACACAAAGACACACAAAGGACAAAAAAAAGTATGGCCATGTCAAGAGAGAAAACAGTACTAGAAGCAGATGAAGTGATAGCTGAGATTTTAAATTATCAGAGAAGGACTTTGAAATAGCTCTGATAAATATGTAGAGGTTCTAGTGGAAAAGGTGGATAAAATGCATGAACAGATGGGGAAATTTCAGCAAAGAGGTAGAAACTATAAAAAAGAACCAAATGGAAGAGCTAGAAATGAAAAATTAGAAAGGAAATGTTTTTCAATGGGCTTAGCAGACTGAACACAGCAGAGGGAAGAATCAATATGCTTGAAGACAGGTCAGTATAAATTATCCAAACTAAGGTACAAAGAGAAAAAAAGAGTGAAAATATGGAACAGAGTGTCCAAGAATGGAGACAATATTAAGCATTCTAACATATGTGTAATTGGAGTCCCAGATGGAGAGGGGAGAGAAAAATCAGCAAAAGAAGTATTTAAAGAGATATTGGCTGAGATTTTTCTAAAATAGATGAAAGACAGAATGCACAGATCTAAGAAGCTTAGCAAATCCTAAGCAGGATAACTACATATAAAACCACACCTAGACATATAGTCAAACTACTGAAACCAAATATTAAAAATAACATTTTTAAAGTAGCCAGTGAAAATGGACATAGTGCCTCTAGGAAAACAACGATACAAAGAATGAATGACATCAGAAACGGAGACCAGAAAACTGGGGTCTGGGAGGAAGGGAGACAGAGGAAAAAACAAGGGAGACCAAAGGACAATGGATAACACTTTTATTTTTTATTTATTTTATTTGAGACAGAGTCTTGCTCTGTCACTCAGGCTGGAGTACAGTGGCGTGATCTCGGCTCACTGCAACCTCCACCTCCCGGGTTCAAGTGATTCTTCCACCTCGGCCTCCCAAGTAGCTGGCATTACTGGTGCCCGCCACCACGCCTGGCTAATTTTTGTATTTTTAGTAGAGACGGGGTTTCGCCATGTTGGCCAGGCTTGTCTTGAACTCCTGGCCTCAGGTGATCTGCCTGCCTTGGCCTCCCAAAGTGCTGGGATTACAGGTGTGAGCCACCAGGCCCGGCCTGGATGACACCTTTAAAGTGCTAGAAGAAAAAAAAATGCTTCAAAAATAAAATAAAAATATTTGCAGGTAGACAAAAGCTAAGAGAATTTGTTCCAGGCAGACTTGTATTATAAGAAATGCTAAAGTAAGTTCTAGAAACTGATAGGAAATGATACCAGATGAAAGTCCAGATTTGCAGGAAGAAATGAAAACTTGAAATGGTGAATATCTGAATAAATATAAAAGACCTTTTCAAAAATGATCTTTAATAAAGTATGTTTTATATATTTATATATGTATATATTGTGAGATTTACAGAATAAATATATAACAAGGATTCAAAGGACAGGAGGTAGGTAAATAAAATACCACTGTAAGGTTTCTTATATTATTTATAAAGGAGCACAGTATTATTTGAAAGTAGACTGTGGCAAGTTTTTTTTTCAGAGACAGGGTCTAGCTATGTTGCTCAGGCTGGTCTCAAACTCCTGGGCTCAAGTGATCCTCGTGCCTCAGCCTCCCAAAGTTCTGGGATTACAGCTGTGAGCCACTGCGTCCAGCCAACTATGAGAAATTAAAATGGCTATTATAAGAAGTGTAAGGCCGGATGCGGTAGTTCACAGCTGTAATCTCAGCACTTTGGGAGGCTAAACCAAGATGATCACTTGAGCCCAGAAAGTTGAGGCTGCAGTGAGCCATGATTATGCCACTGCTCTCCAGCCTGGGCAAGAGAGTGAGACTCTGTTTCAAAAAAAACAAAACAAAACAAAACAAAATATAGCTAAAAATCAATAGAGAAAATATGTGGAATATTAAGTTCACCCAAAAAAGGCAGGAAAGGAGAAACAGATGAAACAAAGAGAAGACAAATACCAAGATGACAGACTTAATTATCCTGATTTGATTATTACACATTGTACTTTTGTCTCAAAATACCACATGTACTCCATAAATATGTACAGCTATTATGTACTCATAAAAATAAAAAAGAAAAAGGCTGGGCGCGGTAGCTCATGCCTGTAATCCCAGCACTTTGGGAGGCCGAGGGAGGAGGATCCCTTGAGCTTCGGAGTTTGAGACCAGTCTGGGCAACATGGCAAACACCCGTCTCTACAAAAAACACAAAAATTAGTCAGATGTAGTGGTACGTGCCTGTAGTCTCAGCTACTTGGGAGGCTGAGGCAGGAGGCAGGCTTGAGCCCAGGAGGTGGAGGTTGTAGTGAGCCTACATCGTGCCACTGCACTACAGCCTGGGCAACCCTGTTTCAAAAAGAAAAAAATGAAAAAAAGAAGGGCATTTGCATTCATTTATCCTTCTCTCTCAATACAGACGTGTAGATATAAGAAATGGCAGAGAGGTTGTGATAACAATACCGTATTTAATGGTCACAATATGTAAGTCTCATTTGGTTCCATTAGAAGGAAAAATTATAGCATCATTGTGTCAGGCATTACATTTGGTGATTTTCTGAGTATTACTGGTAGCATCTGGGCTTATTGATCAAATACATAGTCTTATATTGGGAACTCTTATATCTAACACCTTTTAAAACTTGGCATTCCTAACAAGAGTTGATATCTATCTTTTAAGAAGATAATAGGGTCATGCATCTGTAAATACAGCAAAGAAGCATCCTGGAAGAGTGAAAGGAGCACTGGAATTGGAGTTAGAGAGGTGAGATTCAAATCCCAGCTAAGCTATTAATTAGCTCTGTGATCCTGAATAATAAACCCTCTCTCCTACTCTGGACCTCAGTTTCCATTTATAAAAATGGGGATAGTAAGAGTTACCCACTCTATAGGTTTGTTGTGTCAGCTAAATAATATATATGGAAGGCCTCATTCAAACAATGTCTAACCCATGATGGGAGCGTCTTTTAATTATCCATTACTGCATAACAAACCATACTAAACAACAAACAACAATCATTTATTTGCCCATAATTCTGTAATTTTTTTTTTTTTTTGAGACGGAGTCTTGCTTTGTCGCCCAGGCTGAAATGCAGTGGCACTATCTTGGCTCACTGCAACCTCTGCCTCCCAGGTTCAAGCAATTTTCCTGCCTCAGCTTCCCAAGTAGCCGGGACTACAGGCATGCGCCACCACACCCAGCTCATTTTTGTATTTTTAGTAGAGACAGGGTTTCACCATGTTGGCCAGGCTGGTCTCGAACTCCAGACCTCAGGTGATCCGCCTGCCCTGGCCTCCCAAAGTGCTGGGATTACAGGCGTGGGCCACTGAGCCCGGCCCATAATTCTGTAATTTGGCTGGGCTTAGCTGGTTGATTCTTCTCCTGGTCTCATCTTTGGTCACTCACATGGTTGTATTCATCTGGTGGCTAAATGGGGCTGGGTGGTCCAGGATGGTCATGTCTGGCAATTAGCTGTTGGCTGAGGTGTCTTGATTCTCTTCCATGTGGCCCATTCAATGGGATAACTTGGTTTCTTAAATAGTGGCCACAGGCCAGGCGTGGTGGCTCACTCCTGTAATCCCATCACTTTGGGAGGCTGAGGTGGGCGGATTGCCTGAGGTTGGGAGTTCAAGACCAGCCTGACCAACATGGAGAAACCCCGTCTCTACTAAAAATACAAAATTAGCCGGGCGTGGTGGTGTGTGCCTGTAATCCCAGCTACCTGGGAGGCTGAAGCAGGAGAATTGCTTGGACCCAGGAGGCAGAGGTTGCGGTAAGCCAAGATCGTGCCATTGCACTCCAGCCTGGGCAATAAGAGCAAAACTCCATCTCAAAAAAAAAAAAAAAATAGTGGCCGCAGTGTTCTGAGATAATGAAACTGAAAGCTGCAAAATCCCTTAAGGCTTAGCCTCAGAAACTATACAATGCTACCTTCTTTTTGTTGTTGTTGTTTTTGAGACAGAGTCTCATTCTCTAGCCCAGGCTGGAGTGCAGTGGTGTGATCATAGCTCACTGCATCCTTGACCTCCTGGGCTCAAGTGATCCTCCCACCTCAGCCTCCTGAGTAGCTGGGATTACAGGCATGAGCCACTGTGCCCAGTACAAAGCTACTTGCAATATATTCTGTTGATTTGGGGGGGCAGGGGAGTGGGGGAGAGGGTCTTGCTGTGTTGCCCAGGCTGGAGTGCAGTGGTGCAATCATGGCTCACTGTAGCTTGACCTCACCGGGCTCAGGTGATCCTCCTACCTCACCCTTCTGAGTAGCTGGGGCCACAGGCATGCACCACCAGCCCCAGCTAAATTTTGTATTTTTTGTAGAGATGGGGTTCCACCACGTTGCCCAGGCTGGTCTTGAACTCCTGGGCTCAAGCTGCCCACCTACCTCAGCCTCCTAAAGTATTGGGTTTACAGGCATGAGCAACCATACTCAGCTTATTCTGTTGATTAATACAAATAACTAGGACAGCCCAGATTTAAGAGATGTTGAATTAGATGGGAGGTACAGCAAAATCACATTGAAAAAGGGAGAGGGCACAGTCACCATTATTCTCTCAGTCTACCACAATGTTCAATAAAGGTTTGTGTGGTGAATGAATGACTGTATGTCTTATAGTTCTATTCTTCATATTCAAGGTCTGCTATGATCGTGCTTCTGGAGCACAAATTTCATATCTTTTCTATAACACTCATCACAATCTACTTCACAATTTATTTATTTGTAATGATAGTTTATCCTCAGAGAAAGATAACTTGTTTTGTTTTCTCTTATATCTCATGAGTCTAGCAGATATTCAGGCTCCAAATAGACACTCTGTAGATGCTTATTGAGTTGAATTTAAACAATCTTTAGATCTTATTCCCTACTTTCCTTACCATCATCACCTACTAGTCCCCTCTAAAGTCATTAGTTGGACATTTCCCTTAATATCTTACTATTATTCCTGTGTCCATGACTTTACGCATTCTATTTTCTCTGCCTAAAATACTTCTCCTTTTCCTCTTTGCCTATTGTAATGTTTCTCACTGACATTTAGCAACCTTGGTCTTATCCACAAAATGCCAAGAGATTCTGGGCCATTCTGACAATCATGATAAATCCCCTGGTTGAATAACACTGGTAAAACCATCCTTCGGGCCTATAGTAAGCACAAAATTATATTGTCTGTCCAATAACACCTCCTGTCTTAGAAGTTCCTAAGTGTTCCCCTATGCCAACTATATTGTGTTTGAAGGAGTTACTATATTCTCATAAGGCTCTACCCTTCTAGGTATAGTTGAATTATCTGGCATTCCTGAAGGGGGTCAAATATTAGCCAATCTATAAGCAGGAGCTGAAATGTAATAGAAAGTAGGAATGGGCCGGGCGCAGTGGCTCATGTCTGTAATCCCAGCACTTTGGGAGGCCGAGGTGGGCAGGTCACCTGAGGTCAGGAGTTCAAGACCAGCCTGGCCAATATGGCAAAACCCTGTCTCTACTAAAAATACAAAAATTAGGCTGGGCACGGTGGCTCACGCCTGTAATCCCAGCACTTTGGGAGGCCGAGTCGGGCAGATCACGAGGTCAGGAGATCGAGACCATCCTGGCTAACACGGTGAAACCCTGTCTCTATTAAAAATACAAAAAATTAGCCGGGCGTGGTTGTGGGCGCCTGTAGTCCCAGCTACTCGGGAGACTAAGGCAGGAGAATGGCGTGAACCCCAGAGGCGGAGCTTGCAGTGAGCCGAGATTGCGCCACTGCACTCCAGCCTGGGCAACAGAGCGAGACTGTCTCAAAAAAAAAAAAAAGAAAGAAAAAGAAAATATGCGAATGGAATACAAAAGAGTTCAGGTTTGGGGTGCTGTAGGGATAGCAGTTTGGAAATAGAATGGAGAGAAAGGCTGAGCCTGGGGACCACCTCTTTAGTCACCAGAAGTGACTCCAATTTGGACAATGAGTAGACCGGGGAGAGCTAGGAAGGAGAAATCTTTCATTCTACACATTAATTTGCACCAAGCTAAAGTGAGTCTGTATTTGGAATTAGTGACCTGCATTCTTAATTTTGGTGAATGGCATCACAATCCATCACTCACCAGTACAGAAATGTGGGTGTCACTGGAGTCACATTGGCTCCACTGTCCCTCGCCCCTCAAGGTTAATCATCCATCAAGCCCTGTCAGCTTTGCCTCTTTTCCCAATCCATCCTCTCCTCTCCATTGTTACTACCATTGACCTAGTTCAGGTTTCCATAATCTCCCACTTAGACAACTGGTCTTCCTGCCTCCAGTCTAATCCCCTTCCAATCCATGCTTCATATGCTGCTAGAATAATCTTTCTCAAGCATGTATCTGGTCATATCGCTCTCCTTAACAAAGTCCCTCCCCACACCCCATCTGCTCTGTTCATACTGTCTAAAAGCTAAACTTTTAGGCATGGCATTACAGACCTTTTGTTCCTGGTTTAACCTTCATTATCTAACCTGTTCATAACCTGTTTAGCCTTTATTCTGGCCACACCTCTACACCATGCTCTAGTCATACTGACCTACTTTTAGTTCCTCAAACACAACATGCTTTTTCAAGCCCCTTCACATACCTGGAAGGCCTTCTCCTCCCTGTACCAGCCTGGAGAACTTCAATTCATCTTTGAAACTCAGTTCAGGAGTCATCTCCCCACTTACTTACCCCAGGCACAGTCAGTTGTCCCTCCCTCAAGGACAAATAGCTCACTCCTGAAGCTACCTGTACACACTTCCATATCACACATGCTTGTTTGCTTGCCTGTCTCTGACTGCAGTGGGAAGCTCTCTGAGAACAAGATTGTATTTTATTTGTCTTTATATTCTTTGTATCTAGTAGGGGCTTAAAATAGGTGCTCAAGTGGATGAATATTTTATAGGTACTTTAGATTTCCCCAGTGTCATGGGAAGGGAGCTTCTGCACACAGTCTAGCTGACGGTGTGTGCTTATATACCTTGGGAAAAGGCCCTGGCATTATTTGTTTTTGTTTTTGTTTAGTCCCTAGTATCTTAACCACTTATTCAACAATCATTTATTATTTGTTTATTCTTTTTTTGAGACAGAGTCTCACTCTGTCACCCAGGCTGGAGTGCAGTGGTGCAATCTTGGCTCACTGCAACCTCCGCCTCCCGGATTCAAGCAATTCTCTGCTTCAGCCTCACAAATAGCTGGGATTACAGGCACCTGCCACCATGCCCGGCTAATTTTTTGTATTTTTAGTAGAGACTGGGTTTCACCATCTTGGCCAGGCTGGTCTTGAACTCTTGACCTTATGATCCACCTGCCTTGGCCTCCCAAAGTGCTGGGATTATAGGTGTGAGCCACTGCGCCTGGCCTTAACAATTATTTATTAAGCACCCACTATATTTCAGGCCCTACACCTTTAAAAAAAAATTGAGTCACGGTCTCGCTCCGTTGGCCAGGCTGGAGTGCAGTGGTGCGATCATGGCTCATTACAGCCTCAGGCTCAAGTGATCTTCCCACTTCAGCCTCCTAAGTGGCTGGGACCACAGGTGCTCGTCACCACTCTCAGCTAATTTTTAAAAAAATTTTTAGTAAAGATGAGGTCTCACTATGTTGCTCAGGCTGGTCTTGAACTTCTGAGCTCAAGCCTCCTCCTGTCTCAGCCTCCCAAAGTGCTGGGATTACAGACATGAGCCATTGTGTCCAGCCCTGTGCTGTTTTCTTTTATTCTATTATTATTTCCTTTTTTTATTTTCTTTTTTTTTTTTTGAGACCGAGTCTCACTCTGTTACCCAGGCTGGAGTGCAGTGGCGCGATCTTGGCTTACTGCAGCCTCTGCATCCCAGGTTCAAGCGATTCTCCTGCCTCAGACTCCCTGAGTAACTGGGATTACAGGCACCTGCCACTACACCCGGCTAATTTTTGTATTTTTAGCAGAGACGGGGTTTCACCATGTTGGCCAGGCTGGTTTTGAACTCCCGGCCTCAAGTGATCCACCTGCCTCGGCCTTCCAAAGTGCTGGGATAACAAGCATGAACCACCGTGTCCAGTGTCTTATTATTTTTTGAGACAGAGTCTCACTCTGTTGCCCAGGCTGGAGTGCAGTGGTGCAATCTTGGCTCACTGCAACCTCTGACTCCTGGGTTCAAGTGATTCTTGTGTGTCAGCCTCCGGAGTAGCTGGGATTACAGGCATGTGCCACCGCACTGGGCTGATTTTTGCATTTTTAGTAGAGACAGAGTTTCACCATCCTCTCCTCTTCATTGTTACTACCATTGATCTAGTTCAGGTTCCCATAATCTCCCACTTAAAAAACTGGTCTAGCTCCTATTATTCTGGTCGAACTCCTGGCCTCAAGTGATCCACCTGCCTCAGCCTCCCCAAAGTGCTGGGATTACAGGCTGAGCCACTGCACCGAGGCCCTGTACCATTTTAAAAGTCAGAGGCTACTATGATAAGCAAGAAAAACAGCTCTGACCTTCAAGCAGGGTACTCTCTAAGAGAAGCTTCATAACTGTATGGAATGACAATATGATTTTTTTGTTGTTGTTGAGACAGAGTCTCGTTCTGTCTCCCAGGCTGGAGTGCGGTGGTGTGATCTCGGCTCACTGCAACCTCTGCCTCACGAGTTTAAGCGATTCTCCTGCCTCAGCCTCCCGAGTAGCAGGACTACAGGCACACACCACCACGCCTGGCTAATTTTTTTTTTTTTTGTATTTTTAGTAGAGACGGGGTTTCACCGTGTTGCCCAGGCTGGTTGTGAACTCCTGAGCTTAGGCAATCCACCAGCCTCGGCCTCCTAAAGTGCTGGGATTACAGGCGTGAGCCACCTCACCTGGCCGAAATTATTTTTAAAATAAGATACTGGGAGATGCAGTTATTTTACCCCACCAAAGGAAAAATTAAATAACTTGAATAATCTTAAAATGACCCCCACGTCTCAAATGGTTTTAGGATAGAGTGGCATAACCAAGGTCTGCCACACAGTGGCAGTGTTTCCCCAGGGACGAAGGTAATTTAGCGGCCCAGGACTTTGGAAAAGCAGGTAGTTTTAAACTTTACTCCAGAGGAATAGCAGTACTAAAAATGTAACATGGTAATCTTCCTCAATTTGCAGAAAAAGAAATAAAAGACATAATTCAGTCAATTATCTTCCTCCAAACTTTCTTAAGCCTTTGGTTTCTGCTTTTGTCTGCCAAGGAGCACAATATAAATAGAGCACTTTTAGAACTGGCTGAGCATGTTAAGTTCCATGGCTGATTTTTTCCCAGACTTGTAATGTCAGAATTGCTTTTTAAATATTTTTTTGTGATATAATAATATATCCTACTAGTTAAAATGTTTCCGCATTCAAATGACCAGATTAACAGCATCAGTACTGCAAAATGCTTCCTATGAAGTGCTATACTTTCGGGTGCCCTACTCATTAAACCTATTTGAGAATCATGATCTCATCCAGTGTTTTCTAGTTACAAAAAAGAACAAGTTTCTTTTCTTTTTTTGAAATGGAGTCTTGCTCTGTCACCCAGGCTGGAGTGCAGTGGTGCACGATCTCAGCTCACCACAATCTCCGCCTCCCAGGTTCAAGCAATTCTCCTGCCTCAGCCTCCCAAGTAGCTGGGACTACAGGTGCCCGCCACCACGCCCGGCTAATTTTTGTGTTTTTAGTAGAGTCAGGGTTTCACCATGTTGGCCAGGCTGGTCTCAAACTCCTGGCCTCAAGTGATCTGACTGCCTCAGCCTCCCAAAATTCTGGGATTACAGGCATGACCCACTGCACCCAACCTCCAAAAAAGAACACATTTCTGAGAAACTAAATTAGTTACCTAAGTTTATGAAGCCCTCTATGGGACAGGTTCAGACTAATCCCTGTAAAGTGAGCACTCCAGATGTTTCCTTTGTTGCCATTTATCAACTTGATAAACAAGGATTGTTGGATGACTACAACAATGAAGGGACAGAGAGGTCAAGGTGATTCACAGGTTTCTAAACTGGTGAGTGGATATGGTTCCACTCACCAAAATTGAGAATACAGGTTGCTAATTCTAAATACAGACTCACTTTATCTTGGCACAAGTTAATGTGTAAAATAAAAGTTTCCTGGGGATGGGAGGAGTATGAAGTTGTTGCTTAATGGGCATAGAGTTTCAGTTTTGCAAGATGAAAGGAGTTCTAGGCCAGGCCCGTTGGGTCACACCTGTAATCCCAGCGCTTTGGGAGGCCGAGGTGCATGGGTCACTTGAGGTCAGGAGTTCAAGACTAGCCTGGCCAACATGGTGAAACCCCGTCTCTCCTAAGAATACATACAAAAAAGTAGCCAGGCGTGGTGGCAGGTGCCTGTAATCCCAGCTACTTGGGAGGCTGAGGCAGGAGAATTGCTTGAACCCGGGAGGCAGAGGTTGCAGTGAGCCAAGATAGCACCATTGCATTCCAGCCTAGGCAACAAGAGCAAAACTCCATTTCAAAAAAAAAAAAGAAGAGAAAAAGAAAAGAATTCTGAAGATTGGTAGATTGGTTACATAACAATTTGAATGTACTTCTGAACTGCATACTTTAAAATGGTTAAGATGGTAAATTTCATGTTATATATGTTTTACCACAATAAAAATTGAATGAAAGGTTTTCCTTTCCTAGCTTACCCATGTCCACCCATTGTTCAAATTGGAGCTTTCTCTCTTAGCTTCTGTGATGAGTGAAAAGGTGCTCCCCAAAGATATTTTAAAATACTAATATAAGGAATATTATTTCACTCATTCATTTTCAGAGGGAGCTCAAGAAGTTGTCAAGTGAATGAATTAATTAGTTCAACAAATATTTATCAGTTTTCCTACCTTGAACCTGGGATGTTCTAAGTCCTTTGTTCTCAAAGTGTGGTCTCCAGATCAGCAACACTAGCATCACCAGGGAATTTGTTAGTAATATACATTCCTGTGGGGCACGGTGGTTCATGCCCGTAATCCCAGCACTTTGCGAGGCCGAGATGTGCAGGTTGCTTGAGTCCAGGAGTTTGAGACCAGCTTGGGCAACATGGTGACACCCCGTCTCTACAAAATAAAAAATTAGCTGGGCATGGTGGTGCACACCTGTAGTCCCAGCCACTTGGGAGGCTGAGGTGGAAGGGTTGCTTGAGCCTGGGAGGTTGAGGCTGCAGTGAGCTGTGATCATGCCACTGCACTCAGGGAGAAAAAGAAAAAAAGGAAAGAAAGAAGTATACATCTCTGGACCCCACTTCAGACATACTGAATCAGAAACTTTGGCACTAGGACCCAACAATAGCTGTTTTTACCAGCCTTTCAGATTATTCTGATGCATGCTCAAGTTTAAGAAAGACAATTCTAGGTTGCAATGATACAGAGGCCAAGAAAACAAAACGCCTGTTCTCTTGGAGCAACAACAGACAAATAGATATAAATAAAATTTCAGGCAAAGGAAAGTGTTATCAGGGAAACCAGCATAGGATAAGGAGGCAGAACACAGAGGATGCTCAGGCAGGGTCTTTCTGAGGGGTATGAGCTCTGAAGTCACATAGAGTCTGAAAATTGGCTCCACCAGTTTCTAGCCTTTTAAAAGTCTGGTTTCCTCATCTTCTAAGAAAGAGATAATAATATTACAAGTTTACTCTGAAGATTAAATAAGATAACACTTATAAAATCCTTGCAACTGTTTCTGCCACTGAGTAAGGCTTCAATAAACGTTAGCCCTCCATATATGATGGGGAGTGCCATAGATGTATACCTGGGAATCGTTGATGTAGAAATTAATAGTAAATGGATGAAAAGGTGGATAAACCAAGACACAAAAAGAGAAGAGGATGGATGATGGGCTCTTGTTGGTGGGGACAGAAGTGGATTGAGAGATGGTGGGGAAGTAAAGAAATGAAGATGTGGAGAGGGAGCTTTTTTCTGAACCCAGCTAAAGGTGGAAACTTGGAAGAGGAGGCCAGTGGATTGGGTGAAGAACCAACCATTTGGTATACCTGTGACTGAGGAGGTTCTCAGGATGCAGGACTTTTAGTGCTAAAACTAGGAAAGTCCTGGGCAAGCTGGGCCAAGCTGGCCACACTGGCAGTGGATATGACCATGGAGGGTGAAGTGAGCAATAAATACTCTGACCTTTCTTTCCTGGTGGCCTCTCATCTCCTTACAGTAACCTTATAAGGTGTCTTTACAGGGGCCTGACCCAACCAGAAGGGCAAGGGAGCTGGGATAATACAGTCTAGAGAGGTCAGCCTTGCCTTGACACACACCAGGGTAAAGGAAGGACAGAGAATTGACCTGGAGAGGCAAAAAATAATGGCCAGCACAGTGGCAAAACTGGGATTAGAATTGTCTGGGATAGGCCAGGTGCGGTGACTCACACCTGTAATCCCAGCACTTTGGGAGGCTGAGACGGGCGGATCACGAGGTCAGGAGTTCAAGATCAGCCTGGCCAAAATGGTGAAATCTTGTCTCTACTAAAGTTACAAAAAATTATCTGAGCGTGGTGGCACATGCCTATAATCCTAGCTACTCAGGAGGCTGAGGCAGGAGAATCGCTTGAACCCGGGAGGCGGAGGTTGCAGTGAGCCGAGATCACGCCATTGCACCCAGCCATGGTGACAGGGAGAGACTCTGTCTCAACAAAAAAAAAAAAAAAAAAAAAAGAACTGTGTCTGGGATAAACCTGATTTCAGAGCTTCAATTCTTTTTCCAGCCTTGTTTAAAGGTAGAATGCCCTCTAGGAGTGATGAGTGCTTTCTACATCCTCAAATTAACTCTACAGAGAATTATAAAGATTATCCAACCATATTCTTTGGTATCTGAGCAGCCCACAAAACTTTTTTCTTTAGAGACAAGGTCTCCCTCTATCGCCTACGCTGAAGTGCAGTGGTGCGATCATAACTCACTCTAACCTCAAACTCCTGGACTCAAGCCATCCTCCCACCTCGGCCTCCCAAAGCGTTGAGATTACAAGCGTGAGCCATGGAGCCCGGCCCTCTTTAAAAAATAAAAGTGGGCCGGGCACAGTGGCTCACGCCTGTGAGGGGTATGAGGCCTCCCAGCACTTTGGGAGGCCGAGGCGAGGATCATTTGAGATCAGGAGTTCGAGACCAGCCTGGCCAACATGGTGAAACCCCGTCTCTACTAAAAATACAAAAATTAGCCAGGGGTTGGTGGCGGGTGCCTGTAATCCTAGCTACTCAGGAGGCTGAGGCACGAGAATCGCTTGAACCCGGGAGGCGGAGGTTGCAGTGAGCCGAGATCGCGCCACTGCATTTCATCCTGGCTAACAGAGGGAGACTCCATCTCAAAAAAAAAAAAAGTGTGTGTGTATACACATACATGTGTATGTGTATATATGTGTATGTATATATGTGTGTACATATGTGTGTGTGTGTGTATATATATATATATATATATATATATATATATATATATATATTCAGTGGTAAGTGTCATGTACAAGAGGCACACAGGATCTAGCTGCTCCAGAAATGAAGTCAGTGGAGAAAATCCCCACGGGAACCTTGGAATTCCTCTAAAAAGTTCAGGTACAGGACACTCCCAGGTGCCCAGGAACCGTTTCCCAGCTCACTTCCCCCCGAAAGACTCACCCCTCCAATCGCACTCGATGCTTTGGCAAGTGTCAAAGGTCAAAGACCACGGCTCGCCTGGTACCGACTGCCCCGCCCCCGTGCACCTCCAGCTCCCCCAGGCTCCGCTACCAGCAGCTGCGACCCGCCAACTCAGCCTGGGTAATAGGAGATTGGGCGGCCAGAGGCGCTGCGTGATTGGTGGGTCGGAAGGGGGCGGGGACTCGCTGGAAAGCCCCCTCTGGATTGGTGCAAACCATCTGGGTGGGACCTCCACTCTGGCTGGGCGGGAAAGCAAGAACAGCACTGCTGGGCTGGAGACGGCGGGAGCCGCTGCTCTCCGGCTGAGGGAATCAGAGACAGCTCCGTCCCTAGTGGAGCGCAGGGGAGGCAGAAGTCATGACAGGCGAGGTGGGTTCTGAGGTGAGTTTATGCACACGCCCCCCACGGGGGCTTAGAAGGCCGGGCACCGAGAGGTTAGGTGGGGCCGGGGTAGACCCCGCTGACCCGAGGCGCCCGGGCGGGAGGACTGCGGCTCCCGGCGTTCGCCGCGCCGGCTCCCGCGGCCTCGAGACTCGGCCGGGATGGGTTCCGACCGGGCATCCCGTCCCGCCGCCGGGCTTCCCGCGCTTCGGGCTCCGTGGCCGGAGAGCTCCAGGTCTCTGCGGCGCGCACTGCCGGCAGCCCAGCCCCTCTTCAGCCGGTTCCTGCCGCCAGCCCTCCCCTTTGGCGCGTTTCCTGTCGCGGAAGCTCCTCCCCTCAGGGTGCTCTGAAAGCCGGGAGGCTCTAGCCGAACCCGGCCGCAGCGGTGCGGGGGGATTCTCCGCAGAGAGAGGGCGAGCGAGGGTGTTAGGGAGTTCCACACTGGGCCTGGGAGGGGCCCTGGAGGTCATCGCGCGCAGGCCCTTTGCGTTTTCCGACCGGGCCCCGAGTGGGGAAGTCACCGCTGGGGCTCCTGGCTGGTGGCTGGCAGCTCCCTGGCGAAATTGGGCATAGAAAACAGATGTTTCCAGAGCTGTGTCCTTTCTGGGCCGGATTCGGGCAAGGCACTCCCGCCTTAGGAGCAAAATTTAAAGGGGCGCCAAAACCCTCAATCAAACTCATATTTTAATGCAATATTTTTAAAAAACCAAAATTAATGCAAAAACTTTTTATGATTTGATATTGAACAAAATATCAGACGTTTAAACAAAGACGAGATCCGACCAGTCATTTGCACGACCTTGCCTCAATCACCTCACCCTAATTCCATCCCTGTTTCCAATAAACTTTATTTACAAAAGCGGGCATATTATTTACCTCATGAGCTGTAGATTATTGATTTAATTTTTTAAAAAATATTGCATTAATGTTATTCATTTTGATTACTGAATTTTTTGAGACCTCACCCCACCCTGTTACTGGCCCTGCCCTTTGACGTTGCTGCAAATTGCCTAGAAGATAATCGTCATTCAAAGCAGCCCTATTCCTTGAGCTGTCTGGTTACCTAAATTCGGTTTCCACACTCACAAACAGAAGTAATAGTTTTACTGCTTTGGATTGTTGAGAGGATCATCAGTGCATACATATTAATTCTCAGCAATCCCAGCACTTCGGGAGGCTAAGGCCGGCAGATTGCTTGAGCTCAAGAGTTCGAAACCAGCCTGCATAGAAAACATGGCAAAACCCCGCCTCTACAAAAAAAAAAAAATTAGCCGGGCGTCGCCTGTGGTCCCAGCTACTCGGTCCCAGCTACTCGGGTGGCTGAGGTGAGAGAATCCTTTGGGCCTGGGAGGTCAAGGCTGCAGTGAGCCATGATCCTGCCACTGCACTCCAGCCTAGGTGACAGAGTGAGACACTGTATCAAAAAAAAAAAAAATTTGTACCTTGCATTCAAATCAATTTAATAATTTTTTTTTTTTTGAGACGGAGTCTCGCTCTGTTGCCCAGACTGGAGTGCAGTGGCACAATCTCGGCTCACTGCAACTTCTGTCTCCTGGATTCAAGCGATTCTCCTGCCCCAGCCTCCTGAGCAGCTGGGACTACAGGCACACACCACCACGCCCAGCTAATTTTTGTATTTTTAGTAGATACGGGGTTTTACTGTATTGGCCAGGCTAGTCTCGAACTCCTGACCTTGTGATCCACCCACCTCGGCCTCCCAAAGTGCTGGGATTACAGGCGTGAGCCACCATGCCTGACCAATTTAATAATTTTTTGAGAAACCACTCAGCTGAGGCCTTGTGCCCTGTTACATTACTGATGTTCATATTTCTCCCTTTATTAATAAGTTGATTCAGAGCCCTGAGAACACTAAGGAGGTAGACTTGGCATCTAGGGTTAGCTTTAAGGTCACTAACTGATCAAGTCACCTAACACACCCCTCCTCCTTAGGTTTTTATTTGCGACTTTTTAAACTGTCTTATTTAGAAATTTTCAAACCTATACAACCGTAGAAAGGATGGTATAATGAACCCATCACCTTACTTCAACTACAGTTTGAATATCTCTCGTCTGAAATGCTTGGGACCAGAAGCGTTTTGAATTTCAGATTCATTTTGGATTTTGGAATATTCGCATACACATAATGAGATATCTTGGGGGAGGGACCCAAGTCTAAACATGAAATTCAGTTATATTTCATATATACCTTACACACATAGTCTGAAGGTAATTTTATACAGCATTTTAAAATAATTTCGTGCATGAAGCAAAGGTTTTACTGCAGCTCATCATATGAGGTCAGGTGTGGAATTTTCATCTAGTGGCATCATGTCAGTGCTCAAATATTTTGGAATTGGGAGCATTTCAGATTTTCAGGTTAGAGATGTTCAACCTGTATTTTCAAGTCATGGCCAATCTTGTTTTATTCATACAGCTACCCATTTTTCCTCTCACAGGATTATTTGGAAGAAAATCCAAGATATCATATTATTTGAACCACAAAGATTTTAGTGTGCATATCTAACAAACAAGAGCTTTCCAAAAATAGATACTACGATATTATTACCACACCTAAGAAGTATCTAGTCAGTGTTCAGATTTCTTTGACTCAGAGATATTTCATTTATTTTTATATGCCACTTTAGCATAATTATTTACATTTTTAGTTTTTTGAATCATCATCCGAAGTTGGCATTTTGTAATTGTTTATATTATATATGTGTATATATGCATATATGTATGTATTTTAAGATATACATACATATATAAAGCATACATTTATGTATATAGAAATATACAGGGCCGGTTGTGGTGGCTTACGCTTGTAATTCCAGCATTTTGGGAGGCTGAGGCAGGCGGATCACCTGAGGTCAAAAGTTCGAGACCAGCCTGGCTAACATTGTGAAACCCCGTTTCTACAAAAAATTAGCCGGGCATGGTGGCACGCACCTGTAATCCCAGCTACTCGGGAGGCTGAGGCTGGAGAATCGCTTGAACCCAGGAGGCGGAGGTTGTAGGGAGCCAAGATCGTGCCATTGCACTCCAGCTTGGGCAATAAGAGCGAAACTCCGTCTCAAAAAAAGAAAAAAGGAAATATACATATAGCCGGGCGTGGTGGCTCACGTCTGTAATCCCACCACTTTGGGAGGCTGAGGCGGGCGGATCACCTGAGGTCAGGAGTTGGAGACCAGCCTGACTAACATGGAGAAACCCCATCTCTACTAAAAATACAAAATTAGCCAGACGTGGTGACACATGCCTGTAATCCCAGCTACTCGGGAGGCTGAGGCAGGAGAATCGCTTGAACCTGGGAGGCAGAGGTTGCGGTGAGCCGAGATCGCGCCGTTGCGCTCCATCCTGGGCGACAACGGCAAAACTCCATCTCAAAAAAAAAGAAATATACACATAGCATATAGAAATATACATACATATATAAATATATAGAAATATACATACGTACACACATATATACATTCACTTATGTGTTAACTTTCTTTATAGGTTTCTCTCCCTCTCTTTTTTTTTTCTTTGCAATATATTGTTAAAGAAACCGGCCGGGTGCAGTGGCTCATACCTGTAATCCCAGCATTTTGGGAGGCCGAGGTGGGCGGATCACCTGAGGTCAGGAGTTTGCAACCGGCCTGGCCAGCATGGTGAAACCTTGTCTCTATTAAAATAGAAAAAATTAGCTGGGTGTGTTGATGTGCGCCTGTAATCCCAGCTACTCAGGAGGCTGAGGCAGGAGAATCGCTTGAACCCAGGAGGCAGAGGTTGCAGTGAGCCGAGATTGCACCACTGCACTCCAGCCTGGGTGACAGAGCGAGATTCTATCTCAAAAAAAAAAAAAAAAAAGAGAGAGAGAGAGAAAGAAACCACCCAGTTTGACTTGTAGAATTTCCCACGTCTAGATTGCATATCTGTGGTATTATTCAACATGTTCCCCTATTCCCTCTATTTCCTATAACTTGCTAGTTAGATCTAGAGACTTGATAGGATTCAAATTTGATTGTTCTGTCAGGAATACTTTATGGCTAGTATTGGGTACTTCTATTAGGCAGCACATAATGTCTGGTTGTTTCTCTTTTGGTGATGTTAGCAGCCATTAATGATAATTGCCTAGGTCTGTTATTTAATTGAGGGTTGATAAAATTGTGATAATCTAATTCTATCATTTATTAATTCATTAGGATATTTCTCTAAATAGAAACTTCCCCTCATCAATTGTATGGATATATTGGGGAACAGTTCACACAGAAAAGGCATAATAAATGCTTGATTCTTTTCATTTTTTTTTTTACCGTTACTAAAAGAGTTGGTTCTGTTAGCATCCTTCAAAGGTGAAAAATGAACTTTTGTTTGTTTGTTGTCCAGTAATTCTAAATGTCATCCCTTCAAGGAACCATTGTATTTGGTTCTTTCCTTAGTTCAGGTTGATGATCCCACGATGATTTGTGTGTCATTATGTACTTGGAGCTTTCGGTCACCTGCTGGTTGATATAAAGTATATTGTCATTTTCTAGGTTCACCTAGAAATCAATGACCCAAACGTCATTTCACAAGAGGAAGCAGATAGTCCTTCAGATAGTGGACAGGGCAGCTATGAAACAATTGGACCCTTGAGTGAAGGAGGTTTGTAATAGTACTTTTATTTTTAGGAATAGGTTGCGGGAGCCTCAGTTGTAAGTAGATTGGATTGATTTCATTATTCTCTTGATTTATTACATTATTAATGCCCCATCCTTATTGTTTGTTTTATTATAAAAGCAAAATAACAGTGCTTGTACCTTTTTGAAACTATGTTATATTGTTGAATGTCTAATAGCTACCATATTGCCTGGTTAATTGCATTCATCCTATAATAAAAGGAATTTTAACACCTGCCGGAGGTTAGAACAACTTTACACATTGTAAATATACGTAAAATTACATTTCCCAGTAAGAGACATTTTTCCCAGGGAAAATGTTTTTCAAAATGTATTTTTAGATTTGCTTTGCTACAATCAGTTCTTAACAGTAGTCACGTAATTTCACAATGTTATATATCACTTGTATAAAAATATATTTTTGAGGAGTAGTGGGACTAGGAGGAAGATCAAATGATGGTATAATTAAAAGAAAATTGTTTCCTCCAGATTCAGATGAAGAGATATTTGTAAGTAAGAAGTTGAAAAACAGGAAGGTTCTACAAGACAGTGATTCCGAAACAGAGGACACAAATGCCTCTCCAGAGAAAACTACCTATGACAGTGCCGAGGAGGAAAATAAAGAGAATTTATATGCTGGGAAAAATACAAAAATCAAAAGGATTTACAAAACTGTGGCAGACAGTGATGAAAGTTACATGGAAAAGTCTTTGTATCAGGAAAATCTTGAAGCGCAAGTGAAACCTTGCTTAGAGCTGAGTCTTCAGTCTGGAAACTCTACAGACTTTACCACTGACAGAAAGAGTTCCAAAAAGCACATACATGATAAAGAAGGAACTGCAGGAAAAGCAAAAGTAAAATCAAAAAGAAGACTTGAGAAAGAGGAGAGAAAAATGGAAAAAATTAGACAGCTAAAAAAGAAGGAAACAAAAAACCAGGTACATTTTAAAGAATAATTTGCTATTGCTTGGGTAGGTTAACATTTTAGAAAAGGTTGCTGTTAGTACTTGAGGTTGTTTCTGCTCTCTGACTATTGCTTTGAATTGACTATTTTGTGTTGAGAATTATTCTCAATAGGTATGTGATTTAAAACTAACTGGTCTTGGCCAGGTGCAGTGGTGCATACGTCTAATCCCAGCACTTTGGGAGGCTGAGGCCAGAGGGTCACTTAAGCCCAGGAGTTCGAGAACAGCCTAGGCAACAGAGTGAGATCCCATCTCTACAAAAAATTTAAAAATTAGTTGGGTGTGGTGGCCGTAGTCCCAGCTGTAGTCCCAACTACTTGGGAGGGTGAGGTGGGAGAATCACTTGAGCCCAGGAAGTCGAGGCTGCAATGAAGCTGTAATTGTACCACTGCATTCCAGCCTGGATGACAGAGTGAGACCCTGTCTCAAAAAAAAAAAAAACAAAAACCAAAAAAACAAAACTTATTGGTCTTATTCTATTTTGGGTATGCAGAGGACATTTCCAAATAAATGGGTTTCTGATTTTCTTTATGAGCACATGGAGTAATTCTTTGCTGTCTCTGAGCTGATGAAAATTAACTGAAAGAAGGCTTTTTTATGCATCTATCAGTCAGTAGTCTTGTTTGCTAACTAGAAAAACCATCCTCAAATTTATAAACTAGTTGCTTAACAAGTATTTTACTTCAAAAAAATATTTACTGTTTATTAAGTTAGTTTTAGACAGTTGCATAAAATCACAACTTGGACTTCAAAGGATACATGTGAGTTAGAAACCAGTAAGAATGTTCTAGATTTTATATGCTTGTCTGTTGATGAAACATGGGCTTTTTCTGGCCTGATCCAAATTGCCATATGATGTTGTGAAATACTGGATTTTTAAATGATTGGATTATGCTTTTTGTTTATGTATTACTTAGGAAGATGATGTAGAACAGCCATTTAATGACAGTGGCTGTCTTCTTGTGGATAAAGACCTTTTTGAAACTGGGTTGGAGGATGAAAATAACTCTCCATTGGAAGATGAAGAGTCATTAGAATCAATAAGAGCAGCTGTAAAAAACAAAGTAAAAAAGCACAAGGCAAGTAAAGCATGATTGCAATAAGAGTTAATCAACTGCTTCTGACCTTTGCTATATTTTTAATTTACTGTTGGAACCTTAATTTTTTTTTTAACTGAAGAAAAACTTGTGTCAGTTGACTTAAGTGTTTCAGCTGTTAATTTTGGAGACTTGCAGTACAAGTGATAGACATGCTAACTTCTTTGGAAACTAGTGTTTTGTTATTACCCTTTTAGGAATGCTGAAAAAAAAAACCACTAAGATATTTGATGGTGTAGTAAGATGCAGGTAAATAATAGGGAAGAGATGTAAATTTTGCAATCCTATAGCCTTTGAGAAATGAACCCTATAGGGTTTCAGGAAGGGTATCAAAGAGAGGCATCAGTCAAAACATTGTTGTCCCGAGTGTTTGGAAGCATAATTTTTCTTCCTAAGATTTTTTTTTAGCTTCCTGCGAGTTATTATCCCTCTTTAGGGAAAGATGTAAGCAGAGGTAAAAGAAATAAGGGTCCAGACTCCATCTGAGGTATCTGTTTTCTAAGCATAATAGGATGCTGTGTGTTTAATAATTTCTAGTTGATGATTATTGATTTATTAATGTAGCATGATGTGGTGTTGGACTACAAAAGTAGTCTTCAGCTAAAGCATCCTCTTATTTGAATTTCGTTTTTGTCCTAATCAACCTGCCATTTCTTTTAGAAAAAAGAACCATCTTTGGAGAGTGGGGTCCATTCATTTGAGGAAGGAAGTGAGTTATCAAAAGGAACCACGAGGAAGGTGAGGTAGAGCCCTGTATATTAGTCACACTGATCTCTTTACACAGGAGATTATAGATTTCTTAGGGATAAATATTTTATTTTGTCTATCATATTTTTCTGTTACCCATCATATTGCTTTGTACATAGTAGGAACAAAATATGGATTGGATTGAACAAATTCTCTGAGACTTGGGAATAAATGAATTCCTTGAGTTTATACTGCATTTGGGCTTACTCATGCTTACTATTTCCTTTCCTCTTTTCTTGGAGAGAGCAAACTCTTGAGTGATGAATATCTATCTTTCTGGATATTCATATAATTAATGTAGTCTCACTTCTTGTTTTCTTTAAGGAAAGAAAGGCAGCCAGATTAAGTAAAGAAGCATTAAAACAACTGCATAGTGAGACTCAGCGCCTTATTCGAGGTAATGCAACCCAGTAAACTTTGAGGCAAAATCACAACATTTCTTTGTAAGCTCAACTTGGATGTTGGGGACTTTTATTTTTTTAACACTTCTAATGTGAACTCAGGTTATAATATTAAGTTTAGAATTGATCTTGGTGAAAGGCCATTGTTCTAAAGCCCTTGGAACATTAGTATAAACTGAAGAAATTTTCAGAACTGTAGTGCAGGTAAGGAGGAAATTTTTTAATGGTTGTCTATGGACTGATTGTGTCAGGATTCTTTGGAGAGGTAGTAATCCCTCCCTATTTGCAGTTTTGGTTACCTGTGTCAGCCATGGTCCATGGAACTTAAAAATATCATCCCTTTGTCCAGAGTATCACGCTGTATACATTACCTGCCTGTTAGTCCGTTAGTAGCCCTCTCAGTTATCAGATCAAAAAAACACTGCATGGTTTAGTACCATCTGCAGTTTCAGGCATCCACTGCAGGTCTTGGAATGTGTCTGTCTGGATAAGCGGGGACTACTGTATATAAATGTTTAGGTCCCACAGAGATTCTGATTCAGTAGATTCGAAATGGGATCCAAGAATCTGTATTTCTAAAAAACTTCCTGGATCATTTTGATTTCACATCTAGGTTTAAAAGCCACTGGTCTTCAGGGAGCTTTTTTGTACTTAGCTCCTCTGCCTTTGTTAAAGGGGAGTTTTCTATTTCTAGTGATGGCTTTGGTTATTATGTTTAGTTAACTGAATATGAAGTGACATTTCAGAATATACAGTATATATATTTGCTTGTTTTATTCCATTTTATAGAGTCTGCACTGAACCTTCCATATCATATGCCTGAGAATAAAACCATTCATGATTTCTTCAAACGTAAACCCCGGCCCACTTGCCACGGAAATGCCATGGCACTATTGAAGTAAGAACCCTCTTTCCTTATTATAATTTTCATGAACATTTAGTTTTGTAGCAAACATCTGGCATAAAAAGTTCAGATTTCTCACTCCCTTAAAACTGATTTAACTGATATATACTAAGGGATGAGAATGTTTCACATTTAGGATAATTTTCAACTCCAGCTCAATTTCTCTTCTCTAGGTCATCTAAATATCAGTCAAGCCATCACAAAGAAATCATAGACACTGCAAATACTACTGAAATGAACAGTGATCACCATAGTAAAGGTTCTGAGCAGACAACAGGTGCAGAAAATGAAGTGGAAACTAATGCACTCCCTGTAGTTTCAAAGGAAACCCAGATCATTACTGGATCAGATGAGTCTTGCAGGAAGGATTTGGTAAAAAATGAAGAGCTAGAAATTCAGGAGAAACAGAAGCAGAGTGACATTAGACCTTCACCTGGGGACAGCTCAGTGTTGCAACAGGAATCCAACTTCCTCGGGAACAATCACAGTGAGGAATGTCAGGTTGGAGGGCTTGTAGCATTTGAACCTCATGCCCTGGAGGGTGAAGGCCCCCAAAATCCAGAAGAAACAGATGAGAAAGTGGAAGAGCCTGAGCAGCAAAATAAATCATCAGCAGTTGGGCCACCTGAAAAAGTGAGACGGTTTACTCTGGATAGACTTAAGCAACTGGGAGTAGATGTTTCCATTAAACCACGGCTAGGTGCTGATGAAGATTCCTTTGTGATACTTGAACCTGAAACCAACAGAGGTAATCCTTTACATTGTGGGGAGCCTCCCTGGAGTGATTATCCTGGTAGCTTTTGATTATTGACTACTGTCGAGGACAGAGAACACAGGAGGAACCAATAACCACTTTGATCTTATCCTGCAGTTGTTCCAGATATGGGCAGAGTCTTTTTTAGAGAAATTTGGCAGGGTATCAGAATGATCTAAGCCATGTTTAAAATGGAAGTCTGTTGGCTGGGTGCGGTGGCTTACGCCTGTAATCCCAGCACTTTGGGAGGCCAAGGCGGGCAGATCACGAGGTCAGGAGTTTGAGACTAGCCTGGCCAATACAGTGAAACCCCGTCTGTACTAAAAATACAAAAATTAGCCGGGCATGGTGGCACGCATCTGTAGTCCTAGCTACTCGGGAGGCTGGGGCAGGAGAATTACTTGAACCCAGAAGGCAGAGGTTGCAGTGAGCCGAGACTGCACCATTGCACTCCAGCCTGGGTGAGAGAGCGAGACTCTGTCTCAAAAAAAAAAAAAAAAAAAAAAGGTTGTTGATAGTTAATATAAAAAAGAGGTACATTGCTACTGTGTTATGGTATTTAGGAATTTATTATTTCTGCCTTTCCAATCTGAAATTAAGTTTTTTCTGTAATCCTGAGTCAAATCTTAAGACATTGATGAAAACATCATTTAGTTTTTTACTGCTAAAGAGAAACATTTTGGTTCACTTAAATTATCTGTGAAACCGAATTTCTTTTGTTTTCACTCATTCAACAAATATTAAAGTATCTACTATGAGTAAGTTGCTGTGGGGCATACCAAGATAAATCTGACATTTAAGGTATACTTAAGATGCTTTTACTCTAATGGGCGAGATAAGAAGTATGCAAATAAGAAGTACAAAGGAGAAAATGGTAAATGATGTCTTTGATAATGAATATGTCATTGATAATTGGAAAATAAATAACATGAAGAAAAAGGAAAAGTATTTTCTTAAAGAACATTTAGAATAAAGTACTGTGGGAATTCAGAGAAGCATAAATTTCTTCCAATGAATAGTTAAAAGACAGCCTGAAGAATAGGTGGATTAATTACTTGTTCACTGCCTTCCCTTTATACTGTGAGTTGGTATCTTCTGCCTTGTTCCCTACTCTATCCCTAGTGCTTCCTCAGTGGACGACACATTGTAGGCACTTGTATTTATCAAATGAATGAATGATCCCTCAACACTGAACTCAAGTATTACCACATTGAATAAATTTCCTGACTCTTAGATAGAGCTGGATGCTCCCCACTCTGCCTTGAGGCAGTATGGAATGGTGGTTAAGAGCTTAGACTTTGTAGCAAGACCAGGATTTGAATCTGAACTAGCATAGTAATTGTTTAACATTGTATACGCCATTTGACCTCTTCAAGCATCTTTTGTTTAAAAAAGAGAAGAAAGCCAGACACAGTGGTGCACACCTGTAGTTCCAGCTACTCGGGAGGCTGAGGCACAAGAGGGTCACTTGAACCCAGGAGTTTAAGGCCATCCTGGGCAGCATATGAAATCCTGTCTCAAAAAAAAAAAAAAAGAAAAAGAAAAAAGCACTATATGACTTGTGGGCTATGGTGAAGATTTGTTGAAATAATGCATGCAAATGGATAGTATAAACAAGCACTCAAAAAGTTGTTGCTGCTTCTACTATTATTAGTGAAATGGTTCACATCAAGACTTTTTTTTTTTGAGACGGGCTTTCACTTGCTCTTGCCACCTAGGCTGGAGTGCAATGCTGCGATCTCGGCTCACTGCAACCTCCGCCTCCTGGGTTCAAGCAATTCTTCTGCCTCAGGCTCTCAAGTAGCTGGGATTACAGGTACCCGCCACCACACCCAGCTAATTTTTGTATTTTTAGTAGAGACAGGGTTTCACCATGTTGGCCAGGCTGGTCTCAAACTCCTGACCTTAGGTGATCTGCCTGCCTCAGCCTCCCAAAGTGCTGGGATTACAGGTGTGAGCCACTACACTCAGCCAAGACTCTTTCATTAAACCAAGCATAGTCAGTGGCTTATGCCTGTAATTCTAGCACTTTAGGAGGCTGAGGTGGGAGGATTGCTTGAGCCCAGGAGGTCAAAGCTGCAGTGAGTTGTGAGCTGAAATTGCACTCCTGCACTCCAGTCTGGGAGACAGAACGAGACCCTGTCTCATAAAAAAAAAAAAAACACAAAAAAATTATCTTTCATTAAACATCTTATTGTTGGCAGGTGCTATGTCAGTGACTATATCTGGTGTGTAAAATATGCTCAGTGAGTCTGTTAATTGAATGGGTTGACTTTGGAGATGGAGAGGATAGAAAGAGCACCTTGTCTCATTAAAACAAAAAGAAAAACAAAACACACACAAAAAAGATTCTGTTTCATTAAACAGCTTATTGTTGGCAAGTGCTATGTCAGCCACTGTATCTGGTGTGTAAAATATGCTTAGTGAGTCTGATAATTGAATGGGTTGACTTTGGAGATGGAGAGAAGGACAGAAAGAACTCTGCATGGTGGTGCGTATTGGGAAGATGTGAAAGTCACTTTGACCAGGGCTGGAGGTTCAGGTGGCAGAGTTGTATAACAGAACTAGCATAGCTCCATTAGCAAAGAAGCATGAGAATAAGCTGTTGTCCGGAACACTGAGGGAAAGTTTTTGTTATATGGGACTAAAAGTTACCTAAACAGTCCTAGACTGATAGGAAAGGGAGAAACATTTTTTGAGTACCAACTATATTAGACACTGGTACATTCTTTGTTAGTTGTCTTTCTTAATTCTCACAGTGCCAGGTATTATTTTGCAAAATGAAGAGACTGAGGCTCAGAGAGGTTAGGTAATTTTTCCAGCATTATACTTGGCTTATAAAGGGACCTACACAGTGGCTGGCATATAATGAGCACTTATTTTTTAACTTGGAACATGTTTTCCTTTAGAAATAATTGACACGAAATTTGGGTTTCCAGACCAGCCATAATATACATGAAGTTAGAATCAACATTCATTCATTCATTCATGCAATAAACTTTTATTTAGCACTGTGTTGGGTGCTGTGTATACACGTAAAACACTCCCTGCTCTCAAAGAAATTGAAGTGTAATAGGAGTGATAGACAGGCAAACAGACCATTACAATACTGGATGGTAAGTGCTGCGATCAAGGTATATAATTGAGGGTGCATTGGGAACCTAGAGGAAGGGTACCTTACTTGGAGCCTAGAAGTCAGGGAAGTTTCTGAAATGAGCTCAGTAGAGATACCAAGGCAGAGAGGTGAGGGAGGGCTTTTTTGGTGGAGGGGTTGGACCTGCAGATGTCAGAGACAATGGAAAGCACAGGGTGATCTCCCTGGCTGAAGTGAAGATAGCAAGGACATTGGTGATCAGAGCCCAGATCATTCAGGGTTTTTATGCCATGCTAGGAGCTTGGACTTTAGCTCTTTGTAAGTAGAGGACCACTGAAAGGTTTTCAGCAAAGGAAATGTTCAATCAGATACTCACTTTAGGAAGTTAAATCTGGTAGCTGTTGTGGTGGATGCATTGGAAGGGGTTAAGAGTAAAAACAGTGGGAACAGCTCAGTTTCTTTACCTCATATAGAATAAGGTTTCCATGAGAAAATGCATGTAAATTTAAATTTTGTGATGTCAGAAATACATTATTTCTGTTGCTTGCAATAGCATATGGAATAATCCCTGCCTCTAATTCCTCTACTTTCTGGACAAGAGCAATGTGAATGAGAACAGTTCTTATGCTGCTGATAGAGATAAGCTAGGAAAGAGACTTTTCACTTAAGAGAGGAGATGAGAGGTGATGGAGGATGAGAGGTGATGGACTAATAGAGATGAATGGAGGTAGAGGAACTTGAACAGGGGTTTTAGGATGAAGACAGTGATGGTTGCATCATGTAATAAAGGCCAAAGAAAGTGGTTGCTCCAATGGGTTGGGGGAGGAAGAGCTTTGAGGATCCTAGCTTTCTCCAGTTATGAATGAAGATACCTCTTGCCTGACTACTATTTTAAGTCCCAGGTAATCTTCCCACCCAACCATTTCTCTTACCCTAGTGGCACCCATAATAACCTGCCTATTTCTGTTCCCTTTTCCCTGCTACCACCTGTTGCTTTCAGCTTTACTGAACCACTGCAAAATAGGAGGCAGACTTACAGCTTGTCTCTCTACTCTTTTGTTTGCAATGTAAACATACCATCCTTTAGAGTTGGGTTTTTGCTGCTAATAATGTTGGGGTTTCAGGATAAAAAGATTTCCTTCATTTTTCTCTTTTTCTAGTAAGACCGTCTAGAGGAAAAAAACACATCTAGATGCTAGTCACAAAAACACCGAAGTATGATTTGAGTGCATTTTAGAAAATTAGTCAAGTTTCATGCCTATAGTCCCAGCACTTTGGGAGACTAAGGTGGGAAGTTCGCTTTGAGGCCAGGTGTTTGAGACCAGCTTGGGCAACATAGCGAGTTCCTGTCTTTACAAAAAATAACAAAGCCAGATGTGGTGACATGCACCTGTAGTCCTAGCTACTTGGGAGGGTGAGGTAGGAGGAATGCTTAAACCCAGGAGGTCAAGGTTGCAGTGAGCTGTGATCGCACCACTGCACTCCAGCCTGAGCAACAGAGCAAGACCCTGTCTCTAAAAAGACAAATGAAAAGTGGCTGGGCACAATGGCTCACACCTGTAACCCTAGCACTTTGGGAGGCTGAGGAGGGTGGATCATTTCAGTCCAGGAGTTCAAGACCAGCCTGGACAACATGGCAAAACCGGTCTCTACAAAAAATACAAAAATCGGCCAGTCGCAGTGGCTCACTCCTGTAATCTCAGCACTTTGGGAGGCCGAGGTGGGTGGATCATCTGAGATCAGGAGTTCAAGACCAGCCTGGCCAACATGGTGAAACCCCATCTCTACTAAAAATAAAAATAAAAAAATTAGCTGGGTGTGGTGACGCATGCCTGTAATCCCAGCTTCTAGGGAGGCTGAGGCAGGAGAATTGCTTGAACCCAGGAGGTGGAGGTTACAGTGAGCCGAGATCATGCCACTGCACTTTGGCCTGGGCAACAGAGTGAGACTCCGTCTCAAAAAAAAAAAAAAAAAATTAGCTGGATATGGTGGTACATGCCTATAGTCCTGGCTATCTCAGGAGGCTGAGGTGAGAGGATCACCTCTAAGCTTGGGGAGATTGAGGCTACAGTGAGAGCCAAGATTGCACCACTGCACTCCAGCCTGGGCGACAAAGCGAGACTCCATTTAAAAATAAACCATTTTATCATGGACGAGAAGGCCGCCTGAAAATATCCAGTGTGCATCAACTCCAAAGGAACTTTCTCCTTAAAACTGCCAGCTCTCATCACAGATTCCATTATGATATGAAGTGTTAAGCAGAGTGAGTAGGGATTGGTTCCAGGTAACAGCTAGCTGAGGGAGAAGGAAATTCTAAGATATTGCAGTGGGGAAGAGGGGTAAGTTTATATCACTATTGGATTGCTGAACTTACTGTTCCCAGTATATATATATTTCCGTTTGTATACAAGTTGAGCATGTGGTACTGGGGCTGCAGTATTTTCTTTCTCATTGTACCAATTGTACTAGTGTAACAGTTTTCACCAAAAAACTTTTTACAGTCCTGCTGCTTAGTTATATCACTGACTGGATTGTCATTTTATTTTCCCTTCTTGAAAAAAATTGACTTTGCCTATATTTAGTAAGATTGCCAATAATGAAACATTCAAAATAGGGAATTTGATCCCAGCACTTTGGGAGGCCAAGGTGGGCTGATCATTTGAGGTCAGGAGTTCGAGACCAGCCTGGCTAACATGGTGAAACCCTGTCTCTACTAAAAATACAAAAAAATTAGCTGGGCATGGTGGTGCTCACCTGTAACCTCAGCTACTCAGGAGACTGAGGCAGGAGAATCGCTTGAACCCTGGAGATGGAGGTTGCAGTGAGCTGAGATCACATCACTGCACTCCAGCCTGGGCAATAGAGTGAGACTGCATCTCAAAACAAAAACAAAAAACAGCAATAACAAATAGGGAATTTTAAAAGGAGACCAAAACCCATGAAAAATTAAGCCCTTGAATAGATGAGATTATAATCTTTTTTCCTACCAGTTTAATACTTTTAAAGAATTTTTAAAGAATGTTCAAAAGAATTGCACATATTTAGAAATTTCAGGTATAAATTTCTGTCTGATTTTTTAAAGTCTGATTTTTGAAACGTTGAGGAAGAACAGTTGTGGCAGTCAATTAGTTTGGGTTAAGTTGTATGAATTTGACTCAGGAGTTAGTAGCAAGGGGTTTTTGGTTTCTCTGTGTATGTGTGGTTTCCCTCATAATTGTTGAGCTAAAAAAAACTTAGCTTATAAGTCTTAAAGGAAAGAGTTTTGAGCATGGCAAACTGACACACTGGTTGGCGTTTGGGTTTAGAACTGGAAGCCTTGAAGCAGCGTTTCTGGAAGCATGCTAATCCAGCAGCCAAACCCAGGGCTGGTCAGACAGTGAATGTGAACGTCATAGTGAAAGACATGGGCACTGATGGAAAGGAAGAGCTAAAAGCAGATGTGGTACCTGTGACTTTAGCACCTAAGAAGTTGGATGGAGCAAGCCACACAAAACCAGGTATTTGAGCCCACAGGTTTTGTTTTTTGCTTTTTGCTTTGTATTCTAACAGATCTTCAAGGCTATTGAAAACCTTATAATGAAAAGTTATAGAATCTTTTTCCTTGGAGGCTTTGCAGAGCAGTATCTCTGGCATGATTCACGTGTAGCACACCTAGAGGTGTGGGGTGGACAAGCTGGCTTTATTTTTTTTTTAGATATCATTTGTCTTATTATAAAAAACCCCATTATAGACAAATATATAGAATAAATGAAAAACTTAATCTTCTATCAGAGACAGGTTCTATAACCATATCGTGTATCCTTTTAAACTCTCTTCTTTGCACATATGTATATGTAATTTAAACAAAAACAGGCTGGGTGCAGTGGCACATGCCTGTAATCCTAGCACTTTGGAAGGACAAGGCAGGAGGATCTGTTGAGCTCAGGAGTTGGAGACCAGCCTGGGCAACATAGTGAGCCCTCATCTCTACCAAAAAAAAAAAATTATCCAGGCATGGTGGCCTGCACCTGTGGCCCCAGATACTTGGGAGGCTGAGACAGGAGGATCATTTGAGCCAGGAGGTTGAGGTTGTAATGAGTCATGATTGTGGCACTGCACTCCAGCCTAGGCGAGAGAGTGAGACCCTGTCTCAAAACAAAAAACCCAAAACAAAACAACCCACCTATAATGTGATCATAACATGCATTCTGCTTTGTGTTTTAGAAATGTATTAAGGACAGCTCTCACCCCTCCCTTGAAATCACAAGTAATATATCACATGGAAAACAGTTTTAAACACTGAAAAAAGGTATCAAATGAAAAACTAGTCTTCCCAAAGATAACTATTAACAATTTCTTGTATGTCTTTATAGGAGTATTTTTATCCATATACCGTATTTTGTGAATGTGTGTGACATTGAACATTTACTCCCTGTCAGGCATTGCTCTAGGTGCTTTATATGTTTTATCTCATTTAATCCTTACAACCCTATGAGGTAAATAACATTAGTATCCTTATTTTGTATATGAAGAAACTGATATGCAGAGCACTTAAGACACTTGCTCAAGTTTACACAGCTAATAAATGGTAGGACCAGTAGTCTAATCCAGACCACCTAACTCCAGAGCTCAGATCTACTTTATATTGCTTTTGAGGCTTTTTTTTTTTTTTTTTTTTTTCCTCTAAGACAGAGTCCTGCACTGTCACCCTGGCTGGAGTGCAATGGCACGATCTTAGCTCACTGCAACCTCTACCTCCTGGGTTCAAGTGATTCTCCTGCCTCAGCCTCCCGAATAGCTGGGATTACAGGTGCCTGCCACCATGCCTGGCTAATTTTTGTATTTTTAGTAGAGATGAAGTTTCGCTATGTTGGCCAGGCTGGTCTCGAACTCCTGACCTCGTGATCTGCCCACCTTGGCCCCGCAAAGTGCTGGGATTACAGGCGTGAGTCACTGCGCCCGGCCTTGAGGCTTTTTTTAAAATGGCTGCATAATATTCCATTGAATGAATACAACATGACTCATTAAACCATACTCGTATTGACAGATGTCTTGTTTGTTCCAGTTGTTGCTATTGCATACAGTGTTATATTATAGTGCCAGATATATGGTGGTATATTAGATGAAAATTCCTTACAGTGGAATTGTCATGATATATATCACATTTTGATATATATCATCCAGTTGTCTTTCAGAATGGTTGTACCACTCTGAATCACAGTGTATGAGTTCCTGTTTCCTCTCAATAGGTATTATCAAACCTTCTAATTTTTGCCAGGCTAACATGTCGAAAATGTATCTCGTTATTTTGATTTGTAGCTCTTCAATTAGAAGTGAGATTAAGCATTACTTTTAATTTATTAACAATATATGTTTATTTTTCGTGAACTGCCAGTTCATATCATTAGCTCATTTTACTCGAGTCGTTTCTCTTTTTCTTTAATATAGGTAAATTTATCAATGTTTTTCTTCATGGCTTTTGAGCCACAGACTTGAAGCTCTACTCCCTACCCACCTTTTCTCTCTTTTGAACAATTATTTTATAATCCCTGAGTAGTATACTATCTAGGGTGCAGAAGTTCTCTTTGATACTTCAATTCATAATAATACTCTTGTGTTCAAATAACAAAAAAGCCCAGAATACTAGAGTCTCAGATTTTCCTTTTGGGATGTGACTAGAATATTTCTGGAGTTGCCTAAAATGCATACCTAATTATTGTATTATGTCTAAAGCATTTCTACATATTTCTGTTCAGGTGAAAAGCTTCAGGTGTTAAAAGCTAAACTGCAAGAAGCAATGAAACTCCGAAGGTTTGAGGAGCGCCAGAAGCGCCAAGCACTGTTTAAATTAGATAATGAAGATGGGTTTGAGGAAGAGGAGGAGGAAGAGGAAGAAATGACAGATGAGTCTGAGGAAGATGGAGAAGAGAAGGTAGAGAAAGAAGAGAAAGAGGAAGAACTAGAGGAAGAGGAGGAGAAAGAAGAGGAGGAGGAAGAAGAAGGAAATCAGGAGGTTTCTGGCAATTACGTTGTTTTGTTACCTTGTCATGGTGAATATGAGAGAAAAAGTCAGACTTGAAAAAGAGTATAATAAGCATGTTCAATTGTATAAGAGGTTTTAGGGGCATGATGAGGGTAACTACCTCATATATCCCTAAATCTTAGGAACTTCAGTTCTGTCAGTACCACTGAATATCTGTAGATCATCATTATATATCTGAATACAGATATTCAGTGGTACTGACAGAATACCATTGCCTGGGCTTCCACCTGTTTATATATTTTAATATAATAATGCTAATATTAAAAATGGCTTTGTATTCGTAGGAAATTTTATCTTTGTTGTTTATTTAGGTTTCTCTAGCAGATTAAAAAGCAGTCCTAACCTTGGCTAGATTGAGGCCTGGAGTAAATTCTTAGGGAGGTAGAGGCCTTTCTGAGTTATTTTCGTTCTTTGTAGAAGAAGGCATTTGTAGAAGGGCCTCTTGCCCTTGTTCCGTAGTACTGTTTTCTGCCTAGGGAAAACAGGTGATGATACGATTGTTAAGTATTAAAAAACTTTCCTTTTTGGGCCGGGCAGGGTGGCTCATGCCTGTAATCCTAGCACTTTGGAAGGCTGAGGTAGGTGGATCACCTGAGGTCAGGAGTTTGAGAACAGCCTAGCCAACATCGTGAAAATCCATCTCTACTAAAAATACAAAAATTAGCTGTGTGTGGTGGCACACACCTGTAATCCCAGCTACTCAGGCAGGAGAATTGCTTGAACTTGGGCAGTGAAGGTTGCAGTGAGCCAAGATTGTGCCACTATACTCTAGCCTGAGCGACAGAGCAAGACTGCATCTCAAAAAAAGAAAAAAAAAAAAAAACTTTCCTTTTTGTATGCTGGGATCACTTTATTTTATTTTATTTTATTTATTTATTTAAATTTTTTTGAGATGAGGGTCTCACTATGTTGACCAGACTGGTCTCGAACTCCTGGCCTCAAGTGATCCTCCCATCGTTGTGGCCTCCCAAAGTGCTGGGATTACAGGCATGAGCCACCATGCCCAGCAACTTGAGTTATTATTTAATTTTGGGTAAAGGAGAAAGAAAGCAATGGCTGAGCTATACAGCCTGTCTCAGTCTGTGCTTGGTTTGAGATCAGTAGTCAGCCTGCAATCTTAGACTGATTAATTAACCTCTTACTGCCTCAATAAAATGATAATCCAGTCGTCCTTTATAATCTTAGCAATTTCGGGAGGGTAGAAGGTAAAAAAAAAAAATAGAAAAAAGTTCTAGAAGTGTCAGGGAAAATTATGTTGATAATGGTCATATGGAACTTCCTTCAAGTTTACCTTTTTGAATTTAAGATGTGATCTGTAACCAATCAGCCATATTTCAGGCTACCAGTGTATTTGCTTTTAAATGTTTTGACTTGTATTTTTTGTTTTGTGGTGGCCTGATTGGTAAAGACTGCAGAATTCCTTCTTAGTAGTGAAGAAATAGAAACAAAAGATGAAAAAGAAATGGATAAAGAAAATAATGATGGCAGTAGTGAAATTGGCAAGGCAGTTGGCTTCCTCTCTGTTCCCAAGTCTCTCTCATCAGATTCTACTTTACTTCTGTTTAAGGACAGCTCTTCCAAGATGGGGTAAGTGATTCTCTCTAAGAAAACTTAAAATTGCCTTGGATTTGCCCCTCCTGTAAAAACTAGGAACAGATACTGAACCAATTTACTTTCTTATTTTGCAGTTACTTTCCTACTGAAGAAAAATCAGAAACAGATGAAAACTCAGGCAAGCAGCCTAGCAAACTGGGTAAGTAGTGATTCTTGTGCAGAACTTAACATTTCTTTTGTCCCTCAGCTTTGATATTTAAGGACTGCAGTACGGTAAGTTTCCATGTTTTTAAATCTGGTCACTTCCCAGTTTCATATGTAGCTATGAAAAGGGTTTATGAATTAGAATATTTTTCTTGGTCTATTTTTTGCAGTTTATTTATAGTAGACCATGGTACATAATGTCCTTAGTGAATGTGTGTTGATTGAGTGAGCAATGAAATGTTTCTGTATGTAGATCAAAGGAAGACGTATAATTGATTGGACAATGAAGAGTGTGATCATAGGCATTAGGAAGGATAAGAGAAAGAAGAGAACTTTCGGCCAGGCGCAGTGACTCACGCCTGTAATCCCAGCACTTTGGGAGGCTGAGGCAGGCGGATCATGAGGTCAGGAGATCGAGACCAGCCTGGCTAACATGGTGAAACCCTGTCTCTACTAAAAATATAAAAAATTAGCCAGGTGTGGTGGCACGCGCCTGTAGTCCCAGCTACTTGGGAGGGTGAGGCAGGAGAATCGCTTGAACCTGGGAGGCGGAGGTTGCAGTGAGCCGAATTCACGCCACTACACTCCAGCTGGGGTGACAGAGCGAGACTGTCTCAAAAAAAAAAAAAAAAAAAAAAAAAGAACTTTCAAGTGTCACTTAGCTCAGAGTAATAAGCCCTGATTATATAATGCTATCTTAGTACTGTAATTTACCTTTAACTTAATGTTTTGGAACATATAACTTGAGGGGTTTGCCTATGAATTTTATCTGACAGTTTCATCCTCAACTCTTTTTCCTAAACAAATCCACCTTATTTCTGTAATCATGTGCTTAAAAGGTGTTTCTCTTTCTTTAGATGAGGATGATTCATGTTCATTGCTAACAAAGGAGAGCAGCCACAATAGCAGCTTTGAGCTGATTGGCTCCACGATTCCATCCTATCAGCCTTGCAACAGACAAACAGGCCGTGGGACCAGTTTTTTCCCTACAGCAGGAGGATTCAGATCTCCTTCCCCTGGGCTATTTCGAGCCAGTTTGGTCAGCTCAGCTTCTAAGGTAAGATGGTAATGGTTTTTCTAATCTCCTCCTCTCTTTGCTTCCCACATTGCTAAATAAAGTTTGTCCCAGCCAACCAACTCCCACCACGTTGGTACTGAGCTTATGTGTGTTCAGTTTAAAAAATCCACCCCCTTTGTGTATTAAAAACAAGCTTCATCCAGTATTCTTACTTTCTTGGAGGTATTTTTCTTTATGCTTCTCATGGCTGTGTATTGTCCCCCTCAACTACAATTTCCTGAGAGTAGCTTAAATATTGCAAATAGCAACTTTTGTGGTTGTCATGACAATGACTGACATTTGTAAAATGTTTTGTTATTGTTTGTTTTTGTTTGTGTGCCAGAGTTCAGGGAAACTGTCTGAGCCTTCACTTCCCATAGAGGATTCCCAGGATCTGTATAACGCCTCCCCAGAGCCTAAGACACTTTTCCTAGGAGCAGGAGACTTCCAGTTCTGTTTAGAAGATGACACTCAGAGCCAACTGTTGGATGCAGATGGGTAGGTAGTTTTGTGTTTCTGTGGGCGGGAATGGTGCTGGGTACTGCTTAATTTTGTTTAAAAATAAGTGAGCTTCTGTCACTCCATCTGTGCTTTCTCTTCTGAGAAAGAGAAGGTGTACAGACCATTAGTATTACATTCTATAAGTTTGAACAAAGTCTGTCCAGAAAATAAACATAAATAGCTCTTGCTAACATTCTGGTCCTTCAATTTCTGTCTTATTTGAAATGCATAGATCTTGTATTGTAAGGTCATCAAATTTCCCTGTATCCATCCTGCTATGTTATTATTGTTGGGTAAGGTTGAGAATTCACAGACTGGTGGCACATTACAGGACATAATGCCAAGCCCTGCTCTAGCATCATCTGAAGCTAAAAGTTATCCTTTACACTTTACCTTCTGAGTAACATTTTATTCTTTCACAAAACTTTTCCCTCCCTCTTTAGATTAACACAAGCCTAAAGTTTGAATCTTTTGCTTTCTGGTTTGAGATTCAGCTTTTAACTGGTGTAGGAAATGAATTCAGAGGTTTTTCACCCCCTACTTTGCCATTTCTCTGAGGAATTTTTTTTTATTTTTTTTTTTGAGGCAGAGTCTTGCTCTGTCGCCCAGGCTGGAGTGCAGTGGCGCGATCTCGGCTCACTGCAAGCTCCACCTCCTGGGTTCACGCCCTTCTCCTGCCTCAGCCTCCCGAATAGCTGGGACTACAGGCGCCCACCACCACGCCCGGCTAATTTTTTGTATTTTTAGTAGAGACGGGGTTTCACCATGTTAGCCAGGATGGTCTTGATCTCCTGACCTCGTGATCCGCCCGCCTCGGCCTCCCGAAGTGCTGGGATTACAGGCGTGAGCTACCGCACCCGGCCCTCTCTGAGGAATTTTTTACACTATTCGTTGTGCTCATTGGTTCTTAGGTTCTTAAATGTTAGAAACCACAGGAATCAGTACCAAGCTTTGAAGCCTCGATTGCCATTGGCCAGTATGGATGAGAATGCCATGGATGCCAACATGGATGAGCTGTTGGATTTGTGTACTGGAAAGTTCACATCTCAGGCTGAAAAACATCTACCCAGGAAGAGTGACAAGAAAGAGAACATGGAGGAACTTCTGAACCTTTGTTCAGGAAAATTCACTTCTCAGGGTAAATATCCAACCGAGAGTATCAAGCTTACCACACCCAAGTATCAGTGCCCTTGAAAAGAATTCCCTGGGCGGGTGGGGTGGCTCATGCCTGTAATCCTAGAACTTTGGGAGGCTAAGTTGGATGGATCGCTTGAGCTCAGAAGTTTGAGACCAGCCTGGGCAACATGGCAAATCCCCATCTCTACGAAAAAAAAAAAAAAAATTAGCCAGGCATGGTGGCACGTGCCTGTGGTCCTAGCTACTTGGGAGGCTGAGGTGGGAGGATCTCTTGAGCCTGGGAGATGAAGGTTGCAGTGAGCTGAGATCACACCAGTGCACTCCAGCCTGGGTGGCAGAGACCCTGCATAAAAATAGAAAAAAAGAAAGAAAGAAAAGAAGCCCCTTACCCTCAGGTGAAAAGTTCACAGAAAACAGGGCTGTGATGGAATCTGTGTATAAACTGAATTCACTGCTTAGTGCCCTGATATTTAGAACTCTTACTTTCTTAGAGTGGTAAAGTATCAACTTAAGACTACTTTAGGCCGGGCGCAGTGGCTCACGCCTGTAATCCCAGCACTTTGGGAGGCCAAGGCGGGGGATTTCCTGAGCTCAGGAGTTCGCCACCAGCCTGGGCAGCACGGTGAAACCCCGTCTCTACTAAAATACAAAAAATTATCTGGGCATGGTGGCCCGTGCCTGTAATCGCAGCTACTTGGGAGGCTGAGACAGGAGAACTGCTTGAACCCCGGAGGTGGAGGTTGCAGTGAGCCGAGATTGTGCCACTGCACTCCAGCCTGGGCAACAGAGAGAGACTGTCTCAAAAAAAAAGTCTTGAAAAAAAAAAAGACTGCTTTAGCTTTGCCCATATATCATTTATGATTAATGTATGTACAAAGTTTAGAACAGTGTCTGATGTATAATAAATTTCATATAAATGTTAACTTACTTCCTGTTCCCTGCCCCCAATACACACAACTGCTAGATCGAACATAAGCTCTATGAGACCTGGGATAGTGGTTTGTTCATTACTGTATCCCTGGTGGCCTGGCACATATGGCACATAGTAAGCACTAAATAAGGATTTGTTGAATGAATAGATGGTAGGCTCTTCTTGGCAAGCTTACCTTAGAACTGTATCGAGCTGGCATGACTTTAGATGGCTGGGAAAAGAGTATAAAGCTATCATTCCTTGGTGACACATCTTTTCCTTGTTGTGATGTAGATGCCTCCACTCCAGCCTCATCAGAGTTAAATAAACAGGAGAAGGAGAGCAGCATGGGTGATCCAATGGAAGAAGCACTTGCTCTTTGCTCAGGCTCTTTTCCCACAGACAAGTAAGTCTCAGATTGCTGGGAATTTGGGAAGGCCTGGCCTTTTGATAAAATCAAAATAACTGATCATCTTAAGGGCTTTGCACCTTTTCTGAGAATCTTGCAGTGGATTTGAGTCTCATATATGCCTAGTAAGCAAATTATAATGCTTTGGTGGAGAACAGGGTAAAAAAGGCAAGAATATGAAAGCTATTTAATATCATTAATAGAGAAATGCCAATCAAAACCATAGTGAGACACCCATTAAGATGACTTTTATCAGAAAAACCCCAAGAGTGTTAGTGAGAATGTGGAGAAATTGGAAACCTTGTGTACTATTGGTGAGAATGTAAAATAGTGCAGCTGCCAGGGAAAGTATGATGGCTCCTCAAAAATTAAAAATAGAGGCCAGGCACGGTGGATCATCTGAGGTCAGGAGTTCGAGACCAGCCTGACCAACATGGTGAAACCCCGTCTCTACTAAATACAAAAAATTAGCTGGGCATGGTGGCGCATGCCTGTAATCCCAGCTACTTGGGAGGCTGAGGCAGGAGAATTGCTTGAACCCGGGAGGCAGAGGTTGTAGTGAGCCGAGATCATGCCATTGCACTCCAACCTGGGCAACAAGAACAAAACTCCGTCTCAAAATAAATAAATAAAAATAGAATGACCATATGATCCAGCAATTTCACTTCTTAGTCTGTACCCCAAAAAAGTGAAAGCAGGACTTGAACAGATATTTGCACCCCCATGTTCAAAGCAGCATTATTCACAGTAAGTAGTCAAAACATGAAAGCGACCTATGTTTATTGGCAAATGAATGGGTAAACAAAATGCGGTATATATGCAAAGGAATATTCAACTTAAAATGGAAATTCTGGCTGGGCATGGTGGCTCACACGTGTAATCCCAACACTTTGGGTGGCTGAGGTGGGCGCATCACTTGAGCTCAGGAGTTTGAGACCAGCCTGGATAATATGGCAAAACCCCATCCCTATAAAAAAAATACTAAAATTAGCTAGGCGTGTGCCGGCAGTACCAGCTATTCAGGGGGCTGAGGTGGGAGAATTGCTTGAGCCTGGGAGGTCAATGCTGCATTGAGCCATGATTGTGCCACTGCACTCTGGGCATCAGAGCAAGACCCTGTCTCAAAAAAAAAGAAGTTCTGACACTTGCTACAACATGGATGAACCTTAGAATGTTATGCTAAAAGAAATAAGCCAGTCACCAAAAGACAAATACTGTATGAGTCCACTTACATGAGATACTTAGAGTAGTCAAATGCATAGAGACAGAAGGTAGAATGGTGGTTGCCAGAGACTGAGGTTATAAGGAAATGGAGAGTGTAATGGGTATAGAGTTTTAGTTTTGCAAGCTGAAAAGAGTTCTGGAGATTGCTTAACAATATGAATGTACTTAACACTACAGAACTATAGAAAGATCGTTAAAAAGGCAAATTTTATATTATGTGTATTTTACCACAATTGAAAATTTAAAAAATTTTCTTCCTGTTTATTGAAGAGATTATTGGTGATAATAAAAGTTTTAAATTTGGCTGGGCGAGGTGGCTCATACCTATAATCCCAGTACTTTGGGAGCCCAAGGCAAGCAGATTGCTTGAATCCAGAAATTCAAGATGAACCTGGGCAACATGGTGAAATCTGTCTCTACAAAAATACAAAAATTAGCTGAACATGGTGGCTTGTATCTCTAGTCCCAGCTACTCAGGAGGCTGATGTGGGAGGATCACTTGAGCCCTGGAGGTGGAGGTTACAGTGAGCTGAGATGGTGCCACTGTATTCCAGGTGGTGTAAGAGACCAAGACTGTCTCAGAGAAAAAAAAAAAATTAACACACACAAAATTTTTTTTAATTCATAACTTGGCTGACTACTTGTAGTTTGCTTTCAACAACTTATTTATTGATTCATTGATTTACATTTTAGGGAAGAGGAAGACGAGGAGGAGGAATTTGGAGACTTTCGGCTTGTTTCAAATGATAATGAGTTTGATAGTGATGAGGTGAGTATGAAGGGAACAAAGTAATCATAACTGAGCTCCATGTATTGCTGCCCTCAAGTGTTTTTTTCCCCTCAGTTCTTGAGAATTCTAAGTTTGGCATCTTATCAGAAACAATTTCCTAGAATGAGGTATTTGGGCAGATGTTTATAAATCCTTTTTTCATTGAGGACGCATTTTATTCTGCTTAATTTGGATATGATGCTGATTTTGTAGGATGAACACAGTGACTCTGGTAATGATCTGGCACTGGAAGACCATGAAGATGATGATGAAGAAGAACTCCTGAAGCGATCTGAGAAGTTGAAAAGGCAAATGTACGTGTTATTAATATGTCCATTCCTTCAGGTGTATTTAAAATTTGGTCACTAGGCCAGGCATGGTGGCTTGCGCCTGTAATCCCATCATTTTGGGAGGCTGAAGCAGGCGGATCACCTGAGGTCAGGAGTTCAAGACCAGCCTGGTCTTGGTGACACAGGTCAAGAGATCGAGACCATCCTGACAAACATGGTGAAACCCTGTCTCTACTAAAAAATATAAAAATTAGCCAGATGTGATGACAGGTGCCTGTAGTCCCAGCTACTCAGGAAGCTGAGGCAGGGAGAATCGCTTGCACCCAGGAGGTGGAGGTTGCAGTGAGCCGAGATCGCACCACTGCATTTCAGCCTGGGTGACAGAGCGAGACTCTGTCTCAAAAAAAAAAAAAAAAAAAAAGTTGATCACTTAATATGTCCTGTGTGCTAATAACTGTGCTTTACAGGCATTAACATATTATCTTATGCCAGGCACAGTGGCTCACGCCTGTAATCCCAGCACTTTGGGAGGCCAAGGCAGGCATATTACTTGAGGTCAGGAGTTTGAGACCAGCGTGACCAACATGGTGAAACCCTCTCTACTAAAAATACAAAATACAAAATAAAATACAAAAATTAGCCAGGCATGGTTCTGGGCGCCTGTAGTGCCAGCTACTTGGGAGGCTGAGGCAGGAGAATTGCTTGAATATGGGAGGCGGAGGTTGCAGTGAGCCAAGATTGCCCCACTGCACTCCAGCCTGGGTGATAGAGCAAGACTCCATCTCAAAAAAATTATCTTATGAGTGGGTACTATTATTCTCCTCATTTTACAGTTGAAGGAACTGAGCCTCAGAAAGATTAAATTTACCCAAGATCACATAGCTAGAAGGCAGCAGAGGCTGGATTCAACTTAGATTAGGTGAAATCTCCCCTAACAGTCAGTTAATAGTTTGCCACTTTTTAACTTAAATCCTCCTGCCTCAGCTTCCCAAGTAGCTGGGACAACAGGCATGTGCCACCACACCTGGCTAATTCTTTCTATTTTTTGTAGAGATGGGGCCTTGCTTTGTTCCCAGGCTGGTCTTAAACTGTTGGCCTCAAGTGATCCTCCTGCCTCTGCTTCCCAAAGTCTGGGATTACAGGCATGAGCCACCAGGCCCAGCTTTTTTTTTTTTTTTTTTTTTTTTTTTTGAGACGGAGTCTCGCTCTGTCGCCCAGGCTGGAGGGCAGTGGCATGATCTCGGCTCACTGCAACCTCCGCCTCCCGGGTTCAAAGCGATTCTCCTGCTTCAGCCTCCTGAGTAGCTGGGAATATAGGCACGTGCCACCACACCCAGCTAATTTTTGTATATTTAGTAGAGACGGGGTTTCACCATGTTGGTCAGGATGGTCTCGATCTCTTGACCTCACGATCCACCCGCCTTGGCCTTCCAACATGCTGGGATTACAGGCGTGAGCCACCCCACCTGGCCGGCCCAACTCATTTTTTTGATATGCTGTTCTGGTCATGAAAGTAAAATATTTATTTTAGGATATTTAAAAGAATACAAACTGGGTGCAGTGGCCCACGCCTATAATCTCAGCACTTTGGGAAGCTGAGGCGGGTGGATCACCTGAGGTCAGGAGTTCGAGACCAGCCTGGCCAACATGGCGAGACCCCGTCTCTACTAAAAATACAAAATTAGCCAAGCGTGATGGCCAGTGCCTGTAATCCCAGCTACTCAGGAGGCAAAGCTGGAGAATCGCTTGAACCGGGAGGTGGAGGGTGCAGTGAGCTGAGATTGTGCCATTGCATTCCAGCCTGGGCGACGAGAGAAACTCCATTCTCCCCGACCCCCGCAAAAAAAGAATACAGAAAGATATAAATAAAAACTTATCCATGTCCACCATCCAGGATATAAATGAAAGTTAGTTTGTTCCCCTTAATCTTTTTTATGCATATATTTTTATATAGTTGAGATTTGTACAATCTTTCTATATGTATAATTTTGCATCTTTTTTTTTCTACTTAGCATATCCAGAAACATTTTCCTATGATGTTAAAAAAAGTTTTATAAAGATAATTCTAATAGGTATTTAATATTATATTGTATGTGAATGATTTGGAATTCACATATAGGACATCATATTGATCCCTATTAGATTTATATGGTTGCTTTTATCCCATCATTTCATTCTATTAAGATTCACTTTGGGTTCTAATTTATCACCTATCAAATTAACTCTCATACAGCTTTAGGTTATCCATAGATTTTTCTAAGGTAGTGGTTCTTCTCTGCAGAGCTCTTTGTTCAAATAAAATCTTTTAAAGAATGACAGATAAAAGTTGAACTGTTCAAAGATGGTAAGTGGGAAGTTTGGGAAACTTAGTGACTAGTGGCCTCTGAAGGAATTTTCCAGGAACTCTAGGATTTAGAACAACTTAGCTTTAAGAAAATACAGTATAGGCTGGGCGTGGTGGCTCATGCCTGTAATCCCAGCACTTTGGGAGGCTGAGATGGACAGATCCCCTGAGGTCAGGAGTTCAAGACCACCCTGGCCAACATGGTGAAACCCTATCTCTACTAAAAAAACAAAAATTAGCCAGGCATGGTGGCACGCACCTGTAATCCCAGCTACTCGGGAGGTTGAGGCATGAGAATCACTTGAACCCAGGAGGTGGAGGTTGCAGTGAGCCGAGATGGCATCTCTGCACTCCAGCCTAGGCGACAGAGCGACACTTCATCTCAAAAAAAAAAAAAAAGAGAAAATACAGTATAGGTCTTCGATAAAAATCAGTTTTCAGAAAGCCACCAAACTTCTGCCATTTTGGACCACATGGGACCAAGGTGACTTTGAATCCAGGGTGACACCAGATTTATTCTCCGGGGGAGCTGAAGTCATAAGAAGTAACTAGTCGTTTTGATTACCAGGAGCTCTGAGCCTTAGTCTTCCTTCTGATGTGGGGGTCAAGATTTGTTAGGCTGTAAGAAGATCCCAGTTTATTACCTTTCTACACCACACCATCTCTAGTTTGTCTCTTAAAGCTGGTGTGCTCAAATGCAAAATGAAATAGTTTGAACCTTCCAGCAGGTATTCTAATACATGTAAAAGAGATTAAGAGTTTTCTGGCTTTCAAATCACCCAATCTAAGTTGAATCCAGGCTCTGCTACCTTCTAGCTATGTGACCTTGGGTAAATGTAATCTTTCTGAGGCTCAATTCCCTCAACTGTAAAATGAAGAGAATAATAGTACCCATTCCTATGATAATATGTTAATGCCTGTAAAGCACAGTTATTAGCACACAAGACATATTAAGTGATCAACTTTTAAATACAGATGCTCCACATCTTACAATGGGACTATATCCTGATCAATCCATCATAAGTTGAAAATGCACTTTCATATTATCCAGATATAACTCCATCGTAAATCGAGAAGCATACTAAGTGCGTATCACATTCATGTCATCGTAAAGTTGAAAAATCATTAAGTCAAACCATCATAAGTGGAGACTATTACAAAAAAATTTAAATATTATCAAATGTATTATGTTTATTATTATTAGAAGTGACTCTGTTCTGCTTTTCTTTGCTTCCATATTCTGTGAGTATATTCATTGTTGCATTTTCTAATCCTCAAAATTGCTTTCTAGGAGGTTGAGGAAATACCTGGAGGATGAGGCAGAGGTGTCAGGAAGTGATGTGGGAAGCGAAGATGAGTATGATGGGGAAGAAATTGATGAATATGAAGAGGACGTAATTGATGAAGTACTTCCTTCTGATGAGGAACTGCAGAGTCAAATCAAGAAAATACACATGTCAGTATCCCAATAAGCCCTTCTGAGTAATAGGGTACATCTTAAGACAAGCCCTGTAACCAGCCAGAATGGTCCTTGTTTTGAACACCTTATTTCTCCTGTTGCAGGAAAACTATGTTGGATGATGATAAGCGACAGCTACGTTTATACCAAGAGAGGTACCTTGCTGATGGGGATCTGCACAGCGATGGTCCTGGGCGAATGAGGAAGTTTCGATGGAAAAACATAGGTATCTTGGTTGTTGTCTTTAAAAGCAATCAGTTACGGGCTGAGCATGGTGGCTCACGCCTGTAATCCCAACACTTTGGGAGGCAGAGGCAGGTGGATCACAAGGTCAGGAGTTCAGGACCAGCCTGAACAACATGGTGAAACCCCGTCCCTACTAAAAGTTCAAAAATTAGCAGGCTGTGATGGCACGCGCCTGTAATCCCAGCTACTCAGGAGGCTGAGGCAGGAGAATTGCGTGAACCCGGGAGACGGAGGTTGCAGTGAGCAGAGATCATGCCATTGCACTCCAGCCTGGGCGACAGAGCGAGACTCCATCTCAAAAAAAAAAAAAAAAAAGCAAACAGTTACAATGCATATTTGTCGAGTTTCAGATGGCAAATGGCAAGCAAAACTATAACAGGCTATGTGAAGACCTAGTTGTAACTGTTTTCTGTTAATGGATGGGAAAAGTTTACATCATTATATAGTAAATGATAAGGGTTTATTTTTTGTCTGTCCAAGCACCCTCTCCTGTGAGGACTGCCGAATGCTGATTACCTTCACTCTTTGTTTAGATGATGCTTCCCAGATGGACTTGTTCCACAGAGACTCTGATGATGATCAGACTGAAGAACAGCTTGATGAGTCAGAAGCCAGGTGGAGGAAGGAGCGAATTGAACGAGAGCAGTGGCTTCGGGACATGGTAGGAGTTCACCTACTCTGACCCTAGTTTATGAGACTGTCCCTTAGCTTGTCATGATAGTTTCAAAATCTTAGCTTGTCATGATAGTTTCAAAATCTTAGGCAACATATTGCTATCTCTTTTAATCCTTGAGCTATCTTTTGTGTTTTGAGAAGGCTATACCATAGACAGTTCTCTTCATGTTTGTCTAAGATTAATTTTTTTTTGTCTAAAGCAGCAAAGGCTGCAAAAAGGAAAACAAATACCCCAGGAACTCTAGTTTCACAATCCAGGCCATGCTAACTATTTAGGAAGGTTATAGACTTTTAATGCTGTATATATATATATATATATATATATATTTTTTTTTTTTTTCAGGCACAGCAGGGGAAAATTACAGCTGAAGAAGAAGAAGAAATTGGGGAGGACAGTCAGTTTATGATACTGGCCAAGAAAGTTACAGCCAAAGCACTGCAGAAGAATGGTGAGCTCTTGTTTCTCCTTAGGGTCTAGCCCCCTGGATTGTTAGTGGTAGAGCTTTGGAGGTGACTCTAACCTTCAGGAGCTGTTGCAGCTTAATCATAAGCTTGTGTCTAATACTGTCTTAAAGAGGCTTCACAGAGGTGGTGGGAGACAGTGTACTTAGATCTTAGACTATTGGGCAGTAGAGACTGTATTCATGAGTATATGTGGCTGGTTTTACTTTATGTTCTAAGGCTCAGAGTAGTTAATTCTGGCTTTCTCTAGTTGCCCAGGATTGTATACCTAAGTGTTAGAGGTAGGATTTGAATCCAGGAATATTTAACTCCAGAAATGAAGCTCTTCACTATTCCCTACACTGACCACTTCTGTTTTTCTTAAATGATTACTGTTCAACTTAGTTGTGTCTCTTCTTGGAGCCAATTATTATAGTTTGAAAGTCACCATTATATAGAACAGAGTTCCCATGGCTTTAGCATATTGATTTAGTTACAAGATTTCTTAGCTTGTTTAGATTTAAAAGTAATTCTAATCAGCTTTTCCCAGAATAGGCCTCTCTGTCTTTTCTTTCCAGCCAGTCGCCCTATGGTTATTCAGGAATCAAAGTCTTTGCTCAGAAATCCTTTTGAAGCCATCAGACCAGGAAGTGCTCAACAGGTTGGTTGGGAACCTTGTTAATCTGACATCATAGTCTACAGGTTATAAAGGCCCAGGTCCAGCTTAGAGAATAGTCTCTGTCATTAGAGGAAGGAGGTGGCTGCAGGGAAAAAGTTAATGTCAAAGGAGTCTGCTATTTCTTTTCTATTTGAATAGGGTAGGCATATGTACCCTCAATATCTAGGGGGAAGCAGGGAGGGAAGGACTTTTCATTCTTTAGTTGGCACTTGGGATTTGATACCAGATGACTCTTCTTTCCTCAGGTGAAGACAGGCTCACTGCTAAACCAGCCCAAAGCTGTGCTTCAGAAACTGGCTGCTCTCTCTGACCATAACCCCAGTGCTCCTCGAAATTCAAGAAACTTTGTCTTTCATACACTTTCTCCTGTCAAGGCTGAGGCGGCAAAGGAATCGTCTAAGTCTCAGGTATGGAATTTGAGAACTAATATGGTGGCTTCCCAAACCAGAATTTATTCATTTATTTAAATTTAAAAACAAAAATTCTGGCTTAACCTCTATGCTGCAATGTTGAAATCTTGCACTCCCCGATAAGGTACAAGAGAATTGCTACCCCAGTCGGTAATCAACTTTTAAACTTGCCGAGAAAGTTTATCTTTCTTTCTTTTTTTCTGTTGTTAATCATCCACAATTTATGAGTTGCTTGAGAGCTAATTGAAGGTAAATACTTGTATGAAGGTCTTTAGCTGGCCCTGACTCCCTCTCTGCTCTCTAGGTAAAGAAAAGGGGTCCATCTTTCATGACTTCTCCTTCACCTAAGCACCTCAAAACAGATGATAGCACTTCAGGATTGACGCGAAGCATCTTCAAATATTTGGAGAGCTAACACCATCAAAGGTGCCAAAATCTACATTGAGACTGCTTTGAGAAGTTTCTAGCACTGAAAGTTGGAATTGACACTCCAGCCAATGATCCTTCCTTCTTTCATAATCAATGCAATAAGATTGCAGACAGAAATTCCAGTGATTTCTACTGCACAGCTCTGGACATCTCTTTTCCTAGTATTATTCCCTGAATTGGCCACTGATTTCAATTCTGCAGTATTTACAACATCAACAACTCATGGAATACTTGGGTGAGGTTTCCTTTTTTTTTTTTTTTTTAAGATGGGAGTCTCACTCTGTTGCCCAGCTTGGAGTGCAGTGGCGTGATCTCGGCTCACCACAATCTCTGCCTCCCAGGTTCAAGCGATTCTCCTCCTTCAGCCTCCCGAGTAGCTGGGATTACAGGCATGTGCCAATACGCCCAGCTAATTTTTGTATTTTTAGTAGAGACGGGGTTTCACCATGTTGGCCAGGCTGGTCTTGAACTCCTGACCTCAAATGATCCATCCACCTCGGCCCCACAAAGTGCTGGTCACATGCATGAGTCACTGCACCTGGCCTTGGGTTAGGTTTCACTTCCTCCATTAGACATTTGACATTTTATTGTAGCAGCTTTCTGGGTTAATATCTCTTTGTGATTGATAGAAGTGGTTGGAAGAGGAAGAGTAGGGAAAAGTGTGACATTACAGATTAAACAGTGAAAATCAGTACCATAATGACTCCTTTACACCCATGAGATACGTACCATGATGACCAGGGCTCGGTGAAAGAAAGATTTCTTTTTTTTTTTTTGAGATAGTCTCACTTTGTTGCCCAGTCTGGAGTGCAGTGGCGCAATCTCGGCTCACGGCAACCTCTGCCTCCCGGGTTCAAGTGATTCTCCTGTCTCAGCCTCCCAAGTAGCTGGGACTACAGGTGCATGCCACCACACCTGGCTAATTTTTGTATTTTTAGTGGAGACAGGGAGTCACCATGTTGGCCAGGCTGGTCTCGATCTCCTGACCTCAAGTGATCCAGCTGCCTCAGCCTCCCAAAGTGCTGAGATTACAGGCGTGAGCCACTGTGCCCAGCCAAAAGAACGATTTCTTAGATGGAGGACCTAGGAACCAACAGATGGGCTGCTGTATTACTCTTACCCCTTTCATTTTCCTGTATGCTTCTTCCCAAGGCAGCATCAAATTTTGAATTAATTTTTGCTGCTTAATAAGGACTTAAACTGGTACCCAAGTCAGAAAGACTCTGCCTCTAATTTTCTGGGGCTTGGGGATGAAGATAAAGTGTTACACCCAGTGTTTGTCCACCACAGTCTGTGGGGCAGAGAGACCCTTCCTGGGACTGAATTCTCAATTTGAAGCACTGTTGTTCAAAGATCTCCCTTCTGGGTCTGACAAGAAGAAACATAACCCTTATTTATTGCATTCTTCTGGCTTACATACATTGCCCTCACTAATCAATGGACATTTCAGCATTTCATTACTAATTTTGAGAGAAGGCCACCATGGAATTTAATAAAAATATTATTGAAGAGAATTGCCATCATTCTCCATTTTCCCTGAACTACCACAAGCTTCTCAGAATTTTAGACAAATGTTTTTCCCCTCAGAACTGAGCATCAGTGCTGCTTTGGAAAAACATTCCATGTGAATACTGTGGTTTCAGTGTCAGGACCTGTACTTGGGCAGTTGGAAGAGAGTGTGCCAGTTTTTTACTGGGAGATGGGAACACCAATTTAATTGATGCAATTAGGTTGTAGGTTTTTTACAGTTTTTCTTTTCTTTTCTTTTTCTTTTTCTTTTCTTTTCTTTTCTTTTTTTTTTTTTGAGACATAGGCTGGCTCTGTCACCTAGGCTGGAATACAATGGCATGATCTCGGCTTACTGCAACCTCCGCCTCCTAGGTTCAAGCAATTCTGCCTCGGCCTCCCAAATAGCAGGGATTACAGGCACCTGCCACCACTCCCAGCTAATTTTTTGTATTTTTATTAGAGATGAGGTTTCGCCATGTTGGCCAGGCTGGTCTTGAACTCCTGACCTGAGGTGATCCACCCGTCTCGGCCTCCCAAAGTGCTGGGATTATAGGCATGAGCCACCGCACCCGGCCGGTTTTCTACAGTTTTCTAATACTCAAGATGTTGACTTTGACAATACTTATGTTTGTATACTTGTAATCTTATAATGGGGAAAATGTGTATAAAGATGTTTTAATATGTATGTAGTTTTTCAATAAATCTTAATGCCTTGAAGGGAAGATTTGCTGTCCAGCTTGAATGCTCATTCTTGGGTCAGTGCCTGTCTAACCTTGAGGAGCATTTCATTTTCAGGTTATCTCCATCCCAGGGAAACCCTCTGGGTCTAAACTGAGAAGCTGCTGCAATTGTCCCCTCACTGGCTTCTCAGTCCTAGTGAATTGATCAAGTTAACTTACCAAGTGGTTTGGGTTCAGCTCAGGTGAAGAGGATAATTGAGTTTACATAAATGGTACCTTCTATTATAGCTCTTTGTTTAAAAAACTTATTTTTTAGAGACAGTCTCATTCTGTTGCCCAGGTTAGAGTGCAGTGGCACAATCATAGCTCACTGTACCCTTGAACTCCTGGGCTTCAGCATCCTCCTTCCTCAACCTTTGGAATAGCTGGGCCACATTACAGGCATATGCCACCATGCCCAGCTAATTATTTTATTTTAGTAGAGACAGGGTCTTGCTGTGTTGCCCCAGCTGATCTTGAACTCCTGGCCTCAAGTAATCCTCCCACCTTGGCCTCCCAAAATGCTGGGGTCACAGGCTCAGCCACCATGCCCAGCCTGTTACAGCTTTGATTGGCCTTTCTCTTTAGCTAAGTTTGTATGTACTTCATTTTATCCATGGGTTCAAGATACATGTTTTTGCCTCTTTCTTTGAACTCTCTAAACAGTTCCCAAGGCAAAGTAGCCCTTGCTGGGCAAAAGAGAACTGAGCAGGAAGGCTAGATATTTCTTCCCTCTTGTTTCCCTACATGTCTTTTGAGGAGAGATAGAAAAGACAATTGGAATTGACAACTGAGGATAAGAAAATTCAGCCAGGTCCGGTGGCTCACGCCAGCACTTTAGGAGACTGAGGTGGGTGCATTGCTTGAACTCAGGAGTTCGAGACCAGCCTGGGAAACATGGTGAAATCCCAACTCTAAAAAAAAAAAAAAAAAGAAAAAAAAAAGAAAATTAGTGCCTGAGAAATCCAGGGAGAAAATGGTTTCTGGGCTGGGCGTGGTGGCTTATGCCTGTAATCTCAGCACTTTGGGAGGCTGAGGCAGCTGGATCACCTAAGGTCAGGAGTTGGAGACCAGACTGACCAACAAGGTGAAACCCCGTCTCTACTAAAAATACAAAAATCAGCCAGGCTTGGTGGTGGCAGGTGCCTGTAGTCCCAGCTACTTGGGAGGCTGAGACAAGAGAATTGCTTGAACCTGGGAGGCAGAGGTTGCAGTGAGCCGAGATCACGCCACTGCTCTCCAGCATGGGCGACAGAGTGAGACTCCCTCTCAAAAAAAAAAAGAAAGAAAGAAAATGGTTTCTGATTGAGGCTCCTGGGAGAAAGCACTCTTTGGAGAAAGAAAACTTGAGTCAAACTCTGGGTTACTTTTCCTTATGCCAGGATGGCTGCTATAAAGTAAGCTAAGCCTTGATCTTGGTAACAGGATTGACATGGACAGTTTCAATCTGACCCATATGCCCTTTGCCCAAAGCACTGAGCCAGCAGCATCAGTTATGTTTTAATGAAATTGAAGCCCCAGGACCTGCCACTATGGCTCTGAGGAGGACTCAGCTTCACTAGCTTGGAAATTACATATTTGGAGGGATGAGAGCCCATGAGTGTGGGAGATAGGGTAGGCTCAGTGTCAGTGTTTTTGTTTCTTCCTTGTTCCATACACTTGAGTAGGGATACATGGTATTAACCTCTTTAAACAGGTCTCTAATTTCATCTCATTAATTCACAGTTGCACAGCCATACTAGGGTCTCTTCCATAAACCATAAGATTTTATTCACCAAAGCTCTAGAGACAAGGTACTCAGATCTCTGTGGCATCCCTCATTTTCTCAACTGCTTCTCTACAAACTTCTCCTCACTTTGAGAGTTTCTAATGCTCAGGCTGGGAGACTTTTTAGGGGGTGTTTTTGGTTTTTATCTCCTAGGGTTATGTCTAATCACTCTTGTGGCATCCTGTCCTGGGATTTGTGCTCCTAAGGATAGAGGAGAGTATTTCTGGGAGGAGTGTTCCCATGATACTATTTGATTATGTCATCCTTGAGATGGTATTGTATCTTCTACCCTTATATCCTACTCATCGCCTGGCACACAGCTTGGAATGTAGTGGTGCCTACCACAGTTTGAATAAATAACACTACACCTTTCAGAGCCTCTGTTTATAAAATGAGGATACTAAGTCATGGCTGTCTCAGAGTTGCTGGGGGGCTTCAGTTGGAAAATGTATGTCAGTGCATTATGTCAAGTGCCACTCTGTAAGCATAAGAAATTGCCAGTAGCTCCCAGAAAAAAGAAATTCACCTCCTTTGAGAATGAAAGAAATTACCAGTATCACAATTATATCATATATTGTAGGCCACTTCTGAAAGGCCCATTGTTTCTCAAATATCTCAAACTTAAAATGAAAATGTGATCTTCTCTAAAAACCTGCTCTTCCTCCTGTATTTGCCATTTCAGTAAAAGGTACCTCCATATATCCAGTCACTCAGACTGGAAATCTGGAGAGCATTCTTGACCTGTTCTTTAATCCTGTAATCAGACAATTTCCAAGTTCTGTTATTTCTACTTCCAAATTGCATCTGGAATCAGCTCATTTCTTCCAGCTCTATGGCCAGCCCCCTGGTCCAAGATTCCACAATTTCTTTCTAGGGTCCTACCGTAGCCTCCTGACCCCCCCACTTCTGTTTTTGCTTCCTTTTCATCCAATCTGCACAGCAGCCAGAGGCGACCTTTATGTAAATATAATTTGGAGGATGACACTTCACTACTTAAAATCTTTTAATGTCTTCCGCTGCACTCAAAGTTCAAACTTCTCATGGCCGATGCATGACATAGCTCTGCCTCCCAACCTGCTGTCTACTCTTCTTTCTCATGACATGCAGCCTCAGGAGCATCTAAAGTGTCCTCTTTCCCTGGAATGCCCTCCCCTACATCCATCCTCCTTCTTTGTCTGACTAATGCATAATTCTCAAGGTGTTAGCTTAAGCCTAATTTCCTCAGAGAAGCCTTCTCTGACCATTAACACCCCTTTCTTTTTTCTTTCTTTCTTTTTTTTTTTTTTGAGACAGAGTCTCGCCCTGTCGCCCAGGCTGGAATGCAGTGGTACGATCTCGGCTCACTGCAACCTCTGCCTCCCGGGTTCAGGCGATTCTCCTGCCCCAGCCTCCCAAGTAGCTGGGATTACAGGCATGCGCCACTACACCCAGCTAATTTTTGTATTTTCAGTAGAGACGGGGTTTCACTATGTTGGTCAGGCTGGTCTCGAACTCTTGACCTCGTGATCCGCCCGCCTTGGCCTCCCACAGTGCTGGGATTACAGGCATGAGCCACCAAGTCCAGCCTAACACCCCTTTCTTAATTAGGTTACCTTTGTATAAGTTTCCTATTCTTTTTTTTTGAGATGGATTCTCGCTCTGTCGCCCCGGCTGGAGTGAGTGCAGTAGCACGATCTCAGCTCACTGCAACCTTTGTCTCCCCCGTTCAAGCAATTCTGCCTCAGCCTCCCAAGGGGCTGGGGTTACAGGCACGCACCACCACACCCGGCTAATTTTTGTATTTTTGATAGAGACGGGGAAGGTGTTAGCTTAAGCCTAACTTCTTCAGAGAAGCCTTCTCTGACCATTACCACTCCTTTCTTAATTAGGTTACCTCTGTTTGAGTTTCTTGTTCTTTTTTTTTTTTTTTTTTTTTTTTAATATGGATTCTTACTCTGTCACCCAGGCTGGAGTGCAGTGACGTGATCTTGGCTCACTGCAACCTCGGCCTCCCGGGCAATCAATTCTCCTGCCTCAGCCTCCCAAGTAGCTGGGGTTACAGGTGTGCACCACCACATCTGGCTAATTTTTGTGTTTTTAGTGCCCAGCTAATTTTTGTATTTTTAGTAGAGACGGGGTTTCACCATGTTGGCCAGGCTGATCTCGAACTCCTGACCTCAAGTGATCCAGCTACCTCAGGCTCCCAAAGTGCTGGGATTATAGGCATGAGCCACCACACCCAGCCTTAGGTTTCCCATTCTTTTGGGTCTGTCATCATGATGTGTTACTTTAATGTTCGTTGAGGCTTGCTTTCCCTACTAGACTGTAAGTGCTGTGAAAACAGAGCATATCCGTTTTGTTGAAAAATGTATGCTTTGGGTAGCACCATGCCTGGCACATAAAATAATTCAATGAATTTTTTGAGCAATGAGTGATGGGAGGCCTGGAAGAGCTAATGGTGAAAAGCATAGAGCTGAATTATATACAGAGGAGCTTTCTAGTGCAGGACAGAATAGAGGTGTAGAGCTTTAGTCCTTGCTCTTTCTGCAGCTTGTAAGCATCATGACTTTGGGTAAGTCAGTCTCTTTTTTCCTCAACTGGAAAATGGGGCTCATGTGAAATGACTTGGTTTAGCTCACAGGGTATGGTTAGGATCAAAGGTACAAATTAATGTGAAGTGAATGTACATATTTAAGAGGCTGCACTAATGCAGGCTAACTCACTGCTGAGGAATGGGTAGAGCTGAGTGGGAAGGAGAAGCCAAGCCCCAACAAAGCTCCATAGTCCACCATTGGTGGCTAGCTATGTGCTGAGACTTGTTATAGCAGTAGAAATGGAGGCCTGTGTGTATGCCTGGACTCCAGTGAACTGGGGAGATAGACGTGGCTTGTGTATGGCTGGTGTCACCTCAGATTTTACCTTTTGAGACCAAGGTGCCTGGTTTCTGTCCCCAGTAGTTTTATTGTCTTGGTCTGTACCATCCACGTCCTTCCCATCCCCTCTTTTTGTCCTCTCTCCTCTCACCTTAAAGGTTTTTCATTTTCAGTTTATTGATTTAGTTCTACCCTGTGGTGGGATTCATAATGGGAAAAGGGAGTTTGAAGTAGCTACAGCCTAAGGGTGATTGGAAGGAGTTGGGGTGGACACCTGAGTTCCTTCCCTTCATTTTAGAGAGAACCGTAGTCCGCGGAATTCTTGATGGCTGGTGGGCTAGATGTAGGGTTGAAGAGGCAGCTCCCAGCTCCAGGCTGGAGAATTATTGCCTAGTCCAAGGGGTAGAAAGTGCTGAGGCAGGGTTGGGAGTGAGCCGTGGTTTGGGTTTTTTGGCCCTCATCTCTTTTTCTCAGAGGCTGAAGGAAGGAAAAAGGCTGACTGCCCACCCTTCTGTTTGTTTGTCTTGTCTAATTTAACTTACGTTATTTATCAAAAAGACAGGTTATTTGGAAAACCAGATGGACCTAGGCAAAAATCATCTGGGTTTTCCAAACGTGAAAAATTAGGTTCTGGGGGCCCAGCAGGAAAGGCGTGTGTGTGTGTGTGTGTGTGTGTGTGTGTGTGTGTGTGTGTGTGTGTGTGTGTGTGTGTTTGAGGGGAGGGTGAGGTTGAGTGAATGTCTCTGTAGTTAGACCCAGAAATTGTTCCATGACTTCCAAGCATACTCCCTCCTTCATTTTCCTTCAAGTTCTTTATGATTAGAATCTAAATGAGAAAATTAAAATCTTCATGTTGGTTGCTGGATGTCTTAATTGACCAAGGATTAGAACCCATCAGGGCTATAGAAGAACAGCAGCTGACAGTTTTCTCTATCTTTCCAGCCCTCAGTCCCTTACACAGAGTGGGCAGGTTAGTGAGAGGTGCAGGGTACTGAGAGTTTTCTGAAACAGAAACCTGTGCTTCTTGTCCCTTCAATGTTATTGTTCCAAAGAGTTGCAGCAAATATGGAGGTTAGACATTAGGGAAGAACTTATCATCAACTTTCTGATGATCAAATGGCTAAAAGAACACTGAGGATCCAGGGCTGTCTCTCCATTGACTATCCAGGGAAGGAGCTAGCCCAGTTTTCTTTTGGGCAATGGTGGCTTGCTCTGTAGCTACAACCAGGAATTTGTAAAACTTGTGGTTTTGGGCCAGGCATGGTGGCACATGCCTGTAATCCCAGCACTTTGGGAGGTTGAGGTGGGGGGTTTGCTTGAACTCAGGGGTTTGAGACCAGCCTGGGCAAAATGGCGAAACCCCATCTCTACAAAAAATACAAAAATTAGCTGTGCATGGTGGCATGCACCTGTGGTTCCAACTACTTGGGAGGCTGAGGTAGGAAATCACTTGAGCCTGGAGGTTGTGGCTGCAATGAGCCAAAACTGCAGCATTGCATTCCAGTCTGGGTGACAGAGTGAGACTGCCTCAAAAGAAAAAAAAAAAAAAAAAAAAAGCTTGTGGTTTTGTTACCTTGAGCAGCAACATTTTTAGGAAGGAATTAAAGCAGGAGGCTATTGAGGCATAGCTCTTGGCTGCCATAGAGGAAATGTTCTGGCTGAAAGCAGAAAGCAAGCCATCCAGTTCATACACATATGCACACACACAGAAGACAGCCAAGACCCTTTCTGGCCTGAGAAATCTTTGGCGGCAGCAATAGCACTTGTCCCATTGTGAGTGGCATTTTTTTCAAAGTGTCATTGGACTGTGAAAGCTACTTAATAACTTGATCTCATCTGAATAATCTGAGTTAATACTAGCTTCACAGTTGTGAGGATTAAATAAAAAAAAATTGTAAAGTGTCTGCCTCAAGGCCTGGCACAGAGTAAATCTCAACAAATGCTCGTTGAATGAATGAATCCATGAATCTGAGCATTAAGGCCCCCCTCACCGTTTCCAAGGATCAGTGCATAACAGCCCCGGTAACTGAGACTTGTAGACTGTCCCAACTGAGCCTGCAGCCTGAGGCATGATCTAAACCTGCTGTTCCTTTGACAAATATTTGATGAGTTATGGTGTGGAGGGTGGACCCTTCCATGAAGGCCTTGTTGGCCTAGCTGTTGGAAGCACTATGCAGACAGTCTTCCAGGGTGGGAATTGCCTCAGAGAGCACCTTGCCCAAGGTCAAGGATAGCCCACATTCAATGGCAACAGGTGTGTAACGGCCTGGCCTTCTTAGCTTATTTTGGGTCAACTCTGAAGGGCCATTCTAGCTTCAGAGCTCCCTGTGGGGTTGGCTGAGGCTGTCACTGGCTTGTCTTGTAGATCAGCCTCTTCCTCTGGCCACTCCTGCTCATTCTCATTCTTCCACAGCTGTTGATCCCAAAGGAGGTTCTTAATAAACATCCAGCACATTAAACAGTCTCAGAGTTGGCTTCCTGGGAAATCCAAGCTATGAATGCACTAGTCCTGGTGGCCAAGCCTTTAGAACAACAAAGAACGGAGACTCCTTTGCAATGGATTTCCAGCGTTGGAGGTGTGGATACTGTCTCTTTATGCCCACCAGAGGGCAGCAGCATCCTAGCCACCTGCCCTTCTGAGGCTCCAGGAGTGGGCTTGAAGCCTTTTCCCCGGCAACTTCACGCCCCACACCAGTATTGGGCAGGATCACCTCCCTTAGGGTGTTCACCCTCCTGACTAAAACAACAAAACTTTCTTAAACTGTCCAGGCCTTAGTTTTGTTAGTCTCAAGCTCCTGTACCACCATCACTGAAGGCCAATCAGTCTTCCTACTGTGCCCCTTCCCCTGCTCCTCGTCCGGCAAGCTCCGTGCCTGGGATCCCCCACCTCTCACACTTACCACCCACAATAGATTTGTTTTCTGTGTGACAAGGTAATTACAAGCTTGGGGCCAGTAGGCCCAGGGGCCAGTCTGAGGATGGTCACTTCATTCTGGCTCTCCCTGTTCTGCTAACGGTATTGATTTTCAGTTTTATTTATTATGATGATGTGTGTGTGTGATCTGGCCCTGGTGACATGACATATGGAGGCAAGAGGGCGAGAGCAAATTTCCTTTTGTCACAATTTGACTTCTTGAAACCGCACCCCCACCACCACCACCCAGCATTGTTTATTTACAGGTTTTAGCATCTTTGCTTACCTGTCTTCATTCTGTCCCCTCATCCCCAAAGATTTCTAAGAGATTCTTCTGGGAATTGGAGCCAGATGGATGTGACTACAAGAAGGAGGAAAGGGTCTGGGAAGAGGAGTGACAGCAGCAAGCATACTACCTTTTGTTAGCAGCCATTAACTCATCCAGCAAACATTTACTACATTCCCATCACCTGTCAGTTACTTCTAGGCTAAGCTCCCCAACTCCCTGCTGGGGGCCATCCTGGAGACAGGTTTTGCTATGCGCTTTTTTTTTTTTTTTTTTTTTTTGTCTGCATCTGTTTCTATGGGTGTGTGAGGAAAACCTGGCCAGAAAGCTTTGAGAGAGTGAGATTGAGTTTGGGTGCAACCAACTCAAAGAACGATGCTTGCCTGAATTTAAGGCTACTTAAGGCCTCCCGTAATGTAGTCTACTTCCTTACGAGGAAGAGGAAGGGCAAGCTTGAGGCAAAACATTACAAGTGGGAGGGGGCACTCTGAACTGCAATGATTGCCGTGGGAATCAGCTGAGGCTGAGGGCGATTTGTGGGGCCATGTTTCCCCAGCCTGTCTTCTCTGTGCGTGCCAGGAGAATGAATAAATCATTGTTCAGGGGCGGGATGCAGCTGCCGAGCTCCTCCCCTCGGCACATGCCCCAACTCCAGCTCCTCCATTGAGGGCTGCTGGAGCAGAGCGGTTTATACACCCAGCTCCCCAAATCCTATTGAGGCCTCCCCCTCCGCACGAGCCACCGGCTCCAAGCCCATTCAGGCTGGCCCTTTGTGCTGGGGGTTAAGTGGTTACATGTGGGGGGCACCCAGAAAGGAACTGTCAGGCCTTGAAAGGCTGTGCTGATACAGTGCCCTCCTACTGATGAATGGGGTGGGTGGAGGAGAGGTGGGCGGCCGGAGGGTGGGGTGGGGGAGAGGGCATGGGGATTATGGAGCCCACAGAGGCAGCTGCTAGGAAGGGGGTGGAACAGGCACCCCCTTCTCTCTTTCCTCCTTCACTTCAGCTTCTCCGTCTAGCTTACTCCCTCTGTTGTGGGCACTGGATGATCAAGAGCCTTGGGACCTTGGATTTGGCTTTTCTGATGTCCTGGTGACCGCTTGAGTGCACTGGAGAGAAAGAATTTATATTACCTTTCATTCTTCCAGCAGCTCCGAAAAGACCTGTTTCTCCCTTTTCCCTTGGAAGGGGTGGGTGAGAAGGGGAACAGTGTTGGGGACAGGGGGAGGATTCATTTCCTAGGTTCATCTGGTGCAGTGGATTTGCAGCTGTGCCCTGCCGAACTTTTAAAAGCTTCTCTGAAGTTCCCTCGGAGCCCTTAGGTGGAGGGTTTAGGGGAAGACAGATCTCAAACTGGATATATTGGAAAGATTTTGTTGAGGAAAAAGAAATTACTTCAAGGCTCTAAAAATGCTTTAAAACTTCTAATTGAATGTACCGCCTTGTCATTTTACAGCTGGGAAAACAGCCAAAATGGAAGATAGGGGAATGGGCATATTTTACCTAAGGTAAACACATAGTAATTTCTTGATAGACTAAAGAGGCACTTTACCTTTAAGAAGCAGTAGAGAAATGGATGAACAAAACAAGTAGGTCATCAGCTTCCTAGGCCTTCCTTTCCCAAGATGAACCAATTCTGGGGAATAATGTTCGTTCCAATCTGCCTTAATGGCTCTTTGGCATGTCAAAGGTCCTCTGGGGTTGTGCCTGGTCTTGGGAGCCCAAGTGACAATGTTCACCACTATGTTATTGAACAATTTTTAAGGCATATTATTTTATTTAGCCCAAAAAGGTTAAAATGATTTGATTTGCCTAAGTTCCCAAAGCCATGTGGGGAAGTTGACAGATGATGTGACCTCAGGAAGAGAGAAGAAAGCAGGTTAGCAACGTAGTTTGTAATCCAGGATCGTGCTTTGTTCTGATATGGAAACTCTGAGGGCTTCCTCAGTTACTTCCCTGCTGTCCCCAGGATGGAGCCCAAGCTCCTTGGGATGGTGTCAAGAACTTTCACAACTGGGCCAACTTTATCTTCTAGCCTCACCTTACCTCCATTTCCCACCGAGCTCCAGCCACACTGGCCTACGGGGTGTTTCCTGAACTCACTCTGAAAATGCAGTCTCCTATGCCTTCTCTTGCTTTCTCTTGGTGAGCTCTTATTCATCCCTCAAGGCCTGGCTCAAATATCACCTCTGTGCTAGCTGGGTTTAGTGGCTCATGCCTGTAATCCCAGAATGTTGGGAGGCCAAGGTGGGAGGATCACTTAAGGTTGGGAGTTCGAGACCAGCCTGGGTAACATAGCAAGACTCCCATCTCTTAAAATAAAAAAAATCACCTCTGTGAAGCCTTTCCTTACCCTTTTCTGGGCTTACTACTTTTGCCTCCTGGCTCTGTTGCAGGGCCCATTACATTGTTATAGCCCACTCTTCTGTCTATTCCTTTTCTTTGAGACAGGGTCTGGCTCTGTCACCCAGGCTAGAGTGCCGTGGTGTGATCTTGGCTCACTGCAACCTCTGCCTCCCAAGTTCAAGCAGTTCTCGTGCCTCAGCCTCCCAAGTAGCTGGGATTACAGGCGTGTGCCACCATGCCCGGCTAATTTTTGTATTTTTAGTAGAGACGGGGTTTCACCATGTTGATCAGGCTGGTCTCAAACTCCTAGCCTCCAGTGATCTGTCCGCTTCGGCCTCCCAAAGTGCTGGAATTACAGGCATGAGCCAACACACCATGACTTCTGTTTCCCTTTCTAAACAAGGAGCTCCCCAAGACCACGACCAGTTCTGATTCTGCTCTGAATTCCCAACACAGTACCTGGCACAAAGTAAGCACTCTGTAACTGTATGATACATGTAAATGAATGGGTGGGAAGGGACAAGGTCTTTGAAGCTGAAACACCTTGATCTTACCCACCCCTTTCTTCCTGAGAATACTGATATTGAGAAATTATCCACCTATGAATAACCCTTAGGCCTGTCCTATTTCCTGGATGAGAAATTCCTCTCATCTTCTCTGGTCTCCTTGCCTGACACCCCAGGCCCTGGGACCTGGATCTGGCTACTCACTGCTAGCCTCTCTTGGCTCTGACATCTGTTTGCCAAGAGGCTTACCCGCTGTCCATCATTGGGTCTTGATGGCATGGCCTTTTGCAAAGCCCTGTTCAGGCTGATACTGGCCATCTCTGGAGGTTTCTGTGTCCTTGCCACTTAAGTTCCTGGCATATATGTGGGTAGGTGAACCCAGCCACAGATACCCTTTCACTTGGGGGTGAATTATTCTCTGGTGTCCTCACTGGAAAAGCCTCTGGCAAATGAATAACAGGCATCTCTATAGCTGCTTTTTTGTCTTCCTGTGGACATGGACATCCCTGCATTTGGAGCTTTTTTTTCTTCAGGTTTTGAGCTCTGAAAATTATGGAGTGACCAGGACTGCTGTGTGAGCACTGACTGTATTAATTATACAGTGCTAGAATATTCCATACAACACTGCCCTTGATTAACAAAACTGGCTACAGGCTGGGTGTGGTGGTTCACGCCTGTAATCCCAACACTTTGGGAGGCCGAGGTGGGCAGATCACTTGAGGCCAGGAATTTGAGACCAGCCTGGGCAACATAGTGAAACCCTGTCTCTATTAGAAATACAAAAATTAGCCGGTGCAGTGGCACACGCCTGTAGTCTCAGCTACTCAGGAGGCTGAGGCATGAGAATCGCTTGATCCTGGGAGGCGGACGTTGCAATGAATGGAGATTGCACCACTGTACTCCAGCCTGGGCAACAGAGTAAGACTCCGTCTCAGGGAAAAAAAAAAGAAAGAGAGAGACTACAATCTGATTTCCTTTAAATGAATTCACTTGACTTAGCAGGTATTGTATTATTTAGGAATAACTAGCTTTAGGCCAGGTGTGGTGGCTCACGCCTGAAATCCTAGCACTTTGGGAGGCCAAGGCAGGCAGATCACCTGATGTCAGGAGTTTGAGACCAGCCTGGTCAACATGGTGAAATCCTGCCTCTACTAAAAATACAAACATTCACCAGGTGGCGGGCACCTGTAGTCCCAGCTACTCAGGAGGTTGAGGCAGGAGAATTGCTTGAACCCAGGACGTGGAGGTTGTAGTGAGCCAAGACTATGCCACTGCACTCTAGCCTGGGTGACAGAGAGAGACTCCATCTCAAAAAAAAAAAAAAAAAAAGGAATAACTAGCTTTTTAGAACAATGGAATTGATGACTCAGCTATTCCAGGCTGGGGTGCTGCCCTGCAGAGCACGATATAGGCTTTATTTATTTTATTTTAATTTTTTTTTTTTGAGACAGGGTCTTACTCTATCGCCCAGGCTGGAGTGCAGTGGCACGATCTTGGCTCACTGCAATCTCTGCCTCTTGGGTTCAAGCGATTCTCCTGCTTCAGCCTCCTGAATAGCTGGGATTACAGACGCGCACCACCATGCCTGTCTAATTTTTGTATTTTTAGTAGAAACGGGGTTTCATCATGTTGGCCAAGCTTGTCTCGAATTCCCAGCCTCAAGTGATCCGCCTGCCTCGGCCTCCCAAAGTGCTGGGATTACAGGTGTGAGCCACCACACCAGGCCCAATATAGGCTTTAAATCAATGTATATAATGCTTTGTCCTTTGTGGCCAGAATGCATAACAAGAAGAGGTAGCGGTGGTTGTGGCACCTTATATGATTTACCTAAGGACTAAGAGTTTTCTTCCTGTCTCTGAGATTCTGGGTATTGCAGGTCAGAAGGTGATAGCATCGGCCAGGCACAGTGGCTCACACCTGTAATCCCAGCACTTTGGGAGGTCAAGGCGGGCAGATCATTTGAGGTCAGGAATTTGAAATCAGCCTGACCAACATGGTGAAACCCTGTCTCTACTAAAAATACAAAAATTAGCCGGGTGTGGTGGCACGCGCCTGTAACCCCAGCTACTCGGGAGGCTGAGGCAGGAGAATGACTTGAACCTGGGAGGCGGAGGTTGCAGTGAGCTGAGATCGCGCCACTGCACTCCAGCCTGGGTGACAGTGAAACTCTGTCTTGGGAAAAAAACAAAACAAAACATGGTGATAGCATCATGGGAGGAATGTTTCTTCTAACCAAGAAACACAAAGATGATTCCCTGGGATTTCGGCTCCTGGTAGCACTAGAGGAATAGGAGAAGGGGGTGGTCTCAGTGTAGACTGGACTGATCATGGCTACCAAGGAGAAAGGGAGTTACTGTTACCTAATAAGTGTTGAGAGGTGCGTGAATGGAACCCAGAGACCCTGGGGTCACCACCTTGTGCTATTGTAGTAATCAGCATTCTTTCAATTGTCGGTGAAAGAAATTCCACTCAAGTTAGGCTTGGCAAAATAAGGCATACAAAACTATAAGTTTAGATGCAGGAAACAGGGTCTGCAACATTATCAGAACTATCTCTCATCTCTGTTTCTTCCCTGCCTCGTCTTCCTTTAATTTCGTTTCAGAAGATCCCAGAGAAGGACTCTGACTGGCTCACCTGGAGTGGAGCTCCTATCCCTGGATTCTTCAGGCTTTCATTTGACCCACATGGTTAAGCTGGGAGAGACAGAGTCCAAAGAGAGGCGGAGAAGGGCTATTCTGGGCAGAACAAACAATTGATGACTTTATGGCTCTGTGGTCTGGGCAGAACTGCATAACCCTAGATCACCAAAGCTGAGAGCCTTTAGGAGTGAGGATTTGGGCCAGGCATGGTGGCTCACGCCTGTAATCCCAGCACTTTGGGAGGCCGAGGTGGGTGGATCACAAGGTCAGGAGATCAAGACCAACCTGACCAACATGGTGAAACCCCATCTCTACTAAAAATACAAAAATTAGCTGACGTGATGCATGCACCTGTAATCCCAGCTACTCAGGAGGCTGAGGCAGGAGAATCGCTTGAACCCGGGAGGTGGAGGTTGCGGTGAGCCGAGATTGCGCCACTGCACTCCAGCCTAGGCGACAGAGCGAGACTCCATCTCAAAAAAAAAAAAAAAAAAAAAAAAAGTGAGGATTTGGGTCACCCCAGGCTGAAGGCCAGGGGAACCTGAAGTGGATAAGGGAAGGGAGAAGACTTAGGCCACAGGATCTGATGTAGAAATGGGGCTGACGTCTCCACCTGTATTTTCTTAGCTGGAGGAGTGTGCAAAGTTTGAATTACTTCTGCCTTCTCCTTCTTATTTCCTTTTCCCTTTTAAAATAGTCATCATAATCATAAAAATTTCTTTTCCATTTTCCCTGTTTTTGCATATAGGATTTCTTGGTGTGATTTAATTTGCCAATTAGTCTCTAGGTTGCAGAATGGTGACTTGGAATCAAATTGAAACTGGAAGAGGGCACCTCATATATTAGGGTCAGCAATTACTGAACTCTGTTCTCTTTTATTCCAAACAGGGCCCCCAACTTCACATTTCCCCAGGGTGCAAAAGAGTGAGGGGGGTCAAGCTTCAGTAGAGTGGAGCTCTGAGAAGAATCCACTGGAGTTTGGAACCCAAGACCCTTTTTTATCACGCTGTTCCTCCTCACCTGGGCAAAAGCACTGGTACCCACTTCACAGGCATCATGGGTGGGCTCTGTGTCCTGCGGAGAGCCCCCGTCCCGGGTACAGGACATCAGCCCTGAGCCCTGTCCCAGGCTTGGATCTTCTTTCTCTCTCTCTCTTTTTTTTTTTTTTTTTTTTTTTTTTTTTGAGACGGAGTCCCACTCTGTTGCCCAGACTGGAGTGCAGTGGTGCAGTCTTGGCTCACTGCAACCTCCACCTCCCAGGTTCAAGCGATTCTCCTGCCTCAGCCTCCCAAGTAGCTGGGATTACAGGCGCCCGCCACCAAGCCCGGCTAATTTTTGTATTTTTAGTAGAGATGGGGTTTCACCATGTTGGCCAGGCTGGTCTCAAACTCCTGACCTCAGGTTATCTGCCCGCCTCGGCCTCCCAAAGTGCTGGGGTTACAGGCGTGAGCCACCGCACCCGGCCTCAGTGACTTTAGTCAAGTAAGCACAAAAAGGAATATATAATTCCAAATTGTGATAAATGCTATGAAGAAAAGGAATGTGCTCTGACATAAAGGGGGGAACGAACGTGATCTAGGGAGTCAGAGATCTCTCCGAGAAGAGATCTGAAATAGGAGTAAGTCGAGAGGGGGAAGAGAATGCTAGACCGAGGGAACAGTGCGTGCCAAAGCCGCGTGGCGGAAAGGGGCGTGTGGGAGGGTAACTGCGGAGAGGGAGGGTAGAGGACGAAGCCGGAGAGGCAGACGAAGGGCAGGACGCACAGAGCCCCGCGGCTACCGCCTTAGGGGTTGTCCCGGCGGTGGGGAAGCCATTGAGGAGTTTAACGCCGGAAGGTGGTGACTAATCAGATTTCACTTGAAAATGGCACGGTGTCTGCAGCGAGGCTAACTGATGGGAAGGGCCCAGCGAATGCCAATAGGAGAGAGCACCGGACCTGGAAGGCCTGGGTCAACGCGGCCCCGCGCGGGGGCGAAGCGGTTCCGGCGCAGGGGCCTGGCGCGGGGCTCCGCGGAAAACCGAACCGGCCCACGTGGGACCGGTCGCTCCGCCCTGCTGCGCAGACGCCGCCTGACTCCGCAGTCCGGGACTGGGGCTGGGCGCGCTGCCCGGGAGCCCCGCACCCACGCCTGGACCGCGGAGACGCCCAGGCCGAGGAACCCCCAGCCCAGGGACTAGACACCACCAGGGCCGGGCGGAGCCAGAGCCAGACGCGCCGGAGCGGGCGCCTCTACGCCGTGAGTCCGAGTCTGGGGCCCGAGGCGGGGTGGGGCTTGGGGCTCAGCCGCGGGAAGCGGGGAGTCACAGTGGCCTCCTTCGAGGAGACTAGGGAAGGATGGTCTCTGTCTCCTGGGGTGGTCTCCCACTCCCGCAAGGCCAGAAAAGGAGGCTGCCTCCTGTTTGGGCGGAGACCTAGTCCTGGCGTGTCGGGGTTCTCATTTTACTATCTCTGAGAACCCTGTGATCCCTAGCGCCACCCCCACCCCATCCCAGCTTCCTTCACGGCCCCATCCAAGTATAGGAAAAATAAAAAATTGGGGCGAGGGGAGATCTCTAGGCACCTTCCCACAAGCCTTGCTTAGAGGGCGATTAGAAACGAACTGTTCCTACACCCTTCTCCCCAGGACTTCTCTGCCCATTGCTGGGGGTGGGGAGGGTCCATGCCACCTATGGAGCGCCTTCCAGTGCCGGCTCCACTTACAATACCCTTCCTCTTCATGCTCTTCAATTGTTCTAATCCCAGTGCTGTTTGGTCAGTAGAATCCCTTTGTCAGTTCAAATCCTAATTTTGGTTAGAAGCAGGTTATGGAGGAGAGAAGAGTGGTGTGGTATGCCCTCCCTCCAGGGCCTCAGAATGGAGCAAGCTAGGGACGGGGACCGCAAGATAGTGGCTGTGTTCCAGAGGCATTGGGAGGGAAGGGGGCAGGCTCAGAAGAAAAGCTTGTCACTGGGGAAGGCGGGGCTCCCTGGCTGGGGTAGGAAAGGGAACCAAACCCAGCTCTTCCAGAACCCAGCTCTTCCAGCCCTGGGGAGTCAAGAGTGGATTCCTGAGCATGGAAATTCACTGCAGTCTCTTCTCCCATTCACTCACTTAGCAAGTACCTGTATGCACAGACAGCCTGGTTCAGGGCTCTATGCTGGCTGACTCTGGGGAATATGATGGAGGATATATACAGGAGGTCCAAGCCAGATTACAAACTGCTATTACAAGATCATTACCACAAACCAAAAATGCCAGTTGAATAGACATTCACTGATCGTCGACCATGTATGCCAGGGACGGATGCAAAGTTGGATAAGACAGTGTATACCCAGCGCAGTGGGGACCCAGAGGAAGGCATAACTAACCGTGCTTGTTTATGTAATATTGATTGGGGCAGTATCAAGACGGCTTCAGAGACATGGGGACATGGAAACATGGGGATATTACAGCTAATTTTGAAGTACAAAAAGGAATTTGCTGGGTGGAGAAGGGAGGAGCTTTGAGGGGAGGGGAGAGGAAGGATATTGTAGGCCAAAGGAATACTGTAAGAAAAACAATGGTGTGTTTTGAGATCTCTGGGCAGTTTGCTATGATGGGAGGGGCAGAGTGGCAAGAGGCAGGTATGGAGGGGTGAGCAGGGGCCAGATCAAACAGGGTGTTGTAGGCCAGGTAGAGGTTTAGCAGGAATTCAGGGAGGGCATTAGGAGTGGTGACAAGTGAAATTTACATTTTTAACTGGAGGCAGAGAGATCAGTGAAAAGGCCGAGGCAATAATCCAGGTCAGAAATGGCCTGGAAGAGGAAGAATGGTCAGAATGTGGTTATTAATGAGATGGGAGAAGGAAGGATAGTGAGGACCCCAGGATGCTCTCAGCTTTCTGGATGGAGTACAGAGCCATCTTGCTGAGGATACTGAAGGAGAGCTTGTTTGGTTATGTAGAATTTTGGCGGGGGGCGGTGGTGGAGGGGGATGATGTCACTCTGTCACCCAGGCTGGAGTGCAGTGGCGCAATCTCGGCTCACTGAAACCTCTGCCTCCTGGGTTCAAGTGATTCCCCTGCCTCAGCCTCCCAAATAGCTGGGATTACAGGTGCCTGTCACCATGCCTGGCTAATTTTTGTATTTTTAGTAGAGATGGGGTTTCACCATGTTGGCCAGTCTAGTCTCGAACTCCTGACCTCAGGTGATCTGCCTGCCTCGGCCTCCCAAAGTGCTGGGATTACAGGTATGAGCCACCATGCCTGGACTGGTTATGTAGAATTTGAGGAGACTATGGTTGGTTGCAGGGTTGGATAGCAGTTGGATCTGGGCTGAAGACAGATCTGAGAGTCACCAGCATATGATGGTCTTTGAAGCTACAGCAGAGAATGAGGTCCTCTGGAGAGAAATGCACAAAATCAGAAGACAGCCTGGCTCTGAGGACGGAGGAAAAACCCTTTGCAGGAGACTGAGAATGAACAGGTAGACAGGGAGGACGAAAACCACGAAGGGAAGTGTTACCAGAGTCAAGAGAAAGGGCTTGACAGGGAGTGGCCAGGCTCTTGCTTGCAGCCTTGTCCCTGCAGCTAAGTTGCCCTGACTTCAGGCACCCCACCCTGTCCTACTGTGACTCGGTCTCCTGCTTTCCCTTTACAGGCTAGATGTTCGCCATCCAGCCAGGGCTAGCTGAGGGGGGCCAATTCCTGGGGGACCCACCTCCTGGATTATGTCAGCCCGAGCTCCAACCAGACAGCAACTCCAACTTCATGGCAAGTGCCAAGGATGCTAACGAGAATTGGCATGGGATGCCAGGCAGAGTGGAACCTATCCTGAGGAGGAGCTCCTCTGAGTCACCCTCTGACAACCAAGCCTTCCAGGCCCCTGGATCCCCTGAGGAAGGGGTGCGCAGCCCCCCAGAGGGGGCAGAGATTCCCGGGGCTGAGCCTGAGAAGATGGGTGGTGCTGGCACAGTCTGCTCCCCTCTGGAGGACAACGGCTATGCCAGCAGTTCCCTGAGCATTGACAGCCGTAGCAGCAGTCCTGAGCCTGCCTGTGGGACCCCGCGAGGCCCTGGCCCTCCCGATCCCCTTCTGCCCTCAGTGGCCCAGGCTGTGCAGCACTTACAAGTCCAGGAGCGCTACAAAGAGCAGGAGAAGGAAAAGCACCACGTGCACTTGGTGATGTACCGTCGCCTGGCACTGCTCCAGTGGATCCGGGGCCTGCAGCATCAGTTGATTGACCAGCAGGCCCGACTGCAGGAGAGCTTCGACACCATCCTAGACAACCGGAAGGAGCTTATTCGCTGTCTCCAGCAGAGGGCAGCACCATCCAGGCCCCAGGACCAGGCCTAAGGGTGTGCCTCCACAAGTGTGCAAGGGTATATGTATATATTTGCAGGCATGTGTGAGGCGCACTAGTAAGTACATAATTTGCTGGCATGATTGCAGGTAGGCATGAGTGTGTATGTGCTAACATGTAGGCTGGTGTGTGTAGGCATGTGTGAATAAGCATGTATAAATGAGCTTAAGTGTGCTGTGTGCACATGTGTACACACAGCTAATTTATCTGCAGACCTATATGTGAGCATGTAAGAGTGAACATATGTGTGTGTGTGTAGTATGTAAGAATGAGGAACTCGGTATGTGCATGTGTAGACAGGTACCCAGCAGTGTGTGTATATGCGCATGAGTGAGGATGTATAGGCAGAAGATGTGTGTGTCTATGAGTGAGTTTGAGTGTGCAGGCTTGTATTAGGTGTATGTGAGGAAGCCCTTGTGTGTGCAGGGGTGCACATGTTTGGCCACAGGCATGGGAGGTGTATGTTAGGAGCATGTGTGTTTGTAGGCAGACTCATGAGCAGGTGTGTGCAAATACATATCCAGCTGCACTGTGGGTGTCCACCCACACCTTGTGTTCCTCATGGCCTACCCCAGCCTTTCTTCTCCACTGGGTCCCACTGTTCCCTGGAGACAGAGGGCTAGCATGCTGTCATTTATCTGAAGGTTGTGGCTGACCCATTCTCCTGGGATTTCCCAGGCCACCTCTCCTTTCCCTTTCCCTCACTTAACCCAGACTTGCTCAGCTGAGGCTATTGTCCCTGATGTTGGCTTTACTTGTAGGAGGTTTAGTGGCTGCTCTGGCCTGCCATGGAATTTTGGCTGCAATTTTGGCAGTGTGTGGAGAACTGGTATCAGGAAAGGGAACCAGGAGTAGTGATGAAGATGATGGTGGGGATGGGGACAGAGGACATAGGGGACTGTCCCTCTTGAACTCTGCCTTTGGGCACATGGGAGATGGGGACAGGAAAGATGATAACAGTGGAACCCTGTGAAGAATAGGAGAATGGGAATTCTAAAATACCAGTTCCCAAACAAACCATCTCTCCATTGGAAAAGGAGCTGTTGCAAACCGTGTTCATTTAAGCTTCTGATGAAAAGCAATGTATGTTTATAAGCTTGCAAGTAACAGACAAGATGTTCCAAGGCCGATGAGGAAAATATCGCTTCCCTGTCTCTGCCTCTACCTTGCTGTGCCTCTCTGGCTTTAGCAGCATTGGATGTTGAATTGGTTTGGTTCATTTCTCTGAAGTCGGACTGTCAGGAGGAGCCAGAGGTTGGCTTTCTGGGATGTGAAGGGGACAGTGTCAGCCTAAGCCTCTGGAGATGCTTAGGATGCTGAATTTTAACCCCTTCTTTCACTGCATGGCCCTTCAAACAGGGATTGGCAGGCTCCGCGAGTTACAGAGTGGGTGAGTCTTGGAGAGAACCAACGACTAAGGTAGCTTAGCTCTCTGCTTTGTTCTTGGGAGCCAAGAGAATGCAAGATCCTGGTGGGTGAGCAGTGGTATGAAGAGGGGACACTGGTGGGTGAACAGTGGCATGGAAGTCACTGATGCAGCCTCTGGCCCTCAGTCTCCCTATCGGCAAAGTGGGGGGCTCTTCCTATCTCTAAAGAGTTTCATCCCTGACAGGTGGATGGGTGAAAGATCCAGAGAGTGGGGGTGAGGGGTGGGCCCTGAAGACTTTTTGTCTGTAGCTCTTGCATATTGAGTGTATAAACCCGGCTTCTGGACCAACCCAAGATGAATAAACTGGGGCAGAAAATTACATTTCTTGAGTATGTGTTTTTCTTCTACCTGTTGTCTGATGGCCTCTTTTTCATACCATCTGAGCTCCCCTTTTGAGTAGGGTCCTGGACTAGGAGCTAGGGAGGTGGTTTTGGGGAAAGACACTGAAGAATTTAGACTGCTGTGCCTGGCGATCCAATGGGGTGGAGAAGTCTCTCAGGGGCCATCCAGTGTGACAGGGGAGACTTGACTTCTACCCTGAGAGCCCCATATGGGATTGTCCTTGTCCTGTGTCACCTTTGGGCCTAAATGAATTGCGAGGGACACATACCATACACACTCGTACATACTCAACTGTACCCTGGGCAGGGCACGGTGGCTCACACCTGTAATCCTAGCACTTTGGGAGGCTGAGATGGGTGGATCACCTGAGGTCAGGAGTTCAAGACCAGCCTGGCCAACATGGTGCCTGTCTCTACTAAAAATACAAAAATTAGCCAGACGTGGGGACGGGTGCCTGTAATCCCAGCTACTCAGTAGGCTGAGGCAGGAGAGTCGCTTGAACCTGGGAGGCAGAGGTTGCAGTGGGCAGAGATCGTGCCACTGCATTCCAGTCCGGGCAACAAGAGGGAAACTCCATCTCAAAAAACCAAATAAAACAAAAAATAAAACACCAAGTACCCTGGTGTCATCACTTCCCTGAAGGGCGCTCTGACTATGACTATGATTTCGGGTCCTTAGATGGTTTTGACACACATGTAGTTATAATATACAGTCATCCTTTGTTATCTGAGGGGATTGGTTCCAGGATCCCCAGGGATACCAAAATTCACAAATCTGAAATACTGTATTTTATTTTTATTTGATTTGATTCTTTATTTTTGGAGACAGCGTCTCCAAGATACGCCCAAGCTAGAGCATAGTGGTGCAATCATAGCTCACTGTACCCTTGAACTTCTGGGCTCAAGTGATCCTCCCACCTTAGCCTCTGAGTAGCTGGGACTACAGGCACACACCACCACACCCAGCTAATTCTTAAGTTTTTTGTAGTGATGGCTTCTTGCTATATTGCCCAGGCTGGTCTCAAACTCCTGGCTTCAAGCCATCCTCCCACCTGAGCCTCCCAAAGTGCTGGGATTACAGGTGTGAGCCACTGCGCCTGGCCAACATTTTTATTTTATTTTATTTTATTTTATTATTATTATTTTTTTGAGACGGAGTCTCACTGTGTTGCCCAAGCTGGAGTGCAGTGGCGCGATCTCGGCTCACTGCAAGCTCCGCCTTCCGGGTTCACACCATTCTCCTGCCTAAGCCTCACGAGTAGGTGGGACTACAGGCGCCCGCCACCGCGCCCAGCTAATTTTTTGTATTTTTAGTAGAGACAGGGTTTCACTGTGGTCTCAATATCCTGACCTCGTGATCTGCCCGCCTCGGCCTCCCAAAGTGCTGGGAGCCACTGTGCCTGGCAACATATTTATTTTAAACTTCACAAAGTATACTTCTCACTGAAACAGTTAATAATTCTTGTCATCTCCACACTTGACACTTAAACAGAAATAGTATTGAACCAATTTTTACAAATTCCACTTACTAAGAGATGTTTTGGCAAAGGGCTAAGGCTAAATTTGAATGGAGATTTCTGACAATAAGATGTCTGTCAAACCTTCAGAGCATAAGAGGGTGAATTTTTATAAGGAGCCTTTTTTTTTGGAGACAGTCTCACTCTGTTGCCCAGGCTGGAGTGCAGTGGTGTGATCTTGGCTCACTGCAACCTCCACCTCCTGGGTTCAAGCCATTCTCCTACCTCAGCCTCCCAAGCAGCTGGGACTACAGGCACATGCCACCACGCTTGGCTAATTTTTTGTATTTTTAGTAGAGATGGGTTTTTGCCATGTTGCCCAGGCTGGTCTCAAACTCCTGAGCTCGGGCAATCGGCCCACCTCAGCCTCCCAAAGTGCTGGGATTACAGACATGAGCCACCATGCCCGGCCAGGAGCCCCTTTTCTAAATGTGTGAGGGCTCTTTTGAACACAGCCCCTGGTGAAGGACAGAGACCCTGAAGCCAGACACCCTGGATTTGGACCTTGTCCCCATTGTTTTATGTTTTTGTGACCTTGGGCAAGTCAATTAACTTTTCTGTGCTTTAGTTTCCTCATCTTAAAATGGGAATAATAGTAATAACTACTTCGCAGGGTTGCTGCAAGGATTAAATATGTAATATATAGAAGACTTAGAATTGTACCTGACACATAGTAAGTTACATTAATGAATTATGATTATTATAAATCATACTTTTTTGGTACATACAGCTTTTTCATAGAAAAACATTTTTTCTTATGAAATTGGAATCTAAAAAAATTTTTTTTTTTTTTGAGACAGGGTCTGGCTCTGTCGCCCAGGCTGGAGTGTAGTGGTGTGATCTTGGCTCACTGCAACCTCCGCCTCCTGGGTTTGAGCAATTCTCATGCCTCAGCCTCCCGAGTAGCTGGGATTACAGGTATGCACCACCACGCCTGGCTAATTTTTTTGTATGTTTGGTAAAGATGGGGTTTTACCATGTTGGCCAGGCTGGTCTCTAATTCCTGGCCTCAAGTGATCCGCCTCAGCCTCCCCACCTGCTGGGATTACAGGTGTGAGCCATCGCACCTGGCTGAATCTAAAATTTGAATGTCATCTTTAAAGGGGAAGGGGACTTCTAAAAAATAAAGCTGCCTAATATTCCTTTCCAGAAAAGAACTCTTTGAGCTGAGAAAAAGAAGAAGGTGAGACCAAGGGAATGTGTGGTGAATTGTATGTTTACAGGACCCCTGCCAGTCACTGAAGGTCAGGGACTCCCCGGGGGATGATGGGTTTGGGAAGGAGATTGGCAAGAATAGAGCCACAGCCCAGGACGGCAGAGTTAGGGGCAGGGAAACGGAGGCAGGACTCCAGTGGCTGAACCAACTCAGCCAAGAATTGTGGTTCTCCATCAGGTCCACTGGCCACGAGGCCTAATCATGGGAAGTGCTAAGGTGACCACAGTACCTCCCATAGGCAGATCTGAGCTACACTCTCTATACTCAGTTTCCTCACCTGTGGCAACTATAAGGGCTGAATGAGGAAATGGACGTGAAGATGCTCTGTATGGATTAAGAAGATTGTGTGCCTCCCCTGCATGAGGCCCTGAGGAGCCTGCTCTTGTCTTTGAGAGCTGTGGTGTGCACAGGTAGATGAGACTTGCATCCAAAAGCCTAATGCAGGCTGGGCACAGTGGCTCATGTTTGTAATCCCAACACTTTGGGAGGTTGAGGCAGTAGGATGGCTTGAGCCAAGAGTTTAAGACTCCATCCCTACAAAAAGGGAAAAAAAATTAGTCAGTCATGGTGGTACATGCCTGTGGTCCTAGCCACTCAGGAGCCTGAGGCTGGAGGATCACTTCAGCCCAGGAATTTGAAGCTGCAGTGAGCTATGATCCCACCACTGCACTGAAGCCTGGGTGAGAGAGCAAGACCCTGTCTCAACCCCCTCCCCAACAAAAAGACCCCAAAAGCCTAATGCACAAGCCACTCGTAACCTAGGAGAGGGGAATGCAGGACTGGCTGTCTGTCTAGTTTTCAGTCAGGGACTTCTATACGTGGTTGTTGTCTTAAAGTCATTGGGCCAGGTGCGGTGGCTCATGCCTATAATCCCAGCATTTTGGGAGGCTGTGGCGGGTGGATCATTTGAGGTCAGGAGTTCGAGACCAGCTTGGCCAACATGGTGAGACCCTGTCTCTATGAAAAATATAAAAATCAGCTGGGCATGATAGTACATGCCTGTAATCCCAGCTACTCGGGAGGCTGAGGCAGGAGAATTGCTTGAATCTGGGAGGTGGAGGTTGCAGTGAGCCAAGATCGTGCCGCTGCACTCCAGCCTGGGTGACAGAGTGAGACTGTCTCAAAAAAAAAAAAAAAAAAAAAAGTCATTGGGGTAGGAATTCCTTAGTCCGTGGGACAGTGAGGGGAGTAGGAAAGGTTCATGCACTTGGTAGGAGTTTGGCCAGTCAGCTACCTCCACCCCTTCACCTCTCTCACCAGAATAAAATCCCAAGGAAGTCTAACCTAGGTTTTGGGTGCGACATGAGTCATCTTGCTTAGTAGGAGACATAGGGATGAGATTGGAGCAGAGACCCAGAGACCAACACGGGCAGGGCACACAGCAGAGGCCTGAGTAGGCTGCAGGTACAGGATGGAAAGCATGGAAGGGATTAGCAGAGAGGCCTGTGAGGCTGGGTGCACTGAGAACTTGCTTGCTCTCCAGGGACACCAACTAGGTCAGCCCCATCAAGTATGGTCAGAGTAAATGGGGTTAAAGCCTGAGTGCAGGGAGGCAGAAAATGAACTGGGAACTGAGTAAGAGGGTAAAGCATTAGAAGACTGCAGAAAAAGGCTTCAGAATATCATAGGTGGGCTCCCCGGTGGGGGATCTGGCTTGTTAGGGCTCTGTATAATGGCTATCTCTAAGGAGACTGACTGCCCCATGATGGCAGCCTGTGACCTGTCTACCTGCCTCTTAGCCTTCAAGCCTCACCGGAAACCCTGTGTAGGTAGGTTTGCTCCTACTCTCAGCATGAACAGGTGACAGGAACAGGAGAGAGGCGAGATCTGTAAGGGCCTGGTCAAGGAAGGCTTCCTGGAGGAAGAGGAGCTTGGAGACCCAGTAGAAGTGGAGGCAACAGAGGATAGTGATTTCTAGTGCAGAGTGGACCCAGGTGTCTTGGATCCTCCACTTCTTACTTGTGCCTCACTTTTCTCAACTGTAGAATGGGAACAATGGGAGTACTTCTCTTACAGGGTTACTTGAGAGTTAAATAAGTTAACAGATGTTAAGGGCTTAGACCTGAGCCTGCCTGGCTCACAGGAAGTAGTCTACAAATGTTAATTGTTTTTATCTGACTAGGAGAGGACAAGAAGGCCCTCAGAGGTAGGAGATGCATGTAGCATCTGGAATCCCAGACCCAGGAGTTAAAGGATGCAGGTGGTGAGAAGAGGAGCCTGAGATGGGGATGTTCTGGGATCTGAGCCAGACCTCAAATCCACACTGGTATACGTGCTCACGCCCACCAGGCACCTGCAGACGCGCAGGCACCAGCCCCCACACCCGTTCACACACATACACATGCACCATGGTTCGTTCACACTCACAAATGCACACTCCGGGACACAGAGCCACATACATACTCCCTCCTCCTCCCACCCCTGGCAGAAATGACTGGACCCAGCCTGGGGAGGTTTCCGCACCCCAGCCCTGGCACCAGACTGCCAGAAATGCGGCTGCATTTCCCCTCCAGCCCTGTAAGCTTCTCCAGCCCAACCTTATCCTTGCCCAGATCCCCCCTCCTCCCAGCCCTACTCCTGCCCCCAACCCGTAGGCTCTGAACCAGTCGATCCCCTAATCGCTCCATTCTCATTTATCACCCATAGATTTGAGAAGAGATTCTTCGGGTGGAGACTGGCGGGAGGGGGAGAGGGTGGCGTTGGAGAAAGGGGGGTGCGTACATCCTACTAAGGTCTTAGATGTCGCTGCCGGGAGAGGGCTGGGTTCCCCGAGGGCCTCCTCGCCGTGAATGAAAGGGGGCTCGGGCTGTGGGATGGGAGCCGTCCGAGGGGCTCGGGCGTGGCGGGGGGCCGCGACCTCGCCCCAGGAGGGGCCTCCAGGCCTCCGCGCCGGGGAAGAGGTAGCCGGCGGGAGCGCGGCGCTCAGCTGGTGCTCGGCGCTCCCCGGGCGGGGCTCGTCCCCGAAAGGCGCAGACAAAGGGGCGGCCTCCCCGGAGCCCCGCGGCGCCTCGAGTGGCGCGGGCCGGGGGCTGCGCACAAAGCAGGGGCGGGCGGGGCCAAGCCCGCCCCCACGCGCCGCCCCGCACAGACTGTTGATCCGCACAGTCCCGAGCGCCCTTTACTGCCCCTAATCCCAACAAGCATGAAAACGGCTGGGGCCGGCCCGCCAGCAGGCCCTTTGTCCCCGCGGGTACGGGGCAGCTGCAGCCTGGGCCCCTCCCCCTTTTGTGTCTCCTCCCCCGCGGCCCCCGCCCCGCCACCTCAGCTGCCGGGAGCGCCCGCGCCGCCCAGGGCTTTGGCCTCAGGCGCGAGGGCGCACAAAGCAGGGAGGGGAGGATTAACCCGGGTCTGCAGGGCGGGGTGGGAGCACGGAGGAGAGGGCTGCTGCGGGTAGGGTGTTGGGGTGGGAACCTGGTGGTGGGACTGGGTTTGTGGGTGTGTTCTTGAGTGGTGCGAATTAGCACCGGCCCCCAACATTCAGTGACAGCTCTCAGGGTGAGGGCCGCTCCCTAGACCTTGATGTCTCCCTGGGCTGTCGTGGGACCGCTTCCTTCCACACTCCTGGGATATCCTCCACCCCGAGGCCTCAGTTCTCACCCACTCTCGGGGCTCCCCAACCTCCGTCTCCAGCAGGGGCTTTGCCTTCCGCCCCACCTGCAGCACATCCTCCCGCCCACCGGACAGCTCCACCCACGGCACCCGCAAGCACCTCAGGCTTCCCACGTTGGAAGCCGAGCTCGTCTTCTCCGCAGCCACAACCTGCTCAGTCTGCTCATCACCTGAAGTGAGGCGAGCCTCAGGCCCTCCCACCTCACTCCGTGCCAGTCAGGTGCTAAGCTCTGTCCCATCTGCCTCCCAGCCCCTCTCCTGTTCATGCCCTCTTGGCTCAGGCCACCGCCAAATCTCATCTGGACACGTGGAACGGTTTCTGTCTGACCCCCTCTCATCCACGGGACACAGTATTCTAGAGTGGGCTTCTGAAAGGCAAATATGGCCCCATCCCTCCTCCAGTTTAAGATCTCTCCAAGGCTCCCCAGGTGCTTAAGTTACTCAGCTTGGCTTGCAAGGGCTTTGCTGGCTGCTTCCTGCATCCCCGCTGGCCATCTTTCCCAGGGTCTGATGTTTTACAAATCCACAAAGACCTTCCTTAAGAGCCTCCGTGGCGGGGCGCGGTGGTTTACGCCTGTAATCCCAGCACTTTGGGAGGCTGAGGCAGGCGGATCACTTGAGCTCAGGAGTTCGGGACCAGTCTGGCCAAAATGGCGAAACACCATGTCTACTAAAAATACAAAAATTAGCCGGGCGTGGTGGCGCAGGCCTGTAATCCCAGCTACTTGGGAGGCTGAGGCAGGAGAATCGCTTGAACCCGGGAGATGGTTGTTACAGAGAGCCAGGATTGTGCCACTGCACTCCTGCCTGGGCGACAGACTCTGGCACGCGCACGCACACACAAGAAAGAAGGGGGTAATGAAAATAAGTATCATCTACTTTACAGAAGCAATGTGAGTATTAAATAAATAATGCTCTCGAAATTGCTTTGGAAATTGCAAAATATTTTACTACCAAATGTGTTGTTTTTTGTTAACTTTTTCTTGATTTTTTTTCACTCTAGGAGCAAATATTTTTATTTCAATAATTGACCATTTGTTTTCTAAACAGTGTTTGTGCTCTTTTGGATTTTGTTTGTTTGTTTGTTTTAAGACAGGGTTTCAGTCCGGGCGTAGTGGCTCACACCTGTAATTCTAGCACTTTGGGAGGCCAAGGTGGGCAGATCACCTGAGGTCAGGAGTTCGAGACCAGCCTGGCCAACATGGTGAAACCCCATCTGTACTAAAAATACAAAAATTGCCAGGCATGGTGGCACGTGCCTGTAATCCCAGCTACTCAGGAGGCTGAGGCAGGAGAATCGCTTGAACCTGGGAGGCGGAGTTTGCAGTGAGCCAAGATTGTGCCATTGCACTCCAGCCTGGGTGACAGAGTAAGACTCCTTCTCAAAAAAAAAGGGGAGGGGGTCTCACTGTTGCCCAGGCTGGAGTGCAGTGGTGCAATCATGGCTCACTGCAACCTTGAACTCCTGGGCTCAGGTGATCCTCCTGCCTCAGCCTCCTGGGTCCTGGGTAGATGGGACTACAGGCAGGTGCCACACACCCAGCTAATTTTGTTTGTTTGTTTGTTTTGTAGAGATAAGAGTCTTGCTTTGTTGCCTAGGCTGGTCTTGAACTCCTGGCCTCAAGGGATCCTACTACCTTGGCCTCCCAAAGTGCTGGGATTACAGGAGTGAGTCACTGCACCTGGCCCTGTTGTGCTCTTTTGAAACTAATTTTGATGGAGGCCACTGAAATGGTAATCTTTATTATTGTGATTATTACTAATTTAAAAGAAAGTAAAAGTTGCTTATGTTAACAAAATTGGCAATATTTTCCACAGGATGTCTTACCTCTAGATTCCCTCTTTTATTTCCCAAAAGCCATTGTGAGCATTCCTAGAATGCTCTAGGACAGGATGGGAGGAAGATGTGATGGGAATGGGAACTGAGAATGGAGAAGTGGATGGGAATGAGGTGGAGACAGGGGCAGCTAAGGGATACAGGGTAAGACAAAAATTGACAACATGTGTCAGAGCCTTCCTGTTTCACCCTCGCAAACTTCCCATGAGGGAGTTTCTCCATTGTCCTATTTTACAGGTGAGTAAACTGAAGTTGCTTTAGGTGAGTTCCATTTCTGGAAGGACAGACACACTACTCTCTGTTTCCACATTCCCCCAGAATAGCTAGCAGCTGCTACCTATTCTGCTTCCTGTGCCTGGGGTGTGTGAAATCCTCATACAGCTTTCCAGGACTCACAAACCACCCTAGCCTGAATTTATTCCTACCCCCATACTCACCCAGATAGAAGCAGATCCTTCTGAATAGACTTGCTTGATGCTCCCACTCCCCGCATGCCTTAGGTACAATCACTGTGTTGATCTCCATAATGAAACTTATTATTTTCTTTCTTTCTTTCTTTCTTTCTTTCTTTCTTTCTTTCTTTCTTTCTTTCTTTCTTTCTTTCTCTCTCTCTCTCTCTCTCTCTCTCTCTCTCTCTCTCTCTCTCTCTCTCTTTCTTTCTTTCTTTTCTTTCTTTTTTTGAGGCACAGTCTCACTCCGTTGCCCAGGCTGGTATGCAGTGGCGTAATCTCAGCTCACTGCAACCTCCGCCTCTCCAGTTCAAGCGATTCTCATGCCTCAGCGTCTCGAGTAGTTGGGATTACAGGCACGTGCCACCATGCCCAGCTAATTTTTGGCTAATTTTTGTCTTCTTGGTAGAGACAGGGTTTTGCCATGTTGGTCAGGCTGGTCTTAAACTCCTGGCCTCAAGTGATCTGCCCACCTCAGCCTCCCAAAATACTGGGATTACAGGTGTGAGCCACCGCGGCCACCATAAAACTTCTTTCACGTGAGACGCTAAGATACTCCCCTAATTCCTAATGAGACTTTCTAGCTTGTGTGTCTGTGTGTGGGCTCATGCACATCGGCGTTTTGGGATGGAGAAGTTAGAGTGAATATGTAACCATCTAACAGACAGAAGACTAAGGCAGCGGGAGGAGAAAGGGAGACTGGAAATGACAAATTACGTTATGGAGTTTTCTAGTACCTTGCCTCTTCATCATATTTAACATTTTCCAAGTTAATTTCACTTCTGTTTTTTGGTATAAAGTAGGTGCAACCCCATTTTTCAGAGGAGAAGGTGTAGCCAAGCATTAACTGTGGAAGCTGACCTTGTGAATATAAACCCCTCACCCAGTGAGGCAGGAACGGTTAGGATCACCATGGCCTTATAAACCTCTCACAGAGGACAGCTACCTTCAGGAGCCCCTTACTAAACCAGTAGCCTAAGGCTCTGCTCCCCATTCTAATAACATCCCCTGTGTGTGCGCCAGTTTTTTTTGTTTGTTTGTTTTGTTTTTTGGTTTTTTTTTGGGACGGAGTCTCGCTCTGTCACCCAGGCTGGAGTGCAACCTCCACCTCCCGGGTTCAAGCGATTCTCCTGCCTCAGCCTGCTGAGTAGCTGGGATTACAGGCACGTACTACCACACCCTGCTAATTTTTGTATTTTTAGTAGAGATGGGATTTTGCCATGTTGGCCAGGCTGGTCTCAAACTCCTGGCCTCAAGTGATCTGCCCGCGTCAGCTCCCAAAATACTGGGATTACAGGCGTGAGCCACTGCGCCCAGCCATGTGCTCTAGTTTTATGGTTTATAAACCCCTTTCCCTCTATTATCCCATTGTTCTCTAGAGGCTATCCTGAGAGGTAGGCATTGACATGTCTATTTTATTTCATTTTATTTTTTTTATTTATTTTTTTAGACAGAGTCTCACTGTCACCTAGGCTGGAGTGCAGTGGCACCATCACAGCTCACTGCAGACTCAACCTCCTGGGCTCAAGCAATCCTCCCACCTCAGCCTGGGACCAATCTCTTGGGCTCAAGTGATCCTCCCACCTCAGCCTCCCGAGTAGCTGGGACCGCAGGAGTGCCCCACCATGCCCAGCTAATTTTTGTATTTTTCTGTAGAGATGAGGTTTTGCCATGTTGCCCAGGCAGGTCTTGAACTCCTGGGCTCAAGCAGTCCATCTGCCTGGACCTCCAAAAATGCTGGAATTACAGCCATGCACCACCATACTCAGCTGATATGTCTATTTTATAAATTGGGAAATAGAGACTCAGAGAGGATAAATGAATTGCACAAACTCAACAGCTTGTGATGAAGCAGGGACCCTGTTTATTCAACTATTTGACCATCCAGGACTCTGTTAAGTCCGTAGTAACACAGAATGGCAGGGCTTAAAGGAAAGTCTGATTTGTGCGTGTGTGTGTATGTGTGCGTGTGTGTGTGTATGCACGCCTGCACTTGTACAGGAAGGGTTAGCCCAATGGGAGTGCCTTTGGCATTTGGATAATTCTTTGAGTGAGCTTGTCCTGGGCAATGGAAGGTCCCAGTTAGCATCCCTGTCCCCTAGACAGGAAGTACTAATAATAGCACTGCCTACCCAATTATTGAGAACACCAAAACATCTCTTTCACATGTTTAAAAGCCCCCTATAGGGGTAGTATCTCCCTACACTTCCCCACATGGCCACCCCCATCACTTAGAACCACAGGGCTAGAGTCCAGCTTTGGACACTGGTCCTTGTTCTATTGTCCCACCCCCTTCTGTCCTTCTTCCTGCCCAGGGCAGTTCCTCCTATCTCTCCGGCTCTCTTAGCAAGAAAGAGTGGAATTACAGAGGCTGGAGTCTCAACCTGCCTCTGAGGCCAAAGGGCTGTTCCTTTAGGGAGGCTGGTTCTCAGGATTGAGGGGTTTCCAGGGTGGGTTAGTTAGAGGTAAGGGAGGGAAAGGACCCCACCCCCGCCCCCTGCAGGCCTCACCTAATCGCCACACTCTGCATTATTACCCGCCTAATGCAGCGTGCTTTTAAATAAAATATGCAAAGATTTTCCTCTCAGATGATCTCCCCAGGCAAGCTAGCTCAACTCCAGCTTGTTAATGGGAAAAATGCAAATAGGGCCTCCCCCGTCTCCCCCAGCCCCTAGGCTCTGGACAGCTAATGCGCTTTGCTTTCCTTCTTTCTGGAATTTCTGTTTCCCTTGAAACCATTACTTCGGGGGGTGGGGGGGGGAGTCGGGGGAGGGGGTGGTGGCGAGGAGGTTTTTCCCAGGTGCCATCCAAAGGGAGAGTCTTAGAAGGGAGGAAACAGCCCAGGCAGGAAAAGTTTGGGAAAATAGCGCTGTTATGGAGCCTGCCCCTTTCTGAGCCTCCTTTCCCCCATCTGAGATCTCAATTAGTCCTTCCCGGGGCTGCTGTGAGGCTGAATAAAGGGAGAGGCATTAGCCGGCACATGCATTTGCAGGTTCGATTTTCCAGTTTAAATTTGCTATGCTTGAGGGATACAAAGATGGAGATAACAGACATGACTTCTGCCCTCATCAAGCTCACAGTCTAGCAGAAAAAAAGCCCCAGATCATTTGAAATTTAAAAAGCAATTATAGGGCACCTTAAGCAATCAGCTTCATCATGATGAAGCAATGGACATCTGCCTCCCGATGCAGCCTTTAGGACTCCCCTAGGTACCACTCCTGCCCATGATGTGGAACCTGAGGAATGCAGAACCAGGAGGAAACCATCAGGCAAGCCTAAATTCAGGGTTGGCCTACAAAACAGCTGGCAGGTGCTCTTCAGAAATATCAATGCCATGAAAGAGGAATGAACTGTTCCAGATTAAAGGGCACTAAAGAGACAGGAGGCTGGGTGTGGTAGCTCACGCCTGTAATCCCAGCACTTCGAGAGGCCGAGGCAGGAGGATCACTTGAAGCCAGGGGTTCAAAACCAGCCTGGGCAACATGGCAAGACCTTGTCTCTACAAAAATAAAAATAATTATCCAGGTCAGTTGCCTGCATCTGTAGTCCCAGCTACTTGGGAGGCTGAGGTGGAGGATCACTTAAGCCTAGCACTTTAGTCCAGGTGACAGAGTGAGATCCTGTCTCCAAAAGAGAGAGAGAGAGAGAGAGAGAGAGAGAGACAGGACAACTAAATGCAATGCATGATTCTGGATTGGATACTGGAGGATTGGAAAAAAATTTCTGTAAAGAGCTGGGCGCGGTGGCTCATACCTGTAATCCCAGCACTTTGGGAGACCAAGGCAGTATGATCGTTTGAGCCCAGGAGTTTGAGACCAGCCCTGGCAACATAGGAAGACTCTGTATCTACAAAACAAAAAAATAATAATTTTTAAAAAAAATTAGCTGGATGTGGTAGCATGTGCCTGTAGTCCCAGCTACCCGGAAGGCTGAGCTGGAAGGATCACTTGAGCCTGGGAGGTCGAGGCTACAGTGAGCTATGATCACACCACTGCACTCCAGCCTGGATGACAGAGTGAGACCCTGTCTCAAAAAAAGAAAAAATTTCTGCGAAAACTGTGGTTCCCAACCTTTTTGGCATCAGGGACTGTATTTGTAGAAGACAGTTTTTCAACGGACTGGGGGAGGAATTTTTGGTTTTGGAAGGAACTGTTCTACCTCAAGATCAGGCATTACTTTCTCATAAGGAGCACACAACCTAGATCCCTCACACGCGCAGCTCACAATAGAATTTGCACCTCTATGAGAATCTAATGCTGCTGCTGATCCAACAGGAGGTGGAGATGCTGTGCAGCTTGGTTCCTAAAAGGTCACTAACCTATACAGTCCGTGGCCCAGGTGTTGGGGACCCCTGTTGTAAAGGACATCATTGGGACATATGGCAAAGTTTGAATATGGATTTTATTGTAGATCTTTTATTGTATCAACCTTAAATTTCCTGAATGTGCTCACTATATTTTGGTTATATCAAAGAATTTCCTTGTTTTGGGGAAATATATGTGGAAATGTTTAAGGATAAAAGATCATAACATATGCGACTTAGTCTCAGATAGTTTGCAACTTTTCTGTAAGTTTTAAATTTTTCAAAATAAAAAGTTGAAAAAGAAAAAAACAAGCATAATTGGCCTTTTAAAAGCATGATAATGATATTGTAACTATGATTTTAAAAGTGCTTATCTTTTAGAGAAACTTGCTAAATAAAACATTTACAGATTAAATAAAACGATCTGTTTTATTGTTTAAAAATAAGACAGGAGGAGGGAAGTAGATGGGGGGTTAGGTGAAACCAGATTGGCTGTGGGTTGATAATTGTTGAAGTTGGGTGATTAGAATACTCTTCTTTTTTTTCTTATGTTTGAATTTTTCCATAATAAAAAAAAAATTTTTTTTTTTAAGAAAAGCAATTACAAAATGTAATTCATGTCAAGAGAAAGGTATGTGTTTAACCAGGGAACACGATCCAATTAAGGGCTTTGAAGAAGACTTTCTAGATAGAAGACAGGAGTGTACTTTTTGTTTTTTTTTTGTTTGTTTGTTCGTTTTTGTTTTTGTTTTTTTGAGACAGAGTCTCGCTTTGTCACCCAGGCTGGAGTGCAGTGGCACGATCTCGGCTTACTGCAAGCTCCGCCTCCCGGGTTCACGCCATTCTCCTGCCTCAGACTCTCCGAGTAGTTGGGACTGCAGGCGCCTGCCACCATGCCCGGCTAATTTTTTGTATTTTTAGTAGAGACGGGGTTTCACCGTGGTCTCAATCTCCTGACATCGTGATCTGCCCGCCTTGGCCTCCCAAAGTGCTGGGATTACAAGCGTGAGCCACCGCGCCCGGCGGAAGACAGGAGTGTTTAAACAGAGACTTAGAGTGAGCAGGGCCAAAGGACAATGAGCAGGGGCGAGGTAGGGAAAAGCTCTCCAGGCCAAGATACAACAGGTACAGGGATGAAACAGAGCGGTGGGGTTTGCAGGACCTGAAAGAACTGAGGCAGAGAGAAGTCAGGCCAGGAGTAGAGACACGGGGCAAGAGATGACCTTGCATGCCAGTTATGGGTTTGGGGATTTTATCCTGAGTGCGACAGAGAGCCTTGCAGGAAAGTGACAGGATCAGATTTGCATTTGAGAAAGAACTCTCTGGTGCTGTGCGGGGAAAGAGGACTGTGCAAGGCTGGGGACAGTTGGAAGCTCCAATCTTGTGGGTTGAAGCTGAATCACTTTCCCTGTACTCCCCAGCTTTTCTGACTTTATCACTTCCTGTATTAGTTTCTTTTGGCACTGCTGATAAAGACATATGGAGACTGGGTACTTTACAAAAGAAAGACATTTAATGGACTTACAGTTCCACATGGCTGGGGATGCCTCACAATCATGGCAGAAGGCAAGGAGGAGCAAGTCACATCTTACATGGATGGCATCAGGCAAAAAGAGAGCTTGTGCGGGGAGATTCCCCCTTATAAAACCATCAGATCTTGTAAGACTTATTCACTATCATGAGAACAGCACAGGAGAGACCTGCCCCCAGGATTCAGTTACCTCCCACTGGGTCCCTCTCACAACATGTGGGAATTCAAGATGAGAATTGGGTGGGGACACAGCCAAACCATATCACTTCCCTTATCCATTTTCAAATGAAGGATGAAGCTTAGGTGACAGATTTTGAACATGAGACCAATCCACCCACAGAGCTGGGATGGCTGGCTGTCTCATTTTTAATTCCCTCCACCACTAGCATGACAGGAAAGCAAGATGACTGATGGTTCAGCATTCAGACTCTGGATCCAGGCTACCTGGATTCAAATTCTGCCTCTGCATCATTACTAGCCAATGACCTTGGACAAAAGGGATGGTAATAATATTACCTACCTCACAGGGAAGTTGTGAGGATTAAATGCTTTGCTATGTATCAAGTGCTCAGAATAGGGCCATAATAAGGACTTAAATGAGTCTACTCTGGACTGAGCACCACCCTGGAAAGATGTAGGTGGATGGAAAGGGAAGAAAAGACAGATTCTTCAAAGATCTGAGCCTTATTGGACAAATGGAACACAGACATTAAAGAGCAATATCAAAGCACCATGTTACTGCATTATTCACAATATTAAATACAGCTGGACATAACCAAGCATCCATTCATAAGGGAATGGCTAAGGAAATTGTTATATCCAGTAATGTTCAGGAAAATGTTGGGGAATTGCTATTTTATTATATGAAGTGAAAAAGCCAGAAACAAAATTGCAAATGTCACATGAAAGGATAGGAAAAAAAAAAAAACATTAGAAGGAAATGCCCTGAAATGTTTATAGTAGTTAGCTCTAGATGGTGGTATTTGGGTGTGGCTTAAATTTTTTTTAAGTCTTTTGGATTTTTTTCCCCCAAATACAGAATAATATGCAATAATTACTTTTATATGGGAACATTTCAATCTTATTTTGTTAAAAAAAAACTGGTTTGGGTTAAAAATGAATAATAGTGGCACAGTGGCTCATGCCTGTAATCCTAACTTTGGGAGGCTGAGGTGAGAGGATTGCTCAAGCTCAGGAGTTTGAGTCTGCAGTGAGCTGTTACTGTGCCACTGCTCTCCAGCCTGGGTGAGAGAGCGAGACTCTGTCTCAAAAAAAAAAAAAAAAAAAAAAAAGAACAATGGTGAACATCATTAGCCATCAGGAAAATGCAAATCAAACCACAATGAAATACTCCTTCACACCCACAAGGATGTTAATAATCAAAAGAACAGATAATAACAAGTGTTGGTGAGGATGTGGAGAAATTGGAGCCCTCATAACTGGCCGGTGGGAATGTAAAATGGTGCAGCTGCTTTGGAAAATAACCTGGCAATCCCTGAAGTGTTTAAACATAGAGTTACCATGCAACCCAGCATTTCCATTGATAAGTACATATATACCCCAAAGAATCAAAAACATATACAGTAGTCACACAAAAATTTGTACACAATGTCATAGCAGAAATATTTATAGTAGCCTAAATGGAAATGACCCAAATGTCCATCAAATGATGAACAGATTTAAAAATGTGGCAAATCGTACAATAGAATATTATTTAGCAACAAAAAGAAGTGAAATACTAAGGCATGTTATTTATTATATCATAATTATATTGTATTATATATTATATGTTATGTTATAAAGCTACCAATTACAAGTTTGAGAAGTAGCGTTATGGAATTACTCTGATCATAAGAGGGGCTTGGGATAGCAACCTGATCGAAAAGACTGAATCTTTTTTTTTTTTTTTTTTTTTTTGAGATGGAGTCTCGTTCTGTTGCCCAGGCTGGAGTGCAGTGGTGCGATCTCGGCTCACTGCAAGCTCCACCTCCCGGGTTTATGCCATTCTCCTGCCTCAGCCTCCCGAGTAGCTGGGACTACAGGTGTCTGCCACTGCGCCTGGCTGATTTTTTTTATTTTTAGTAGAGACAGGGTTTTACCGTGTTAGCCAGGATGGTCTCGATCTCCTGACCTCATGATCCGCCTGCCTCAGCCTCCCAAAGTGCTGGGATTACAGTCGTGAGCCACTGCGCCCGGCGAAAAGACTGAATCTTGAAGCTGCACTTCCAGAGTGCTTTACATACTAAGAAGACATTGTTGTCAATATCAGAGAAAGAAAGACCAATGATAAAAATTACCATGTGGGGAGCGGGGCTGAAGATACCAGGGATGACTTTTCTTTTTTTCTAATATAACTCTTAGCATGCTGGTGTATCTTCTTTCACATTGTTTTCCCTAATAATACTTTTTACGTAGTTGCAATTATAGTGCATAAGCATGATGAATCCTAACTTTTTGACTTAACATTGCAATAATTTTCCATGCTGTTACATAGCATGGAAACCATTATTTTTAATAGTTTCATCATGTTCCATTGAACCACTCATTCTTAAATATCTAACTAATTCCCTATTATTAGATATTTAAGCTGTGTATAATGAATAATGTTAGAATGAACATCTTTGTTCATATTTTTTCTCATATTTCAAACTATTTATTTAGGGTAGGTTCTCAGAATTCCCAGATCAAAGTGTCTTCATGGCCCTTGAGAAATACTGTGAAATCATTTTCCCAAAGATATCCTTGCAAATGTAATAAATATAAAATTAATAAGTAGACATGATTGTATAAATATAACAATTAACAAAACATACCGTGTGGTGTTATATATATTACAATTAACAACATTTGTTATTAAAATTGTTATCCTTCCTTCTTTACTAATTCCTAGGCAGTTGAGTATCACACTCTTTTTTTTGTTTTTTTCTCTTACAGTATCCCAACAGACTTTTCATGTAGCACCTGCTCTGCCTGTGCCGTGCTAAGAGGCTCTTTCCACTGAATCTGTTGGATGGTCATTGAAGTACGATGCCATAACAAGGTGCTGAGGGCCGAGCCAGGTCAGTGGTGGGGAAAGAGGAGATGGGAATGATGAATTCAAGGGAGTTTAGACAAAGCCTAATATCCTCTATGGGATGAAGTCTTGGTTGGATATAGGGTAAAGGAGAAGGAGTTGTTGAGGATAATTGACTCAGCTACCAAGCCTAGCAGATTGGTCATACCATCAAATAACACAGAAAAGGAACAGATTCAGTTCAGTTTCGGGTATGTTGAATTTGAGATGCCCGAGGGCTTCCAAGTGGAGATGATCAGCAGGTGGCTGGTAGGAGATGATGTGATACTTCACCCACATCCCCCTTTCAGAGATAAGGCACTCATCGCCCTGTTTCTAGGAGTGTTGGTAGCTGAGGGCTCTCAGCTGAGTGCCCCTCTGCCTTTGCCCTCAACAGAAGAGAGCCACCTGGCCCAAGGTCACACTGCCTTCCCAGGCAGTCAACATCCAATGACTGACCAAAGTAGGGGTATAAAGGCTGGGTCCCTTTGCTTAAGGAGAAGCATGTCTGAAGGCCACTCAGTTTCCAAAACTCATTTCAGGTTGTTTGGGGCTTTTGTTCTGACCATTCAGTTACTTCATCTGCGCAATCCTCCTTTCTTCCCTCCCCACTGTGTTGATCCCAAGAGCATTCCTCAATACAATTCCTGCCCGCAGGTCTCCACCTAAGAGTGTTTTCAGAAAACCAACTTTAGACAGTTGGGAAATACATGCCTAGGCTAGGGAGGAAAGTCTTTTTGGAAGATAGAAATTTGGAGATTATTTGTCCTAGCAAGGTTGGTGGACATGGGGTGGTGGGCAAGATAATGGGAGATGAAGAGCCAGAGAGTGGAGGCTGCATCTTAGGAAAGGAAGGCTTTAATTTACGGGGTGGGGAAAAGAAGAACAGGCAGAGGAGGGAGCAGAAGCATGACAATTACAGTGAAGCACTGAGGCGGGCATTTTCAGGAGGGGCAGCCATTTAGGGCCTCTCGTAGGCTATCAGAGCCCAGGCCACCTTTGTGTATTTGAAGGTCCAGAGCACATTTAAAAAGTGTTGCCGGGGCTGGGTGTGGTGGCTCATGCCTGTAATCCCAGCACTTTGGGAGGCCGAGGTGGGCGGATCGCTTGAGGTCAGGAGTTCAAGACCAGCCTGGCCAATATGGTGAAACCCCATTTCTACTAAAAATTAGCTGGGAGTGGTGGCACACGCCTGTAATCCCAGCTACTCAGGAGGCTAAGGCAGGAGAATCACTTGAGCCCAGGAGGTGGAGGTTGCAGAGAGCCGAGATTGCGCCACTGCACTCCAGCCTGGGCAACAGAGCTAGACTCCATCTCAAAAAAAAAAAAAAAAAAGAGTGTTACCAGGTCCAGTGACACTTGCCTATAGTGCCTGCTACTTGAGAGGCTGAGGTGGGAGGATAACTTGAGCCTGGGAGGTCTAGGCTACCATGAGCCAAGATTATGCCACTGCACACCAGCCTTAGTGACAGAGTCTCAAAAAAAAAGTGTGTAATGCCAAAACAATGTTTTTTGTTTGTTTGTTTGTTTTTGTCATCCAGGCTGGAGTGCAGCGGTACAATTTTGGCTCACTGCAACCTCCACCTCCTGGGTTCCAGCAATTCTCCTGCCTCAGCCTCCCGAGTATTTAGGATGACAGGTGTGCGCCACTATGCCCAGCTAATTTTTGTATTTTTAGTAGAGATGGGGTTTCACCATGTTGACCAGGCTGGTCTCGAACTCCTGACCTCAGGTGATCCACCCACCTCTGCCTCCCAAAGTGCCAGGATTACAGGAGTGAGCCACCACACCCAGCCAACAATGTGTTTTAAGTATGGTATAATTTAAATGCTTACTTTGTGTCTTAGTCAGTTTGGGCTGCTGTAACAAATATGTACCACCCATAGACTGGGTGGCTTAAACAACAGACGTTTATTTCTCACAGTTCTGGAGGCAGGGAAGTCCAAGATCAAGGAATTAGCAGATTCAATGTCTGGGAAGAAACCACTTCCTGGTTTGTGTATGGCTGCCTTCTTGCTGTGTTCTCTTGTGGTAGGGAGCAGAGAATGATCATCTCTCATCTCTCTCATGTCTCTTTTTATAAGGGCACTAATCCCATTTGTGAGGGTCTATCCTTATGACCCAATTGCCCCCCAAAGTCCTCCCCTCCAAATACCATCACATTGGGGATTTAGGCTTCAACATATGAATTTTGCAGGGACACAAATATTTAGTTCATAGCACCTTAATAAATTACTCCTTTTAACAGTTTTTTAAAAGTCAGACGAATCGGCCAGGCATGGTGGCTCACACCTGTAATCCCAGCACTATTGGGAGGCTGAGGTGGGTGGATCACCTGAGGTCAGGATTTCAAGACCAGCCTGGCCAACATGGTGAAACCCCGTCTCCACTAAAAATACAAAAATTAGCCGGGCTTGGTGGCATGCACCTGTAATCTCAGCTACTCAGGAGGCTGAGGCAGAAGTATCGCTTGAACCTGGGAGGCAGAGGTTGCAGTGAGCCGAGATTGCACCACTGCACTCCAGCCTGGGCAACAAGAGCGAAATTCCATCTCAAAAAAAAAAAAAAAAAAAGTCGGATGAATCTATGTATAACTTAATTGGAAATAAAAGTATAAAATGTAGGCTCTTCATGAATATGATGCCTGTGCCAAAAGTCTCTCCTAGCCACTGGTTGTCCCATCTTTCCCTGCACGAGGCCCTGCAGTTAGCAGAGTGTGACCTAGTCAGAATTTGGGAAATGCCTTTAGGCAATGAGGAGGTGACCTTGATTTCAGCCATGTCCGAGGGGGCCTATGTTAGAGCCATACTGTTGAAGATAAGAATGTCAGCTGTAATCACGGCATCATTCAGCTTAAACCTCTCTCTCTCTCTCTCTTTTTTTAAAGACAGGGTTGCCCAGGCTGGAGTGCAGTGGCATGATCATGGCTCACTGCAGCCTTGATCTCCTGGGCTCAAGTGATCCTCCCACTTCAGCCTCCCAAGTACCTGGGACCACAGGCATGTGCCACCATGCCTGGCTAATTTTTTTATTTTTATTTACTTTTTTTGAGGCAGAGTCTTGCTCTGTCACCCAGGCTGGAGTACTGTGGCACAATCATGGCTCACTGCAACCTCTGCCTCCCGGGTTCAAGCAATTCTCCTTGCCTCAGCCTCCCAAGTAGCTGGGATTACAGGCGCCCACAGTCACGACCGGCTAATCTTTGTATTTTTTAGTAGAGACAGTGTTTCACCATGTTGGCCAGGCTGGTCTTGAACTCCCGACCTCAGGTGATCCGCCCGCCTCGGCCTCCCAAAGTGCTGGGATTACTGGCGTAAGCCACTGCGCCCAGTTGGCTAGTTTTTAAAAAAAAATTTTTTTTTTTTTTAAGATATGAGGTCTTGCCATGTTGCCCAGGCTGGTCTCAAACTCCTGGGCTCAAGTGATCCTCCCGCCTTGGGCTCCCAAAATGCTGGGATTACAGGTGTGAGCCATCAGGCCTGGCCTTAATCCTCTCTCAAGTTGGCTTTAGGCTCCCGGGGCAGTCAGAGGCTGATGGCAACCATCTGTGGGCTGAGAAGAGGAGCCCATAAAGGAAAGATGGAATATGTTGGACAGAGATGGCCCGCTGCTGCCATCAGGATGACCCAGCTCAAGCAGCCAGGCAGGAAAAAAAGCAACAAATTCCTCCTTCCTCTGCCTTTTGTTTTATTCAGGCCCTCAAGTGAGTGGATGATGTCCAATCACACTGGGGAGGGCAATCTACTTTAGGGAGTCCACTGATTCAAATGCTAATCTCATCTGGAAACACTCTCACAGATACAGAAAACAATGTTTAATCTGAGCAACCACATGTCCACTCAAGTTGACACGTTAACCATTACAGCAAGGCAAGGCTCAGTAGACTGATAGAGATGGGAGCCCAATTAGAGAGACGGATGGAGTGAGCAGAACTTAAGGAAATGAAGACTGTGAATGTTGACCACATTCAGAAGTGATTGCCCTACTTTACTAAGGCAATCTAGGATGGCTATTGTCAAAAACAAATAAACAAAAATCCAGAAAATACCAAGTGTTGACAAGAATGTGCAGCATTGAAACCCCTGTGCATTGCTGGTGGGAATATAAATAGTACAGCAGCTGTGGAAAATGACATGGCAATTCCTCAAAAAATTAAACATGGAATTACCATATGATCCAGCAATTTCACCTCTGGGTCGGGGTCGGGATTATTGTTATTTGATTGTAGTTACATTAGGGAGCCTCCAGTTTATGTGTGGACAGTTGTGTATTTCCTGGATACCAACGCCAGCTCCTCCTCAAGCAGAGGAGTGGAGGAAGCGGCTTTCTCCCTAGTGCCAGGAGTTGGCTGTATGCCCCTGGTTCTTAGAACAGTGTTGAGACAACTTTGACTAGATGTAGCCACTCTTCTGGAACAGATGTGAGTTTTGTTGGGGCTATGAGGGCTGGAATTGCACCTAAGATGCTGACCTCAGAGGCAACTCAGCCTCTCCCTGGCCCAGAGGTTCAGCTGAGCATTCCCACTGTCCCAATTTGGAGTAGGAGAAGGAGAACCCGGTGTGGCAGTATTTATTTATTTATTTATTTATTTATTTATTTATTTATTTATTTAAAGATGGCGGGGGGGGGGGTCTCCCTATGTTGCTCAGGCAGGTCTCAAACTCCTGGGCTCAAGCAATCCTCCCGCCTCAGCCTCCAAAGTTGCAGGGATTACAGGCACAAGCCCCAGTGTAGGAGTTAACAGCTCTGGGCTTCGTGAGTGTCTGTGAGTGAAGAGGGTTCCTGTAGCCCTGTGTGTGTTGGGGTGGGGAGGGTTCCTGTAGCCCTGTGTGTGTTGGGGTGGGGAAGGTTCTTGAGAAGTCTTCTGGGCTGCAGCTAGGCCTCCTTTGAGGGGCCAACCTGGGGCTCCAGAGGCTTAGGGTTCCGGCCGAGTACCTGCTCAAGTGTGGGGCACCCTGCAGCCTCCCAGCCTTGTTCTTGCTTCTTCGACCCTCCCCCACCCTCACCCTAGCTAGCCCAAGCCCACGGGACTGGCTGGGTGTCCCCCAGGCAACTGCGTTGACAGCTGCAAGTCCCAGCGGAGGAGGCAACCCCACGCCTTCCCCTCTTTACCGACTTTACAACCTCTCTCCAGGGGTCCTTTGTAGAAATGGAGTGAGAGGCAGAACAGAGGCAGGCTCCAGCTGTTTATTGAGAGAAAGAGTGTGTGTAAGGAGAGAGAACTGTGCTGAAAAATGAACGTGTCCCTTTTCCAATTTCCCTCCCAGCCCTGCTCATCTGTACAGGTGGACCCAGGGCTTGTCATTAAGTCTCTACCTCTGACACCTCTGCAGCTTTCATGCCCGGGGCACCCTGCCTCTGTCTCCCCCTCCCCAACTCGGCCTCAGCTGCATACAGGGGCCCAGCACCCTTGAAGCTGCCCCCCCACCCCAGCGCCAGCCCTCAGAACTAGCCCTTCACAAAATAACCCCCAAACCGCACTTCAATCTTGGCACTGAGCTCCTTGATAGCAGGAGATAGAGGGAAGAAAGAGAGGAGAAATGCAGAGAACAGAACTGAGTGTAGGTCGGGCATGGTGGCTCATGCCTGAAATCCCAGCACTTTGGGAGGCCAAGAGAGACAGATTACTTGGGCTCAGGAGTTTGAGACCAGCCTGGGCAACATGGCCAAACTCCATCTCTACTAAAAATACAAAAAATTAGCCGGGCGTGGTGGTGCATGCTTGTAGTCCCAGCTACTTAGGAGGCTGAGGTGGGAGGATCGCTTGAGCTTGGGAGGTGGAGGTTGCAGTGAGCCGAGATCAAGCCACTGCACTCCAGCCTGGATGACAGAGCAAGACCCCATCTCAAAGGAAAAAAAAAGAAAACACAACAACAACAAAAAAAGACAGAACTGGGTCTAGGCCAGGAGCAGTGAGTGGATCATGCCTATAATCTCAGCACTTTGGGAGGCCAAGGCAGGAGGGTCACTTGAGCCCAGGAGGTCAAGACCAGCCTGGGCAACATAATAATAACCTGTCTCTACAAAAAATACAAAAATTAGCTAGGCGTTCCCAGCTACGTGGGAGGCTGAGGTGGGAGGATTGCTTGAGCCTGGGAGGTCGAGGCTACAGTGTGCTGTGTTCATGCCACAGCACTCAGCCTGGGTGACAGAGCGAGACCCTGTCTCAAAAAGAAAAAGAAAAAGAAAAAGAAAAAGAAAGGCCAGGTGCAGTGGCTCATGCCTGTAATCTCAGTGCTGTGGGAGGCTGAGGCAGATCACTTGAGGCCAGGAGTTCGAGATCAGCCTGGCCAACATGGTGAAACCCCGTCTCTACAAAAAATACCTGGGCATAGTGATGCACACCTGTAATCCCAGCTACTTGGGAGACTGAGGCATGAGAATTGCTCAAATCCAGGAGGCGGAGGTTGCAAGGTTGCAGTGACCTGAGATCAAGCCCCACTGCACTCCAGCCTGGGTGACAGAGCAAGACCATGTCTCAAAAAAAAAAAAAGAAAAAAGAAAAAAGAAAAAAAAAGGGAAAGGAATTGAGTCTAGAGGGACCAAGTTTAGGGAGTAAGGAGTCAGTTTGTCTGTCCAGCTGTTCTTTTTTTTGTCTGTCAGTTTGTCAGTTTGTCTGTCCAGCTGGTCTCACTACATTGGCCAGATTGATCCTGAACTCTTGGCCTCGAGAAATCCTCCCACCTTGGCTTCCCAAAATGCTAGGATTACAGGCATAAGCCATGGTGACCAGCTAGTCCAGTTGTTCCTATATTCATCTATTCACCTAGCCACTGCCCATGTGCCTGTCTCTCTGCCCCGCTTCTCTCGCTATCTTTCATTTTTTTTCTTATTTTTTATTTTTTTGAGATGGAGTCTTGCTCTGTCCCCCAGGCTGGGGTACAATGGTGTAATCTCAGCTCACTACAACCTCTGCCTCCTGGGTTCGAGTGATTCTCCTGTCTCAGTCTCCCGCGTATCTGGGACTACAGGCACCCACCACCACGCCCGGCTAATTTTTTGTATTTGTAGTAGAGACGGGGTTTCACCATGTTAGCCAGGATGGTCTCGATCTCCTGACCTTGTGATCTGCCCGCCTCGGCCTCCTAAAGTGCTGGGATTACAGGCGTGAGCCACCGCCCCCGGTCCTCTCGCTGTCTTTTCTTTTTCTTTGATCTATTGTATCTAGCATTCATTCGTTTGTGCTTCATTTACAGGTCAAGTCCCAGTCAAATAGACCTGCAAAACAATTTACATATAAGCAAAATTTCCCAAGCTCCACTTTTGGAAACTTTTACTTTCGCACAATATTCACACTCTTACTTCCATTCTCTCTCGGGGTGGTTTGCCCCATCCCCCTTCTCTTTCTCTTTCTCTCTCTCTCTCTCTGAACGGGGTGGTTTGCCCCATTCCCCTTCTCTCTCTCTCAACATTTACTCCATCCAGCCTCACCTGGGCCACTGTGCCTTCTCACCCTCGGCCCAGATTTCCTCACCCTTGGCCCTCTGCTGCCTGACTTGTACCCACTCCATGTTGGCCCAGGGTCGTGGGAGGGATTCCCACGGCCTTTCTGCTGTCAAAGGGAGACTCTCTCTCCTCTTTTCCACCTCAGCTGCTAAAGACCTTCCCCACTCTCCCTCCTCAAGCCTCTATCTATTCTGCTCTTCCTCATCCCTTCAACCAGGTCTATTCCCTGGCTCTACCAACTCCACAGAGCCAGGAATGTGAACTTCCTCATTTGCACCCCCCTACTCTAAGTCAAATGATGTCCGTGCTCTTCTCATCCTTCTTCTTTTCCCCTGGATTCTGATTTCTCCTTCTGGGAAAGGCCAGCAACTCCTTTGGGGTTGACCCTTGCCATCCCTAGGTTTTGCAGGACATCTCTTCCTTTCTGCATCTTCTGACTCTTCCTGCATCTTCCCTGCCCGCAGCCCACAGACACCTCCCTGACCCCTGTCCTGCTGCCACCAGCTCAGCCTCCTTTCTACACAGCCACCTGTCAGAAGGAGGACCTCCCACCTGTCTCTGTCCATCACCTCCTTTCCACTCTTCAGTTAGGCTTCTGTCTCCCACCACTCCACGAAGCAGCTCTCACCAAGGTAATCGATGCCCTCCACATCTTCAAATTTAACGATGTCCATTCAGTTCTTTTTTGTTTGTTTGTTGGAGTCTCACTCTTTCCTTCAGGCTGGAGTGCAGCGGCATGATTTTGGCTCACTGCAACCTCTGGCTCCCAGGTTCAAGCGAATCTCCTGCCTCAGCTTCCCAAGTAGCTGGGACTACCGGTGTGCACCACCATGCCTGGCTAATTTTTTGTATTTTCAGTAGAGATGGAGTTTCATCATGTTGGTCAGGCTGGTCTCGAATTCCTGATGTCAAGTGATCCGCCCGCTTCTTGGCCTTCCAAAGTGCTGGGATTATAGGCGTGAGCCACTGCACCTGGTCCACAATGCAATTTTTGATATAATTCAGTTGATTCCTTTTCTTTTTTAAACAAAAAATTTTTTTTTTAGAGACAGCATGTCTGTATTGCCCAGGCTGAATGCAGTGGCACAATAATAGCTCACTGCAGCCTTGAACTCTTGGGCACATACAATCCTCCCACCTCAGGCTTCTGAGTAGCCGGGACTACAGGTGTGCGTCACCATGCCTGGCTAATTTGTTATATTTTTTGTAGAGACAGAGTCTCACTATGTTGCCCAGGCTGCTAACAAACTTCTGGCCTCAACCAGTCCTTCCACCTTGGCCTCTCAAAGTGCTGGGATTATAGGCATGAGCTGCTGTGCCCCATCCTGATTCCTTTGCTTGAAACTTTTTTCTTGCTTGTCTTCTGGGACATCTTTGTTTCCATGTTCTTATCATATCTTTATTTATTTTTAATTTTTTACCTATTTATTTTTTTGAGACAGTGTCTCACTTCTTTTGCCCAGGCTGGAGTGCAGTGGCGTAAGCAGCCTCAACTTTGCAGGCTCAGCCTCTTGAGTAGCTGGGGCTACAGATGCACACCACCACGCCCAGCTAATTTTTGTTATCTCTTCGTAATAATTTCTTCCTAGTACTTCTGCTCAAGATGGCAGACTGAGCTGGCATTTTGCTCCAAACACATAGAAATGCAGGATAGAAGGTTTTTGGGTTTTTTTGTTCAATTTTTAAAAATGTATAGCCGAACTAAAAGCAACAATGGTAAAATTTCAGATTTTCAGATGCCAAAGCAACATTGTGGATTCCTTCAGTAATGAGTGGGAACTGAAGCCATGGAGCCCATAAAGATGTTGAGATCTAAGCCACGGAGCTGGGCTTTTAATGTTTTTTTTTTTTTATTTTAGAGACAGGTCTTGCTCTGTCACCCAGGCTAAAGTGCAGTAGCATGATTGTAGTTCACTGCAGCCTTGAACTCCTAGACACAAGTGATCCTCCACTCAGCCTCCCAAGTTGCTAGGATTACAGCCATAGCTGGGGCTGAGCTTTTAATACTAGATGCCAGGGCAGGAGTCAAGATTACAGGCTAGAACTGGGCTCCTTGCAAAAAAACGAGGAGGTAGGAAAAGGGCTGTCCTGTCTGTTCATTTAGGCTTACAAAACTGTACCGGCTCATTGCCTGGGAAATATGGACAGAAGTGAAAGTGGGACACTCAGCCCAGTCCATGAGAAGTATTCTTGTCAGTCCTGAGATATCAACCTCTGTCCTGGGCAATGTGTGACTAGACAGCTACTATTCTGCACTATCTTCTTCATATAGAAACCCCAATATCAAAATAACCCCAGCCCAAGATCAAAACTGATCCAGAGCCAGTGAATCACATTGGTCAAAGCAATTCACAGTTAATTCAAAACCCAAGGAATTAATAGAATCCTATAGAGGAAAACTTCCCGGAAGGTGTGTTCACAAATAAAAATTACAAAACAAGTGAGGAAATCTAATACTATAAGAGACAATCTGCAAATCATAGATAATAGTGTAATCTAATAGGATAACATTTTTAAAAATTTTATTGTGGTAAGAACACAACATGATTTCCCCTGTTAAAAAAATTGTTTTTTTTTTTTGGTGTTTTTTGAGACAGCCTGGGGTGGAGTCCAGTGGCGCAATCTTGGCTCACTGCAACCTCTGCCTCCCAGGTTCAAGTGATTCTCCTGCATCAGCCTCCCAAGTAGCTGGGATTACAGGTGCCTGCCACCATGCTCGGCTAATTTTTTTTTTTTTTTTGTATTTTTAATAGAGACAGGGTTTCACTATGTTGGCCAGGCTGGTGTCAAACTCCTGACCTCATGATCTGCCCGCCTCAGCCTCCCGAAGTGCTGGGATTACAGACCTGAGCCACCGCGCCCGGCCCCCTCTTAACACATCCTTGGAGTGCAGGAATGAATACCATTTGGTTGTGTTTTTTTGTTTTGTTTTGTTTTGAGACAGAGCCTCACTCTATCGTCCAGGCTGGAGTGCAGGGGCTCCATCTCAGCTCACTGCAAACTCTGCCTCCAGGGTTCAAGTGATTCTCCTGACTCAGCCTCCCATGTAGCTGGGACTACAGGCATGGGCCATTACACCCAGCTAATTTTTGTATTTTTAGTAGAGATGGGGTTCTATGATGTTGGCCAGGCTGGTCTCAAACTCATGGCCTCAAGTGATCTACCCACCTCATTCTCCCAAAGTACTGGGATTATAGGCATGAGCCACTGTGCCCGGCCCCAGCCTCTTATTTTAGAGAACAGAAAACATGTTCATGGAAATTAATGTCACCTAGCTAAAGTCACATAGATTTCTGATTGAAGACCTCAAGCTCTTAACCACTGTTTACACTGCTTCACTTACCACATGCTATTTTAATCATATACAAAGGCCTCTATTTCCTTCAAAGGACCAGGAGCAGCTTAAGGTCAGGACAGGATTGGATTTATTTCTGTGTTATCAATAAATATTTGCTTCATTGGATCTTATTGACAGCTTTGAGGATGGAGTTGATATTGGGTGGGTGTCCACAAGAATTAAAGATGGAGTTAGTTTAGAGGTTAGTGGGTAGGAGTGTGTTTGTGGGCAAGTCGTATCTTTGAAGCCTTATGGAAAGAGGAGCTTGATGAGTGAGGTACCTGAAGGATGCTGACTAGGAATCTGAGTCTCTGGGCCTGAAGCTGGTCCTCCTTGGATGGTCCTTCTGTTTTTTGGGGTTGGGGACACTGGATAAGGTAGGAACGCACGGGGTGGATGTGATGAAGGGGCCACATTACACGCATCCACACTCCTCACTGGACTTTTGGATGCAGAAGAGAGAAATTTGGAGCTCATTCCTGAGGGAAAAAAAATTTCTTGATTCAAAAATCAAGTATACAATGTCAGATTCTCAGTTTTGACCAAGGTACCATGGTAACAGAAAATGTCAACAGTGGAGACATTGAGTGAGGGGTATAAGGGAACTTTCTTTGCTGTCCTTGTAACTTTCTTTGTAAATCTAGAATTATTCCAAAACAAAAGGTTTATTAAAGACAGAAAAGCAAGTTACAGCTGAACTGATGGCTGGAATCCCAGAAGAGCACAGCCTCTGAACAGAAGGGAAACGTCTGCTGTCCTTAGACAAGCTACTTCCCTGCTCTCAACTTCAGTTTGTTCATCTGAAAAATGGAGAACTATCTTTTTGCAGAGTACCTGCTGCAGATATGATGATAATGAAATGAGAGGAGGAACAGGAAGGTGGATCAGGGTCCCACCAAAGCAGTGAGCTTCAGGACCAGGTCCAACAGGAAAGCAAGTCCTAGTTCTGGGCAGAGGCATTGAGGAGGTTGGGTCTGGTTCAGCCCAGCACACTAGACACTGAGGCAGACTGGTTCAAGGTCCTGTCCTAAGACATAAGTCAATAACTCCTGACAGACAGCTTGATGGGACAGGAGTAGGCTAGGATTGACACTTCCTCTGAGATGATGTCCCCAAAGCCTTGGGGCCTGGATGGTTGATCTCTGGCTGGTCTTGTCCTCCTGGATCTCCTGGGAGAGATAGACAGTTCAAAAAAGGCTGAGAGTCCAGAGCCCAGTAAGAGTAGAAGCCCTGGGTGTGACCTCAGAGGACAGGTCGTTCCTCCCCATCCACGGAAGTAGGAGGACAGGCAGCAGCTCGTAGCCAGAGGGACAAAGTGGCAGCTTTAGTCTGGGGGCAATGAGTGAAGCTGGGCTCTGGCAGGTAGAGGCTGAGCATTTCTGCATGCCTTAGTCCTCCTTTGCATTAATTACCTGCTGACATGGTTTGCACTGCTCTCCCTTAGTGCTATTTTAATTAACGGAGATCTCCTCCGAGCAAACCAGCTGCTGTGTAAGTTGTCAAACTGTCAGCGGGCACAGGATGGGTGTCATGGGGACATTAAGTGTGAGAACTACCAATGGGCTCCCCATCTTCTTGGCACATTAGAATCTCCCCTTAAATCTATCCCATAGTAAAAGTGGGCAAAAGAATGTCAAGATCAAGAAGTTGGCTTTGGGTTCAGATAGATTTAGGTCTGAACTTTGACTCTGGCACTAATTTACTGTGAGACTTCCGGCAAATCTCTGAATCTTCCTCATCTGCAAAATGGGGGAGAGCAATACTTATTTTGTCACAAGCAGTGTGGTAGATGATGTACAATAACATGCTCCACTCAGTGCCTTTAGTGCTCAATAAATGACTTGTTATTAAGTACATTTTCCTGGTCATCTAAGTGTTCCCTATTAAGCCCTTTGTAAGTTTATTATGGCCTGAGAAGAACATTTAACTTAAACATACATGAGAAAAATCCCAAAGTTCTCATTATTAACTTTCTGTTTTTCTGTATATTATTACTCAGTGTTCAGAGAACCCTTATTTTCTCAGTAGCTTGGCCTCTCAGCTCCCACCCTTTAAACCATTAAGACCCTACATTCCTCTTCCCCCGTTCCTTCCCTTTCCAGCTGGTCCCTGACTGGACTGAGCATTCTCTCTGAGGCTCTTAAAGTTTACGTGCAGCTGCCCCCTCTGAATAAATGAGCAAATGTGTAAACGGAGGAAATGGCTGAGTTGAGCTCTGAAGGACGAATAGGAGTTAGGTAATGGGAGAGAGAGCGGGGAGAGGAGGGTGTTCTGGGCAGAGATAATACCATGTTCAAATGCTCAGAAGCAAGAGATAGTGTGCTGGATTTGGGGAACTGAAAGGGTTTAGCTGAACTGAAAAGGCCTGGAGAAGGCAAGGGGGTAGGTGTGAGAGACAAAGCTAGAGAGGAAGGTGGGGTCTGACACAGAGGGCCTTGGAAGCCCTCTTTCAGAGTTTGAAACTTATCCTATAGGCAGATAATGAAAGAAGACAATGAAAAATTTTATATAGCAAAAGGATGCATTCCGTTTTTTTTTGTTTGTTTTTTTTTTTGTTTTGAGATGAAGTCTGTCTCTTGTTGCCCAGGCTGGAGTGCAGTGGCATGATCTTGGCTCACTGCAACCTCCACCACCCAGGTTCAAGTGATTCTCCCGCCTCAGCCTCCCAAGTAGCTGGGATTACAGGCGCCTGCCACCACGCCTGGCTAATTTTGTATTTTTAGTAGAGACAGGGTTTCATCATGTTGGCCAGGCTGGTCTCAAACTCCTGACCTCAGGGGATCCACCTGCCTTGGCCTCTGAAAGTGCTGGGATAACAGGCCTGAGCCACCACACCTGGTCCAGATTTGTATTCTATTCTATTTATTTATTTTTAGAGGCAGGATCTCGCTCTGTTACCCAGGCTGGAGTACAGTGGTGCAATCATAACTCACCAAAGCCTTGACCTCCTGGGATCCTGACTAGCTAGAACTAAAGGTACGTACCACCATGCCTGGCTAATTTTAAAATTTGTTATAGGCCAGGCATGGTGGCTCACGCCTGTAATCCCAGCACTTTGGGAGGCTGAGGCAGGGGGATCACTTGAGGTCAGGTGTTCCAGACCAGCCTGGGCAGCATGGTGAAACCCTGTCTCTACTAAAAATACAAAGATTAGCTGGATGTGTTGGTGTGCACCTGTAGTCTCAGTTACTCGGGAGGCTGAGGCAGGAGGATCACTTGAGCCTGGGAGGTAGATGTTGTAGTGAACCAAGAGCGTGCCACTGCACTCCAGCCTAGGTGACAGGAGTGAAACCCTGTCTCAAAAAATAAAATAAAATTTGTTATAGAGATGTGGTCTCCCTATGATGCCCAGGCTAGTCTTAAGCTCCTGGTTTCAAACAATCCTTCCTTCTCAGACTCTCAAAGTGCTTGGATTATAGGCATGAGCCACTGCACCTGGCCTAGATTTGTATTTTATCTATCTATCTACCTATCTATCTATCTATCCATCATCTATCCATTTATTTTTGTTTTTACTACACCCACATTTCAGCAATATGGTTTTGTATTTTCTTTTCTTTTCTTTTTCTTTTTTTTTTTTTTTTTTGAGATGGTGTCTTGCTCTATCCCCCAGGCTGGAGTGCAGTGGTGCGATCTCAGCTCACTGCAAGCTCCGCCTCCCGGGTTCATGCCATTCTCCTGCCTCAGCCTCCCGAGTAGCTGGGACTGCAGGCACCCGCCACCATGCCAGGCTAATTTTTTTTTAATTTTATTTTTAGTAGAGACGGGATTTCACCGTGTTAGCCAGGATGGTCTCGATCTCCTGACCTCGTAATCCGCCCATCTCGGCCTCCCAAAGTGCTGGGATTACAGGCATGAGCCACTGCGCCGGGCCTGGTTTTGTATTTTCTTTTCTTTTTTTGAGACTGAGTTTCACTCTTGTTGCCCAGGCTGGAATGCAATGACTTGATCTCAGCTCACTGTAACCTCTGCCTCCCGGTTTCAAGCAATTCTTCTGCCTCAGCCTCCCAAGTAGCTGGGATTACAGGCGCCCAGCTATACGCCAGGCTAATTTTCATATTTTTAGTAGAGACAGGGTTTCACCATGTTGGCCAGGCTGGTCTGGAACCTTAGGTGATCCGCCCACCTCAGCCTGGGAAGTGCTGGGATTACATGTGTAAGCCGAAATTGTGCCACTGCACTCCAGCCTGGAGGACAGAGCGAGCCTCCGTCTCAAAAAAAAAAAAAAAAAAAAAAAAAAAGAGCTCTTTAGGAGGTAGAAGCTACATAATTAATATTAATTGGATCTGGGAAGAGGGCAGAGAAAGAAGGAGGCAATAAGTGGTAGTCAGAGAGGTAAGGAGACAAGAGAGCCGAGACTTGTCAGGAGAGAAGACAACCAGGGGGAGAGAGTTCCAAGAAGAAGGGAATGGTCAACAGTATTCACTGCTGCTAAGGGGTCCCTACTGGAGGGACTGAGAAGTGAACATTGTGTCTTGCTGGGACCCCTGGTGAACAGTTGTGTGTGTGTGGGGGGTGGGGTGCAGGAGACAGATTGCAGTGATTTGGGGAATGAGGGGGTGATAGGAGGAGAGAGGGAGTAGAGGCAACTCTTTTAAGAAAATTGGCAATGAATGAAAGGAGAGAGACTGAGTGGCAGATAGAAGCAAATGTTGTATAGAAGAAGACTTTTATTTATTTTTTTTTGAGATAAGGTCTTGCTGTGTCACACAGAGCTGGAGTACAGTCATGTGATCACAGCTCACTGCAACCTTGACCTGTGGGATTCAAGCGATCCTCCCACCTCAGCCTCCCACCTCAGCCTCCTGTGTAGCTGGGACTACAGGTGTGTGCCACCATGCCTGGCTAATTTTTTAAAATTTATTTTAGTAGAAATGGAGCCTTACTATGTTGCCCAGGATGCTCTTGAACTCCTGGACTCAAGCAATCCTCCCACCTTGGCCTCTGAAATTGCTGGGATGACAGATGTGAGCCACTGCGCCTGGCCAAGAGAACTCATTTTTTTAAGATGGAAGAGACAGCACCATATCTATCTGTGAAGGGAAGGATCTAGTAGAGACCAAGAGAGTGAAGACGCAGGAGAAAGGGGAGAAATTGATGATGGAGCAAGTTTTCAGGTGATGTGGGAGCGGCAGGATGTAGAGCATCAGTGAGCAATCAGCCCCACACCCTTCTGAGATGAGAGAAGACAAAAATGAGACAAATGTGAGTAGCTTCTCCTGATGGTGGTGGTGGCTCAGGAAGTTATAAGGGTCTCCTTCTGATTGTCCCTAATCTATTTATGTTCTCTGTAAAGAAAAAGGTGAAGTTGGCCGGGCACAGTGGCTCACGCCTGTAACCCCAGCACTTTGGGAGGCCAAGCTGGGTGGATCACGAGGTCAGAAGATCAAGACCATCCTGGCTAACACAGTGAAACCCCGTCTCTACTAAAAAAAAAAAATACAAAAAGTTAGCCGGGTGTGGTGGCGGGCGCCTGTAGTCCCAGCTATTAAGGAGGCTGAGGCAGGAGAATGGCGTGAACCCGGGAGGCAGAGCTTGCAGTGAGCTGAGACTGTGCCACTGCACTCCAGCCCGGGTGACAGAGCAAGATTCCGTCTCAAAAAAAAAAAAGAGGTCAGGAGTTCGAGACCAGCCTGACCAACAGGGTGAAACCCCATCTCTACTAAAATTACAAAAAGTAGCTGGGCATGGTGGTGCAGGCCTGAAATCCCAGCTACTAAGGAGGTTGAGGCAGGAGAATCACTTGAACCTGGGAGGTGGAGGTTGCAGTGAGCCGAGATTGTGCCACTGCACTCCAGCCTGGGTGACAGAGCAAGACTCCGTCTCAGAAAAACAACAACAACAACAAAACTCAAACAAACAAACAGAAAAAGGTGAGGTTTTGTGCTGAAAGCGATGCCAGGAGGCCTAGAGATGTGGGGGTTTGAAGCAGCTGTTATGGGGAATGGCAGGACACCTACTGGGGGCTTGTGAAAGGCTGAGACCCTCATGAAAGAACAATTAACACATGCCACTCCTTGGATAAAGCTCTTCCTTTCCCTGAGCTCATTTTAAAAATCACCCAAGTGGGGACCCAGCTGCGTATTGCTCACCTGTGGGGGATGCATCAGAGAAGCCAGGAGGAGGGAGGCAAGGGGCTTGGGGCAGCTGATTTTGTGCAGACATCCTATGAGATGTATTTGATGACTGGCATTGGTCTCAGGGATAAGGGCTCTCTAACATCAGGGACAGCAGCTCAGAGGATCCCCAGCTTCTGCTCAGGAGGGTGAGAGTGGGAGCCCCTGGGCATCTGTGGAGAGGCAGACCAGGAGGGAGAGATGAGAGTTCTGTTCTTTCAAACCTGCTCCCTTCTCTCTCCGCCTTGGCCCCAGACACATTGATTCTCTGCTGAAACAAATGTCCTGGAGCAAAGCTGCAGGTCTGCGGTGAAATCATTTGCTAACCAAGGTATTCTCCCTGGCTCATGGATGTTCAGTCAACTCAGCCCTCCTTAGGCTGGAAGATTCTCAGTTTAATTGTGTGTCGGCACATGTGCCTCTGTGAGTGTGAGAGAGTATGTGTGTGTGCATGCACACATACTCACATGAGCCTAAATGGCAGTGTATGAGTATGCTTGTAAGAGTGTGTTTGTGAACTTGGACATGTGTGGGTCTGTCTGAGAATGTGGTGGACAGTGTGTAAGTGTGTGTTAGCCTGTAAAGATTTGTGTGGGCCTGTAGGGGAGTGGGTGAGTGTGTCTTAGTGAATTCATGAACTCGTGTGGACACATAAGCCCTAGCCGAACAGTAGGAGCAAGGTGGACCTATGAGAGCCTCTGCATATGTGCGTGGGCTTCTGTGTGTGTCATGCCTGTAATGCCAGCACTTTGGGAGGCCGAGGCAAAAGGATCACTCAGGTCAGGAGTTCAAAACCAGCCTGGCCAACATGGTGTGGAGCCTGTTTGTCAATAATAGTAAGAATTATTAATTAATAAATATTAATTTTTAATATTTGTATCATTTATATTTTTACAAAGCATTTAGATATGCTTCTTATTTGATCCTCACAACCTTGTGAATAACATAGGAGAGAACATTCTATAAAAATTCCACATACCAGACAGGCGCAGTGGCTTACGCCTGTAATCCCAGCACTTTGGGAGGCCGAGGTGGGTGGATCACCTGAGGTCGGGAGTTTGAGACCAGCCTGACCAACATGGAGAAACCACATCTCTACTAAAAATACAAAATTAGCCAGGCATGGTGGCACATGCCTGTAATCCCAGCTATTTGGGAGGCTGAGGCAGGAGAATCGCTTGAACCCAGGAGGTGGAGGTTGCGGTGGGCCGAGATCACACCACTGCACCCCAGCCTGAGCAACAAGAGTGAAACTCCATCTCAAAAATAAAATTCCACGTACCTTCATGATGTCTACTATAAATAGTGTGTTAGAAAGGGTATATGTGGTTGGGCTCGATGGCCCGTGCCTGTAATTCTAGCATTTTGGGAAGCCTAGGTGGGACCTGTAATCCTAGCACTTTGGGAGGCTAAGGTGGGAGGATTGCTTGAGCCCAGGAATTCTAGCCCAGCCTGAGCAAGATAGTGAGACCCTGTCTCTATTGAAAGAGTAAAAAAGTTAAAAAAGAAAGGGTATATATGAGTCTAGGGGTGGGAATGAGAGTGTATGTGGATAGTCCCAAGTGTGGATGAGGTAGACCTGGACACTGAGGCACAGCCTTTCACATGCCCTCATCTGCCTGTATCAAAGGGCAAAGGGGCCCCCTTTTAGCACAGGCAGAGCTGAATTGGTCTAGGCTGTCTCACTATGCACACAGAACGGACAAGGAGATGCCCAAAGGGAGGCTGGAAATATCTAGCTCTTGGTCAACCGTTCACTCTTCTTCAACCTGTATCCTCACCCTTCTCCCAATCTACTGAATCCTTCTATTTTTTTTTTTTGAGATGGAATCTGGCTCTGTTGCACAGGCTGAAGTGCAGTGGTGTCATCTCGGTTCACTGCAACTTCTGCCTCCCGGGTTCAGGTGATTCTCCTGCCTCAGCCTCCTGAGTAGCTGGGATTACAGGCACACACTGTCACGCCTGGCTAATTTTTGTATTTTTAGTAGAGACAGCGTTTCGCCATGTTGGCCAGGCTGGTTTTGAACTCCTGACCTGAAGTGATCCTATTGCCTCGGCCTTCCAAAGTGTTGGTTTTACAGGCGTGAGGCACCGTGCCTGGCCCTGATTCCTTCTTTTGCTTAAAAATTTTCTTAGGTTTTCTCCATTCCAAAATGGGCTTGCCTCTCCTTAAGCTATCATTGAAATCCTTTTCTTTCCTTCACTAACACGATTCTTGGAAGAATAGTTGCAGTCAGTGGATACACTTCCCCTTCATTGTCTCTGCAACACACTGTGGTCTGACTTCCACCCACACTCTTGATAGAGCTGCCCATACATACAGATGTTGATCCCAAACCCAATGGGCTTTCTCACCGCCTGTCTGAAACACTTGACCCTGCAGACCCTCTTCTCTCCCCTGAAACCCTCTCCTTCCCTAGCTTCTGCGATAGCACTCTCTGCTTCTCTTCTTCCTCTCTTGTGATACTTGTTCGGGGTCCTGTGCTCCTCCCACCTACCCTTTAAATGCTGGCGTGGGCTCCAATCCTCTTCTGTTCATCTATGTCTCACCTATGCCTGAGTCATGTTCTCCTAACTCACTCATCTCTGTCTCCAGCCCAGATGTCTCTCCTGCAATCTAGACACTTTTAGCCTGTTCCTATTGGACACCCTCTCCCATCATCTTTCTCACAACTGAGTGTGTCCAATACTGGTTTCATCATCTTGTCCCTAACTTTCTTCCCCTTCTCTTTCTCTGACCCCACCTGGTACCATTACCAACCCAGTTGTTACCCAAGCCAGAAACCTAGGAATCATCCTCTACTTCTCTCCTTTCTTAAACCCCTGTATTCTTAGGCACCAAGTCTTGTTTATTCTACATCAACATATTTTATTTTATTTATTTTTTTGAGACAGAGTCGAGACGGGTTTCACCATGTTGGCCAGGTTGGTCTCAAACTCCTGACCTCAAATGATCCAACTGCCTCGGCCTCCCAAAGTGCTGGGATTACAGGCATGAGCCACCGCACCCGGCCTACATCAACACATTTTAAATTTAACAAATGCTTACTGAGCCACCACTAAATGCCAGACAACATCTTCAGAACAGCTCTGTAAGTCAAGTATTATTATTCACATTTGATAGATGAGGAAATTCAGAAATGTATGCATCTTAAAAATGTTCTTTTCTCTATATTCCCAAGACCACTATAATCTCTCTCCCTGTTTCCCTCATCAGGCTAGGAGTTCCTTGAGGTCAGGAATGAAATTATGCCCCAGTGCCCTGGCAAAGTGCCCAGTATCCTATGTAAATCTAGTAGGGGATCATTAATGGAAGGAAGAGAGAAAGGAAGGAAGGATGGAAGGAAGGAAGTATGGGAGGAAGAAGAGAGGGAGGAAGGAAAGAAGGAAGGAAGGAAAGAAGGAAGGGAGGGAGGAAAGAAGGGAGAAGTGAAGCAGATTCACTGTGCATTGGTTACCAACTTGTCTGAGTCTGGTGAGAAAGAACACCCACACACACAGCAGGTTACATGAAGCGGAGTTATGACTTACAGATAGGCAGCAAGGCATAACCAAAGCCTATGATTCATTGGGAGCTGGTCCCCCAAGGCTCAGGAAAGCTGCCCAGGGTGGATGAAATCTCATCTGTGCAGGCCTCACTTGCACTGCAGCTGAGGGACCCCAGAAAGCAGCCCACCCTGGGTTTTATACCCCAAGGTTGATGATTCACTGGACTGAAGCATTGAAGGCTATTCTGTTTCTAAGGAGCAATGGAACAAAGTCTGGGTTGTTCTGGCCAGTTCCTCCCTATCTCAGGATGTTGTATTCCCAGCATATTCTACAGTTATTCTTGAGAACTACAGGCAAAAAAGGGAAGAGAACAGGGTTGATTCAAGGCCACCCAGAGAACTATACTGCAGTAGAGAGGAAAGCATTCACATTCACCCTCATTCATTCCTACCCTCTCCTCTGACTTTGAGCTCCATTGTTTGATGCACGTGTGTGTGTGACAGCAATGGAAAACTAATTTTGACAAGATCCCCATTTAGACACCATGTATCTAATGACAGCATTGTCTAAGAGATATTAAGCACAGTTGCATCCCTGTGTCAAGATCCAATTAAAAAATTTTTTTTTGAGACAAGGTCTTGCTTTGTCACCCAGGCTGCAGTGCAGTGGCATGATCACCACTCACTATAGCCTCCACCTCAAAGGATCCCCGCCCTCAGCCTCCCAAGTAGCTTACACCACCATGCCCAGCTGATTTTTAAAAAACTTTTTGTAGAAACAGGGTCTCACTATGTTGCCTAGGCTGGTCTCAAACTCCTAGGCTCGAGCGAGCCTCCCACCTCAGTCTCCCAAAGGTCTGGGATTACAGGTGTGAGCCACCATGCCTGGCCCCCATGCATTCTTTTTTTTTTTTTTTTTTTTTCTGTGAGACAGAGTCTCACTCTGTCGCCCAGGCTGGAGTGCAGTGGCACAATCTCGGCTCACTGCAAGCTCCGCCTCCTGGGTTCATGCCATTCTCCTGCCTCAGCCTCCCAAGTAGCTGGGACTACGGGTGCCCGCCACCACCACACCTGGCTAATTTTTTGTATTTTTAGTAGAGATGGGGTTTCACCGTGTTAGCCAGGATGGTCTCGATCTCCTGACCTTGTGATCTGCCCAGCTCGGCCTTCCAAAGTGCTGGGATTACAGGTGTGAGCCACCGCGCCTGTCCTCATGCATTCTTTTTTGTTTGTTTTTGAGACGAAATCTCACTCTGTGGTCTGGGCTGGAGTGCAGTGGCATGACCTTGGCTCACTGCAACTTCTGCCTCCCAGGTTCAAGCTATTCTTGTGCCTCAGCCTCCTGAGTAGCTGGAATTACAGGCGTGTGCCACCATACCCAGCTAAATTTTTTTTTGTATTTTTTAGTAGAGATGGGGTTTCACCATGTTGGTCAGGCTGGTCTCGAACTCCTGACCTCAAGTGATCCACCCGCCTTGGCCTCCCACAGTGCTGGGATTACAGGTGTGCACCACCGCACCAAGCCCCCATGCATTCTTTTATTTAATTATTACACCTGTGCTATGAGATTGGTATAATTGGTCACCTCATGAGAAAAAAGGCTTGAAGAAATATCTTGTGCAGCTGATAAACAACAGAGCCACATTGGAACCCAGATCTGCTGACTCACTGTTACTCTAACGCCTGTGTTACTCTGTCTAGAAAGTGAGGACTGAAGACCAAACCTATAGCAACTATAAATGTATATTTCATGGAAATTGTTTGAAAATGATAACAAATGAGAATGGAGGGGCTTTTATTGTGGTGGAGGAGGTCCGTTGAGGTCCCCAGAGCCAAGTGCAAAAGTGTCTGTGATACTAATAGTGTCACATTTGTTCAGAGCTTTGCAGTTTACATTTTGTTTTTATTGCTTATTTTTAAATTGTGGTAAAATATACGTGACAGGAAGTTTACCATTTTAACCATTTTAAGTGTGCAGTGTTGTGGTATTAAGGACGTTCTTATTGTTGTGCTACCATTACCACCATCTATTTCCAGAACTCTTTTCATCCTGCAAAAATAAAACTCTATACCCATTAAACAATAACTCCCCACTGCCCCTCCCACAACTCTGGAAACCATCATTCTGCTTTCTGTCTCTGTGAATTTGACTACTCTAGGTACCTCCTATAAGTGGAATCATGCAGGCTGGGCACGGTGGCTCACGCCTATAATCCCAGGACTTTGGGAGCCCGAGGCAGGCAAATCACCTGAGGTCAGGTGTTCGAGACCTGCCTGGCCAACATGGTGAAACACCGTCTCTACCAAAAAATACAAAAATTAGCCAGGCGTGGTGGCGGGCACCTGTAATCCCAGCTACTCGGGAGGCTGAAGCAGGAGAATTGCTCAAACCCAGGAGGCAAAGCTTGCAGTGAGCCGAGGTCGCGCCACTGCACTCCAGCCTGGGCGACAGAGCGAGACTCCGTCTCAAAAAAAAAAAAAAGAAAAGTGGAATCATGCAGTGTTTGTCCTTTGTGACTGGCCTATTTTGCTTAGCATAATGTCCTCAAGGTTTATGCAGTAGTATGTATCAGAATTCCCTTCCTTTTAAAAGCTGAAAAAGTATGTATATACCACATGCAGTATACATTTTTATATACTTACTTGGGTGTATAATTTCATACAGTGGAGATTATGTCCCCATTTTTCAGGTAAAGAAAGAGATTTAGAAGGGAAGTGGCTTGCCCTAGAGACAGACCCAGGGCTAGGACCCAGACCCCATCTTATTTTCTCTCCTCACGCATTACTTCATTATAAGGCTTCCCAGGCACAGGCCTCACACTCCTCTGTGTTTGAGATCCTCAGACAGCGTATGGTGGTGAGGGGTGTCTGACCATGCCCGTCATCATACAAGCCATCGTAAGCTAGACCTAGCTATAGAAGACACAGACTGCGACAGGGACTCAGACCCCATACGGACCTCTACGGACAAACCAGAGAGAGCCTGTGGCTGTCGGTAAGGAGGGGGCTTGTTAGGCAGAAACTTTGAGCTCTGGCAGAAGGCAGTGAGAGCTGGCTCTGACCTGAATGACAGGATCATCAGAAGGAGGTGGGATGATGAGATGTGGGGGTGGATTTTTAGCATGGACCAGCAGGGGCCCAGAGAAAGAAGGTTTTGTAGGATTTGGCCAGGAGGTTCCCTATGCATTTGCCAGACAGGCTAGCAAGCTGCTCGCTTGCATTCCTATGAAGCAAATTGTTCCAGATGGAACTTTCAAGGTGGGTGGGAGTAGGAGGAGGGAAACACATATAGATAGGGTGGCTTTACTGAGCCTGGCACATAGGAATAGGTGTGTTTGAGGGGGGACTCAGGTATGAACCTGCATGGTAGAAAGTGCAATGCCATGTGCAGGGTCATGTACCAGATCCAAAGAAGGGTAAGGGACTTCCAAGCGATCTCAGCTGCTGGGTGAGGACTCTCTGTGTTTACTCCCAGCCCCACCCTGGACTTTGTGGAAGGGAGGCATCAAGAGGACAGATCACATCACGTCAGAACCTGGCACGAGCTGGCTCCCGGCATCCTTTGGCTAATCTTGCCCTGGTGTAGGCCATCACAGAAGCCCCCTGGATATTGCCTGATGCCTCATTAATGGCATTGCTGAGCTCATTAATTTGATTTTTCTCCTCTCCTCAGTCTTCCAACTTGGAGCTGTCACCTCAGTCACTCCCAGCCTGGGGCTGGGTTTGCACGGAGGATGCCTCAGAGGTTGCTATCGGTCTCATGACACAGATTCAGAAAGACCCGACTGCAGCTCCCTTTGGGGGTGCAGTATTTTCCTAGGGGTGTTGCAGCAGAGCACCACAAACTGAGTGCTGAAATTACAAAATGTATTATCTTGGGCTGGTGCAGTGGCTCACACCTATAATCCCAGAAGTTTGGGAGGCTGAGGCAGATAGATTACATGAGTCCAGCGGTTCGAGACCAGCCTGGGCAACATGACAAAACCCTGTCTCTACTAAAAATACAAAAAATTACCTGGGTGTGGTGGTGGGTGCCTGTGGTCCCAGCCACTGGGGAGGCTGAGGGGGGATGATCACCTGTGCCCAGGGAGGTCGAGGCTGTAGTGAGCTGAAGTCACACCACTGCACTCCAGTCTGGGCAATCAGAGTGAGACTCTGTCAAAAAAAAAAAAAAAAAAAGGAAAGAAAGAAAGAAGGGAGGGAGGGAAAGGAAAGACAGAGAGAAAGACAGAGACAAGGAAAGAAAGAAAGAAGGAAAGAAAGAAAGAAAGAAAGAGAAAGCAAGCAAGCAAGCAAGCAAGCAAGTAGGGAGGGAGGGAAGGAAGGAAGGAAGGGAAGGAAGGAAGATGCTGAGTGCAGTGGCTCACGCCTGTAATCCCAGCACTTTGGGAGCCTAGATGGGTGGATCACTTGAGGTCAGGAGTTCAAGACCAGCCTGACCAACATGGTGAAACCCCATCTCTACTAAAAATACAAAAATTAACTGGCTGTTGTGGCATGCACCTGTAATCCCAGCTACTTGGAGGCTGAGGCAGGAGAATCACTTGAACTCAGGAAGTGGAGGTTGCAGTGAGCTGAGATCACGCCACTGCAGTCCTGCCTGGGTGACAGAGTGAGACTCTGTCTCAAAAAAAGAAGAAAGAAAAGAAAGACAGAGAGAGAAGGAAGGAAGGAAGGAAGGAAGGAAGGAAGGAAGGAAGGAAGGAAGGAAGTTTGTTTTTGTCTTACAGTTCTGGAGGCTTGAAGTCTGAAATCAAGGTATTGGCAGGGTTGGTTCCCTCCTAGGGCTCCAGGGACAATGGTTCCCTGTTAGGGCTCCAGGGAAAATCTGTTTCATGCCTCTCTTGTGGCTTCTGGAGGATAGCTGGTGTCTTTGGTGTTCCTTGGCTTGAGGATGCATCCCCCCATCTCCGCCTTTATCTTCACATGATGTTCTCAGTGTGCGTGTGTGTGTGTGTGTGTGTGTGTGTGTGTCTGTGTCCAAATTTCCCCTTTTCATAAGGACACCAGTCTTATTGGATTAGGGCCCACCCTAATGACCTCATTTTAACTTGATGGCATCTGTAAAGACCCTATTTCCAGTTGAGGCTACATTTTGAGGTAGTGGGGACTTGGAATCCAGCATATTTTTTTTAGGGGACACAATTCAACCCATAATGTGGGAATCTTTTGTTCTTCAAAACCCTCCTCTGAACACCATGTGTCTTTAGGAAACTCATAAGCCTTTGTATCCAGAATGGCATGAATTTAAGCTCAGGAAGAACTTCCTAATAGGATGTAGTGAAAGTCATGACTATGGCCAGGGGCAAGAGCAAGGAGAGGAGGGGGAAGAGAGGAAAAAGGAGAAAGTAGAGAAGGAGAGGGAATGAAGGAGAAAAATCATATCCAAACTCTGTTTTTTTTTTAGGGGGGGAGGTGGTTGGGGAGGACCAGGTCTCACTCTGACGCTCAGGCTGGAGTGCAGTGGTGCAATCAAAGCTCACTGCAATCTCGACCTCCCAGGCTCAAGTGATCCTCCCACCTCAGCCTCCAGAGTAGCTGGGACCACAGGTGTGTGCCATGATGCCTGGCCAATTTTTTGTAGAGGTGGGGCTTTGCCATGTTGCCCAGGCTGGTGTCGAACTCCTGAGCTCAAGCAGTCTGCCCACCTCGGCCTCCCGAAGTGTTGGGATTACAGACATGAGCCTCCAAATTCACTTTCGATATGCTTATAGGAGGAAACCATGTTAAAGTCTTTCTAAGAACATGGGTTGAATCTCTCAGCTGGACCCAAACCAAAGCCTTGGCCAGAGAATATGATTTATATTAAAGACCCCTTCCTCTCACAGCCAAAATGTTGAGGGAAAGAAGTTTCACATAAAAGAGAATGTATTGGCCAGGCGCAGTGGCTCACGCCTGTAATCCCAGCAATTTAGGAGGCCGAGGAGGGTGGATCACCTGAGGTTGGGAGTTCGAAACCAGCCTGACCAACATGGAGAAACCCCGTGTCTACTAAAAATTCAAAATTAGGCCAGGCACGGTGGCTCACGCCTGTAATCTCAGCACTTTGGGAGGCTGACGCGGGCTGATCACGAGGTCAGGATATCGAGACCATCCTGGCTAACATGGTGAAACCCCATCTCTACTAAAAATACAAAAAAATTAGCCGGGCGTGGTGGCAGGCGCCTGTAGTCCCAACTGCTCGGGAGGCTGAGGCAGGAGAATGGTGTGAACCTGGGAGGTGGAGCTTGCAGTGAGCTGAGATCATGCCACTGCACTCCGGCCTGGGCAACAGAGCAAGACTCTATCTATCTCAAAAAAAAAAAAAAAAAATTAGCCTGGCGCGGTGGCGCAAGCCTGTAATCCCAGCTACTCGGGAGGCCGAGGCAGGAGAATTGCTTGAACCCGGGAGGCAGAGGTTGCGGTGAGCCGAGAGCGCCATTGCACTCCAGCCTGGGCAACAAGAATGAAACTCCATCTCAAAAAAAAAAAAAAAAAAAGAGAACATATTGCAGATTCCTATTTACATAAGAGTGAAGACTAGAAAAACAAATCTATGGTGATAGAAGTCAGAAGTGGTTACTGTTGGGAAGGATAAGCTGGGAGTGGGCATTACAGGGCCTCTAGGGTACATTGACTGGGTGATGGTGTACGTATATGTGACAATTCACAGAGCTTGATATTTAAGACGACTTCAGTTTACTATAATTAAATCATATCACAAAAATCAATCAATCAATCAATAAAATAACCCCTTTCTTACTTTTTTCACCCCACTGATCACCCCAGGCCACTCTGTCCAGTTCTCAGGCTGTTTCCATATTCTGTGCTCACAAATGTGAAATAAAATAGAAAAACAACTAGCATGATGTTCAGCACATAATAGTACTCACAAAATTTAAATTTCCTTTATGCACCTGTGCACATCATGTTCTGGGGATACAGAAGGAGAGGTGTCCACAGATGACCTGGGATTCTTCTCCATCAGCCATCCGTGGAATGTGGAGGCCCTGGGAGTAGAAGCATGTTCAGGCTTTGGTGGAAGACTGGTAAAAAATAAATAAATAAATAAATAACGTCCCCTGTCCTCAGGAACAGAACACAGCCCAGCAGAAACCCCAAATCATAATTAAAAGATGCCCTGCAACTTTCTTGGCAGCATACATTTTGAAGATGAAAGTAAATGATTAAAATAATTAAACACTTCAAGCTGACAAGCTGGAGCAGAATCTTGCCAGCGGACGTTTGTCAGTAATTAGCTAATTAATCCTGGCGCAGATTATAAGCCATAACAAACCAGTCAGGTTGAACAGAGCCGGCTGCTCAGAATTAGACTTTTAAAAAAGAAGAGAAGGGTTGGGGGAGGAGAGGACAGATAAGAGGGAAGGAGGAAAACTAAGAGAAGAATAAGACAGGCATTTGGGGCCACCTGGCTTTACCCTACCAGACAGGGCAGGCACAGCCTAGAGGGGGCTTCCTGGAGAGTTTTGGGCCTGTCTAGGCTCAAGGCCCAGCCCATGCTGGTACTTCAATCCAAATGGATACTGGGGTTGTGGGGGAGAGGGAGGGCTCTGTACCTCTGGGCCCCAAACCAGAAGGAACAGTGGGATGGATAGGAGTCCTCTGACCATCCAGGTAGGAGGTGATGTCCCCATCAGGTGGATACGGCATTATTCCATTTCTTCTTCCATTCAACAAAGGACTCTAAGAATGACAAGGGTCTCATTTCTGTGGAAAGAAATGACAAGATCCAAATAGGGAATCAGGGCCCAGTCAAGCAGTCTGGCTCACGGCAGGCTCTAGACCAGTGCTGAGCAACACAAATACAATGTGAGCCACAAGTGCAATTAAATAAAGAGAAGCAGATGAAATTCATTTTAATTATACATTTTATTTAACCCAGTATTTCCAAAATGCAAGTATTTTGTCATTATGGTTAATATGAAAACATTTTTTTCATGAGCTATCTTACATTCTTTTTTCCTAAGTCTTTAAATTCCCGTATGTATTTTATACTTTTAGCCCATCTCAACAACTCAGACTAGCTATATTTCAAGTGTTCAACAGCCATGCATGGCTAGCAGCTCCTGTATTTGACAACACAGCTCCAGATATAAAAAGAAGTAGGGGAGAGGGATCCTAAGCCCTGGGACAATCTGCAGCGGGGGTAGGGGAAATCAGAGTGGCATGACCTCCTCATTGTCTGTGTTTCTCTCCTTGGCCATTCTTCCACCTCGCTGCCCTGGCTGGCTGTTTCCAACCAAATCGGCCTCACTTTCAAGGCTCTCTAAAGATGAAGGTTCTGGGAAGGACAGAGAAGAATCCAGAGGAAATGGATTCCTGCGCCGGTGCATACACATGGGGCAGGGGAGTGCTACTGCTGCTGCACAAAGAGTTATGCCCTGCAGTCTGGGAGCACGATTGTGTCTGTGCACCTGTGTGTTTCAGAGATGCTCCAGCACACCAGCACTGACCTTCAGGCAGCCTCTTGCAGCCTCAGTCCCTGGGAAAAGCCCAGTTTCCTTCATAATCATGTCAGGGAAGGGACAAGAGATGGCACATTTCACTCTAATGGAATGTTCTGGAAAGACTGTCAGAGGAAATTTGTCTCTTGGAAAATGATCAGAATCTTTTTGAGGTGAAGATCAACCACTTCTAGGCAGAGACCAGTCCATCTTCCACTGCCATTCTGGCTTAAGTTCTCCACAGATGAGTTGAATCCCTCAGAAGCCACATCAAAGTTCTGGAAAGAGTGAGGGAGTGAAAGGACACAGCCCCTGACCAGTGGCATGGACTTGTTGGTGCAGCCAGTGCCATGGGCTCCACTGCCCAGAGGAGAGCTCTGGAGAGGGCAGAGGAGGCAAGAGGAAGAAGGTGGGCTCTGAGAGCCACACCCACAGCTCAGATTGCAGGGCAACAGAAGCCACTTTGTCTTCTAAACTCACCTCCCAAGGAAAAAACCCTTCTTCCTCCACTCCCAAAGTGCACCCTTGTTTAGTCAAGCCTGTGTCCCCTGCCCGTAGGAAGGAGGAAAGCTCTTTTTAGTACACCAGCAGAACTACATTTGATGATGCAACTTAGTAACTTTGTGCTTAAGAACAAAGCAGCACTGCTTAGGGCCAAGGGAGGTGAAAGAGAATCTCCTGGTGGTCAGAGCTCGGGGACATCCCTGTTAGCTGGGTTGATCAGGGAAGGCCTCAGGAAGAGGTAAGCTTGATCTGTACTTTGGAGATGGGAGGAATCAGAGAACAGAGAGAAAAATGGAGGGCACTTTGGCGGGGAATTTAACACAGACCCTCTTACTCATTGCACATAGCTCTTTAAAGCTTACAAAGTATGTTCACATGTGTAATCTCATTTCATCCTCATTGGACTATGGGATCCCAGAGGTACTATCTCATTTGAGAAGCAATTCAGCATAGTAATTAAGAGTGCAGTTTTTGAATTTCTGGTTAAATGTGGCAGATGGAATAAATGCATTTATATCTGCTCCCTCAACAAACCTCACAAAAATAAAAGTAAAGCGATGTAAAGAAGCCAATGGTGGACCACAGATGTCAACACATTTTTGGAAGATGGCAAGTGGATGGACGGGTTGGCAGAGCTGAGATAGCTGCATACCAAGTGCTATAGCAAAAGATGCCAAAGAGAAGTCAGTCAGTTGGAGACCTAGGACAAGGGAAAGATTAGATATTGGAGGCACAAGTTATTGCAGAAGGTGGGAGTGAGGTATGGGCTAAGAACAAGGGAATGGGTTGAAATTCTGCATAAGAACCAGGTCCCTTCCATAACATACACAGGCAGATAACTACATCTTCCATATCTTGTCAAGGACTGGAGGTTTTATTCTAGTTAAAAAGTGAAACAGGCCAGGCGCAGTGGCACATACCTGTAGTGCCAGCTACATGGGAGCCTAAGGTGGGAGAATGGCTTGAGCCCGAGAGCTTGAGACCAGCCTGGGAAACATAGTGAGAACTTGTTTCTAATTAAAAATAAATAAAGCCGGGCATGGTGGCTCACACCTGTAATCCCAGCACTTTGGGAGGCCAAGGCGGGAGGATCACAAGGTCAGGAGATAGAGACCATCTTGGCCAACAGGATGAAACCCTGTCTCTACTAAAACACAAAAAATTAGTTGGGTGTGGTGGCACGTGCCTTTAATCCCAGCTACTTGGGAGGCTGAGGCAGGGGAATCACTTGAACCTGGGAGGCAGAGGTTGTGGTGAGCTGAGATCGTGCCACTGCACTCCAGCCTGGCGACAGAGCAAGACTTCGTCTCAAAAATAAATAAATAAATAAATAGGTCAGGCGCAGTGGCTCACACCTGTAATCTCAGCACTTTGGGAGGCTAAGGTGGGCGGATCACATGAGGCCAGGAGTTTGAGATCAGTTTTGCCAACATGGCAAAACCCCTCCTCTACTAGAAATACAAAAATTAGCTGAGCATGGTAGTGCATGCCTGTAACCCCAGCTACTCGAGAGGCTGAGGCATGAGAATCGCTTGAACCCAGGAGGCAGAGGTTGCAGTGAGCCAAGATTGTGCCATTGCACTTCAGCCTGGGTGACAGAGTGAGACTCTGTCTCCAGAAAGTAAAAAAAATTAAAAATATATATTTAAAAACCCACCAAAGTTACTCAGGAGACTGAGGCAGGAGGATCGCTTGAGACAGGGCATTCTAGAATGTGGTAAGTTATGATTGTGCCTGTGAATAGCCACTGCATTCCAGCCTGGGCAACGTAGCAACACCTCATCTATAATTTTTTTTTTAAGTGAACCAGGGATACTTCATTTCAACACCGGGCACAGTGGAAAGCAGGTGACAGATGTCATAATGAAAACAGGTGTGTTAGGAGACAGTCTGAACATTAAGACCCTAGGCTCATGAGACACAGTTTGTAGAATACTGATGGCCAGGTGAATACCCACCCTCTCAGGTGGAGATTAGGGATTTTTTTACTAGGGAAACTGAGTAGAGGAAAGATCTTTAGCTGGCCATGGTGGGTGGCTCACACCTATAATCCTAGCACTTTGGGAAGCCAAGGCAGGCGGATCATTTGAGGTCAGGAGTTCACGACCAGCCTGGCCAATATAGTAAAACTACTCTACTCTCTACTAAAAATACAAAAATTAACCAGGTGTAGTGGTACACACCTGTAATCCCAGCTACTCAGGAGGCTGAGGCAGGAGAATCGCTTGAACCCAGGAGGCGAAGGTTGCAGTGAGCAAGATGGCACCACTGCACTCCAGCCTGGGCAACAGAGAAAGACTCTCTCTCAAAAAAAAAAAATCAAAAATAAAATAAAATAAAATAAATAAAATAAAATAAACCCTTTAGATACTGAGAAAGAGATTAGAGAAAACGGAGAGAAGAGAGAGCACAGAAATAATAGAACGTTTCTCAGAGGTAAAAGACATGAGTTTCTAGAACAAAAAGACTTACCCAAAGACCTACAAATACAATATATAAAAATATGCCCAAACCAAGTCTCATTTGCATGAAATTTTTGATGAACTAGGATATGGATAAAATACTTAAAGTTTCCTTACAGAAAGGAGAGGGTGCACACAAAGGATAGCGTGGAATCAGGAATGGCAATGGACTTCTCAACAGCCGTCCTGGAGCAATGCCTTTAAAAGTCTAAAGAATTCCTATACTGGCCGGGCTCAGTGGCTCACATCTGTAATCCCAACACTTTGGGAGGCTGAGGTGGGTGGATCCCGAGGTCAGGGGATCAAGACCATCTTGGCCAACATGATGAAACCCCCTCTCTACTAAAAATACAAAAATTAGTTGGGGGTGGTGGTGCGCGCCTGTAGTCCCAGCTACTTGGGAGGCTGAGGCAGGAGAATTGCTTGCACCCAGGAGGTGCAGGTTGCAGTGAGCCAAGATCGTGCCACTACCCTCCAGCCTGGTGACAGAGCGAGACTCTGTCTCAAAAAAAAAAAAAAAAAAAAAGAATTCCTATGTCATTCAAGTTATAAGCCAACTGTGAGGGTAGAATAAAGAATTATCTGAAATATAAGGTATCAAGATTTTACTTCTCATGAATTCTTTTTTAAATTTTTGAGACAGTCTTGCTCTGTTGCCCAGGCTGGAGTGCAGTGGCCCAGTCTCAGCTCATGGCAACCTCTGCCTCCGAGGTTCAAGCAACTGCTGTGCCTCAGCCTCCCAAGTACCTGGAACTACAGGCGCTTACCACCACACCTGGCTAATTTTTGTATTTTTAGTGGAGATGGGGTTTCGCCATGTTGCCCAGTCTGGTCTCAAACTTCTGACTTCAAGTGATCCGTCCACCACGGCGTCCGGAAGTGCTGGGATTATAGGCGTGAGCCACTGTGCCTGGCTCTTCTCGTGCATTCTTTCTCAGGAAGCCGGTAAAGGACATGCCCTGTCACACTGAGATAAGGATGTGCTTCACTAAAATGGAAGACTAAGCCAAGAAAGAAAAGATGTGTGGGATCCAGGAAAAGGGGACCCACCCAAGAAAAGTGTGAAAGGGAATCCTCTGAACAACTTCTGTGCAGAAGGCCCAGAGGGAGATGGAAGGCTCCAGGTCTCCTTAAGGGAACAAAACGGGGGAATTAATAGATTGCCTGATGTGTTTCATCATGTGGAAATTAGCATTCAGAAGATTTTTACATTCTATTGAAGAGTTGGGGATGAATTCATGATAAAGATATGGAAAACTAAGAAAATGGCAGAAAGAAAAAAACAAGATAATTAACATAAGTAAAAACAAAAAATCAGCACAAGAAAGATAATGGAAGATTAGTTTCAGCAGTAAATCATGTGTGTGAAATCAGTAAGGCCAACACTGAATACTGATTTGACAAAAAATTATGATGTAACTATATTGGAGTGGTGGAGAAAGGAGATGAGTGGGGGTGGGGTGATACAAACTATTAAATTATTATCTTCCATAATAAACTAAGAACAAGCATTATAAGTATATTATTTTGATATTCAGAGGTAAATACCAGTAGGCAGAGCTCAAATGGTTTTTGTTTTTTCTTTTTGTTTTTGAGACAGAGTCTCACTCTGTCACCTAGGCTGGAGTGCAGTGGTGTGATCTCGGCTCACTGCAATCTCTGCCTCCCAGGTTGAAGTGATTCTCCTGCTTCAGCCTCCCGAGTAGCTGGGACTACAGGCATGTGCCACCACACCTGGCTAAATTTTTTTTGTGTGTGTGTGTGTGTGTGTGTGTATTTTTAGTAGAGATGGGTTTCACCATGTTGGTTAGGCTGGTCTGAAACTCCTGACCTCAAATGATCTGCTCACCTCGGCATCCCAAAGTGCTGGGATTACAGGCATGAGCCACCACATCTGGCCTCAAATGTTTTTGAGGTTGCTTTGGGGAGTGAGACTTGATTAGGATATGAACTGCTGTTTTTGTAGCAAGACTTGCAGTACTAGTTTGCTTTTAAAAACAATGTACATGTATTGATTTTCTTAAAAAACAAAATGTAGCCTATGATTCAGATCTTCAGAAGATTAAAACTCAAAGAGTAGAATGTAGATTAAATGCAAACTCCAGGCTGGGTGTGGTGGCTCACACCTGTAATCCCAGCACTTTGGGAGGCCGAAGTGGGTGGATCACAAGGTCAGGAGATGGAGACCATCCTGGCTGACACAGTGAAACCCTGTCTCTACTAAAAATACAAAAAAATTAGCCAGGCGTGGTGGCGGGCGCCTGTACTCCCAGCTACTCGGGAGGCTGAGGCAGGAGAATGGCATGAACCCGGGAGGCAGAGCTTGCAGTGAGCCGAGATTGCACCACTGCACTCCAGTCTGGGCGACAGAGCGAGACTCTGTCTCAAAATAAATAAATAAATAAATAAATAAATACAAATTCCAATGGGTCAGGGAGTCTTGTCTGCTCACTGCTCTAGTATAGTAGTCACTTGAATAAATACACTGAGCACTCAATAAATGCTATCTACTATTGTTTTTTGTGTTTGTCTTCAGGGTACATCCCTTCATGCTGGAGCATCAGCATTGCTTCCTAACATGCATATGCATACATGTATACCTATGCACACACATATGCAGGTAAGCCTCAGGGCATGTTCCTTCAACAAGTAGTTGCTGAATGAATTAAGAATGATTCCACCAGGCAAGCATCATTGCCTCATTTTGCAGATGAAATAAATGATGTCATATAGCCCATAAATGGAATAACCAACATTTTTAACCTTGGCCTTCAGACTCCAAGTCTTATGTTCTTCTCTCAACAGCCAGCAGCTGAAGAGTTGTAGAAGCACAGAGCTGAGAAATCACCTAGATAGGCTGTGGATGACAAATGGCCCTCTTTGATTGGAGAAGAAGAGGGTTTGTGCACAGGAGAAGTGGGCGATGACTCTAGAGATGTGAATGCTTGTCATGTGGTGGAGGAGGGCTTTGAAGTGAAGCGAAGTGAATTATTCAAAGCATTGGGCCCAGGTGCAGTGGCTCATGCTGTAATCCCAGACATTTGGGAGGCCAAAGCAGGAGGATCACTTGAGGCTAGGAGTTCAATACCAGCCTGATATTGAACATAGGAAGACCCTGTCTCTTCAAAAACATTTAAAAATTAGCCGGGTGTGGTGGTGTGCGCCTATAGTCCTAGCTACTCCAGAGGCTGAGGTGGGAGGATTGCTTGAGCCTAAGAGTTTGAGGCTGCAGTGAGCTGTGATTGTGCCACTGCACTCCAGCCTGGATGACAGAGCAAGACCCTGTCTCAAAAAAAGAAAAAAAAAAAAACCACACACACACACACACAAACACACACACACACAAACACACACACAGAGCCAGTGGTGTCTGTCCATGGTGCTGACATGAACTCCTATCCATTTCTTCAGCATGGAGCCAAGCCCACTACGTTCATCCTCAATCCCAGGCATCCTTAAACCCCACGGCATCTGTCCATGGTCTTGACCACAATCCTCATTTGCCACTACAGCCCTAGTGGTCCGTATCAGAGCTTATAATTCTTAGTCACACTGTTTATGTATAGAGACTCAAGATGATGTTTCCCTCTGGGTGTGGCATCAGAGACCTTCAGTGGTCTTGCAATGCCTAACTCTGTCAAGGCTGAAGCCAAGCTCTGGTAACAGATGGCCTGACAAACTTGGGGCAGAAGGCCAGCCATCAGTAGACATGTCCAGGTCCCTGGGGAGAAGTCTGGCAAGATCAAGGCAGGAGATCAGGGTCAATGCCAATTGGGCAGAGTTCTAGCCTTGGAGGGACAAGAGAGAAAACTAATGAAGGAAGCCTGCCATGTGGACTTGGTACAATTAGAGGTAATGGAAGAGGTCCTATTCTGGCAGGCACAGGAATGTCAGAACACTCCCCAGATACCATGTGCCAAGCTTAGAAAGAACCTGTAAGTCCAGATGGACCTTGGTGGTCTGATGAAACTGAGCCTGTCTGGTTCCCTTGCTGTTACTTGACAGTTCACTCCCCCAAAGGCAACCCAAAACTATGGGCTGAGCTTCCTTGAAGTCAGAACTGCCCCAAGTCAGGGCAAACACTGAGGCTCTTGCTGTAACTTGTCTTCAACATTCAAATGATGAAAAGAGAGGTAGAAGTGGGACCAGACGGGGGTCCCCAGAGTGGGTGCCTCTTGAAGACAGTGGAGAGTCCATTTCCAAGTAACATTTTTAGTTTCTACTATGTAGGATCCACCAGCCTTAGCCTCCCAAAGTGTTGGGATTACAGGTGTGAGCCACTGTGCCTGGCCTCAACAATCTACTGAGGAAGGTATTTTTAATCCCATACACGTAGAGCAATTGGAGCCCAGAAAGGCAAATGACTTGCCCGAGGTCACATGATAAGTATGTGGCAGGGTCCCTGCTTTTTCCTTCTTATGATGTAAGCACCCAGCTGAACCCTGCACCCACTCACTCACACAGGACCCTCCAAGCAGGCAGTGCCTTCCTGAAAGGCCATCTGTCCTTCTACCAGCTGCAACCAGCATGGCTGAATGAGGTGGGTACCGTTTATGCCCCCACCTTTGGTTGGATGCAGCTAAAGTGGCTCTGAGCACCCGTTAGCTGTGGGGTTTGGAGGAGGTCTGGAGACTCCAGGTAGTAGGGATGGGGAGAAAAACTCTGTGGAGGGAAGAATCTGGTGGCAATGGGAGTGGGAGAGGACTGGCTTCCTGCTGCTCCCAGAACGATTCTCACCTGCCAATCGATGGCTGCAGACTCACGCAAGTGCTAATCAGCTCCATTGACACACACAGGCTGGGGCTACAATCCATTTTCACATGGAATGGCAGATCGATTCCTCGTTCTCTGCAGTCCCCAACCAGCCTCATCAGACCATCTGTCCTTGAGGGACTGAGAAACTGGTTAACTCTCTGCACCTCTGGCCACCTGTGAGTTTTGCCCTTCTCTATATTCTCCTCCAGATACAATCTCACTCCCCAAACCATTGCCAGGCAGAGCAGTACAGCGGAACTCTGGGCTGGGAGTCCAACAGGCCTGGGTTCCACTCTTAGATCAGCAGCTAATTGTGTGACTTTGGACCAGTCACTTCACCTCTTCTAACCTCAATTTTCTCAGCTGTGCAGCAGGGATAAAAATGTCAACTCTGCAGGGTTTCTGTGAGGACTCAATTATAGTTAGTGAATGTAACGTGGGGAAAAACTGCAAAATGTAATTAATATAAAGCCCAGGAGGCTGTTCCTAGAATAGGTTCTTCCCTAAACCCAGCCCCTTGCCTTTCACGTAAAGCCCTATTTTTGAGGTCTGACAATGCTGGGAGTGCATTTCTGTTGACATAAATCTAGAAGAGGTTGTCTCCTCTCTCAGGTTATGTTAAGTGGCCCAAAACAGCTCTTGATCCCTTGTTTTCCTGACATGATCAGACCTTCTAGTGGGGACCTCTGAGTTCTGGAAACTGAGCTTAGAAGCAGCAGAAACCAGGTAGGCAGGAGCTGGACCCAGCCAACCCAGGTGGAGTGCCTGGTAAAAGGGTGTTTCTAGGGCTCTGGGTAAATTTCTAGATTTACCTCCTACACTCAGAAGTAAAATCCCACCCATATTGACACACACATATATTATATCATATATATCATATATATCTACACACACACACACACACACACACACATATATATATATGTAATTTTTTGAGACAGAGTCTCCCTCTGTAGCCCAGGCCGGAGCACAGTGGTGTGATCATAGCTCATTGCAGCCTTGAACTTGGCTCAAGTGACCCCCAGCCTCAGTCTCCTGAGGAGGTAGGACTACAGGTACATGCCAGCACACTCAACTAATTTTTTTTTTTTTTTTAGACAGGGTCTGTATCTGTCATCCAACTGGAGTGCAGATCACAGCTCACTGCAGCCTTGACCTCCCCAGGCTTGCGTGATCCTCCCACCTCAGGCCCCGAGTAGCTAGGACTACAGACATGCACGACCACGACCGGCTACTTTTTTGTAGCCATGGGGTTTTGCTATGTTGCCCAGGCTGATCACAAACTCCTGGGCTCAAGTGATCTGCCGGCATTAGCCTCCCAAAGTGTTGGGATTACAGATGTGAGCCTCAACAATTTTTTTTAATTTTTCATACAGGCAGAGTCCTGCCATGTTGCCCAGGCTGGTCTCAAACTCCTGGCCTCAAGTGATTCTCCTGCCTTGGCCTCCCAAAGTGCAAGGATTATAGGCATTAACTACCACGCCCAGCCCCATGTTCACATATATTTTGACAGTACTCATCAGTTTTATTTAATTTCAGAAAAGAAGATCACATTCTAGAGATGCTCTTCACATTCTTCCCATACATATTCTCTGCCAAAAGGCAGCGCCTTCTTTCTTCTCAATCCTATTCCCAGTCATAAATGATTATACAGGAGTAGGAAACATTTGCCCAAGCTGGGCCAATCAGATTCTTTCTAACTTCATGTGCACTGTGGTAAAGAGGAAATAACCATTTGGGGGCAGCCATAGTAGTGCATGTGAAAACAGAGGAAGCCAGTTTACCGAGAGGAGACTGGAGCAGACATGCAGATAAATGCAGAGGCAAGAACTCAGGAGGCCCTGAGAGAGCAAGGTGGGGAGTTGCTCCATGATGACTTTCTAGTTCCAGAGCATATCAGCTGTATTTCTTTGTCCCTGTGTTGGACCACTACAAACAACCTTTTATAAAGCTGGCTTGCATGCATTTCTGCTCTGTTAGAGTCTAATAGCCAGACTCTAGCTAGAACAGACCCAAAGCGTGAAACTGCTCCTTTAACTTTTTTAAAAAGCCATCTAGTATTAATATTGACATGTTAAGTGGACAGTTACAAACACTGAATTAGAAGCTGTTTGGCCATGGAACAGGTCTTCCAAAGTGCTTCTGAATTAGTGTCTGCACACTACATCTACCCTGGGGTTAGACGGCCACTCATTTATTCATTTTAAAAAGTATTCAATAATAATACTTGATAGTAATTACTATGTTCCAGGTACCATACTTTGTACTGAACATACAATGGGAGCAATACAGTCTCTGCTTATTTGAAGCTTGCTTTCTATTAGGCTAACCCTAAACACGTTTAATTTAAACACATTGATCAAATGATTGAAACACATACATAACACCATACCTGATATCTCCTAGGAAATGTTATACATGCACTGCACATATGAATTAACTCATTTAATAATTACATTACCCTTTTGGGGCAGATACTATTATCGTATCTTTTTTTACATATTAGAAAATTGGAGGACAGAAAAGTTAAGTAACCTGCCCAAGGTTACACAGTTGTTAAGTGGCAGAGCTGGGATTCGAACCTAGTCTGCTCGATGCCATCACCCATACTTAACCATCACATCATACTCCCTCTCAGTACAAATGAATAACACTATAAGGCCAGGGATGAATCTGAACCAATTCCTCTGTTCTCGTGTAGGCCCATTTCCCCAGATGAGGGCCAGGAAGCTGAGCATATCTAGCCAGTTACTAAGAGTGACTAAAGGAAGCCCCATCAGCTACCTCTGGCGCTAGGGCAATGCATGGAACTTGGGCCCAAGCTACTGGAAAGGAGCTCTGGTCAGTGCCCATCCTACCCTGGGCCCTGCACAGCCATCTGAACTCCCCAGACCTGCCAGATTTCTGAGGTCTTCAGAGAGATTCCTGGTGAGGGATGCCAGGTCTCATGGCTAGCTGTTTGGCAAATGCCTCCAGAGGGTTGCTCTGCTCAGGGCCTGCATCTCCTGACTGTACTCTGGGTTCTTTCTGTTCCAGAGCATCCCATAGGCAGCTGCTCTGATTCAGAAGTTTTCTCACATCCACGCCTGCCTTTTCACCCCATTTCCTGACTGCATCATTGCTCACTGGGATGGTGCTAACAGCCTCTTCATGGGTCTGCTGGGGCCAAGTCTCTCTCCTTTGAATTCTTCTTCTTCACAACTGCTACAATGAACTTTCTAAAATACATGCCTATGTCATGCTCTTGCTTTAAAAACAATGGGTCCCCTTAAGATATTACCATTAGGGGAAACTGGGTGTGATATTGGAACTGTCAGGACTCCTTTGCAGTTTTTTATAAACCTAAACTTATCCCAAAATAAAAAGTTTGTTTAAAGAAGTAATGACTCACTACATCACTTACTCTGATACTCAGGATGCTGTGTCAAGCCCCCGCCCCCTGCTGCCTTCTCATCATTCCCTGAGGGTGTCATCCTGTTGGAAACCTCAATAACCATACATTGTTTGGAACGCTCTTCATACCCTTAACTTTCTACCCTGGTAGACTGATGAGCCCCTAACTAGTCGTATTTATTTATCAGACATGTATAGAATTTTTAACTGTGTACGAAGCACTTAACACATAACTCATATGATCTTTACAACCACTCCATAAGGGAGATACTATTGTTAACTCATTATACAGATGGGAGAATTAAGGCATTCACAAAGAAGTTCGGTAACCACACATGCCCCAAACCACACAAAGGTGGCATTCAAACCCAGGTAGTGTAGATCCAGACTCTACGCTCTTAATGAGGACACTGTGCTTGCTGCCTTTTCAGCTCTCAGAGTTCAGCTTAAGTATCACCTCCCCTGGAAGCCTTCTTTGATTCATTTCCAGCAAAGTTACTGTCTTCTCCACTCTCAGATCCCATATCCCTTTGTATATTCATTCATTTATTCATTCAGATGCTCATTCATTCAATATTCATCAAAACATATATACCGAGCTCTCACTACGTCATATCTTTTTTCTAGGCACTGGGAATCTAACCATCTGCAATACTCTGTGTAATCCTATATTGGAATGATGTGTTGATCTCTGTCTCCCTCTGGGCTATTTCTTCAAGCTATTAATCTTTGTAGCTCCTTTAGAATCTTGCACAGTACCTACCATGTGGTTTGTCCTCAGTAAATGTGCTTCACAAGAATAAATGAATAGTTATCAAAAATTGTGATGACAGTAATGATAATGTCAACCATTCAGATGGAGTCTGGTGTGTGACTGGGACAGTGTGGGCTGTGAGCCAGGGGCCAGGTACCTCATCAGAGTCGAGCCCTAGGCCAGGAGGCTCCTGGGGAGATGACAAGTGCCTTCTGCATGTAGACCAAGCCATCTTTGTCACTGTGATTATATCTGCCATTAGTGTTGGTGTTATGCTGCAGTGTGGCAGGTGCCAGCAGCAAACTGGCTTGTCACACTTCCTCATAGCAAGAGAAGCATCAGGGAGGCAAATGCTCCTAGAAGATGAGCAGCAAGGAGGACCAGACTCAGGCTGAGCTTTCTGCTCTGAGTCTCAGCAATCCAAACATCAGCTGTGGGTGGCTGGGGCCAGGACACATTTGCATCTTACTCCTGTCTCTGAGGTTCAAAGCCCTAGATATATTAAGCATGGGATATGGAGAACTGGGATGCTATGGAGCAGGAGTCACCAAATTAAAGGACCCTGAGCAAGAGGACTCATCAACTTTCATTGGATGAGAGCCTGAGTGCATGGTGGGGTAGTTTGGGGTGGGCTCCATGGAAGTTGGGTTTGAGGTGAGAATGGAGGGGAACAGGTAAGGCAGGAGTTAACATGGTCCTGAATGCCTTCATAGTCCCATACCCTGGGAGGAGGCATCTTAGGCTTTCTCATTCTATATAATCTCTTTGGGTACCAGAAGTCAGATGGCACAAATGATACTTCTGATGTTTGTGCAGAATCCTCTTATGTTCTCTATGACTTTTCCTGAAGGATTCCAGAATTACTATATTGAATGATTATAGGTTTCCTATGTGACTGGAATTCTCTAAAAGTCAGATCTGTTTCCCTGCCTCTGGGCAAATGGTTGAAACAATTATAGATGGCAAATAACAGTTGTTTGCCAGTGAGGCGCTTGGTGCAGTCAGTTTCAGACCGTACAACCAGTCTCTGATCATGGACCACTTCAGTTCTACTGGGTCTGCATCAGCTCCTGTGAGGCCTACAAGTGTTGTGTTTTTAGTCATCAGCAGATGTGACTGCCCTGACCCCTGGGGATAATGCAAGGAGTAGGAAGGTGCCATTTGTCTGAAAGCCGCTGGGATACTGGAGCCTGCTGCTGAAGACATCAGGCAGCCCTGATGCTTGCGTTTTAGACCAACCACACACTTCTGGGATGAGGGGAGACAAAGATGAGATATTCTAGGGAGAGGTCTTACTTTCACTTGGAGAAGCTAAAGCCTAGCATGCAGTGCAAGACCTAGCCACAAAGTTTATCCAATCTCTAGGCCCCTGATTTTCAGTTTAACTTCTATCTTAAAATTGGCTCCATTCCAAAGCTTTCAAACTTAATTCCAAACTTCTTTTTCCTGGGTCAGTACTGAGGAAGCAGGAGAGAGAATTTGAAATTAAAGAAGGTTTTTTATTTATTTATTTATTTTGAGACGGAGTCTCGCTCTGTCGCGCAGGTTGGAGTGCAGTGGCGCGATCTCGGCTCACTGCAACCTCCGCCCCTCCAGGTTTAAGCAATTCTCTGCCTCAGCCTCCAGAGTAGCTGGGATTACAGGCGTGTGCCACCACACCTGGCTAATTTTTTGTATTTTTAGTAGAGACGGGGTTTCACCATCTTGGCCAGGCTGGTCTTGAACTCCTGACCTCGTGATCCACCTGCCTTGGCCTCCCAAAGTGCTGGGATTACAGGTGTAAGCCACCACGCCCGGCCTAAAGAAGGTTGTTTTCTGTACTGGCTCTATTTCTCTAAGACTCTGCTTCTATCACCTTGAGGTACTCTGGGCTACAAAGGATATTGCCTTTCAGGGTACTTATTCCAAATCTGCACAATTTACTCATTGGTACTTTACTCTTTCTCCAGCTGCCCCTAAAACACCCTCACCCATCCCTGGCCATCTCCTTTGCCCTGCCTTTCCAGTTGAGGCTTTGATGGGCTGCCTTCCCCTTTCCAGATGTTGGTTTGCTACTCTTCCATCTGGCTTGACCTCCCTCTGGCCCAGTTTCTTCAGTGATGGACTTCCTTCTGATACAGACCTGGGACCTCCCATACTGATAGATGGCTCTCATAGACAGTTCTTACCTGGCATTGCTTGGCCCTTTGAATAACTATTGGATGGCTCTGGGGCTTGAACATCTTTGAAGGTGGTGAATAATACTACTAATAACATTTATTGAATACCAACTGTATACCTACAGGAACTAGGCTTAGCACTTTGGTTTATCTCATTTCATCCTTACAACCACTCTGTAAGGTAAGAACTAACATGATCATCTCCCATTTTATATCAAATGAAACTGAGACTCAAAAATGTTGACTGGCCAGGTTTGGTGGCTCACGCCTGTAATCCCAGCACTTTGGGAGGCTGAGGCAGGAGGATGGCTTGAGCCCAGGAGTTCCAGACCAGCCGGAGCAACATAGTGAGACCCTGTCTCTACAAAGAATACAAAAATTAGCCATGTGTAGTGGCGCACACCTGTGGTTCCAGCTACTTGGGAGACTGAGGTGGGAGGATCCCTTGGGCCCAGGAGCTCGGACCTGTAGTGAGCCCTAATTGCGCCACTACACTCCAGCCTGGGCGACAGAGCAAGACCCTGTCTCAAAAAAAAAGTTGATCATTTTGGTGAAGGTTTCCCAGCTAGTAAGTGGTAGAGTCAGGACTCAAATTCAGGCTTCTTTTATTTCCAAATACAAGCTTTTAACTACCATGTTGCATTATTTATCCAAGTTGGAGGAACTGAGTTTTCTGGAACATGACAGGCATCACTGGTGAGCACAGACCATTCTATGGACCATCAAGATATATGTGTTTGGAAGAAAGACTTCTGAGTCGATGCAGAAGTTTCTAAAAAGCAATGTGATGAGGAAAGATGACTGTCCAGACTAAAGTAAAAGTAGATACCATGAAGGACAAAGATGTGATAAAGGTGCTTTGTAGGAAAGGAGGAGGCTGGTAATTCATGCAGAAAAATGCCTATAAAGAGGATTTTAAAATTCCGCATATGACTTTAGTTGTCTAATCATCCAAGAATATGATTAATAAAAAAATAACTTATCATATTACCCAGTCGGGGTGTACAAACAACCTCAGAAGTACCACGAAGACTTTGCAGAATGGGGCACCTCACTTTAGCACGCAAGACAGTGTTTTATGCAAAATGGGCCTAATAAGGCCAAAACCTTGAGAGATGGGGCCTGTTCCAGAGGGGCAGCTAGTGTATGTCAGATGCAAAAGAGGAGGCAAGGGCAGCATTGAGAAGTGAAGCCAAGCACAACTAATGAATATCAGTGGTTCAACATCAAGACCAGCTTCTGAAGCAAAGACAGGACCAAAGAGTAAAGCTAAAGTCACCGAGGGTCCAGTCAGAAGATGTCAAGTGACCTGGCTATCACTGGCTGAAGAAATGAAGCAGGAGAAATGGAAGCTTGAGGAGGAAGGGAATGGTCATTTAATTAACCATAATTCTGGCAAATGATGTCTTGCTAGCATAAGACTGCTTCCTATCAAGCTGTGGACTGCTTTAAAAGTGCTGGCTTACACCTAGCAATGGAAAGATGCACCTTGTTGAAAATAAATGTATTTACTGGAAGGGATGGGGTATAAACCATATGACAAGAAAATATACCTTAGTAATGGGTGTGAACTTTACACAACACTCATGTGTAAGAAGTGGTACATTTTTCTATGTTGTATAAATATCATTTAAGCCCTCACTTGTGCTGGTTAACAGGAAATTAAATTTCAGAGGTATTTTTGAGGGCTGTCCCTCTCCCTAGGATTGATTATACAACAATTCTGAACAAAGAACACTGGCTTGGATTGGGTTCCCTAGAAGCAGAGTTTGAGACAGAGATTCTTGTTCAAGTGATTTACTAGGGGAGTAATTTCTGGAGGAAGGGTGTGGGAGATGCCGGATGGGACAGGGAGTAAAAGGTTGGCAAGAATGTGATCTCAGCTGATTCTATAAGAAATATCTGGAGCACAAGTTGGCCATAGAATTAGTTCCCCACTGAGGAAAGAGAGCCTGTCTTTTCTATCCCTGTGTCAATTAGTTATTGGTCAAGGTGGGGTCAGCTTCCCCAGTGAGGTGAATGACAATTTTCCAGAAGAGAAGGCAGCAGTGAGTTGTTGTCAATCAACATAGCTGAAGGGTGGTGCACTGATAGATCCACTAAAGTCCACACCTTGCACCTAGCAGCTTCACTGGCTTCTCACATTAAATTCATTTTGTCTAGGCATAGCTTCTCCTGCATCCTGGTTGGTCACAATTTCTAAGAAAACTTACAAGAGGAGGGTTTATGGAATGAAATATAGCCCAGGCTGTTGCATTTAGTCCTGAGCTGTAACTGATAGTCATCATCTCCCTCTTCTGCCATTTAGGCTTTCCTTATGAGTTGACCCACACTCTCATTCTCATGTTGTCCTGGTCACCAGATCCTTATCAGGCCATGGTTGCTAAAACTGCCCATTTATAGTTCAACTGGGCATGAGAATACCAAGAGATGTTCCAGCGGATCACCTGAGTGCCAGACAGATTCCCTTCTGCCCTCATTATGCAGCAGCAGTCCTATCTCCTCATGATGATTAGGGTTAATTACCCCTGCCAAATTGCTCATGCACTTTTACCTCTGCCCTCTGGATTTGCTTGAGCTTGATCCAAGATATATCACTTCCATTTTATGATGGATTACAGCTGGGCCCACTTGACATTTATAACTTGGTGGGTTTGTCAGAATCCAACTCAATATGGAAAGATGAAGCTACACGGCCTTTTAATGTGCTATGGTCAGACACTCAGTTTCTACAGGATGATATGTCTTTGAAGTTTGAGGTACAATTCTTCCATTGTAAACTAACAGAACTTTCATTCGGCATTTTCCTCTACCAAAGATACTTCTAGTAACATGTGATCAGCTGAGTCAAATGGCCCAAGCGGCAGGGCTATTTATATTGCAGTCTGCTGCTGCTGCACAGCCCTTTCTTGCTCTGGGCACACTCAAAGCTGGCAGTCTTCCACATGTCAATAGATGAGACTACCACTCAATATCCAAAACAAAAAATACAAAGCCTAATTTATTGCTCACATAAGTATATGCTGGTCAGGCACAGTTTCCTCTAAGAAGAGCAGATTGCTAATCTTAGAGTTTGGGGAAAGCATGGAATTCAAGGACTAGTGGATTTTCAGAGGCATGAGTGGGTTGATATAATCTTTAGAAGTGTGGTTACTCAGGTGAGACAGTTCATTGGTTGACATTCAGAAGTATGTTTACTGGAATGAGTTAAATCCTGACTGGCTTTTAGAAACAAGGAGTTGTCACTGAGTGGTTTGCTTGCAAAAAATTATGGTCACTGATGTGTGTTGTTGATTGATTAAAAGGTTTTAAAACCAGTTCTGGTAATTACTTGTTACTAAGGGCACAGAATTCTCATTTATTGATTAGATGGTTTTAAAACAGACTCTGACTTCATACCATGGCCTCAGAAAACAGTCAGTCTTTTCATAAGAGTGTGGGAATGTTTAACTTCACGATTTTCCCTTTTGGTCTTCATTCAGCCCAGGCTTTCGGAGAGACCAATAAAAATTATCTAGGTATTTACCATTATTGTTGATTTTCTTTGAAGATGAAGGTTCATTTGGAAAGGGCTAATTTTTAGTTCAAGTGTCAATCAACATGTTTTTATCCTGTTTTTGTCTTTGAGTCATATACTGAATCATCTATCAGGGCAGCAACTGTGTAGATGCAGATGACTCTAGAAAACGGACATCAAGCAACTGTGAGAAAATGACTGGAAATATAAGAAGAATCTGAAAGGCACTCTGGACACATGGCGCAAGATTTTTCAGGCCTAAGAAAACATGTTTAAACAACTCCTTGAGTCTACCTTAGATAGCTAGGCTGTGTTTTCTTTTAGCTTATATGTAAATTGTTCCCTTTTACCTGGGCTGTTAATCTAGGTACAATATGAAATCAGAGACTAGATTTTGTGCCTCTATGATGTAATCTCTGAGCCTCTTCGTGAATTTGTTTTTCTATTCTATAAGAGATTCTTGCTTAAGGAATTTAGATATAGCAGCCTGTTAGCTGAGGATCTGCTAAAGCATTTCCTTTTGCTTCTAGTATCTCCTTTACTCTAGGTCTCTACCTTTACCAACAGTAATTTCTTTGGGTAGCATCAAGACATTAAACATATCAGCTCCCAGTTCATATATATACTCTCTGATTTTTAGCAATCTGACATGCCTAGAGAGGGACACATTTCAGTCATTTGAGTTGATTTGGCTTTCGGTCAAGGAATTGAATTCTACAAGAGCATGGACTACTATACTGTAAGAGAATTAATATAGCCTAGAGGAAATACCATAAATGTATACTGTTTATTCCATGTGAATGCAAACTACTTCTGATTCTCCTTCTCGAATGACTCAGAAATAATGCATTATCAGATCAATAGCTGCAAACCATGTACCCAAGATTGTATTATTCTTCTCTAGTAATACCAAACCCAACACGGCAGATGTAATGGGGGGCTATTATTATTATTATTATTATTATTATTTGAGATGGAGTATCACTGTCGCCCAGGCTGGAGTGCAGCGGCCTGATCTCAGCTGATTGCAACCCCTGCCTCCTGGGTTCAAGTGATTCTCCTGCCTCAGCCTCCCGAGTAGCTGGGATTACAGGCATGCACCACCACACTCAGCCAATTTTTGTATTTTTAATAGAGACGAGGTTTCACCATGTTGGCCAGGCTGGTCTCAAACCTCTGACCTCAGGTGATCTGCCTGCCTTGGCCTCCCAAAGTGCTGGGATTACAGGCGTGAGCCACCGCGCCCAGCATGGGGGGCTATTATTTGTAATAATCCATCTAGTCGTTACGTGAGGCAGATTGGTCAGTTAAATTGAGTTATGATGGGACAACCGCCACTGAATCCTTCACATATTTGAAGGTGGCATCAATTTCTATTAATTCCCTAGTATAGTATTATTTTCAAAATAGCTTTATTGAGATATAATTAACATACAAAATATGCACATACAATATTTTGACATATGTATACACCTATGAAACCATAACCATAATCAAGATAATGAACATATCCATCACCCTCCAAAAGTTCCTCATGTCTATTGCATCCTTTCATCTGAACCCTCTCTTCCTCTTCCCTCCCCTGGCAACTACAGATCTTCTTTCATTATAGATTAGTTTGCATTTCTAGAATTTTATATAAATGAAATCGTACAGTGATTTTTGTCTCTTTTCTTCACTCAGCATAATTGAGGCTTATCCATATTGCTGTGTGCAATAGCTCATTCATTTTTATTGCTGAGTAGTATTCCATTGTCTGGATACCACAATGTGTTATTCCGTTGATAGGCATGACTCTCTTTCTCCGTCTTTTCCAGTTTTTTACTATTACAAATAAAACTGTTATGAACATTTATGTAGAAGAGTTGGGTATCTAGTAGGCAGCATATAGTTGGGTCTTCCTTTTTCATTTTACCTGAAAATTTCTGCCATTCAATTGAGGTGTTTGGACCATTTATATTTATGTGATTACTGACATTATCATTGGATTTAAATCTACCATCTTGCTATTTGTTTTCTTTTTTTTTTTTTTTTGAGACAGAGTCTCACTCTGTTGCCCAGGTTGGAGTGCAGTGGCATGATCTCAGCTCACTGCAAGCTCCGCCTCCCAGGTTCACGCCATTCTCCTGCCTCAGCCTCCCCAGTAGCTGGGACTATAGGCACCCGCCACTACACCCAGCTAATTTTTTGTATTTTTAGTAGAGACGGGGTTTCATCATGTTAGCCAGGATGGTCTCGATCTCCTGACCTCATGATCCACCCGCCTTGGCCTCCCAAAGTGCTGGGATTATAGGCATTAGCCACCGAGCCCAGCCACTATTTGTTTTCTATTTGTCTGTTATGCTTTTTCTTTTCTTCCTTTTTTGTCATCTTTTGGATTGAGTATATTATTCCATTTTGTTTTCTGTTAACACATTAGCTATAACCCTTTGTAGTATTATTTTAGTATGTTTGGGGTTTCTTGCATACATCTTTTACTGACTACCTTCAAGTAATGTTATACTACTTTATGTACTGCATGAGAACTTTATAGCAGTTGTATTCCAATTCCTCCCCTCCTGGCCTTTGTGCTTTTGTTATTCTACATTTTACTTTGAAATACATTATAAATCCTACAATATATTTTGTTTTGTTTTGTTTTGTTTTGAGACAGAGTCTCGCTCTGTCGCCCAGGCTGGAGTGCAGTGGCGCAATCTTCGGCTCACTGCAAGCTCTGCCTCCCGGGTTCACGCCATTCTCCTGCCTCAGCCTCCCCAGTAGCTGGGACTACAGGCGCCATCCACCACGACCTGCTAATTTTTTGTATTTTTAGTAGAGACGGGGTTTCACCATGTTAGCCAGGATGGTCTTGATCTCCTGACCTTGTGATCCACCCACCTCGGCCTCCCAAAGTGCTGGGATTACAGGCGTGAGCCACGGTGCCTGGCCTCGCCTGGCTAATTTCTTTTTGTGTTTATGGTAGAGATGGAGTTTTACCGTATTAGCCAGGATGGTCTCGATCTTCTGACCTCGTGATCTGCCCGCCTCAGCCTCCCAAAGTGCTGGGATTACAAGCGTGAGCTACCACGCCCAGCCTACAATATGTTATTTTTGCTTTAAACAATTCTCTTAAAGACATACAAATCTCTCTCTCTCTCTTTCTCTCTCTCCCCCTCCCTCTTTCCCTGCTCCCCCTTCATTCTAAACAGAGTCTTGCTCTGTCGCCAAGGTTAGAGTACAGTAGCACAATCCTAGCTCACTGTAACCTCAAACCTCCTGCCTCAGCCTCCCTTCAAGTAGTAGTAGCTAGGCATACACCACACCAGGTTAATTTTTTTTTTTTTTTAGAGGTGTGATCTTGCTATGTTCCAGGCTGGTCTTGAACTCCTGGCCTCAAGCAATCCTTCTGCCTTGGCCTCCCCAAGTGGTGGTATTACAGTTGTGAGCCACTGTGCCCAGCCTTCACTTTCTTTCTTTAATGAATCAATGGCACTTAGCAATAGCCACCCAATTCTTTGGTCCAGACAATTACTATTTTTCTCATATTTCTCAAGTGTCCAAGAGTTTTCCAGCTACTACATCCCTTTTCACCATAACCCATCCCAGTTAAACACAGGTGAAAGACTGAGCTTTCACCTGCTGTAGCACTGTTACAGGAGGTCGGGAACTATCAATATTCTTTCTACTGCTAGCGTTGGTGTCCTCATCATCCTCTAGGTGGTGAGTGAGCTCACTCCAGAATCCCTTGGAGACTGCTTTCTAGGATGACTTCTGGTGCCAAATGTTTTTTAGTTTGAGTTCCCTAGAAGTGAACCAAAATGAGGATGCTAGTTCAAGTCATTAATTGGGGAAGTATTCTCAGGAGAAGCAGAGTTAGGAAGCAAGATAGGGTAGGGGGAAAAAGCTAAGCACGAACTTGGTCTTGGCTGGAGACCAGCTTTAGACTGATTCCACAGGGAGACTCGGGAGGACAAACTGTATCCCACTTAAATTCAGGGAACTGATTTTTTATTCCTGTGCCAGTCAATCAGTCAATCACTGGCAAGGAGTGGGTACTGGCAAACAGCCTCCTATGCAAGGCGGACTCCTATTTGGCTGAGGAAAATTCTCTGAAGAAAAGGGTAGTTGTGAGTTGTTATCAACCAACATTTATAACAGCTGGGAAATGGGTGCCCAGGTAGGTAAACGGAGTATGGGCAGGGCATCAACAGTATGCAGTACAGTAACTGTCCTGAATGTTTAGGGATGTGCCTCTGATCTCCAGTCTACACTTGTCCCAATCCTATTGTCTAAGCTCACAGGGTCTTTTGAGGGTGAGCTACACTGATGCTTTTATCTCAAGCTTGGGCTTGGGAGTCTTGGCAAGGTTGGTAGCTTCCACATTATGGCCATGTTCCCCAATACTGCAGTCATTCTTCATCACGGTTCTGCCAAACTCTCGCAGAATATGGTTCCTTATACTCATGGAACCAAACAGACCTGCGTCTTTGTCCCATCTCAAGGGAAACACAAAGCAAACCTCTCTTCTGAATGCCTCTTTTATAAATAAGAAAATTGAGGCTCGGGAAGGCTAAACGAATTTTGCAACAAGGCTGAAAAAGGTAAAGCTGGGACCACACTTGGGTGTTGACTTACAGGCCTTCCACTATATCAGGGAGGCAGACTATAGTCCATGAGCCAAGCCCACCTTCCCCCTTCCCCTACCTGTTTTTTAAGCAAAGTTTTATTGGAACACAGCCATGCTCTCTTGTTTATGTATTGTCTATGGCTGCTTTCTCACTGTAATGGCAGTTGTTAGTTGTTAGTAGTTGTTACAGAGAAAGTATGACCTGCAAAGCCAAAAATATTTACTATCTGTAAATATTTTGGCTACATTATGCTACTTCTGTGAACCTCCACAGACTTCTAATTCTAAGACTCAGTTATTCTAAGACTTTAGTTGGAGGAGAGTGACACAGCACAAGCTAGGTCTTGAAAACCTACTTTCTTCTATACTAACAAGAAATGAGGGCAGCTCTAGTGCTACTTAGCTAAAGCAGATTTCAAAAAGTCCTAGGGAGAGCTGGGTGTGGTGTCATGTGACTGTAGTGCAGCTACTTGGGAGGCTGAGGCAGGAGGATCACTTGAACCCAGGATTTTGTCTCAAAAAAATAAAAATAAAAATAAAAAAGCCTGGAAAGAAAGAAGGATGAATCAGCTTAAAAGATAGTCCTTAAAAATAATAATAAAAATACTGTGGATCTTCCAATTCAGAAATCTGCAGCGTTTGTGAATGAATGAATATTGGTATGTACAAAGGAAAAGTCTGGAAGGATACAGACATTCAGTGGGTGGTTACCTTTGGCGGAAGGAAAGGTATTTAACTCTTTGTTTCTTCTATATTGTTTGTGTATGTGTGTATATATAGTATAACTATGTACTTTTTGCAATTAAAAAAACACACAAACACACACAATGAGGATGAGAGAGAGAGAGAGAGAGACCTCCCCCCTCCAAGTGGTATTTAAGAAAACAATCTTTCTAGAGTGATGGATGCAGCTGTGTTCATAGTGGATGGTTGACTTAATGACCTCACTTGCCCCTGGCATCCATCCCATGATTGATAGGCTGCCTCAAACTCCTCAGGCTCTGTGTTCCTTTATGTGCAGGGAGCTGGAAGAAACATTCAGAATAAAGTATTACAATTTCTGCAGAGACAAACGAATTGCATAGTTGTGTTTGGAGATACAACTGCAACTCGTTTCCCATTTCTCAATAAGCTAGTATGAAGACTCAGTTGTGGATGTCAGAAACCCAATCAAGAAATATTTCACCTTTTTTTCAGAATTGCTTCAAGATATAAAGGGATGGCTGTTTTTTTTTCTATTAGAAAAAATACAAATAGTACATGAGCACTGTAAAACATTCAAACAATACCCATGTGTATAAAATAAAAAGTGAAAGTTCTCCCTTCAAATTACACTCACCAGGGTAATAAATGCAAATAATTTGACACTAGAATACCTGTAAACAGGTATTTACAGGTATTCCATTCATATTCAAATATTCATAGTTAAACAAAATGGCATCAGGCTACATATAAAAAAGCATTTTTACTTTCACTTAATGTATCTTGGGCCATGGAATATATAGGTATATTTAGATTCATCTCATTCTTTTTATGGGTGCACAATATTCCACTATGACTGTACTACATTTTTTTTTTTTTTGAGACAGAGTTTTGCCCTTGTTGCCCAGGCTGGAGTGCAGTGGCACGATCTCAGCTCACTGTAACCTCTGTCTCCCAGGTTCAAGCGATTCTCCTGCCTCAACCTCTTGAAGTGGCTGGGATTACAGGCGCCTGCCACCTCGCCCGGCTAATTTTTTGTATTTAGTAGAGACCGGGTTTCACCATGTTGGTCAGGCTGGTCTCGAACTCCTCACCTCACGTGATCCACCTACCTTGGCCTTCCAAAGTGATGGGATTACAGGCATGAGCCACCACACCCGGCCCAACAATGTCTCCACTTTTAGACACGTAAGTTGGTCCTCTTTTGTGTTGTAGTGCTGCAACACTAAATATCTCTCTCTCTTTTTTTTTTTTTTTTGAGAGAGAGTCTTGCTCTGTTGCCCAGGCTGGAGTGTAATGGTGTGATCTTGGCTCACTGCAACCTCTGCCTCCCGGGTTCAAGCGATTCTCTTGCCTTGGCCTCCCCAGTAGCTGGGATTACAGGTGCCGCACCACCACGCCCAGCTAATTTTGGTATTTTTAGTAGAGACGGGGTTTCATCATGTTGGCCAGGCTGGTCTCGAACTCCTGAACTCGTGATCCGCTCGTCTTGGCCTCCCAAAGTGCTAGGATTACTGGCGTGAGCCACTGCCCCTGGCAACACTGAGTATCTCGGTACACAAATATTTGGACTGTGTGTCCAAACATTTCTTTTGGACATATTCAAAAGGTTATGCATATTTAACAGATATTAAAATTGTTCTCTATAAAAAGGTTGTACAACTTAGAACCTTACCCCCAATTTATACTTTCTCATTGTTTCTTATTTCCCATTTTCCTAATTACCATCAAGGTTGAGGATCTTTTCATGTTTATTGGCCATTCGTGTTGCTTCTTTTGTGAATTGTTTTTCTTAGTCTTTGGTCTTTTTTTATTTTTTATTTTTTTTTTTGAGATGGAGTCTCTCTGTTGCACAGGCTGGAGTGGAGGGGCGCTATCTCGGCTCACTGCAATCTCCGCCTCCTAGGTTCAAGCAATTCTCCTGCTTCAGCCTCCGGAGTAGTACAGGCGCCTGCCACCACGCCCAACTAATTTTTTGTATTTTTAGTAGGGACGGGGTTTCACCATATTGGCCAGGCTGTTCTCGAACTCCCGACCTCTTGATCCGCCCCCGTGCCCTGCCGGGTCTTTTAAAAATGGTATTGTCTCACCCGGCTCCCCTCCCATTGGTTTGTAGGAATATCTTTTAAGTTATAGATATTAACTTTTTCCTTTCTTCTGTCTATAAGGTCCAAAATAGTAACTATTTCTACAATTGAAACATTCCCAATTTACATTTACTGTTGAGCATGATAATGACTTTCACCACATAGAGACGTGTAATTTTAGGTAGTCAAATCTGTCAAGTCTTTTCTCATATTGCTTCTGGGTTCCCTGTCAAGCTTAGAAACACATCTCTTCCAAAAATTACAGAAATATTTTTCTACTTTTTCTTCCATGTTTGTATCTCTCTCCCTCTCTTTTTTTTTTTTTTTTTTTTTTTTTTTTTTTTTTTTTTTTTTTTGAGACGGAGTTTCGCTTTTGTTGCCCAGGCTGGAGTGCTCACCGCAACCTCCGCCTCCAGGGATCAAGCGATTCTCTGTCTCAGCCTCCAGAGTAGCTGGGATTACAGGCATGCGCCACCACGCCCAGCTAATTTTGTATTTTTAGTAGAGACGGGGTTTCTCCATATTGGTCAGGCTGGTCTCGAACTCCCAAGCTCAGGTGATCCGCCTGCCTTGGCCTCCCAAAGTGCTGGGATTACAGGCGTGAGCCACTGCGCCCGGCCATGCTTATATCTTTAATCCAACCATATACTATTTTTGTGAAGGATGGAAGTAAGGCTCCCCTCAAGTTAATTTTTCTCCAATCTGGCTTGCAGGAAAGGGGTTTCTGGGGAGATTTTACCGAGCAACGTAGGGAAACGGCTGCCTGGCTACCTACCCCTTTTTGACACCCACACGTGCTCGGCACCTTACATACACTGCGTGATTTTATCCTAAAGCCACTTTTAAAATCTTAGTGTGTAAACAGAGAAACTGGGCGTCACATAAGGCAAGTGACCTGCACAGCCTGCTCCGGAGGAGACCCGTACGATCCCAGAGACAAGCACTGAACATAAGGCACCCGGCGCCGCGCCCGCTTTGCAACCTCTCGCGACAGTTGTACGTCATCCGAGAGCGCCGTGGAAGTCGTGCTGCAGGCGTCGCGCCAATCTTCGCTCTGAGGTGCTGTCTCACCGGTGAGACCTGGAAGCGGGCGAGTCTCGTGCTGTGTCGGACCTGCAGCCCCTGGCCTTCCGCCACCATGGAGTACCTCATCGGTATCCAAGGCCCCGACTATGTTCTTGTCGCCTCCGACCGGGTGGCCGCCAGCAATATTGTCCAGATGAAGGACGGTGAGAGGAAGCAGGGGAGGCCCGGCCAGGCCTGGGGTGTAGGAGCGGCCAGAAGGAGTTTGTCGGGGGTTGAATAAGTACCAGGGAGGATCTGAGAGATGGAAGCCGGCCTGCCCTGCCCGTACTTATTTTATTTATTTATTTATTTTTTCGAGAGGGGTTTCGCTCTTGTTGTCCAGGCCGGAGTGCAATGGCGCGATCTCGGCTTAGCACAGTCTTTGTCTCCCGGGTTCAAGCGATTCTCGTGCCTCAGCCTCCCGAGTAGCTGGGAACAGATATGCGCCACCACGCCTGGCTAATTTTTGTATTATTAGTAGAGATGTGGATTTCTCCATATTGGTCAGGCTGGTCTCGAACTCCCGACCTCAGGAGATCCGCCCGTCTCGGCCTTCCAAAGTGCTGGGATTACAGGCGAAACAGGCAGACAGGTCTGGGACCTTGGCATTTGCTCCTCCAGGGCTCCTGGGTCAGTGCTCTGCTCTGGCCTTCGCTAAATGCTTCTTGCTTGGTGAGAGTTGCCTAAAGGGAATCAGTTTATAAATGTTTAAGCGCCTGCCCAGAGCCTGGCTCTCTAGATCCCCGAATCTCTGATAAGTTTCCTGGTGTCGCTAGTAATGAGGTTAGTTTGTTGGCGGCATAAGGTGGGATCCTGAGGAGAGTGAGACTGTGGGACTGGCTCTCTAGATCCCCGAATCTCTGATAAGTTTCCTGGTGTCGCTAGTAATGAGGTTAGTTTGTTGGCGGCATAAGGTGGGATCCTGGGGAGAGTGAGACTGTGGGACCAGAAGCTTGGCATTTTCCTTCTTCCCGTGGCTCCCGATTCTTCTTTTCCAGTTTTCCAGAGCAATGGCTGCCAGGTTTTCCTTATATTTAAGTAGTTAATGGAGTTAAGAGATTGGAGCCCTGTCATTTATTTGCCTTATGAGTTTGTATAAGTTATTTTGCAGTGCCCAGATTTCCTCATCTTTAAGATTAGCAATACCAAACTCACAAACTTGTCGGGAGGATTTAGTAAATGAGTTATGTGCAAATCCTTAGCACTAGGCAGGTACTTAATAATACTAAGTGTACGTAGGTGCCCAAACATATTTGTCAAATGACCATTAAGTCATCTGAACCAAAGCTTAATACTTTTTCAACAGTAGCACGTCTTTGATCAGTTAAGGAAAACAAACTTAGATTCTGCAGAAAAACAACCAAAATCTTCTTAAAATTATGTATTGAGTAATTTAGTATAGATAGTATAGTATAGTATAGTATAGTATAGTATAGTATAGTATATTATAGTACTTAGGGGCAAAATGTCTGGACTCACTGCATAGGTTGAACCCAGGTTCTGCCACTTGTGACCTTAAGCAAATTTCTCTAACTCCGTGCCCTAGAGCTAACATCTATAAGGTGGTAATGTAATAGCACCTATCTCAAAAGGTTAATGAATTAATGTAAATCACTTAACATAGCACCTTATACTTTATGAAATTCTATGATTAGTTTGTAGAAGTTTTGTTTGTAAGCCAGTCCTTCCAAAGGAGTGAATTTGTTTTGAGAGTAAATTTGTCCATTATTTTGAATACTAAGGTCTTTGACAAGCAAGTGATTTTAACATTAAGTCATGTCTAGGTAGAACAATAATCATTATCTTTACAGGTCTTTTGTTTCATCCCAAATGTATGTGAAATCACATTGAAAAGTAGAATGTGCTTTAAGCCTACTTATGTACACAGTACTTTTAGTCATTATAGGGGATGCAGTATATTACTTATAACCCATAGAAGAGTCCAAGACATTAAGAAAACAAGGAAATAAATGCTGCAAGATGATTTTATATAATAAAAGAAGTATTACTAGTTAGTAGTAGGTTGGTTTTTAAATTAATGAGTTCAAGAGCAAATCCTAAGAGTAATAAAAGAAAGATAACTATGGTATGGGAGAAAGATGAATTTGAGTTAGTTCTTGAAAAATAATTGGAAATAGTTGCACTCTGCACATTCCAATTTTCCCTATAGTCTTTTCTGGTATAAAACAAATTATAATAGAAATTTTAGTATTGTATGATGACTTTTTTATTTATTTTATTTATTTATTTTTGAGACAGAGTCTCGCTCTGTCACCCAGGCTGGAGTGCAATGGCGCGATCTCGGCTCACTGCAACCTCCACCTCCTGGGTTCAAGCGATTCTCCTGCCTCGGCCTTCCAAGTAGCTGGGATTACAGGCGCCCGTCACCATGCCCAGCTAATTTTTGTATTTTTAGTAGAAACGGGGTTTCACCAGTTTGGCCAGGCTGGTCTCAAACTCCTGACCTCAGGTGATCCACCTGCCTCCGCCTCCCAAAGTGCTGGGATTACAGGCGTGAGCCACCGTGCCCAGCCGTCTGATGACTTTTTTCTAATCATTCATTTCACGATGGAGCTTGTTTAGAGTAGGCAAGAATGCTGAAAAAATAGTAACCTTCTGGGACTCCTTTCTCCAAGTATAAAATGATAATACAACTTCCAATCAATTGTCCAGTATGTCACTTTGTAAAAACATTTTGATACTATAGAGTAGACATTTGCTGAGGATTGCCACCTTATTAAGTGGTATAACTTTTGGTTTGCTTATATGCCGCATTTCATGTCTCTTTTCTCTTGGCCTATGTAGAATTGCTTTTAAGTTACTCGGAGTACTCCAGCCCACACAGAATTCTCTCTTTTCTGAATTCCTATAGCATGTATAATCCGAACTACATTATCTAACACTGAGTATCATAATATTGGACATGTATAGAATTCATTAGTTTTTCTCACTTGTGAGTTAGACAGGGGTAAGTCATATTATTAACATTTCACACATTTGGAAATAACATTTCACACATCTGGAAACTGGGGCTTAGAGAGGACAAGTAATTTGCCGAAGTTCAGAGTGCCAAGTCCACATCATAACCAAGGTCTCTTGGATTCTAGTTCAGTTGGTTTTCCACAGTATGACATGCTAATGTTGTTCATTTTGTTGGCCATTTGTTTCATGTATGTGGATCTCGTAAGTTCCTCGTCAAGAATCAGAAATTCCCCAGAGCTACACAGGCAGTTTCCTGTACAACTCAGGGGTCTCTAAGTATCTATCTCTTGTGTTTTTATTAAATATGTTGCCCTCTGCTACTCATTGGACATATTCAGTGTTTAAAAAACATTTTTGGCCTTGTATTAAGCTAATTTTAAAGTTGAACAGGTTACTGCCTAGGATTTTAGCCTTTCTTCTAAGTGTGACATAAGTTCTTTGTAAACAAGCTCCCCCTTCAAATAAAAATATCTTTTTTCTTATTATAAAAATAATGCGAACTTATTGAATAATGCTTTCTTATAAAAGTGAGGCATGTTAAGTATAGAAGTTTTAGGAAAAACCAACAAGCAAAAGAAGGAAACGAAAACTGCCCATACTCTTACCACTGGCAAGCACTTAGAATATACCCTTCTGCTCCTTTTTCTTTGCATAGATAATATAAGTGAATGTTTTTCGTTTATTAACAAGTTTGCAAACTAACAATCTTTAAATCTAGCCTGCATAACAAATAAAAGTGTGTTTGTTTAGGAGTTTTGAGGCAATTTGATATTATCTACAGGTGCATTTTGTGTGTTTTTTCCCTCCAAGTCTAAGAAGCCATATTACTGGTATCTACAACTCTGAAACACTTGTAAAGTATTTGACAGTAGCATTTTGTTCTTTAAATCCTATTAAAGGATTTTGGCATTTCAGAAGCTTTCAAACAGGAAACGTGTCTCCCAGGGAGGATTATTCAGCACTATTTGAAAAATGAAAAGTGAAAGTGAAAGTGAGATAGGAAGATTTAGGCCTTTTCTGAAGCTGCAGACTGAATGTGGAGTTTTCTTCCTTAGGCAATAACTGTAACCTGAATATTTATTTATCTGTCTAATCTGAATGACTCTGGTTCAGCTAGATAAGATTAGAGTATTAGGATTTTTGTGAGGTATTTTAAATAGCTTACTGTCAAAATATTCACTAGAATTTTTGCTTTGGCAATCATTTTAATTTTCTCTTTTTCTTTGGAAGTGGAATTTGTTTACTTTTTAAAGTGATTAATATTCTCAGTTGATTTTCTATTCTTTCTTGAAATGGTTCCTTAATTTTAATTATAGCACCAGTCCTTTTCATATATGCTTTTGTATGTGTATAAATATAATAACTAACATTTGTAGTTGTGGAAACATTTTAGGGCTTTGTTATCATGAGCCTAAAGATAATCGCCATTGGCTGGATTCCTTCAGTTTCTTCTGTCGTTCTGTTCCTTGCATTTCAAATGCCTTTAAATGCTTTAAATTGTATTTTCAATTGGTAGCTTTCATGTATATTCTCCAACCGAAATTGGCATTACACAATATGCTGATGGTTTAACATGAAGAGTGAAAGAGAAAAATTGATACCATTACCTATTAAAATCTTCTAAAAGCAATAATTAGTTAAATTATTCAATATACAGTCGTCCCTTGGTATCTGTAGGGATTGGTTCCAGAACCCCTGCAGATACCCAAATCCATAGATGCTTAAAGTCCATTATATACATGGTATAGTATTTGCATATTACCTATGCAGGTACTCCTGTGTACTTCAAATCATCTCTAGATTATTTATAATACTTAATATGACATAAGTGCTATGTAAATAGTTGTTATACCATATTGTTTAGGGAATAATGACCAGAAAAAAAGTCAGTACATGTTCAGGATAGATGCAAGCATCCATTTTTTTTTTTTTCTGAATAATTTTGATCCATAGTTTGTTGAATTGTGGATTCAGAATCCATGTATATGGAAGGCCAACTGTAGTAATTAATAAACCTGTTTATGGTTACATAAATAATGACGGTCAATGTCTGTTAAGGCAGTTTCTAACACAGTTTTCTTCTTTGAGCAGATCATGACAAGATGTTTAAGATGAGTGAAAAGATATTACTCCTGTGTGTTGGAGAGGCTGGAGACACTGTACAGTTTGCAGAATATATTCAGAAAAACGTGCAACTTTATAAGATGCGAAATGGTGGGTAAGACTTACAGTTTTAGTTGGCATATGAGTTTACTAGGGCTGCCATTACTAAAGTCACAGACTGGGTGGCTTAAACAACAGAAATGTATTTTCTCACAGTTCTAGATGTTAGAAGTCAAAGATTAAGGTGTTGGCAGCGTTGATTTCTGAGGCCTCTCTCCTTGGCTTGCAGATAGCCATCTTCTCCCTGTGTCTTCACGTGATTTTTCTCTTTGTACTATATCCAAATTTTCTCTTCTAAGAATACCAGTCATGTTGAATTAGGAACTCATTTTAATTTAATAACCTCTTAAGGATCCCTTCTCCAAATACAGTCACATACTAAAGTACTAGGGATTAAGACTTCAACATATGAATTTTTGGTGGACAAAATTCAGCCTATAACAATTGGTTTGTCTTTAAATTTGAACTGAAAAATAATATTCTTTAAGACTTATGTGGTCATATTTTCTTTTTTTTTTTTTTTTTTTTTTTTGAGACGGAGTCTCGCTCTGTTGCCCAGGCTGGAGTGCAATGGCGCGATCTCTGCTTACTGCAACCTCCGCCTCCCAGGTTCAAGCGATTCTCCTGTCTCAGCCTCCTGAGTAGCTGGGACTACAGGCACGCACCACCACGTCCAGCTAATTTTTGTATTTTTAGTAGAGACAGGGTTTCACCACGTTGACCAGGATGGTCTCCATCTCTTGACCTTGTGATCTGCCCACCTCGGCCTCCCAAAGTGCTGGGATTACAGGCGTGAGCCACCACGCCCAGCCCATATTTTCATTAGAGTTTTCTGTGTTTAAGAAGTTGTCTAGACCCTAAAGATTCTAATCCTTCATAAAAGATTTTCTACAAAAATCCTAGAGCAGAGAACTGTTGTAACACTGATAGCTGATAGATAAAACTAACACCATCGGCCTGGTATGATGGCTCATGCCTGTAATCCCAGCAATTGGGGAGGACAAGGTGGGAGGATCACTTGAGACCAGGAGTTTAAGACTAGCCTGAGCAATGTAGTGACACCTCATCTCTACAAAAAAAAAAAAAATTTTTTTTTTTTTTGAGATGGAGTTTCACTCTTGTTGTCCAGGCTGGAGTGCAGTGGCACAATCTCGGCTCACCGCAACCTCTGCCTTCCAGGTTCAAGCAATCCTCCTGCCTCAGCCTCCCAAGTAGCTGGGATTACAGGCATGTGCCACCACGCCTGGCTAATTTTGTATTTTTAGTAGAGACAGGGTTTCTCCATGTTGGTCAGGCTGGTCTCAAACTCATGACCTCAGATGATCTGCCCACCTCGGCCTCCCAAAGTTCTGGGATTACAGGTGTGAGCCACCACGCCCGGCCTTCTACAAAAAAGTTTTTAAAAATTAGCTGAGTGTGGTGGCATGCACCTATAGCCCTAGCTACTCAGGAGGCTGAGGCAGGAAGATCGTTTGAGCCCAGGAGGTCGAGGCTGCAGTGAGTTATGATTGTGCCACTGTACTCTGGAAGGCAGCAAGACTCTGTCTCTAAAAAAAATTTTTTTAAACCAACCAAAAAAAAAAAAACCCAACACCATCTTGGAGGTAGGGATGGTAGTATCAGACTTTTTAAGTGTTAGATATCTCAGAGGATGTGGTTTGAGTTTAAAAGTATCTGAACCTGGCCAGGCACAGTGGCTAGCACCTGTAATCCCAGCACTTTTGAGAGGCTGAGATGGGAGGATCACTTGAGGTCAGGAGTTTGAAACCAGCCTAGGCAACAAAGCAAGACCCTGGCTCTATAAAAAATAAAAATATTTACCTGGGTGCAGTGGTGCACACCCATAGTCCCAGCTACTCAGGAAGCTGAAGTGGGAAGATCACTTGAGCCCAGGAGTTCAAGGTCTCAGTGAGCCATGATAGTGCCACTGCACTCCAGCCTGTGCGACAGAGTGAGACCCTGTCTCAAAACAAAGAAACAAAAAAATCTGAATCTCAGCGTCAAAAAACCTAAGTAAACCTTGGCTTTACTATTTTTTATGTGATAAGTCATTTATCTTCTCTGGGACTTTATTTTCCTTATCTCTGAAATGAATTATAATACTAATGAATAATACATATGAAAATATTTTGTAAACCTAAAGCATTGTGTAACTAACTATAAGTATTTACTGTGCCATAAAAGGGTTCTGCCTTACTCTCTGGTAGGTTTCCTTCTAGAGAGATAATTAAGACTTTTGTGAAGTATTTTGTGAGCTCTCTCTGGGGCTAATGAACTCTTATCCACTGGGAAAACCTCCCTAGCAAACGATACTAGCCACTAGGCCTCTGATCCAGGAATGTTTGTAGTGGTGGTCTGGCAGAGAAAACCTTATTTCCACTTACCTCACAGTTCAATAACAACGTTATACACTGCACTGGTATAATATGGAGCTATGAAGGAAGTTAATTTGAATATACTTGCATGTGTAAAATGACCAAAGATCTATTCACATAGTTTGGGCAGTGGATTTAGCATTTGTATTCAATTCCATAAATACTTTTGAGGGCCTCTTCTATGGTAAGCATTCTGCTTAATACTTAAGAGAATTCAAAGATGAATAAGGCTTAGTCCTGACATTCAGGAACATAAAGTACATGGTACTTAGGTTTATGCAGGTTTAGAATATTTCAAGAATTCTGCTTTTTTTTCCAGTGGTTCCACTTTTTGCCTGCATAACAAATGAAGTATGTCAGTAATGCTTCTGAAGTCCAGTAGGTACTGTATGACTTCACTGGCTGTCCTGAGAGAGGGAGAAGAGTGAACAAGAGTAGCAAGAGTTGTTTGTTACTGGGTTTTAGGGTCTAAAGTCAGTGCACAGACAAAAACTGTGTTTGGTTAAAATTGCCCTTAAAGACCCTTAAATTACCTGCCAAGTACAGTTTTGTGTATGTAACTCTATATAGTAATTCTTATATAAGTTAAAGAACTGAGCTAAAATAAGGGAAAGAAAGAGAAAATCTATATGCAGATAATCAGGCATGACTTTTCTGCCTTTAGGATAATGGTCAGATCTTCAGTGGTGTTTAGGGGGTTAAGTAAAGAATTGAATAGTATTCCCACTTGTCTAGGTTCCTTCTTTTTTTTTTTTTTTCTTTTTTGAGTCAGGGTCTCGTTCTGTTGCTCAGATTGGAGTGCAGTGGTGCAGTCTCAGCCCACTGCAACTTCCAGCTCCTGGGTGCAAGTGATTCTCGTGCCTCAGCCTCCTGAGTAGTTGGGATTATAGGCATGCACCGCCATGCCTGGCTAATTTTTTGTATTTTAAGTAGAGACAGAGTTTCGCTATGGTGGCCAGGCTGGTCTTAAACTCCTGTCCCCAGGTGATCCACCCACCTGGGCCTCCCAAAGTGTTCTGGGATTACAGGTGTGAGCCACTGTGCCTGGCCTCTTTTTTTAAATTATTATTATTATTTTTGTTGTTGTTGTTGAGACAGGGTCTCACTCCTGTCGCCTGGGCTGGAGTGCAGTGGCACAATCATGGCTCATTGCAGCCTCGAATTCCCAGGCTCAGGTGATCCTTCCACCTCAGCCTCCCAACTACCTGGGAAAACAGGTGTGCACCACCACCCCTGGCTAATTTTTATATTTTTAGTAGAGACGGGGTTTCATCATGTTGCCCAGAATGGTCTTAAACTCCTGGGCTCGAGTGATCTGCCTGCCTCCGCTTCCCAAAGTGCTGTGATTACAGGCATGAGCCACTGCACCTGGCCAAGGATTGCTTTCATTATGATTTAATATGCACTAATAGACTTGTGAGGATAAAGTACAATAATACATGTGAAAACACTCAGCATAGACCCTGAAACATAGTTGCTGCTCAATAAATATTTGTTAGGATTTGAATCTGAATCTCTCCTAATTTGACAGTGGTATTTGAAATGTTGTAAGCAATTACTTAACCACACTGCTGTGTGTCTTTCCATACTGACATTTTCTGTGTGGGCCCACTGAGTTATGGATCATTCTTGTGCCTTTTGGCACTGGTCCCATTCTACAGGGGGATTAAGCTCCAAAGTGAATGCGTTATTACATGCACACCTGATGCTATTCCTCTGGGTTGTACCTTTGTTGGTATGACAACTTTTATTTTTGAAGTTTTAACACTTGAGATACTCTATTTTTAAAAATACTGCAGAATGATGGAAATGTTCTTTTTCTGTGGCTTATACTTTTGAAAGTCATATTATACTTCTTAATAAAGTAACATTTAAAATATTTTTTTAATAAACTATGACTCTGAGGTAGTCCTAACTTCTAGCCTCTCTTTTCCCAATATCCTTTTTGTTCCTGTTTTCGTTTTTTTAGAGACAGGGTCTTGCTCTGTCACCCATGCTGTAGTGCAGTGGCACAGTCATAACTCACTTGAACTTCTGGGGTCAATTGATCCTCTCCACTCAGCCTCCTAAGTAGCTGGGATTACAGGCATGTACCACCATGCCTAGAAATTTAAAAAAAAATTTTTTTTAGAGATGGGGGTCTCACTATGTTGCCCAGGCTAGTCTCAAACTCCTGGGCTCAAGCGATCTTCCCACCTTGGCTTCCCAAAGCTCTAGGATTACAGGCATGAGCCACTGTGACTGGCCCCCAATATCCTTTTTAAAATAAACTTTTAAAAGATTGGCATCTAAGACGCCTTTCTTTTTTTTTCACTTCTTGTGTATTCGTGTTCCTTTCCTTCTACGGCAGAAACCACAGTGTGTTGATGAATGAATAGTTTAAGCAAGGCTGCTAGAAGTTTCATTCCACTATAGAACTGGTTCTGTTTGTGGCCAAGAATTGCTGTCAGTACTAACCAGCTATTTCATAGCTGTTGCATGAGGAAAGGGACTAGAGTAGGATTGTACCCCTCAGTCTATGCTTTGTTTACTCTGAGTGTACAAAAGATGGTGGGCTTTAGGAACAGGGGTAGTGAATAATTTGGGGCACTGTTATTCCTTCTGCTTTACTTTAAGTATGACTCTTTATCTCTTCTACCAGGATATGAATTGTCTCCCACGGCAGCAGCTAACTTCACACGCCGAAACCTGGCTGACTGTCTTCGGAGTCGGGTAAGTAATATATCAGACATTGTTAGATAGAGCAGAAAAATCCTTTGTGCTTCTTTTATATTCTCATTATACATGAGTAGTATTTTTGCCCTTTTTTGGCCTTCCAGAACCCCTCCTGTTGCTACTTGTTCATTCTTAAGTCCAATGTCTTTGTGCACAGTTGTTATTAATAGGTACAGCCCAAAGGGCAAATATTCATTCCCAGAGAATTGGTTGGGACACACCAATATGAAGGCCTGTGACAACTTACCCTTTTTTTTTCCCCCTAAAAACTATTTTTTAGAGCAGTGTTAGGTTCACAGCAAAATTGAGAAGAAGTATAAAGATTTCCCACATTCCTCCTCACCCACATGTATAGCATTCCCCATTATCAGCATCTTCCACCAGGGTGATACATTGTCACAAATGATGAGCCTATATTGACAGTAATCACCCAGGTCCATAGTTTACATTAGGGTTTACTTTTGCTGTTGTGGATGTTATGGGTTTGGACAAATGTATAATGACATGTATCTACCATTACAGGATACAGAGTATTTTCACTGCCCTAAAAATCCTTTGTACTCTACTTATTCATCCTTCTCCATCCCCACAACTCCTGACAACCACTCATCTTTTTACTTTCTCCATGGTTTTGCCTTTCCCATCATGTCATATAGTTGGAATCATGGATTATGCAGCCTTTTCAGATTGGCTTCTTTTATTTGGTAATACACGTTTAAGGTTACCCTATGTCTTTTCATGGCTTGATAGCTCATTTCTTTTTAACATTGAAAAATACTCCATTGTCTAGATATACTACAGGTTATTTATCCATTCACCTACTGAAGGACATCTTGGTTGCTTCCAAGTTTTGGCAATATGAATAAAGCTAATGTATACATCCATGTGCAGGTTTTTGTTTGAACATAAGTTTTTTTTTGCGTAAATACCAAGGAGTGTGATTGCTGGATCATATAGTAAGAGTACGTTTAGTTTTTTCAAAGTGTTTTTGTAACAAACCATATTACTTAATACCTGTGACTGAAAGTCTCTATGTGTTAGTGAAAGTAGAACTTTGAAAATAATAATTCAGATTATTTTTATTTTTATTTTTTTGAGATGGAGTTTCACTCTTGTTGCCCAAACTAGAGTGCAATGGTGCAATCTTGGCTTACTGGAACCTCTGCCTCCTGGGTTCAAGTGATTCTCCTGCCTCCATTTCCCAAGTAGCTGGGATTACAGGCATGCACCACCACGCCCAGCTAATTTTGTATTTTTAGCAGACACGGGGTTTCTCCATGTTGGTCAGGTGTCAGGCTGGTCTCGAACTCCTGATCTCAGGTGATCTGCCCGCCTTGGCCTCCCAAAGTGCTGGGATTACAGGCGCGAGCCACCGCACCTGGCCGGTAATGTGGATTTTTATCTCGAGATTGCTTATCTGTGTTTCTCTTTTTTTCTTTTTCTTTTTTCTTTTTTTTTTTGAGACGGGGTCTCACTCCAGTTGCCCAGGCTGGAGTGTAGTGGTGTGATCTCAGCTTACTGAAGCCTCAACTTCCCGGGTTCAGGTGATTCTCCCACCTCAGCCTCCCAAGTAGCTGGGACTACAGGTGTGCACCACCACATCTGGCTAATTTTTTGTATTTTTAGTGGAGGCAGGATTTCACCATGTGGCCCAGGCTGGTCTTGAACTCCTGGACTCAAGCAATCTGCTGGCCTTGGCCTTTCAGGGTGCTGGGATTATAGGAATGAGCCACTCACTGTACCTGGCGTACTTACCTGTGTTTTTCTATGACTTTTTCCCAAAGCATACAGCATTGTTCCTCCTTACTTATTCTAGCCTTGTTGCTATTCTAGAGCTGTCTCCATTTCATCGACAGCATGTTAAAAGATGCAACACTAAGTTAAGGATTGAATGCATTAAAGATTGTGTAGGATGTGCTAGGAAAGTTCATATGGTTGCTAAAGGTGTGTGTTATTCCCTTCCCACAGGGACTAAATAAATAGAGCCTTACCACGTGATCTCACCCCCTGTGCCTGTTTACTTATCTATGAAATGGAGATAACTTCCTAACCCCACAGGGGTGCCAGGAAAATGAATGCTTGTAAATCATAATATTTAACATTCATGTGACTTTTGCCCAAAGCATTTTGCTTAATAATTTAATCTACTCACTATTCCACTGAGAAAGATAGTCTCTATCACTGAGATGAAGTGAAAGGCATAAAGTGTCAAAGGGACTAGCTCCAGGTCACACAGCAGGTCAGACAAAGCTAAAATAATGGTGCCATAATTATTTGACTATTCTGCCTTTGGTTCTTCAGTAGTGTTTCTAGAACACTGATGCTATTCATATTTTTATTATGGTTTGAGTTTTCATCTGTACTTGCTTAAAATAACAAGTTACTTTTTTTAAAGTTACTTACTACAGATCTATAAAGCAGTTTATTTTCTAGTGCCTAATAATCTTTGACTGATAATTTCTCAATAAATAGTACCTCTCAGTGCTAGCTTTGACCAAGGGCTTGTACAATCTGAGGGATCATGAAGTTTGAAGAGAAGCTAGAGACATGTAGGATTGAGAGGAGGAGGCAAATTTACATACATTGTTTTGTCCTGGGTGAAAGATCAGTAGTCTTTTCTTTAAAAAAAAAAAAAAAAATATATATATATATATATATATATATATATATATATTTTTTTTTTTTTTTTTTTCTTCCAAGAAAGTCATTGTCACCAAGTGGTCTTTTCTTCACTCCTCCTTGAGAAAGGAAAATGGGTCAGATATTAGTTTTTCTGTCACCCAGAAGTTCCTGTGGTGTTCAGCATTTTATGACTTGCCATGTACGATGTTCCTCTGACTTATCAGGCAGAACCGGAGTAAGAATTCCAGCTTTGGGCACAATAAATACTGTGTCATAAATATCACAGACATTAAGTGAATTAAGCTCCTTTTTGGAATTGAGATAAGAATGGCAGTGTGCTTCATGCAAATGCAGTGAATCTGGTTTAATCTTCTCCTAGCAGAAATGTTTGATGTCTTAACAAATATCCCTTGTAGACAGTGACATGGGGCTCTGGTAAATATTGACTACCTCTGCCTGAGCTTTTCCAGTAGGTCCAATCTCTGCTCCCCCATCTCCTTATCAAAATAGATTCTTAGTTCTAAAATATGAATTTATATTTTAGTCGTCTTATTCTGGGAAGAGAGATGATAGTTTGTCAGTGTTCCTAATAAGTGCAAAGTCACCAAATTTAGTATATTTATATGGTCACACCAGTTGGCAGATGTGACTCATTTTGGGTCAGCCAGTTACCATGTATAACTTCTGTGTCTGTAGCTCAAATTGTTTGATTTCTAATTTGCTCTGTGTATGTGTGGTGGTTTGGTTGGGAGGACATTTACTACCACTGAGTATATAATGAATCTTACATAAACTGGTTCATTAAAATGTAGGCAATTTAGCATTGTGGTTAAGAGCATAGTCTCTGGAATTGGACTACCTGGGTTTGAATATTTGCTTACTGACTTACTAGCTGGATGTCTTTGGACAAATTCTAAGCTTAATTTCCCTACTTACCAATTTCAAAAAGTTATTATGAAGATTAAATAAGGTAATAATGCAAAGCTCTTACTTTTTTTTTGAGACAGGATCTCACTCTGTCATCTAGGCTGGAGTGCAGTGGTATGACCACAGCTCTCTGCAGCCCCTTGACCTTTCAGGCCCAGATGATCCTTCCACCTCAGCCTCCCTGGCAGCTGGGACTGTAGGTGCATACCACTATGCCTGGCTAATTTTTTGTAGAGATGGGGTTTCTCCATGTTGCCAGGCTGGTCCCGAACTCCTGGGCTCAAGCAATCCTCCCGCTTCTGCTTCCCAAAGTGCTAGGATTACAGGCATGAGCCACCATGCCCAGCCCACTTGTGTTTTTATGCTGCGATTGCTGTTTGGTCAAAGAAGCAATTTAATGGCTATAAGTTAGTTTTTCGTGAGGGATCATTTGTTGTGCTTTTTTTTTTTTTTTTTTTTTTTTGAGATAGGGTCTCGCTCTGTCACCTAAGAGGTGGCACAGTCACAGCTCACTGCAGCCTCAACCTCCCGGGCTCAAACAATACTCCCACTTCAGCCTCCCAAATAGCTGGAACTACAGGCGCCAAGCCACCATGCTGGTATTGATAGGGAAAATAGAAGTAAAATAACATTGAACATATATTATGTGCTAGGATTTTTCTAGATCTACACAGTCCAGTATGGTAGCCAACTAGCCACATGGGGCTATTTAAATTTAAGTTAATTAAAATTAAATAAAACTTAAAATTCAGTTTCTGGTGGAAAATCTCCTGGTAGACTTTGCCTGAATGCTAAATCAACTTTTGTTCTTAAAAAAAAAAATTCTGTTCCTCAGTCACAGCCACATTTCAGGTACCCAATAGCCACAACTATTGTATTAGACATCACAGATCTGGAACATATCCATCATCATAGAAGTTCTCTTGGACAGTGCTATTCTAAATACTTACATATGTATCTGTTATTAAGTATCCTTATTATGACACCATAAGATGTGTGTTATCCCCATTTTACTTACAAGGATGTTAAGTATTTCTCTTAGATATGTTTCCAAAGCACATATATACTATGTTAAAGGTTAAGATTCCAGCTTCAAATATCAAACTCTTTCATGGTGTCTTCTTTATTAATTAGTGGACTAATGTACAAGTGTATTTGTGCATTTAGGGAAACATGAAATGTTCAGTTTTGTTAAAATGTCGAAATTGCACATAGTATTATATAGATAAGTTTGAATATATGTCCATTGTAGGTTTTCAATAAGTGTTTGCTGAAAAAGTGTCATCCAGCTAGGTCTATATATTCTGCTGAGAATATTAATTATGCATTTATACACTGGAAGGGAATTCTTAATGAATGGAATACCGGAAGAAGTATTCTTAATAAATGGATGTTAATTTGTATAGGAATTAAAGGCATGAAATCATCAGAAGACGAAAAAAGACAGATGGGGAAAAAATTCAGAAGCCTTCAGTTTAGTTGTTTATTTAAATGCTTGTATACATTTAAGATGGTCTCTTCTTGTTGGTTAGACCCCAAAGAGCAGAAAAAGGGCTTATACTATGCTCAAGGCTTGCTTTCTTCGGCCAGGCACAGTGGCTCATGCCGGTAATCCTAGCACTTTGGGAGGCCAAGATGGACAGATCAGTTGAGCCCAGGAGTTCAAGACCAGCCTGGCCAACATGGTGAAACCCCATCTCTACTAAAAATACAAAAAATTAGCCAGATGTGGTGGCACACACCTGTAATCCCAGTTACTCAGGAGGCTGACGCAGGAGAATAGCTTGAACCCAGAAGGTGGAGGTTGCAGTGAGCTGAGATCATGCCACTGCACTCCAGCCTGGGTGACAGAGCAAGACTCTGTCTAAAAAAAAGGCTTCCTTTCTCAAATTCTCCTTACAGTTTGACTAATGTCAGAGGATGATGAGTTATGGGGCTATTTCTTTTCTTTTTTTTTTTTGAGACGGAGTCTCACTGTGTCACCCAGGCTGGAGTGCAGGGGCACGATCTCGGCTCACTGCAAGCTCCACCTCCCGGGTTCATGCCATTCTCCTGCCTCAGCCTCCTGAGTAGCTGGGACTACAGGCGCCCGTCACCATGCCTGGCTACTTTTTTGTATTTTTAGTAGAGACGGGGTTTCACCATGTTGACCAGGATGGTCTCGATCTCTTGACCTCGTGGTCCACCCGCCTTGGCCTCCCAAAGTGCTAGGATTACAGGCATGAGCCACCATGCCCAGCCTATTTCTTACTTAAAATGAATTATGTGGCATATTTGATGTAGCCCATCTGAATGCCCTAAAATTATCTCCATTTAACAGATAGAGAGACAGGTATAAACCAGGCAAATCTGGTGTCCTTGGGAACGTGAAATTTTGTGGCAAGGCTTAGAGTAGGATGCTGGCCTCCATGATGTGTAATCGTCGGGTTTCACTGCCACACTGGCCAAAGAGTTTTCATTAGAACTTTTTCCGAAGTGTTTCATGAGCCTTTGGTAATTTATCTTTTTACCTATTTATTTGTAAATGCTTAGCAAGTAAACAGTAGAAATAATAAGTTGAAAAGATATCCAGCCTGATGTAGTGGTTTTCAAACTTTATTCTGTGAAGCTGCTTCAGGATACTCACCAAGGAAGACCAGTGTGCAATGCTTTTTTTTTTTTGAGGTGGAGTTTCGCTCTGTCACCCAGGCTGGAGTGCAGTGGCATGATCTCAGCACACTGCAACCTCCACCTTCCAGTTTCAAGTGATTCTTCTTCCTCAGCCTCCCGAATAGCTGGGACTACAGGCGTGCACCACCATGCCTGGCTAATTTGTGTATTTTTAGTAGAGACGGGGTTTCATCGTGTTAGCCAGGATGGTCTCGATCTCCTGACCTCGTGATCCACCCGCCTCGGCCTCCCAAAGTGCTGGGATTACAGGCGTGAGCCACCGTGCCTGGCGTTTTTTTGTTTTTGTTTTTGTTTTTTTTGAGACAGAGTCTTGCTCTCTCACCCAGTCTGGAATGCAGTGGTGTAATCTCGGCTCACTGCAACCTCTGCCTCCTGGGTTTGAGCAATTCTCCTGCATCAGCCTCCTGAGTAGCTGGGATTACAGGCATGCATCACCATGCCTGGCTAATTTTTGTATTTTTCATAGAGACGGGGTTTCACCATGTTGGCCAGGCTGGTCTCCAACTCCTGACCTCAAGTGATCTGCCCACCTCAGCCTCCCAAAGTACTGGGATTACAGGCATGAGCCACTGCACCCAGCCAAGTGTTCAGCACTTTAGCTCTGCTTCATATAGCTCAACTCAGCTTTTATCTATTTGATAGATAGGAATTCTAGGTAAAGTTTTATTTGAAAAGGTGCCATCACTGTTCCCTTACCACCAAAGAGCCCTGCAATAGGAGGGTTAATACTAGCTCTGCTGTGAGTTAGTTGAAAACCTTGGGAGAAAGCAAGCATTTGATTGGATGGTTTTTAGGGTTTGTTCCAGCCCCCAAATAGCATGATTTAAAAATCTTATGTCAAGACCACAACCAGACTTGAATTTTTATTTATTTATTTATTTTTTTAGGGAATGGGAAAGAATATGTAGGAAAGGATTTCAGGTCTTAGTCATTTCCAGCAGTGACCAAAGCTTATCCCCACACTCTGGCCTTAATTCAAGGCTGTTTGGTCTGGTTAGTAGTAGGCATGTATAGCATGCTCCTGTCCTAGAAGAAACCTGTTGCTTTGAGCCTTCTATTCTGACCATGAGAATTATTCTTCTCATGCCTTAGGTGGCTGGCACAAAGGCATCATCTGTTTATTGGTATCAGTGAGGTCCTGTGAACAGATGGCCCAGGTGAAACCCTGACTTTGCAAGTCTTGTCCCTTATACACTACCAACCATTTGTTACATGTGATTGAAATATCACTAACAAGGGTAATTTCACATGATTTTTGGCAAACGTGGTTAGCAGGATGTGACATGACGCAGCACTGCCTTCTTCCTCCATGTGCCATCTCCCTTGAGGCCTCATCTTCTCTACTTGCCCCCGTCTCACCCATGCCGAGGCTTGCCTTCAGCTCACCTGCTCCAGATGGGCAGCACAGTGGGAGGACACTGGCAAAGGCAGATGTGTTTATTTTCCGGAGACAAAATGTTGTGCTGCTGCAGATGGCAGTGCCTTGGAGCAAGAGGCAGCCTTTGACACTGCTGCCACACAGCCTGGGCATCTTGACAGACAGAGCCAGCTTACTTTTGGTGATGCGGAAATTCAAAAATAAAAAACGAAAACCAAGATGTTCATTATGCAGCTCTTGGACTGTCAGTGCAAGCAGCAGCCCTTTTAGACCTGGGGAGCAGTTTTCTTCCCTACCAAACCTTAGTCAGCTAGTGAGCTAACTGTGGATTGTCACTGTAGGCCAAGAGTTACGTGTCTGTTCATTACTTTTGTCTCCCAGCCTTAACAGGACATAAAGTAAAAACTGGAAACAAATGGCTACATTTAGATGGATACTCAGTTTGGTTCTGCAAAACATATGTGTATCCCAGGTCCCATCTCACAGGAGTCTCTTAGGATTGGGGGTGGCTCATGTTGGCCCCATTGGAGATACCGCTGTTCTGTTTTTAGTGGTCATTTTGATTATCCAAAGACCCAGAGACAGATGTGCCTTGAAGTTGAGGTGTCTCAATTAATATGACAACACTTTGTGCTTATAGTGTTTTTCTACTAGGAGGAGTAAGCATTCTGACAGCTGCCCTTTTAAGCAGTATGCGTATGCATTAGTTAAAGCTTGACTAAGTCCATTAGGAAGACAAAGACTGGCTGTTGAATCATTACACTTACTAGGATCCTAAAAAAAATAACTTGGGAAGATTATTTGAAAGTTACTGGCTTTATCAGGAAATTTTTTTTTCTTTTTCTTTCTTTTTTTTTTTTTTTAAATGTGCTGTTTTTCCTAGCCCTAGCTAGTTAGGAGTTTGCAGGTGTAAAGTCCTCCCCCTCCCCTTCCCTGTCTCTCTCCAGGGGGTTGTATGTGAGAAGGTGTTGCTTTCTCACTCAGAGAGCATATATGTGCTACCCTGTTGGATGCCTGCTGCGAGCCCAGAGAACCCCCGTGCTCATTGAATGGAATAAGCCTATTGGATGGCTGGAATTTTGCAGCCCCATAATGCCAACTTTTCACTTAAAGCATCTTTCCTATCCACAATGGGAGTGAAGCAGTATATGTACTTGGTCTAGATTTATATTGTTTTAAAACTCGTGTCTTAAAAATTTTGTGATTTCCTATTAAGGTTTGGTTTAAGCCTAAGGCAGGATAGTGCTGTGTCTGCTTAGTAGGAATGTGCTTTTACTTTTAAAATGTTTACTATTAGAAGTGCAGATTTACCCCCAACTTTTAAGATTGCTTTAAATCACTTGCCCCAGTCTGGGTAGGCATAGGTGTGGGCATGCCCTCCCACATACTCACAGATACAAACACACACAATATCCTGGCATCTTGGTGCCTCTTTTTACCTGCCCTGGCCCAAGATCATGTAGGAATATGAATTTAGGGGCTGATCTCAACAACCTCATGAGGTTTTCTTTACTCTCTCCCAAAAAACAGTTACCTAAAATGAAGGGCAGTGGGAAGGCTTTTCACAAGGGGAAAGGTGGATTTTTCTATTTCTTGACCTGAGAGGTTGTTACGTGTATATTTACTATGTTCATTCGCTATACCATGTATATTTTATGCTTTTTTTTTTCTTCTTTTTGAGACATAGTCTCGCTCTGTCGCCCAGGCTGGAGTGCAGTGGTGCTGTCTAGGCTCACTGCATCCTCTGCCTCCTGGGTTCAGGCAATTCTCCTGCCTCAGCCTCCCGAGTAGCTGGGCCTACAGGCACATGCCACCATACCTAGCTAATTTTTGTATTTTTAGTAGAGATGGGGTTTCACTGTGTTGGCCAGGCTCCCGACCTTGTGATGCATCTGCCTTGGCCTCCCAAAGTGCTGGGATTACAGGCATGAGCCACTACGCTTGGCCTATTTTATGCATTTTTATGTGTATGAGTTATTTCATAAAAAGCTATAAGAAAATGAAAAGGAAGACTAAAAGGGTGGGAAAACATATTACTTTTTAACCTAAAAATGAAAAAAAAAGGGCCAGATTTACCATTACTTTTGAATGTAGACAACAGAGCAAATAGGATTAACTGATTGGAAAGAAGAAAGGAGATAATAGTCTCTGAGTCTTTGTAAACTGAAATGATCCAGCAGAATTCTACACTTCCTTTTCTGACGCTTCCTGATGGATGTGGTTTCTTACAGCCAGGATGTTCCATACCTGCTGATATTCATTCAGCCAGTCTCCAGCCTGCATTGTCCTTGGGGCTGAGGAAACAAAGGTGCACACCTCAATGTGGGCCTTCAGATGGAGAAATGGAGGAGTAAACAGTCAATTGCACTGCAGAGTGACAAGTGCTAAGATAGCCATATACACAGGGTACTCTGGGAGCACAGAGCCTAACCTGAGCCTCAAAGGACTTGCTGTCATGAATGCAAAGATGAAACAAAAGGGCAAACTGAAAGCACAGACCAAGGTGTTTGAGAGTATGTTAGGTTAGGCACAGTGATTTGTTAACAGTAGTCAAGGCAGGGATAAATACTTCTCTGGGCCTCCTCATAAGTTCATCTGTTGTGGGATACTGTGTACAAAATAGGGCTCTACTGATTAAAAACAAATATAAATATATATATTTATTTATTTATTTTATACTACATACATAAAATCGATAATCTAAAGTCAGCCGGGCACAGTGGCTCACACCTGTAATCCCAGCACTTTGGGAGGCCAAGGCAGGTGGATCACCTGAGGCCAGGAGTTCGAGACCAGCCTGGCCAACATGGTGAAACCCCCGTCTCTGCTAAAAATACAAAAATTAGCTGGGCATGGTGACAGGTGTCTGTAGTCCTAGGTACTCGGGAGGCCAAGGCAGGAGAATCGCTTGAACCCAGGAGGCAGAGGGGTTTTTTTGTTTTTTTTTTGAGACAGTCTTGCCTTGTCGCCCAGGCTGGAGTGCAGTGGCGCAGTCTTGGCTCACTGCAAGCTCTGCCTCCCGGGTTCACGCCATTCTCCTGCCTCAGCCTCCTGAGTAGCTGGGACTACAGGCACCCGAGGAGGCAGAGGTTTTAATGAGCCAAGATTGTGCCACTGCACTCCAGCCTGGGTGACAGAGCGAGACTCTGTCTCTAAATAAATAAATAAATACAAGCAGTGGGCCTCTCTGGAAGCCTGTTGGCTAAGAGGGTGTTAGCATGATCAGATGAGATTGGTAAGATCATTAGCTCGTTGGCTGTTCTTTGATGGAGCATTTGGGGAAAGAATGAAGGAAGCGGGGAGACCAATGAGGGGCCTGCATGTCAGTTAAAGCCGTAGCAATAACTTTTGTTGGATCTGGGGTGCTAATGGGGAACATGGTTCTAATAGAAGGGCTCCTAAATAGTCTTTTCCTCAGAATTTCCTTAATACTCTATGGATATCTGAAAACATATACCATCATATATAGTCCTAACTACTCTTTTCTAGAAGACCATCTTATTTATTAGCTCAGAGAGATGAATCAGCTTTGATGTTCAGAATTCATAGATTAGATATTCATGGGCATGCTTAGCATGCACAACTTAATATATGCCTTGTAGTGTGCAAGCGTGTAGCAAAGCATGGTTTCTGCATTTGAGATTTTTAAAAACTGACTTAACGGTATATGGAATCTTAAATTTTCCTAGAATCTGCCAGCTCATGAAAAAAAAAGAATTCAAGTGTCCTTGTTGCAAACATGGTGTTGGTTTTATCATTGCACAATCAGCAATTTTATTTTGACGTTATTTGGGGGGAAGCAGTATTTTTGATTAGCAAGTAAAATTAATGTAGAAAACAAATACTGTGTTAACTATTTGGTATAATAAGGCATCTGTGCCATGTTGCATTTCAACTCATTAAATTTCTAAACTTCTAATTACGATAAGTTACAACTGTAATAGGAAAACCAATCAAACTTGGAGTCATTGATAGCTTTAGAGAAGTAAAATTTATAGTAACTTTGGAATTACTGAGGAGACCTTTAAAATCTAATTTAGTTAAAAATTGAAATATACACAATATTTAAATTTTTTTGGTTGTAAAATTCACATTTATTGGGCACCTACTACTTAGCAAGTCTTCTTCCAGGAACTTTAACACGAGTGAGCACTTGAATTCCTCACAGCTCTGTCAAGCAAGCAGTACTGTCCTCCACATTACAGATGGGGCACTCAAGACTCCAAGTGGCCTATCTCAAGTAACACAACTGTAAGGTGATAAAGCCACATTCGATTTTCATTGCTTTGTCACAGAAGTACATGCCTATCTTATATGACTTATGGCATTTAAAAGCAGAGTTTATCCAAGTAGTAATTTAAAGGATGTTTTTCTTTTAAAGTTTAAAATATTGGTTGTAAATGCAGCAACATTCCTGAGCTTAAGTTCAAGAACTCAACCGTTATATGAGTTTTTACCAGTGTATTAAGCAAAAACATTTGAACATGAGCTAATTGTTATTAAAGGAAAACAAAGACAATTTTTATATTTTTATTTTGGATCTGCCAGCATCAAACAGGTATACCAAATATACTTTCGGAGAATGACCTAAGGCAAGGAAAAGAAAAAGGAAAAAATTGTTTAGACAGTCTCATTTTCAGAGCAGTGTTTCTTTTATTTTGTCTTGGTCCTCTGGAAGTGAAAGGTTTGCTTTGTTTGAGGCACACTTGCCTCCTTATTTCCCAGTATAGTATGAGAATTTATAAACGTGGGCCAGTTTGTTTTTTAGTGCTACAAAAAATAAATGCATTTGGAACAGGAAAGAACAAGAAAGTCAGGTGTTTAACTTTTTGTTTGTGAAGCTCATTATAGTATTCTGATTTTGATCAGTTTACATTTGTACTTTTTTTCCGTCACAAGATTAAGAGAAAATTGTTTTCAACTTCCAATTCCATACCTTCTCCACTCTGAGTGGCAACTGTAGATAACAGGACCCTAACCGGCCCTGGGTTCTCTCTCGCACCTCTGCTTTTGTCATTCCAGCACTTTGCTAGTCTTCCCCCTTGAATGCACCAACATCCTAACGTGGCTCGCTCTTCAGTTCCAGTTAAACTCAGCGTTTATCAGGGAAGTTTTTTCTGTATTTGCTCCCCCACCCCCCACCACATATGTCACCCTCAATTTCTTATGGCAACTTAGGTATACCTTTGCCATAGTGTCCCGTTGTAATCATTTTCTTTACTTTCTTCCATGTGCGAGTGTGAGACTGTATGTGTTCATATGAATGAAACTCTTCACTGGCTGGCTCTTCATTCAGTCTCATGACCTGGGTTATACACTATTTTCTCTTCCCATCTGTCTTTGGACAACTGTGCTTAAGCTCATTAGGTCCAAATTGAGCTCTTTTCAGTTGGACTGCCACTGTCCCCCTTATTGAGAGTCCTCACTCTTCTTTCTCCCTCACCTCTTCTACTGTTATGAAGTTCCATCATTTCTACCTTCTAAATATATCTCATATTTCATACCTCTCTCTCCGCCCCCTCTACTTTTTCCTTAGTTTGGTCCTCATCGTCTGTCTAGAGTAGACTATTGTAGATCCTCTAACCATCCGCCCTTCCTCTCAGTCCTAATCCCGGTCTATCTTTCATGTAACTGTCAATTACCATCCTAAAATGGCAATCTGTTTTGTATTTCCTTTCTAAAAGTCTTCTATTTAAGAGAAGCAGGGAAAATGGCTGGGACATCAGGGTTCCTTGGCACCAATTAACCAATGTGCTATGTCATGAAAAAAGGCTTGGATCAGCAGAGGGATGGAAGTGGCAAATGTTCACTGGTTGCTGTATGGTTTACATACTAATGTAAATATTCTTTAGGAGGCCAGTGACAGTGTCATCCCAGTTTCTCTCCCTACTTCCTGCTGAAGTCACCTAATTCTCCAGGTGTATGTGTCCCATGTTCACCAGTATCCAGACATTCCATATTCCTCTGTTTCTTTGTCTTCACGTATACTGTTTCCTCTATCTGGAGTCCTTCCTATCCACATCTACCTTATGAGTGCCTTCCAGATCCAGACTCCCATCTTCATCATGTCGCATGATGCTTCTCATACAATAAATGCTAAATAAACATTTATTGAACTTATTCACATTCCAAATGTGGAAATGAAGTTAGTTGGGACATCTGCCCATTTAATAATTATTCTATGTTGTAGTCCCAGGGAACTCATGGAATTTGGTTGAAGGCTTTTATAAACTGTGTATTTTTTACTTAAAGCTAAAAGAGATTGAATCTACACATGGGTTTCCTTAAAAAGGAATATAGCCAAGAGGATTAAAGTCAGGGTACAAGGCCGGGCATGATGGGTCATGCCGGTAATCCCAGCACTTTGGGAGGCCGAGGTAGATGGATCACTTGAGGTCAGGAGTTCGAGACCAGCCAGGCCAACACGGTGAAACCCTGTCTCTACTAAAAATACAAAATTAGCCTGGCGTGGTGGCGTGCGCCTGTTATACCAGCTACTCCAGAGGCTGAGGCAGGAAAACCACTTGAACCCGGGAGGTGGAGGTTGCAGTGAGCCGAGATCATGCCACTGTACTCTAGCCTGGGCAACAGAACAAAACTCTGTCTCAAAAAAAAAGTCAGGGTATAAATGATTCCATATTGCTTAGGTAGTTCTCTACCCGCTTCCCCATCCATAGAACCATAGTCTTTTAGAGCTAGGAAAGGTACTAGGTCACAATAATTGGAAGTTGCTGAAATCTTTGAGATTTTTTTAGGTGTTTGAAATAGTGGATTCCAATTCACATATGAAGTCCTTCTTTAATTAAAATAGCAAAATTGAAATTGAGATTTTAAAATTATACCACCAAACCCACCCAAAAAAGATAGCTAGTGAATTTTTTTAGTTATGGCAAACAAAGTCCAGAGTTCAGAACATTAGTGTAAGAAAATAACAATTGATTCATTTTATTTATTAGTGAAATTGAAAAATTGGGGATTGGCAAAGCAGTTAAGGTGTTGGTAATCTATCATCATGGGTATTTATTGAACTACCACATAGTTTTAGATCCTATAGAGGAGTCGTAATTGTATGATATTTTAAACTTGCTGTTTTAAAACTTAAAATATTAGGTAGACATGGAGGCACCCACCTGTAGTCCCAGCTACTTGGGAAGCTAAGGTAGGATTCCCTTGAGCCCAGGAGTTTGAGGCTATAGTGTGCTGTGATTGCACCTGTGGATAGCCACTGCACTTGCTTGGGCAAAATAGCAAGACCTTGTCTCCCAAAATAAACAAACAAAATCCTTAAAATGTTATTGGTCATATAAAGATGTGATAAGTGAAATAGAGAGCAGTAGATGCTAGTATGCAAAATAGTGCATTCTGAAATATATGAGTGTGAAACTGCATTTACATACCAAATCATATTTTTACACTAATTTCCATTTTGTGGAGGCAGCATGATTTCCTGGAAAAGCATGTAGGACTTGCAGTTGGGAGGCCTGAATTCTGGACCTGACCCTTGATGCTAATTACCTGTGTGGTTTAGGGCAAGTTACTGTTTCCTCTTTGAAGTTTAGTCCCCACATTTGTAAAAGGGATACTGGGTAAACTAGTTGAGGTTTTCTATCCTATCTAAGTCTGTAAATTGCATTTTCATGAAATCCTCTCAGTGCTAAAGATGGAATTTTAGGCAGTTTTGACAATCCCCTGGACTAAAAGAAATAGCAGATGTACTGTTCCTTTCAAAGTCCAGTCTCTGTTTAGTATATTTAGAAGTCTGTTTATGAAAACACTCATCTCTAGACAAACTCATTTGTCTCATTGGTGGTTCTGCATCTTCTTCCAAATTACTGACCTCACACACTGCTTAGCATTCCAAGGTGCAACACATCAAAAAAGAAATTGCACCATTCTCCAAAGCACCTCACTCATAGCAGTGTCGTCCCATTCAATTAGAGGTGGCAAAGGCTGGCCTGGCTCCAAAGGAAGACTGTCAATTCCTCTCTTTTTCTGTGTCCACGCTTGGCAGGATGCTTCCTCACGCCCACCTCTCTCCCCCTTGCTGTGACTTTAGCTTCCGCCAGATGTCACACCGCTGCTTGTCACCGCTCAGACTCTTGTCGCTGATTTTGTTGTTTCAGTGTATTTATCACAACCATTCTCTTTAGCTGTAAAATTTATGGAATTTCACGCTCTTAGTTACTACAGTGTTTCTTTTTCATAAGAGAGGGAATATACAAGGAGTCATATGCACAAGAGTTGGAGGGAAGGGAACACTTAATCTAACTTAAGTAAAGTTTGCCTGTGTGCAGTGCACACTCGCCACCCCCAAATGTAGAAGAGTCCAAAGTGGCACTGAGCTCAGTTCTGTGGGACTCAGATGCTCAGAAGTTTTTAAGAAGTCTATTTCAGTCTCGGAAAGAAGTACATAAGAGATGTGCTTATCAGCCAATTCCCCTGTCTTCTTAAATTTGATCTTTTAGTAACCAACAAAAGTTGGACAATTTTATTGGCTCTCTGTAGCCCACTTCTTGATCTTACTATCTAGTCAAATCTGTTGATAATGCAGTCAAATCCTAAAAGTGGTGGTGGTAGTGTTGTGGTAATAGTCAATCTGCATTATTACAATATATCAGGCATTGCACTGAGCACTTTACATGTATTTATCTAAACCTTACCACAACCTTATAATGATGGGTACTTTTATTATCCTTATTATACAGATGAAGAAATCTCAAAATGACCTAAATGCACTTCACTGTGAAAATAAACTCATGTACTCATTAAAGGAGGAAAAGATACATTTGTCTAGTTTCGTCCTCACCCCACCCTCACTGCCTTCTATTAAGAGGCAAAATTTTGGTGGTACCTCATGCTAGAAGCTGAAGTTCATTCTGAATTCCCAGGCTGGTTCATTTAAAATTTTTTCTTTGTATATCAATTAGACACAACTTTAAACATGTTGGTGTTTGCATTGCAGACCATTGATGGTGATTGCCAAGACCTTTGGGTAGAGAGTATCTTAGCTAAATGTTTGGGTTCACTTGGATGAATGTTTGGATATTTAGGTTAATTCAATACTATATATAATGTTCAGTCTTAGCTTATGGTGTGGAAGAAGCCTAGTCTTGTATGTTGCAGTTCTTCCCCTTGGGGACCTCAAAACTTTGTCTTACTACTTAGACTTACTATCTAAACAATTAGAATAGTGGAGACAACCAAAGGCTAGATTATATCATGTACAGAATAGAGATTTCATTTTAAAAGATTCTTGGTAATCTTTGCGAAGGATTACTTTGTAAGAGATTCTTTGTCAAGAGGATCACTGGCAGTGCTCTCATTATTGATTAATGTTTTCATTTCCCCAGATAATTAGGCAAATCCTTAAGTATGTAACATCATGGGGAACTAAGGGAACTGATGAAAAACTGTCTAGAAAGTAGCTTTACCACTCAGAGTAGACACATTTGGAAGGGAAGAAATGACATGGTTAGGGAGGGTTGACCATGAAGTAGATATGCTCTACGTGTCTAGTACAAATGCTTGTGACACTGAACACCATTACCCTAGGGCCCCTGGAAAGAGTCCCAGGAATGAGAGAGGAGGAAACTCATTTACTGACTGCTTTTCTACCATGTGTCAGGCACTGTGCTGGGCACTAACATCCTTCCATATCCCTTTATGAAGACACATAGGAATTTCCCTCGTATCTCAGTGCCAGAAGTAGTTGGGCTTCTCCTGAGTACTTGCATTGTTTATAGAGTCTTTACTGTTTCGGGCATTACACTTATTATCCACATGCATTATCTTTTGGAATCCTCACTGCAGCAACCCTTTTGTAGTAGGGATCATCCCATGTTTTAAATGAGAAATTAAAATTCAGAGAGATTAAATGACTAACTTTTCTAAAGTCACAGCCCAACTCTTTCTTATTTATTTATGCTATTGGTCTCCTCTTTGTTCAGTTCTGAATGCCTGGCCTGTATCCTAAGCTTTTCTTTACTTAGCACCCTGTGTCTAGAGGGAGGTAGAAAGAGAAGGACCCAAGCCTAGCAAAAAGCAACAATAGATGTACATTCATGGAGATGCTGGCAGTTGACTTAAACTTGAACCACTTCTCAGAAGTAGCACTTATTGCTTTCTCACATTTGTTTAGTGACTTTTCTTTTTATTTGGTAGAAATAGGGTCTTACTCTGTTGCTAGTCAGTCTGTAGTACAGTGGGGGGATCATAGTTCACTGTATGCCGGGGCTTAAGGATCCTCCTGCCTCAGCCTTCCAAGTAGCCCCCTAACCTAGATTTTTTTTTTTTTTTCCCATAGAGACAGGGTCTTGCCATCTTGCCTACACTGGTCTTGAACTCCTAGGCTCAAGCAGTCCTCTCACCTTGGCCTCCCAAAGTGCGGGATTACAGGCATGGGCCACTGTGCTCAGCCAAGCCAGAGATCTTTGGTGGAGCATTGTCAGAAGAATTTTACAAACTGCAAGTTGTTGCACAGATGTATTGATTTAATTAGTCTAGATAACACCATTTATTTATGCTTAAGCATCTCACACATGCAAAAGTTGGTAATTCAAAGTCACACAATAATTTGTGAGTTATCTTCAATACCAGGAGTTGTAGCTTCTGAATACCAACTTTGGTAAGTATATGTGTGCGTCAGATGCCTAAGCATGAGTAAATGATACTATATAGACCAATTAAGTGATGGAGTTTGCTTCTGAAATTCTGTTGACATCCTATTTCATCTAAAATTTTCTGGTAGTGGATTTTAAATAACATTTATTGTTCTAAACAATTTAATCTCATAGTATGGACAAGATCTTCATTGAAGACAAAACATCTGGGTTCTAACAAGGCCTCTTTGAGTATCTGGGGGAATACTTAATATACCATTGCAACTTGATGAAATTGTCTTGGCTAAGTATACAGTGAGTGTTCTGGCTAGTTAGTAGAGAAGAGTAGAGATTATCCTCTTAGCAAAAAGATTTAACTTACTTTGTGATAGGTAAAAGACTGTATTATTAATTCTCTTGGGGAGGGATACCAGTTTCTCTTTGCTATTCTGCCTCTTTTCCTCCCTCTTTCTCTCTTCTAATTTTAACTGTAAGAACACCAAGGTATTCTATGTCTGCCAGATTTTGCAGTACTGTTTTCACACTTATATATAACTAATAGCATTTTTAAAATCTGTAGCTAATTTAAGCAGGTTTGTTGTTGTTTAAAGTGATAAGCTTTCAAAAAGAGACTGGGATGTAGTTATGTAGTAGGAATTTTGGTAGCATCTTTTCTTCCAGAGTTTGGGTTGTTTTACCGTTATTATTTTTTCTCATTATATTTCCTAGAAGATAGAAAGGAGAAAGATTAATTAACCCAGTTTTACATGTTAAAAAAAAAAAAACCCAGAAGCTCATAGGGGTTAAGTTTTTTGCCTAAGGTCAGCTTTACTAAGAAGGTACTCAGAATGCACAGAGAATTCCAGAGCTTGGCAGAGTGCCGCACGCTACTCATTGGGAAATACAATAGGCAGATAATTATTTTCTCAGAAGTCTTGACTGCTGGTCAACTTATTTCTCTCTGGGACTACCCACTGTCCTATCACTAAAACAGAAACTTATTTGGAGGTGAGGACTACTCTGTAATCTCCAGGCGATGTTAGGAACCCTTTCTACTTAGCACAGCTGGCTTAGAATTCCAAGTAAGTATATAATATGAGTTTCATGCTAGGCACGGTGGCTCAAGACTGTCATCCCAGCACTTTGGGAGGCCAAGGTGGAAGGATTACTTGAGCCTAGAAGTTGAAGGCCAGCCTGGGCAACATAGTGAGACCCCATCTCTCTCTCTCTCTCTCTCCTTTTTTTTTTGGAGATAGAGTCTTGCTCTATTGCCCAGGCTGGAGTGGTGCAGTAGCACTATCTCGGCTCACTGCAGCCTCTGCCTCCCAGGTTCAGGCGATTCTCATGCCTCAGCCTCCCAAGTAGCTGGGATTATAGGCTCGTGCCACCACGCATGGCTAATTTTTGTATTTTTCGTAGAGACAATATTTCACCATGTTGGCCAGGCTGGTCTCAAACTCCTAACCTCAAGTAATCTGCCCGCCTCGGCCTCCCAAAGTGCTGGGATTACAGGCATGAGCCACCGTGCCCGGCCAAGACTTCATCTCTTAAAAAAATAATAATAAATCAGCAGGGCATGGTGGTAGGTGCCTATAGTCGTAGCTGCTCAGGAGGCTGAGGTGGGAAATTCACTTGAGCCTAGGAGTTTGAGGCTGCAGCGAGCTATGATTGCACCACTGCACTCCAGCCTGGGCGACAGAACAAAAGCCTGTTACTCCCCTCCCAACCCCTCCCCCCAAAAAAAGCAAAAACCATGAGTTTTTTAAGGCTGCCAAGTGGCCGTGTTAATCAGTGTTCAAAGAATGTTAAATGCCACTTTTAGGACCATTAGCTATTACACTTCATGCTTCATAATGAGGTGTCTCACTTACTGTGCGTTTAATTAAATACATAGACAAATTTAGGGATGGGGACATATCCATGGGCAAGGCCTGCTTACTACCCGCTGAAGCAAAGGCAAGAGGAGAAACACATCCTGCAGAGAAAAAGAAAGCCATATAAAATGGAAGTCCCACCCCTGATGCCTGGGGGCATAGACAGACTGAATTTAACATGGTAAATGGCGCAGCTGGTGTAGAAAAAAAAAATCATCCATTTGGAGATGAAGAGCAACGCAGACTCAGTCATGGTTCTCTATAAAACTTATGTTTTTAGATTTGCAGGTAATACAAAGAAAGGATACCTATAAATCCAAGTTATAATTATTTTTTGTTGCTTTTTATTTGTCTCAAAATTACTTTTCAGTTAAGTCTGGTGATTTGATTTAAATATTTGAGACTTATGGCCGGGCGCAGTGGCTCACGCCTGTAATCCCAGCACTTTGGGAGGCCGAGGCGGGCGGATCACGAGGTCAGGAGTTCGAGACCAACCTGGCCAACATGATGAAGCCCTGTCTCTACTAAAAATACGAAAATTAGCCGGGTGTGGTGGAGGGCGCCTGTCATCCCAGCTACTTGGGAGGCTGAGGCAGGAGAATCGCTTGAACCTGGGAGGTAGAGGTTGCGGTGAGCCAAGATCGCACCATTGCTCTCCAGCCTGGGGGACAAGAGCCAGACTCCGTCTCAAAAAAACAAAAAAACAACAACAAAGAAAGAGACTTACTATCCCTCCCTACCTCATGAGTTGTTTCTTTTCTCTCTCTTTCTCTTTTTTTTTGAACCCAGGCTGGAGTTCAGTGGCACAGTCATGGCTCATGGTAGCCCTGACCTCCTTGGTTCAAGTGATCCTCCCACCTTAGCCTCCTGAGTAGCTGGGACCACAGGTGCGCGCCATCATGCCCGGCTAATTTTTTAGTTTTTTTGTAGAAACCAAGTCCCACTGTGTTACCTAGGCTGGTCTGAAACTCCTGGGCTCAAGCAAGCCTCCCACCTCAGCTTCCCAAAGTGCTGAGATTATACCTGTGAGCTACTGTGCCCAGCTATAAGTTGTTTCTTTAGTAGTGGGCATGCAGTTTACCATTTGGGATTGGTCCAGATGCCCAGACTGAGTTTGTTTATTTCATTTGATGTGGTTGGAGCATCTGCTTTTTTCAGTCAGTGGCCTGGCATTCTCAGAATTGTTCGTTGGTTTCAACAATTAGGAATGACAAAAGAGCACCTATGCTTTGCCTTTGCAGTGCTTGCAAAATTTTTTTTTATTTTAAATTTTTGTGCGTTCATCGTATGTGTGTATATATATATTGGGTATATGGGATATTTTGATACAGGCATACAATGTGTAATAATCACATCAGGGTAAATGGGGTATCTCTCACCTCAATCATTTCTCCTTTGTGTGACAGACAACCCAATTATACTCTTTTAGTTATTTTAAAATATACAGTTAAGCTATTATTAACTATAGTCACTCTGTTTTGCTATCAAATACTTTTTGAAGAAGTGCTTTTATACAGGTTCTCATCCATAGACTTTAAGAAGATGGCAGCTTTTTCATATACCTTAAAGTGCTCCAAATGCCCTTCCTTTCAAAGAGAACAAGCTGACGTCCCTTGACCTGTTACCATACTCCAGGTCCTCTAGATTTCCCTACATTTTTACTTTCATTGTGATTTACTCAGTTGCTGCTAATATTTTCTTTCTCATGAAGAGTCAGAATATTCTCATTTGCCATGGGAAGAGATGTTGGTGTTCTGCTTTAGTTATCACTTTGCCATATCTTTTCTTTGCAGACCCCATATCATGTGAACCTCCTCCTGGCTGGCTATGATGAGCATGAAGGGCCAGCGCTGTATTACATGGACTACCTGGCAGCCTTGGCCAAGGCCCCTTTTGCAGCCCACGGCTATGGTGCCTTCCTGACTCTCAGTATCCTCGACCGATACTACACACCGAGTAAGTATTAATACTCTAGGGAGGGAGCAGTGGCAGAGCCCTGCCCTCAGCTGCTTCCCAGGTTTGTCCACTCTTGGAGTTGGGTGGCCAGGGCTTGAATAGGATGGATCCTAAGAAGCATAACCAGGTTCCCCTCTGGAAGCTGCACTCTTCTGTCAGTCAGTAGGGTCTTCCAAAAGCTGATGTAAGTTCTATTTTTTGCCATTCAAAATGAGATAGTACATATCTCTAGAGCTGGGTTTTGTTTTGAAGGAGGATTGGAATAGATGTCACAGTGAATAAAACATTTTTATTGGGTTCTAAAATCCTTCATTTCTAAGAGTTCAAGTTTTTTCACTTATTTTGCTTTGCCTAGATTTTTGGCATCTCAGTAAAGAATGAGTGGGTAAAGCAAGTAGCTGTATATTTGTTTGGAACTTGCAAGGATGAACAGGTCCCCAGCATGACAACTGAAGGTTTCTTTGCTTAAACATCAAAGCTTTCTAAGGCTACAAATCTGAGCCTTCCCTTGGTTGTCACCTAATGGCTGCCTCCTCTTGAAAGAAAAAGCCGTCGCTCTACTTGTCCGTAAAGCGTCAGTTTGGCAAAACTTCAGATACAGGGATGCTTTTTTAAAATTTTATTTTTTAATTGACAAATAATAATTGTACATATATTCATAGAGTACATCATGATGTTTCAATACATGTAATGTAAACAGATCATGGTAGTTAGTATATTGATCATCTCAAACATTTATCATTTTGTGTTGGGAACATTTAGTATCCTCCTTCTAGCTATTTGAAACTATATATTGTTAGCCATAGTAATTTTACAGTGGTATAGAACAATAGAACTTATTCCTCTGTCTATCCATAATTTTCTATCTTTTTTTTTTTTTTGAGGCAGAGTCTCCCTCTGTCGCCCAGGCTGGAGTGCAGTGGAGTGATCTCGGCTCACAGCAACCTCCGCCTCCCAGGTTCAAGCAATTCTCGTGCCTCAGCCTCCCAAGTAGATGGGATTACAGGCGTGTGCCACCACGCCTGGCTAGTTTTTGTATTTTTTGTAGAGATGGGGTTTCACCATGTTGGCCAGGCTGGTCCAGAACTCCTGACTTCAAGTGATCCACCCGCCTTGCCCTCCCAAAGTGTTGGGATTACAGGCGTGAGCCACCGTGTCCTGCCAATTTCGTATCTTTTAACAAATGTCCCCCATCCCTTACAGAGGATTTCTCAGCCTCTAGTATCCTCTATTCTACTTTTTACTTCTATGAGATCAGCTTTTTTAGCTTCTACATATGAGTGAGAACGTGCAGTGTTTTAACTTTGTTCTTGGCTTATTTCACTTAGCAGAATACCGTCCAGTTCCATTCATGTTGAATGACAGTATTTCCTTTTTTATGGATGAATAGTATTTCATGGTGTATATATACCACATTTTCTTTATCCATTGATCTGTTCTCGGACACCTAGGTTGGTTCCATATCTTGGCTATTGTGAATAGTGTTGCAGTAAACACTGGGGTGCAATATTTCCCCAGTGATATAATGATTTCATCCAATATAATGATTTCCTTTCTTTTGGATAAATTCCCAGTAGTGGGATTGCCAGATCATATGGTAGTTCTATTTGTAGTTTTTTGAGGGACCGCCATACTGTCCTCCCTAGTGGCTATACTAGTTTGCATTCCTACCAACAGTGTATAAAGAATTTCCTTTTCTCTACATCCTTGCCAGCATTTGTTGTTTTTTGTCTTTTTGATAATAGCTATTCCTAACTGGGATGAGGTGTTACCTCATTGTGGTTTTGATTTGCATTTCTGTGATGATTAGTGATGTTGAGAATTTTTTCCATATATTTGTTGGCCATTTGTATGTCTTTTGAAATGTCTGTTGAGATGATATGCCCATTTTTTAATGAATTTTTGTTCTCTATTGAGATATTTCGGTTCCTTATATTTTCTGGATATTAACTCCCTGTTGGATGAGTAGTTTGCATGTATTTTCTCCCATTCTGTAGGTTGCCTTTTCACTCTTGTTTCCTTTGCTGTGCAGAAGCATTTTAGTTTGATGTAATCCTGTTTGTTTATTTTTGCTTTTGTTGCCTGTGTTCATGAGATTATTCATAAAATCTTTTTCCAGATCAGTGTCCTGAGGCTTTTTCCCTGTGTTTTCTTCTAGTTTCTGGTCTTAAATTGAGGTCTTTGATCCATTTTGAGTTGAATTTTGTATAGGGTAAGAGGTGAGGGTCTGGTTTCATTCTTCTGTGTATGGATATCCAGTTTTTCTAGCACCATTTATTGAAGAGACAGACTGTCCTTTCCCCAATGAGTGTTCTTGGTACCTTCATCAAAAGTCAAATGTAGATATGTGGCTTAATTTCTTAATTTCTCTATTCTGTTTAATTGGTCTATGTGTCTATTTTTATGCCAGTAGCATACTGTTTTGGTTACTACAACTTTGTGATATATTTTGAAGTCTGGTAGTGGTATCAACTACCAGATTTGTTCTTTTTGTTCAGGATTGCTTTAGCTATTCAGAGTCTTTTGTGGTTCCTTACAAATCTTAGGATTTTTTTCCATAATTCTGTGAGGCATGTCATTGGCATTTTGATAGGGATTGCATTGAATATATAAATTTCTTTGGGTAGTGTTGTCATCTTCATAATATTAATTCTTCTGATCCATGAGCATGAGATGTATTTCCATTCGCTTGTATCCTCTTCAGCTTATTTCATCAGTGTTTTATAGTTTTCGTTATAGAGGTCTTTCATCTCCTTGGTTAAATTTATTCCTAGGTATTTTATTTTCTTTGATTTTTGTGTCTATTGTAAATGGGATTGCCTTCTTGATTTCTTTTTCAGCTAGTTTGTGTATAGAAATACTGATTTTTGTATATTAATTTTGTATCCTGCAACTTTATGGAATTCATTTATCAGATGTGAGAGTTTTCTGGTGGGGTCTTTAGGTTTTTCTATATAGAAGATCATGTCATCTGCAAATAGGGACATTTGACTTCCTGCTTTCCAATTGGGGTACTCTATTTCCTCCCCTTGCCTAAGTGCTCTGGTTAGGACTTCCTAGACACAGGGATGCTTTTGTGCTAAGTTCCATCTTCTGACCCCAGTCCTAACCTCGACTTTAGCCTCTGTGGGCAGTGGGTACTTTGGAATTCTTAGCTTTTACAGACTATAGATGAAGCACAGATAACCACTTCTCTCCTTACATTCCATTCTTCACTGTCAGTATCGTAAGAATCTGGCATGTTCATTCTTTTTTGGTGCTGCCCTCTCGCTCAACCTTAGCCACGCTAGAGCTCCAGGCCACATCCTGAAAAGAATTAGCCTGGCCTCCCAGTGACTTTCTTGATTTGGCATCTGTCAGTAATACAGCTGATTTGCCCACCAAAATAACTACTAGCCACCCCTGAAGCCTGAGTGCATAACATGTCGTCCCAGTTTGCCACGCCCACAGACAGTTCCTTTGGCTCCTATTTGGGGAGAGTCTCAGCCCCATCCTATGAATTCTCTTCCCATTGTTAAACAGAGACCCAGCTGGGAAAACAAGGCTGAAATTCTGACCCCATCGTCTCTTTCCCTGATTTGCAGCTGACTGGGGCAGATGGAATTGATTCAAACCCTGGACTAAGGGGGAGTGAAAGGGGTGGGTTATGATAAAGAGAGACAGGCTGCTGGACTTCTTCAGAGGTGGGCCCTGGCCAGGGGAGGCAGAATTCCTTCATGCTCACCCTTTACTGTAGCAAATCAATTTGCAATGGCTTATAGCTGCTGGAGCACTGGGTCTGGGGCCCCCCCAGCTGCATGTGGAGTAAGTTGATTGCAGGCTAGAAGGCAAAGCATTTTTTGCCTTTTACGTTTGTGTGGCACTGAGACCTGAAGAAGCCAGATTTGGAACTTAATCAAAAGCTTCTGAGAGTTGGATATAATGACAGCACCGGAAGTATTTGGTCTCTGTGTTCTCTTTCAGCTATCTCACGTGAGAGGGCAGTGGAACTCCTTAGGAAATGTCTGGAGGAGGTGAGTAGTTCCCATAGGATCCTGAAAGGAATGTTTGTCTCTCTGTTTGCCAGTGTTGTTCCTGTTCCTCAGTTATATTTTTTCAGATTTTTGCCAGAAGGTGTAATACATACCCACTAACCAGATGTGAAGTTGCTACCAGGGATAGAGTTTGGTGTGGATAGCAAGCTCACTTTTCTCTCACAGATTACCTCCTCAATGTCAGTTTTATAATTTAATTCTTTCTGGTTTATCCAAACCAGTGGTTCTCAAATTTTAGTGTGTGTAAGTATCACCTGGGAAACCTGTTAAACAGATTGCCATCTCTGCCCCAACCCTCAATTCTGAGTCCACTGTTCTGAGGTACAAACTGGGAAGCTCTGCTTTAACTGGCAGTCCCAGGTGATTTTCCTACAGGTGGTAACTGAGGCTGTACTTGAAGAACTTCTGCTCTAGACTTTATTTTTTTATTTGAGACGGAGTTTCGCTTTTGTTGCCCAGGCTGGAGTGCAGTGGCACGATTTCAGCTCACTGCAACCTCCGCCTCTGGGTTCAAGCAATTCTCTTGCCTTAGCCTCCCGAGTAGCTGGGATTACAGTTGCCCACCACCATGCCCGGCTAGTTTTTTGTATTTTTAGTAGAGACAGGGTTTCACCATGTTGGCCAGGCTGGTCTTGAACTCCTGACCTCAGGTGATCCGCCTGCCTCGGCCTCCCAAAGTGCTGGGATTACAGGCATGAGCCACCACGCCCATCCCTGCCCTAGACTTTATACCTGCTCTGTTCTTGTGCCACCTGTAATTGCCATACTGCCTGCTCCCTTAATAGTGCTCGAGTCTTTGTAATCTGTGAGAAAAAGCCTCCCCTAAGAATTCAGGAGGACCATAGAAAGCAACTAGGAAGCTTTGGGCAGAAGGGGAGAGTAGACTTTGGCTTGCGAGGACAGGATTACAGAACACACCCTTTCTAACACTACTCCTTAGAGTCTAAGGCTTTGGGTATAGATGGAGAATGGGGGAATGGGGAGGTCAAAAACCAGCCACATTAGTTTTTTTCATTCTTTTACTGTTCCTGTGGCTTAAGGATGAACTTGACCTCGTGGTTTAGTAAGAGAGTAGGAAGATAAGAGCAGGAGCGTTGGGAGTAATGTCAGTTTGCTTCTTACACAAACCTTTTGTTTTCAGTCCACAGTGCCCACCCCACCCCCCGCTTTTTTTTTTTTTTTTTAAGAGATGGATCTCACTTTGTTGCCCAGGCTGGAGTGGAGTGCAGTGGCACCATCATAGCTCACTGCAGCCTGGATTTCTGGAACTCAAGCGATCCTCCCAAGTAGCTGAGACTACAGACAGGCACCACCATGCCCAGCTCATTTTATTTTTAAGAGATGGGGTCTTGCTATGTTACCTAGGCTGGTCTTGAACTCCTGGGCTCAAGATATTCTTCCACCTCAACCTCCCAATTACAGGCCTGAGCCACAGCTCCTGGCCTCTGCTTCGTTCTGAGGACAATCACTCTTTGTTAGCTTATTATCTTGAGACATTTTAAGAGAGACGTCTGTGTTTACCAGACTGATGGGTAACAGACTATGGGGAACAGAACACTGGATTGTCTCATTCTTTCGTCAGCTGACTGACCAGAGACAGGCTCTTAGTTGCACCTCCCAGTTCAGCCTCCCTGCCTCCCAGTCATCCTCCAGCTGCTGTTTGGGTACCCTCTACCACTAGAGTACTAGTGCCCTACTGCCAACTGCCTCCAGTAGAATATCAGTTCCACAAAAGCAGGGATTTTTGTTTGCTTGTATCCCCAGTGTCTAGAACAGAGCCTGGCACATAGAACTTAGTAATCATTTGTTGACTGATTTCCTCCATGTCTCTCTGCAGCTCCAGAAACGCTTCATCCTGAATCTGCCAACCTTCAGTGTTCGAATCATTGACAAAAATGGCATCCATGACCTGGATAACATTTCCTTCCCCAAACAGGGCTCCTAACATCATGTCCTCCCTCCCACTTGCCAGGGAACTTTTTTTTGATGGGCTCCTTTATTTTTTTCTACTCTTTTCAGGCGCACTCTTGATAAATGGTTAATTCAGAATAAAGGTGACTATGGATATAATTGAGCCCTCTGGTCCAGGTCTCAGTTTACCTAATATTACCTCAGAAAGGATATGGAGGGAAGATGATCTTTTTGCCAGGTCTGACTTTTCTTCCTGCTCCGCCCTCCATTAACGCTCAGTACCCTTTAGCAGCTGACGGCCCCACGTTCTACTCCATGCTTGGCTTCCTTTCCAACTAGCTCTTTCATATATTTTACTTGCTAGTATCTCCATTCTCTCTAAAGTAGTGGTTCTTTTTGCCCTTAAACTTAAATTTTTAAATTAATTAACCTGAATTAATAATACATGCACTTAATGTAACATGCAAACAGTACAAAAACATGTAGTGAAAAATATTTCTTCCAGAGCTGGGTGTGGTGGCTCATACCTGTAATCCCAGCACTTTGGGAGGCCGAGGCGGGCGGATCACGAGGTCAAGAGAGCGAGACCATCCTGACCAACATGGTAAAACCCCGTCTCTACTAAAAATACAAAAATTAGCTGGGCGTGGTGGCACGCACCCCTAGTCCCAGCTACTGGGGAGGCTGAGACAGGAGAATCGGTCGAACCCGGGAGGCAGAGGTTGCAGTGAGCCTAGATCGCGCCACTGTACTCCAGCCTGGCAACAGAGTGAGACTCCGTCTCAAAAAAAGAAGGAAAAATGTTTCTTCCATCCCTATAATCCAGTCATCTGCTTCCTGCTTCCCTTCCTGGAGGAAACTTCAGCTACTAATTTCTTATGTTTTTTAAGAGATATTCTGTTACTGTGTAAAGTATACATACATACAGACACATGCCCCCTTTAAATTTTTTAGATTTATTTATTTATTTAGAGACAGGGTCTCACTCTAGCCCAGGCTGGAGTGCTGTGGCGTAATCTTGGCTCACTGCAACCTCCGCCTCCCGGGCCCAAGTGATCCTCCCATCTCAGCCTCCTGAGTAGCTAGGATTACAGGCGCACACCACCAATGCCCAGCTAGTTTTTGTGTTTTTCATAGAGACAGGGTCTCACCATGTCATTCAGGTTGGTCTTGAACTCCTGGGCTCAAGCAGTCTGCCTGCCTTGGCTTCCCAGTGCTGGGATTACAGGCGTGAGCCACCGTGCCCGGCTAAAAAGTATTTTTAAGTTCTGCATATTGCTTATTTCACTTAACACTATATTAGAGATTGTTTTATATCAATACATATAGATATGCTTATTCTTGTTGACAGTTGCATAATTTTCCATTAAATTGATGTATCATGGGCAGTTAACCAGTTACTCGTTTTACTCTTAGCATAACTTTAGGGAACAATGTGGATGTTTTGTGGTTAAAGCTATTAAAACAGTGGTTCTTGACCAGATGTGTGTTTCAGAATGTTCATCTCACATTTCCAGTTGCTACTGATGCTGCTGGTCTAGGAACCACATATCAAAACCATTTGGTCTCCGACTAAGATAAACCCTACTTTATCCAATTCTGTGCTCCTCTTAATATCATATACAGATAGGTTTTTGTTTTGTCTGTGATTAAATGTATCATCTAAGATACTACCTACTGATCATAACGTTCATATTAAAGTATTGGGTTAACATTAGATTTGGGTGTCTTATACACTATTTAATACGCCAATGATAAATGCCTTACACCATAAGAAGAAAGCTAATCATTGAGTAAATGGGAGAAAAGAGATGATTCACGTCACTACAGTTGATTCAACCTCCAACACCACCATGAATATGCATAGGTTTGAGCTTTTAGCTAGATTCCTGAGTGTAAGGCATCTATTTTAAAAGTGCCACAGGTTGGCCGGGTGCGGTGGCTCATGCCTGTAATCCCAGCACTTTGGCCGCCCGCCGAGGCGGGCGGATCACCTGAGGTCAGGAGTTCAAGACCAGCCTGGCCAACATGGTGAAACCCCATCTCTACTAAAAAAATATATAACAATTAGCCAGGCGTGGTGGCACACGCCTGTAAACCCAACTACTTGGGAGGCTGAGGCAGGAGAATTGCTTGAGCCCGGGAGAGGGAGGTTGCAGTGAGCCGAGATCATGCCACTGCACTCCAGCCTGGCTGACAGAGCAAGACTCTGTCTCAAAAAAAAAAAAAAAAAAAAAAAAAAAGCGCCACAGATGATTCTGACGCCCTACCCAGTGGAGTGCTGCTACTAAAGCACAGACTATCCTGCTACATGATTTTCCCATCTGTACAATGACTGAAATAGCACCTATTCTATGTGGTAGATATGAGAATTCCATGAAGTAATATAGGTAAACATTTAGTTCAGGGCTTGGCATGTGGTAAGTGCTCAGTAAGTGTATAATGATTGGTAAACTTGTTATTCTGCATTCAGGCCTCACCAGGGATGACATACGGTTCTCTGCCTTTGAATGTAAGTGTCCCCAGGGCAATCTCAGGCAAGCCTGCAAACCCATCCTGACTCTCAGTGTTTTTTTGCCAATCTGGATCTCTTTCCTGAGCTCCAAATCAACTCATTCCTAGATAGCTCACCCTCCAGATTTAGGGACATCGAACTCAGTATGTCTAAAGCTGAGCCTTACCATCTGCCCCTCTCCAAACCGCCTCTATGACATTCTGTCTTAGAGAATTAGAGCTACCTGGTTTCCCAAGTGCCCAAGTCAGAAACCCAGGCATCATTTATTTTTAATAAATGTTTTATTTTGGAATAAATTTGGTTTTACAGAAAAGTTGCAAAGATAATATGGTGTCCTTATACCCCTTATTCAGTTTCTGTAATGTTAACATCTTCTATATACCACAGTATGTTTGTCAAAACTGAGAAACCAACATTGGTTGGTGTATTAGTATTACTAAGCTCCAGGCTTTATTCAGATTTTACCAGTTTTTCCACTAATTTTCTTCTGTTCTAGGATATAATCCAAGATACAACATTGCATTTAGCTGGGCATCATTTTTATGCCATTCTTTATCTCCTGTCTCTACATGGCCACCAAGTTCTGGCATTTCTACATCCTAAATCTTTTAATTTTATTATAATTTTTTATTGTTGTTTTTCAGAGACAGGGTCTTGCTCCATCACCTAGGCTGGAGTACAGTGGCACGATCGTAGCTTACTGCAGTAAGTTCACTTGAACTCCTGGGCTCAAGTGAACCTCTTACCCCAGCCTCCCAACTAGCTGGGACTAGAGGGGTGCACCACTGCACCCAGCTAATTTTGTCAAAATTTTTTGTAGAGACAGGGTCTCGCCATGTTGCCTAGGCTGGTCTCGAACTCTTGGCCTCAAGTGATCCTCCCACCTTGGTCTGCCAAAGCACTGGGATTACAGATGTGAGCCACTGCACCCAGCCTAATCTTTATAAATCTCCATCCCCATTACTCTGGTTCACCCCCTATCGTTTCTTAGACTATTTAACAGCCTCCTAACTTCACTCTACTTTTAATCTCTTCCCTCTCCAGGTCTTTCTCCATATTTTAAAAAACTAGTTTCACCATCCATTCCTCTCTGCCCTTAAAACTTTCTGGTGGTTTTCCATGGCTTAAGAGAATAAAGCCCAATTCTTTGATTTGACATGCTAGGCATTCCATAATCCTCTCCGAACCTAACTCCCCACTTCCTTTCCCTCCTTTACACCTCATAAAGCCTGTGTTCCAACTAAATTTACATGGCCTCGTCATTCACTCCTGACTTCACACCTATATATACCTACTATAAGAAGGGTAAGCATTGCTTTGTGGAACTTTTCTTACAGAGGGATGTGTGTGTGGAGTCATGATGTAGTGTGTTCTGGTAACTTCTGTTTTCTTCCGCTGGATTTTAGTTTTTAAAATGCCAGCTGTGTCCTAAATCAATTTCCTGAAGTTTAAAAAACACTGGGAATGTACCCATTATTTAACACTCCTGGCCAAACACTGTTCAGAATGGAGTTCTGATTAGCTCCCATCTGCTTTCAGGTGATTAATACACAGAAAAACAAATTATTCCTTCCCAGGCTCGGGGTGGGAGGGGGGATAGGTTGGAGAAGAGAGCAGCTGTTTTGCCTCAGGGTAGGGAAGCTAAACCCTACTAGAGAGGGTATGGGAAGGCAGAAACCTTTGAGAGATGGAAGAGGCCACTGAAATGACCCAAGAGCTTGGTCTTGCTAGCTGAGCAACTGCTAGGTCTGCCCTGCCTGGAGCCCAGAGTCCTTTCACTTCTGCTCCCCTCGGCCTTTTGACCAAAGCAGCAGCAGTGCCCAAGCAAGAGAAAGAGGTGCATTCTTGGATTCTCTCTAAATGTCTGCTGCTTGCTTAGTCCAGTGTGTAAATTATGTGTTAGTGTGTTTGGGAGGAGAAACCTGCAACTTGCCTTCACTTACTTTCCTTCATGGGAGGGAATGTTTTCAAAGACTGCACTTTTCATATTTATTCTGGAACACTATGATCCTTTAAGAGAAAGTAGGAAAGTCTTTAAACTCCAAATTGGAATGCTTACCCAGTCTAAACACTCTCCGTTTAATTCACAGATACTTGTTTGCAAAAAAGAAGCCATGTAAACAATCTGTGTATACTTTATTTTTAATTTTTAATTTAATTTTATTATTATTATTATTTTTAGACAGAATCTTGCTCTGTCACTCAGGCTGGAGTGCAATGGCACGATCTCGGCTCACTGTAGCCTCTGCCTCCTGGGTTCAAGCAATTCTTCTGCCTCAGCCTTCTGAGTAGCTGGGATTACAGGCGTGCACCACCACACCCGGCTAATTTTTATATTTTTGTAGAGACAGGGTTTCACCATGTTGACTAGGATGGTCTTGGAACCCCTGACCTCAAATGATCTGTCTGCCTCGGCTTCCCAAAGTGCTGAGATTACAGGCGCGAGCCACTGCACCCAGCCCCCGTGTAAACTTTATTCATCATCTACTTTTCCTTAGGGCTAGACCCAGTTAGAGGCTAAAACGTGATTTATTTTGCTGTGGGGAAAAGAAAAACAACTTAATGGGAAGAATCAAATGCTGAGACCTCATTAGGAGCTTCTTAGGCCACTTAGTGTCCATACCATACTGCTTCCTCTGCACTGTTAACTATCCTGACCATATGCTGGCTTAGCAGAGCCTTGGGGCACAAGGGCCTGGGAGGACCTGCTTCCCCTTGCTGGGGTCAGGCCTGTGAGCCCTTCTGTAGACGGCCATGTGATGCAGTGGAAATGAAGGGAGGGTCGGATCACACACGTATGCGTGATCACTTGCTTAGTGACTTTGGGCAAGTTGCTTTGATCTACAACTTTCTTGTTTCTAAAATAGGACTTGTTGAGGACTACATGATCCTTCCTTAGGGAAAGTTGTCCAGCCCCTGAAAAGTTTTTGATAAACTAATTTCTTCTGGGTATTTATAACCTTTTATTGATTTGTTACTATATTCCAGGCATTATATAGAAGCGTTGTATATCTTATTTAATCCCCTCAACTTCCCATGGTCAAAGATAATTTTAGAGGTAGGATGTCTCTTGCCAGGCCCTAGGCTTCAGTTAAAGCAGAGCATACTTCAGCCTTCCCCCACATTCCTTTCTCTTCCTTTCTGCAGAAAGGATTGAATAACCCAGATAGGGATACTTGGGGAAGGCACTGAGCTCTTTGTTAAAATGAGGAAAAGCAAATATTAGGTGTTAAAGTCATGCCAGCCCCAAATGGAGACTTTCTTCTTGATGTATTCAGAAGGACTGATTGAAAGGGGCTGGAGAAAGGCAGAACTTCCTCCCGCATGATTGAGAATTCTTTAGTGCCACATCTGGATACTGCCTCAAGGTATCAGCACCACCTAACATCCTGCTGGGGGGGGGTACATACCAGGGGACCTGAAGCTTAGAGTGGCACACCAAGTGAGTGGCAGGGCCAGGGTTAGAACATATTGAGGGTCCCCATGCATTTAGCATGAGGGACAGGCCCCCAGAGGAGGCCCCACTGTGTCTGGAGAGCTTTCACTGGACACATGGGGACGTTGAGGCATTGCAGCTTCTTGGGAAAAGAAGTCACATCTTTGGACCCTTATCCTGAGAAATGATGCCTAGACCCTGTGTTTCTAGCACAATCTTCACTTGCAAAGCACCCCATCTCTCCCTGACAGCACACTTGCAAAGACACGGGGACAGCAATCCAGGCAAACAACAGTGAATACAATGACCCTGGGGCATAAAACAAAGTGGTAGTTTGAGGAACAGAAAGGAAACCAATGTGGCTGGAGCAAAGTGAGTGATGAAGAGAGTAGTATAAGATGAGGCTAGAGAATCAGGCAAAGTTAGATCATTGCTGGACCTGACTTTGAAGGTGTACCAGAGAAAATAGACCGGTTGGGAGACTACTATAGCAGTCCAGAGAACTAGGGTGTTGGCAGAGAAGAAAGAAGATGGACTCAGAATCCATAGGTCTTTCTGAAGGATTGAGTGTAGAGAAAGAACTAAATAGGACTCCCCAGTTTCTGACTTGAGCAACTGGGTAGAAGGTGGTGTCATCTACTGTGGTGGGATGGTCTGGAAGAGGTCACGATTTCAGTACTTGAGTCATGTGCTCCATTTTGGACATGAGTTTTGAGATGCCTACTAGCCAAGCTGGCAGACAGTTGTACCTCCAAGTCTGGAGTTCAGGCAGCAGCCTGGGCTGAAGATAAACATTCAGGAATTGGCAGTATTGAGATATTGAAAGACATGGGATTGAATGAGACCAATCTAAGGAGACAGTATAGAGAGGGACCTGAGGAAAGCCATCATTTAGAGGTCAAGTAGAGAAGTAGCCAGCTAAGTAGGCAGAATTGGGACCAGTGAGGTCATAGGAAACCAGAAGTTAGGAGCCACAGAGGAAAAGAGTTGCAGAAAAGAGCAAGTAGTCAGCCATATCCATTGACTGCTGCTGTTAAATCCAGAAAAAAGGCCTTGAGATTTGACATTGTGATGACCATGCTGAGTGGACTTCAGCCGACTGGTCGGGAAAAAAGCAGATTGAAGAGGAAATTGGAGGTGAAGAAATGGAGGTATAGGTATAGCAATCTTTCAAGAACTTTAACTGCAAAGGAAATAAAGAAATGGGGAAAGGATTTATGTTTTGTAAGGTAAGAGATCCTAGAACATTTGTACTCTGTGGGGTGATCCAGTAATCATTCTGTAGAGAGGGAGACACTGACGATACAGGACAGAAAAGATGACTGAAGAGTGTAATCCTCAAGACGAGAGTTGGATGAGCGTTGGCCTGATAGACACACACCGTCACCAGTGTTCCGACTGACACCTACACACCACCACCAACGGGCATGGTAACAAATCCACCACCAACGGGCATGGTAACAGCCAAACTGACACATACACCCACCAGCCCACCAAGTCACAGGAATACACATACAGTATTCACTTGACACACACACACACAGGCACAGCAACTAATAGCCACACTGACATGCCAGATAGACCAACATCTGTACCTCCTCTCACACAGAGGGGCCCCCAGTTCCCTCCCATGCTCTTAGGGGCCCCTTCCAATCCTACCCCCTGCCCAATTCCCAGGCCCTGCCTCTCCCCAGTGACATTGCCCTCTTAGGAGGCAAATCCAGGCCTGGGCTAAAGAAGGACAGGGAGGGCTTCATATCCAATGAAAGGCTTTATTAAGAGAATGAGAGATGGGGACATGGGGAGGTACATCAACTGCAGGGGCAAAATAACCACAAATACAAGATCCCAGTGACAACCTCAGGGTGCCTGACACACCTTTCTTCCCTCCCAACCCACCCACAGCCCTTTGCCAGCAAAAACACCCTCTCCCTCCTGGTCCAGCTGGACATATCAGTGTATGGCCAGAAAACAGTGAAATGAATCCCCAACTCATTGGGATAAATAAGTTGCACTGGACATTTTAAAATTTCAAATTTAATTACAACATACATAAATAAATAGGACAGACAGCAACAGGACTATGATGAGCAGCAGCCTGGATTCAAGTTCTGCGATTTGTGCTTTATCTTCTTTGTTCCTTGAGGACCCCTCCTGCCCACTTCTCTCTGAGAGTAGGAAGGGTACAAAGAGTCCACTGGGGCCTCCTTCCAGCACCCCTTTTCTGGGGGTAGGAGATTCTGGAATGAGGGGCACCAACTCCTCAGTAGCACCTCTGATTTATCAATTTTCCTCCTGCCACCAGTGAAAAACACAAAGGCTTTGGCCTCTAGAAGCACCCACGGCCACCCAGCCACGCTAATGGAAAGGGCTCTGCCCCATGAGCCAGATCTTTTCATGTCAATTTTCTGTCCAAACCCTTCTCAACCATCAAAGGTCAGAAAATTGCACACATGAGACAAATACCTGGGCCCTTAACTTACCAACACACCACCACAGAGAGGCCACCCTCCCTTACTCCAAGCCAGATCCCCAACTCTGGGATCTCTGGATGAATGTTCTCTTTCTGGCCTGACTCTAATCCCACCTTTCAGTCCTTCCAGGCCCACCCCCAAGAGCTAAGTCCCTATTTCAGGGCCTGGGAGCCCCTTAGGGATGGGGTGGGAGAAGCAGTTATTTCCGATGCTTGGCATCCTTCTCCGAAGCCTTGGTTTCACCATGCCCACTGCCCACACTGCTTAGAAACATCTTGTCCAGCCCCTTGAGTGACTCCAGCAAATAGTTCTGGAAGGCAGTGAGGGCAGCACAGATGGCAGGCCCACCGAAGCCATGGGTGATGAGGCTAAAGTGTGTCAAGCAGCTCTGTACTCCGGGCTCCAGGATGAGTGCTGGGCGGCTGTTGCCCAGCGGTGAGCGGTCCTGAGCCATCAAGTCTGCAAACTCCTTGCAGATCTGCCTGGTGCGAGAAGGAGGGTCAGAGGTTGGAGGACAAAAGTCTGAGCCCAGAGAAGGACCTGCTACATGCTAGGCATTTTACAGACATTAGCTACACAATTGCTGACCCTCCCAACAGTCTGCAAATGATGACCATACTGTTTTTTACAGAAAAGGAAACTAAGGTTCAGAGAAGTCATTTGACTAGCCCAGTATCACACAGCTAATAAACAGCACATGTCGATCACCCTGTAATGTTTCTTTTTTGGATGTCTGGCCCATATTCATTCAAAGTGCAGCTCAGCTACTTACTACCTTATATAGGAAACTTTCCTGGATTCCCTCTCCCACCCCAAACACTCAATGCTTCACAGAACTTTGTCTTTGAAGCTATCAGGAAACAATCCAGAATCTGCCGGAAATAATAACTAGCAGTGAATATAATTGAAGGCTGGATGCTGTGCCAACCACACTGTCTGCATCATCTTAATCTTCATAACAAGTCTATACTATTATTATCCCCATCATACGGACAAGAAAACTGGTTTCGGACAGGTTGGATGACCTGTCAAGGTGACCGAGCTGGGATTTGAACCTAGCTCTAGTTTGCAGCCATTCATTATTCATTCCTTTGTGCGTCCTGTGTGTGGCTCAGGCAAGAGAATCACTCATCATTCATCTTTGTGTCACCATGAAAGCCAGCCAGTATCTTACACATGACTGAGACCCACAAAGTGCTTGATGAATGAGCTGATAAGTGAACGAGGTGAGCCCCGTCCTGGCTAGGTTTCTCCAGCCACAGTATGAGCAGCCTCAGAGGTCTCTCCATTTGGCAGTCCCAGGAGTCTGTGCTTCCTCTTCTGCCTTGGGCACTTGAGGAAAGCCTCAAAGGCAGGAGGGTGGAGTTGTCAGTTTGAAGGACTGTGTTAGGTGGGAGGACTGGATGTTCTAAGCCGGAAACAAACCCAAGGATGTGAGGACAGGGTTGGCAGAAGTGGGTGGAGTTTGTGTGGGCCAGACTGTGGGGCCCTCAAAAGAGTTTGAACTTTAGCCTACCAACTGGTAGTTCTCAGATTTATCTCTCTCTTTTCTTTTTTTTCCGAGACAAGGTCTTGCTCTGTCACCCAGGCTGGAGTGCAGTGGTGTGATCCCAGCTCACTGCAGTCTCAACCTCAGCCTCCCGAGTAGCTGGGACTACAGGTGCGCACCATCACTCCTGGCTAATTTTTTTTTAGTACAGATGGGGTTTCGCCAAGTTGCCCAGGCTGGCCTTGAACTCCTGGGCTCAAGCGATCTGATCACCTCAGCTTCCCAAAGTGCTGGGATTACAGGCATAAGCCACTGCACTCAGTCTCTCTCTCTTTCTTTCTCTCTTTCTCTATCCCCCTCCTCTCTCTGTCTTTTCTTGCAGTGGGACTGCTATGGTGTGAATGCTTATGTTCCCCAAAATTCGTATGTTGAAATTCTACCCCACTAGGTGATAGTATTAGGAGGTGAGGACTTTGGGAGGTGATTAGGTCATGGAGGTGGAGCCGTCATGAATGGGATTAATGCCCTTGTTATAAAAGAAGCCAGAGAGTAACCCCTTCTCCCTTCTACAATGTGAGGACACACAGCAAGGTGCTGTCTATGAGCCAGAAAGCAGGCCCTCACCTGACACGGAATCTGCCTTGACCTTGAACTTCCCAGCCTCCAGCACTATGAGAAATAAATGTCTCTTGTTGGCTGGGCGTGGTGGCTCACACCTATAATCCAAGCACTTAGGGAGCCCAAGGCAGGTGGATCATGTGAGGTCGGGAGTTTGAGACCAGCCTGGCCAACATGGTGAAACCTTTACTAAAAATACAAAAATTAACCAGATGTGGTGGCAGGCACCTGTAATCCCAGCTACTCAGGAGGCTGAGGCAGGAGAATTGCTTGAACCCAGGAGCTGGAGGTTGCAGTGCACTGAGATTGCACCACTGCACTCCGGCCTGGGCAACAGAACAAGATTCTGTCTCAATAAATAAATAAATAAAAATTTCTGTTGTTTATAAGCTACCCAGTTTATGGTATTTTGTTATAGCAGCCCAAATGGACTAAGACAAGAACTCTTTTGGAAGAACTAAATCTTTCGCCTTTTTTTTTTTTTGAGATGGGGTCTCACTATGTCACGCAGGCTAGAGTACAGCGATGCAATCATGGCTTACTGCAGCCTTGACCTCCCAGGCTCAGGTTATCCTCCCACCTCAGCCTCCCAAGTAGCTGGGACTACAGGAGTGCACCACCACACCTAACTGTTGTATTTTTACTAGAGACCGGGTTTCACCATGTTGCCCAGGCTAGTCTCCAATTCCTGGGCTCAAGCGATCCACCAGCCTCAGCCTCTCAAAAGTGCTGGGATTACAGATGTGAGCCACCTTGCCTGGCCTGAAAAACTAAATCTTGGGGCCGGGAGTGGTGGTTCACACCTGTAATTCCAGAACTTTGGGAGTCCAAGGCGGGTGGATCACCTGAGGCCAGGAGTTCGAGACCAGCCTGGCCAACATGGTGAAACCCCATCTCTACTTAAAATACCAAAAATTAGCTGGGCCTGGTGGCAGGCGCCTGTGATCCCAGCTACTCGGGAGGCTGAGACAGGAGAATTGCTTGAACCCAGGAGGTGGAGGTTGCAGTGAGCTGAGATTGCGCCACTGCACTCCAGTCTGGGAAACAAGAGCGAAACTCCATCTCAAAAAACAAAAACAAAACTAAATCTTAATAGAATACTAGTTTGTTAAACAGGCCCTGAGGTGCCCTCGCAGACCTAGTTTGAAAATCAATGCAGCGGGAACCATTGAAGATTCTTATGCAGTGGGGCGGGTGCACGTGCAGGGAGGTTGGAAACAGGGACGCTCTGGGGTGAAGGTCCAGGAGTGAGATGAAGACCTGAGTAGAGGTGGCAGCATGTGAACGGTAGTGAGGGAGGCACAATGGGATTTGCAGAACAGTCAGGTGTGACTTGGTGGCCTGATGGACGTCACTGGAGCAGAGGGTTGATGGGCAAGGCTAGAAGAGGGAGCCTCAGACCTGCGATGGGGAGTAGGGCTGGTGGTGTCCTGGGAGTGTATGTGAGTGTAGGACCCATGCGTGAGCCTGTGTGAGCCAGTATGTGACATCACTGTTCCTGATGCAGGAGCCCAGATATGTTCACATGTAGTGTCTATGTGTGCTCCAGGAGCTTGTGAAGAGTGTTCATGTATGTCTGAGTGATAAACATGATGCCCAAATATACCCATATGTGGCACCCAAGTGTGCCCAGGTGGCATGCACACATATGCCCAGGAAAGCCTAAGCAGGGAGCCTAGGTGTGCCCATGTGTGGTGCCACATGGGCCGCAGGTACGTGTGTGTGCTCACTGCTCGTGTACACAGTGGCGCGCACGTACGTGTGTGTGCCCACTGCTCACGTACACAGTGGCGCACACATACGTGTGTGCTCACTGCTGATGTACACAGTGGTGCGCACGTATGTGTGTGTGCCCACTGCTCGTGTACACAGTGGTGCGCAAATACGCATGTGTGCCCACTGCTCATGTACACAGTGGTGTCCATTGTGCCCATACATGATGTCTGTCTGTGCATGGCACCCACGTGTGCCTGTGCAGGGTGCCCTCACTCACTTGGCAGCCAGCAGCATGCTCTTGCGGCTGTGCAGCTCCCCCGGGTCAGCGTGCTGTCGGCACAGGTACTCGGCAGCTGCCTTGGCTGGGAACTCCGTCTCACAGACGTAACCGAAGTCTCGGGCCAGGTGCACGGCCTCTCCTGGGGGGAGGGGAGCTGTCACTACTGCAGGGTGTACCTCTGCGCCTGGAACACAGCTTTGAACCTCTGACCCCCTGGTCAGGGGTATCCTGCCCCATCCTGCCTGTGTAGATGCCCCCTCTGATGTTCCTTCCCAGCCCAGCTCCAGCCCCCATTCCATTGCCCCACCTTGGGGCCATTAGGGTTGGGCTCTGAGCTCAGAGATGGGAGCTGGGCCCACCATGTATTCCAGAGGCACCAACCTCCAGGGGAGGGGGCTGTCACCCCCTTCATCCCTTTACCACATCCAAACACTGGCCACTCCCCGCCAACACACACACCCACACACCCACACCCACACCCACATACACATCCGCACACTGCAAGTAGGTCTCCATTGCACATGCATGCACACATGTACAAGGACTACACACAGAAATCACAAACACACCTTATACATGACAGAGAATACGCACACAGATACTGCAACACTTACACGGATACACACACACCACTAAACACACCCTCCTGCATTAGAGACAGTCACACCAGACAACTCACTTGCCCTCACATCCACTCCCATGCCCACCTTCAGGCCTCACTCACCTTCCACTAGCGAAGTCAGCAGCGTCACATTGGCGGCCTTGCGACGGCCAGCTGGCAGGTTGAGCCCAATCTTCTCTAACCGTTCCCGCAAACACCGGCCCCCATTTTTGGACTTGGCCCTTGACATGCACAGAGACAGACAGACATACAACTATGAAGACAAGAGAAACGCATGGAAGCTAAGTGGCTGCCAAAGGGCCTTGTTGCCTCCACCAGCCCCTGTTGAGGTTTGGGATTGGTCCTGGGGATGCTCTGAGGTCTCTTTCAGCAAGGGCGCAACTAATCTCCATGGTTTTGCAGCCAAGACAGAGGCAGGGGGGCCAGCACCCAGCTCCAGGAGCCCCTCAGTTCACTCTAATCCTCTCAACAGCAGGGGCAGCCAGGGTGGGGCATCCTGGGGACCTTAGCACACCAGAGGGCCACACACACCTACCAGGGGATACACAGACCTATATGTAGAGACACGCAGTGACATACAGAAAGAGAGACACATGGGGAGACACAGGTACACACACAGCCACCTGGTGACTCTCTCACACACACACACACACACACGTGAAAGAATAGAGACACATAGAACCAATAGAGACAGACATGCAGAGACACAGACTCAGACACCCAGGGACACAGAGACACAGGATCACACCAAGTCAGGGTCCCAGGAACACATGTACAGACACTCAGGGACTCACAGAGATCCTCCAAGACGCTAGGAGTAAGGAGATAACCCCTATGACTGCACACATGCCACTCCCACACAGTGGCACAGATATGTAAACATCCATATGACTAGCTCCAGATGCACAGGCAATCACACACACACACACACACACACACACACACACACACACACACACACAGAGCAGGACACACCCTAGGCCACACATCCCACTAGAAGAAACACAGGATACTCACACTCATGGAAACACATGCTCCTGGCCATCCGCTACTATAGACACATGCACACGCACACACATGTCCACACCATCCTCAGACTCATCCAAGCTCATGGCCCTGAAGCAGAAATACCCTTCCCAGGCACAAAGACATGCACAGAGAGAGAGAGACACAGGTCTAGGAAGATGAACCATGGACTACCATGCTCCACACCCCAAAACACACAGGGCCTATGCTGCCGCGCAGAATGGGCCTCGGGTCCTGGGGTTCATTTCCTAGAAGAGGGGGTGAGGATGGCCCTCTCTCTTCCCCAGACCCAGTCTCGTCCTGACCAGTGTGGATGAGTTCTCCATCCCTTCTCTGTGCCCAGGCTTCTTTCTCTGCCCACCTCCCTACCCCAGACCCACAGACATGTGGCAGCCACCAGGGACCTGGGCCGGCCCCCACAACATGCACAATCCAGAGTCCCCGGGGCCTCCCCTCCCAGGGAGACTGAGGCAGAGGGCCTAGGTGAGACTGGCCTCCTCTCTGATGCCTTGAGAAGGCCTGAAGAGGCCAGGGATCCAATCAGGCGGGGAATTGTGGGCTGGCCTTCCTACCTGCGGAGGACACCCCCCAGGAGGGAGGCGTTGAGGCACTCGGGAGGCGAGAGTCGCCGCTGCACCTCCCCCACCGTCACCTTGTACTTGGACGTTGAGCTGAGCAGTGAAAGCCGGCCGGGCACGGAGCAGAAGACCTCACCAGGATTTGTGATGCCGCCCACCAGGCTGTCTTTGGCCAAGGAGAGGGCTGAGAGGCTGCTGGCTTTGGAGGGGATGGGCACTGTGGAGAAGAGGGAAACGCTGAGCCAGTGGCTGCCGCACACAGCCCCACTCAAGGGAGGGTCTGGTATCCTTGCTTTATGAAGGGAGAAACTGAGCCACAGTGAGGTGAAAGTGACTCGCCCAAGTTCCCTCAACTGATGGATGTGAACTCAGAGACTGAACTCCGAGTTGTCTGGCTCTTGAATCTGTGTCCCCCTCACTGAACCAGGCTGGTCCTATCTTAAACTCAAACAGCTCCAGCGGAATCTTGGTGTTTTAGCGGATGCCATCAGAGAGGGACCTGGATGTAAGGATATGAGTGTGAGCTGGAGGCAGGACCCCTGGGGCCCTGCAGCAGGGTCAGGCCAGGGCTGGGCAATCACAGGGAGTCCCCAAATCCCCTCTTCCCATTCGTGATTCCCACGTTTTTCCTCTCTGCCCTCCCACCCCACCTCACCCCTGCATCGGTGAGGGGCCTGGAGACTGTGGGCTCCACATCCTGGAGACAGGGAGGTTATTGCCCTGTTAATGCCTTCAGCCCTGGCCCTCTCTTCCTGCCAAGTCACTCTGCGAATGCTAAAGGAGACCAGGAGATAGGCCCTATACCCCCTCCCCAAACACTCCCTAATTATCTACTAATTGTCTGAAGACCAGAGAAGGAATCTGAGAAGTTAATTTTCTTTCTTTCTTTCTTTTTTTTTTTTTTTTTTTTGAGATGGAGTCTCGCTCTGTCACCAGGCTGGAGTGCAGTGGTACCATCTCGGCTCACCGCAACCTCTGCCTCCCGGGTTCAAGCGATTCTTCTGCCTCAGCCTCCTGAGTAGCTGGGACTACAGGTGCCCACCACCACGCCTGGCTAATTTCTATATTTTTAGTAGAGATGGGGTTTCACCATATTGGCCAGGCTGGTCTCAAACTCCTGACCTCATGATCCACCCGCCTCGGCCTCCCAAAGTGCTGGGATTACAGGCATGAGCCACCGTGCCCGGCCAGAAGTTAATTTTCTAAAATTCACTTAGACATTCTTGGCTATAAGAGAAAGAAAGTTCTTCCTGCAGTCTAACCTCCATCCTCCTGCTTAGCCTCAGGGGAAGGGAGAATATCGAAGCACTTGCTTCTTTAGCGGAACCCTTTGGCCTTTTCTTCCTTTAAGGAGGTGACAGCCTTGGTAGACAAGGCCTCGTGTGTACATCAGGAGTGAGGCTCGGGTGTGGAGTCTGGGACTAACAGCTACTGAGCACTCACTGCTGTGTGCTCCCGTATATAAACCCACTCAGTCCTTGGAACAACCCACAAGGGGCTACACTTATCACTATTCCCATTTTACAGATGAGGAGACTGATGTCCAGAGAGGTGAAGTAATATGCCTGAGATCACACAGCTGGTAGACGGAGAACCGGTAGCAAACCCAAGACTGCAGTCTCAAAGGCGGTGCTGTTAGCCTTCCAGCCACTTGGCAATATTGGCTGAGCACTTTCATGCCAAGAATGGTGCCAGGGCTGAGGAATACAAAAGTAGGAAAGGCTAGCCTGATCCGTAGCCTGGCAGAACGTCTAGTCTCTCCCTCTCTGGATAAACCTCCCCACCTCCACCCAGCAGCCCAGCCAGAAACCTCTGTGATACCCTCTGCAACCCTCTCCCCCAGCACATCCCATCCATCACCACACCCCATCCATCACCACATCCCATCCATCACTAGATCCTACAGCTTTCTTTTTTTGTTTCTCCCACCCCTGCCCATCCTACGACTTTCATTTCTTTATGTGCCTTGTATGTGGCCACTCCTCTGCATGCACACAGACACAGGTTCCCTTCCCATGTGAATTTCTCCACAGACCTTGCTCTGGTCACCCTGCCCCAGTCCAGAGGGATCTTTCCATCTGAATGCATCATTCTGCAGCCAAAAACTCAGCCTAAAACTCATCAGAGCCCGGTCAGTTCCCTGAGAATCAAATCCCAGCTCCAGAGCTAGACAAAATGATGTCACCTGTCAATGAGTGCCAACTATAATTTCACCTGTCAATGAGTGCCAGGTGCTGAAAGTTCAAAGAGGTTAAAGTGGGACAGCAAGTAAGGGGCAGAAATGAACCTTCAACTCTGAGCACTGACTCCAGAGTTCACAGCTTTAACCATCATGTTACAATGGCCTCCTTCACCCTCCCTTGTGTTCTGGCTCTGCCTGCCCCTCTTGCTGGGTCCCCATTTGTCCATTAGGCTCTAGACCCAAGCTGACCAAGAGAAATATAATGTGAGCCACATGTATACATTTACATTTCCTAGTGTCCACCATTTTTTTTTTTGAGACAGGGTCTTGCTCTGTTGCCCAGGCTGGAGTACAGTGGTACAATCACAGCTCACTGCAACCACCACCTCCCAGGCTCAAGCAATCCTCCCACCTCAGCCTCCCAAGTTGCTGGGACTACAGGTGCGTGCCACCATGCCTGGGTAATTTTTGTATGTTTCATAGAGATGGGGTTTCACCATGTTGCCCAGACTGGTCTTGAACTCCTGGACTCAAGCTATCCACCTGCCTGCCTTGGCCTCCCAAAGTGCTGGAATTAAAGGGGTGAGCCACCAGGCCTGGCCCACATTTTAAACAGTAAAAAGAAACATGTGAAGTTAATTTTAATCAATATAATAGTAAATAATATATTACTATTTAGTATATTTTATTTAGCCCAATATATTAAAAATAGAATCATTTCAACATGTAATCAATATTTTAAAAATTATTAGTGAGATATTTTACATTGTTTGAAATTAGCCTTCAAAATCCAATGGACATTTTATGCTTAAGCGCATCTCAATTCAGACTAGTCACATTTTGGGTGCTCAAGAGCCACTCGTGGCTATAGTGGCCACTTGGTGGACAGCAAAGCTCCAGGCTTCAAGGGAGGAGGGGCTCAACAGGTAACATAGTAAGTGGGCTGTGGGGGAGGTTGGCAGGCTAGAGGGGCACCTTATGCAAAGTCCCGCCAAGCAAGACACAAAGCTCCTGGTTTGTTTGTGTTTTTGTTTTGTTTTGCTGATTTTTGAAACTAGGATTCTGGATTTTTCTGTGAAATCTCTGGAGTTTTAAGCATTGGCAATGATTCAAAGATTTAAAAACCCAGCACAGGCCAAATGGAACAAGTGTGAAGTGCCTCCTGGGATGTAGTGACTCCCAGGGTGTGAGCTCTTTGAGCCCCACAGTGCTCCTTCGGTTCTCAGGGGTCCTGCTCCACTCTACTGAGTTTAGGCACCAACCCCTGTGCAGAGCTTCTCTCCCCTGCCCCCCAGCTCCCTCTCACCCCCATCCCTGGCCTTACCGCACTGAACCTTCCTGGTCTGTTTCCATGGGTGTCTTCCCTACCAAGCATGAGTGTGTGGAGGGCAGGGTCTTGGCACAGGTGGCCATGAGTGAATATGAAATAAGCTAATGATGCAAGGGCTCTGGGAACCCGAACTGAACTATACTGTATGTATAAAAAAATTATACCTCGAGCTTGACTTCAAACAAATAAAACTACAAATGAGGCCAGGCACGGTGGCTCACACCTGTAATCCCAGCACTTTGGGAGGCCGAGGTGGGAGGATTGAGCCCAGGAGTTCAAGACCAGCCTGGGCAATACAATGAGACCTTGTCTCTACAAAAAATACAAAAATTAGCCCGGCGTGATTGCACATGCCTGCAGTCCCAGCTACTCTGGAGGCTGAGGTAGGAGGATTGCTTGAGCCCAAGAGGCAGAGGTTGCAGTGAGCTGACCATGCCAGCCTGGGTGGCACAGTGAGACCCTGTCTCAAAAACAAAAACAAAAACAAAAACAAAAAATTGATAAATTAAAAATAAAAAGAAGGGCAAAGTAACTGTCTTCCCTCCCATCACCCCTCACCAGAAGTAGGGGTTGGAGAAAAAGGATGAGCAGCCTTCTCCATCCAACTGCTATTAAAACCTAGGGCCCAGGCTGGCTGAGCATGGTAACTCACACCTGTAATCCCAACACTTTGGGAAACTGAGGCAGGAGGATCACTTGAGCCCAGAAGTTTGAGACCAGCCTGGGCAACATAGTGAGACCTCATCTCTACAAAAAAAAATTTTTTTAAGTTAGCCAGGCATGGTGGCATGTGCCCATAGTCCCAGCTGCTCGGAAGGCTGAGGCCACAGAATGACTGAGCCCAGTTTGAGGCTGCAGTGAGCTATGATTGCACCACTGCACTCCAGCCTGGACGACAGAGCGAAACTCCATCTCAAAAAAAATAAAAAAGGATGACTGTATACAAGAACTGTATGCCCTTGTGATAAATACAGCAATGAGGATGAGCTGGAGTATGGAGGAATGTGGTAGCCTAGATATGGATATTTGCAAGTGCTTTCTCCTGTTGATGCCAGATTTATGCAAACATAGGTGCTGCTAGATATAAGGGCAGAGATGACATTGCTCATGTGTTTGTGTATATGAGTGACTGACCTTGCTGCTTCCCCCACCTGTCCCTTTTTTTCTCAGAGCTTCTTCCCTTGAAAATGGCAAGAGGGATGGAATCCATGGTTAGGGAAGCAGGTCGGTCACAGAAGGGCAGTGGTGGAGGTAGGAATTAAACTAGCACACAGGGCAAAGCAGAGACACTAAAGTTTGTCTCCCACACACACAGAACAGGATTCCCTGTGGTGACTCCTGAAGCTGAAGTGATCTAATGGTGTCCTGCTGGTCACATATGCAGAAGCCATTCACACACACACACACACACACACACACACACACACACACTCCTGCAGACACAAGAGCTCCCGGTTATTCAACCTGTCAGACAAGGCACTCTGTCCGCAGGTGGTAGATATGGTCTGACTTCTGAACCTAGGCAAGTGTGCAACAGACTCTCCAAGAAGCCTTGTTAAAGTTGCAAGTTTTTTCTAGAAGAAAACATGGAAGGCCAGGCGTCCTGGCTTACACCTGTAATCCTACCACTTTGGAAGGCAAGGCGGGTGGATCATTTGAGGTCAGGAGTTTGAGACCAGCCTGGACAACATGGGAAAACCCCATCTCTACTAAAAATACAAATAACAACAACAACAACAACAGAAAACTTAGGAGAAAAATCTTCGTGACCTCAGGTTGAGCAAAGAGTTCCTAGATACAACACCAAAAGCAAGGCCCATAAAAGAAAATGATAGGCCAGGTGTGGTGGCTGACTCCTGGAATCCCAGCACTTTGGGAGGCTGAAGCGGGCAGATCACCTGAGGTCAGGAGTTTAAGAGCAACTTGGCCAACATGGTGAAACTGTCTCTACTAAAAATACAAAAATTAGCCCAGCATGGTGGCACTCACCTGTAATCCCAGCTACTTGGGAGGCTGAGGCAGGAGAATCGCTTGAACCCGGGAGGCGGAAGTTGCAGTGAGCTGAGATAGCGCCACTGCACTCCAGCCTGGGCGACAGAGTGAGACTGGTCTCAAAAAAAAAAGAAAGAAAGAAAGAAAGAAAATGATGATAAACTGGACTTCATCAAAGTCTAAAACTTTTGCACCTCAAAAGATATTATTAAGAAAATAGCATGGTATGGTAGCATGAGAATGTAGTCCCAGTTACTCGAGAGGCTCAGGCAGGGGGATCACTTGAGTTCAGGAGTTCGAGGGTGCAGTGTGCTATGATCTTGCCTGTAAATAGCCACCAAACTCCAGCTTGAACAACTTAGTGAGACCTATCTCTAAAAAGTTTTTTAATTAAAAAAAAAAAAGAGAGCAGTTGCTCACTCCTGTAACCCTAGCACTTAGGGAGGCCAAGACAGGAGGATCACTGGAAGCCAGGAGTTTGAGACCAGCCTGGGCAACATAGCGGGACCCTGTTTCTATGAAAAAAAAAAAAAAGATAATTTTTAAAAATGCAAAAAAAAAATTAAAATTTTAAAAATAGAAAAGAAAACGATAAACCACAAACTGGAAGAAAATATTTTCAAATCATATATCTGATAAAGGACTGTATTCAGAATATATTATATAAAGAACTATTATAACTCAACAATAAGATAGCAACCTAAATAGAAAATGGTCCAAATATGTAAATAGACATTTCACTAAAAATGAGAGATGAATGGTTAAATAAGTACATGAAAAAGTTCTTAACATTATTAGTCATTAGGGAAATGCAAATTAAAACTATACTGAGATACCACTTGATGGTTATAATAAAAAAGACAGGGGCCAGGCACGGTGGCTCATGCCTGTAATCCCAGCAATTTGGGAGGCTGAGGTGGATGGATCATGAGATCAGGAGTTCGAGACCAGCCAGCCTGTCCAACGTGGTGAAACCCCGTCTCAACTAAAAATACAAAAATTAGCTGGGTGTGGTGGTGCGTGCCTATAATCCTAGCTACTGGGGAGGCTGAGGCAGGAGAATTGCTTGAACCCAGGAGGCAGAAGTTGCAGTGAGCCGAGATTGTGCCACTGCACTCCAGCCTGGGTGACAGAGAGACAATCCATCTCAAAACAATAAATAAATAAAAAAGGCCAGGCATGGTGGCTCATACCTGTAAGCCCAGCATTTTGGGAGGCCAAGGCGGGTGGATCACCTGAGGTCGGGAGTTCAGGACCAGCCTGACTAACATGGAGAAACCCCGTCTCTACTAAAAAAACAAAATTAGCCGGACGTGGTGTCACGCACCTGTAATCCCAGCTACTCAGGAGGCTGAGGCAGGAGAATCACTTGAACCCAGGAGGCAGAGGTTACGGTGAGCCGAGATCACCTCATTGCACTCCAGCCTGGGCAACAAGAGTGAAACTCCATCTCAAAAAAAAAAAAAGAAAAAAAAGACAATTCTAAGTGTAGGATGTGGAAAAGTGGAACCCTCACACATTGCTGGTGAGAATGCAAAATAATACAGCCACTTTAGAAAATAGCTTGACAGTTTCTTAAAAATTAAACCTAAACCGACCATATAATCCAGCAATTGCACTCCTAGGAGTTTACTCAAAAGCGCTAAAAATATATTTCTATAGTAAGGCATGTATGTGAATGTTCATAGCAACATTATTTAAGACAGCTAAAAAGTGGAAACAACCCAAGTGCCCGTCAACTGACCAATGGATAAACAAAATATGTTACACCCGTACAATGGCATACTATGAAGCAATAAAAAGAAACAAACTGCTGATAATAGTTTGTTTCTTTTTATTGCTGTTTCTTTTACTTAGCATAATGTTTGGGGCGAGCCTCAAAAATATTATGCTAAGCAAAAGACGCTTGATGCAAAAGTCTGCATATTTATATATTCTATTTATAGAACATGTCCAGAATATGCAAATTTATGGACAGAAAGCAGATCAGTGGTGGCCTAAGGCTTGGGGTGAGAATGGAGAGTAGCTACAAATGGGAACTTCTGGGGATGGCAGAAATGCCTCAAAATGGATTTTTTTGTGGTAATGGTTACACAACTCTACATTTACTAAAAATCATCAAATTATATTCTTACAATGTGTAAATTTTAGGTATGTAAATTTTACCTCAAAAAATCGTTAAAAAATGCAAGTTCCAGGGCCATACTTCCAGGGGTTCTCATGCAGTCAATGTGGGGTGGTGCCCAAGAAATTTGCTTTTTTTTTTTTGAGGCAGAGTCTCGCTCTGTCGCCCAGGCTGGGGTGCAGTGGCGCAATCTCAGCTCACTGCAAGCTCCGCCTCCCGGGTTCACGCCATTCTCCTGCCTCAGCCTCCCGAGTAGCTGGGACTACAGGCGCCCGCCACCACGCCCAGCTAATGTTTTTTTTGGTTTGTTTTTGTTTTTTTAGTAGAGATGGGGTTTCACCGTGTTTGCCAGGATGGTCTCGATCTCCTGACCTCGTGATCCACCCGCCTCGGCCTCCCAAAGTGCTGGGATTACAGGTGTGAGCCACTGCACCTGGCCAAAATTTGCATTTTTAACAAGCACCCCCTGGGGGTCCTGATGCATGTGGTTCCTTGGACTACACTTAGGGTACCACTGGTCCAAAGCTTGAAGGGGTTGGAGCAAGAGGAAGGTAGACGGGAGGAGTAGTGACCTGCTCCCTGGCCCACACTGGGGCACAGCATGTGCAAATGCCCTCCCTAGAGTCTCCTCATCTCCCCTGCTGGGACCTGCCGATTAAGTTTCCTTCTCATCAACTGCCAGAGGGTTTCTTTCTTTCTTTTTTTTTAAGATGGAGTTTTGCTCTTGTTGCCCAGGCTGGAGTGCAATGGCACAATCTTGGCTCACTGCAACCTCCGCCTCCCGGGTTCAAGCGATTTTCCTGTCTCAGCCTCCGGAGTAGCTGGGACTACAGGCGTGCACCACCATGCCTGGCTAATTTTTTTTGTATTTTTAGTAGAGATGACATTTCACCATGTTGGTCAGGCTGGTCTCAATCTCCTGACCTCAGGTAATCCACCTGCCTCGGCCTCCCAAAGTGCTGGGATTACAGGCATAAGCCACTGCGCCCGGCCCAGGGTTTCTTTTACATATAATTTCTATCCTTCACTCCCCTGCTCCAAGGTTTTCCATAGCTCCCACCATTTTCAGGTAAAGTCCAAACTCCATCTGCACATTTTTTAAGTTGCTTTCTGGGGCAGAGAGTAGCCTGGGAGGCAGGTGAGAAAGGGTTGTGGAAGTGCAAGTTCAGTAAATTTTTGATATTTTGTTTATCGTGGATTTTTGCACTATTTTCATTTAAAAAGGCCAAGCGTGGTGGCTCACGCCTGTAATCCCAGCACTTTGGGTGGCTGAAGCGGGCAGGTCACTTGAGGTCAGGAGTTCAAGACCAGCCTGGCCAACATGGTGAAACCACGCCCCTACTAAAAATACAAAAATTAGCTGGGCGTGGTGACAGGTACCTGTAATCCCAGCTACTTGGGAGGCTGAGGTACGAGAATCTGAGAGGCAGAGGTTGCAGTGAGCTGAGATCGTGGTGCTGCACCCCAACCTGGGCGAGAGAGTAAAACTGTGTCTCGAAAAAAAAGATTTTTTTTTTTTTTGAGACAGAGTTTTGCTGTTGTTGTCCAGGCTGGAGTGCAATGGTGTGATCTTGGTTCACTGCAACCTCCGCCCCGCAGGTTCAAGGGATTCTCCTGCCTCAGCCTCCGGAGTAGCTGGGATTACAGGTGCCTGCCACCCCACCCAGCTAATTTTTGTATTTTTAGTAGAAACGGGGTTTCACCATATTGGCCAGGCTGGTCTCGAACTCCAGACCTCAGGTGATCCACCCGCCTCGGCCTCCCAAAGTGCTGGGATCACATGGTGTGAGCCACCGCCGCCCGGCCTCTTTTTTTTTTTTTTTTTTTTTTTTTTTTTTGAGATAGTCTCCCTCTGTTGTCCAGGCTGGAGTACAGTGGCATGATCTCGGCTCACTGCAACCTCTGCCTCCTGGGTCAAGCAATTCTCTTGCCTCAGCCTCCTGAGTGGCTGGGATTACAGGCTAGCGCCACCACACTGGGCTAATTTTTGTATTTTTAGTAGAGATGGGGTTTCACCATCTTGGCCAGGCTGGTCTCGAACTCTTGACCTCAAGTGATCCGGCCTCCCAAAGTGCTGGGATTACAGACGTGAGCCACTGCGCCCGGCCTATTTATCTTGATTACTGAGTTTTTTGGCACCCTCTCAAATTCTGTCCCAGAAGTCAGTATCTCACTCATCTCACCCATGTCCTGGCTGCTTAGAGATTGTCTGGGAAGTGGAGACCCTCCCCAGCTCCCTCCTCCTTCTCCAGGGCCAAAGACAGCAAGGAATAGGGCGACTGTTTACATCAGCTCCTGTCCTAGAGATCCCCTGAGATTGGACAGCTGAGCCCGTGGAGAGGGATTCCCCACCCCCAAGTAGGCAACCACCCACTCTCCTCCAGAGGGAACGAGGGATCCATCTCAGTTCTCATCCTTGACCACTCCCCTCCAGCTCTGATTGTATAACCTGAAACCCACACACGGTTTGTAACTTTTTTTTTTTTTTTCCGAGACGGAGTCTCGCTCTGTTTCCAGGCTGGAGTGCAGTGGCGCGATCTTGGCTCACTGCAATCTCCGCCTCCCGGGTTCAAGCGATTCCCCTGGCTCAGCCTCCCTAGTAGCTGGGACTACAGACGCGCACCACCATGCCCGGCTAATTTGTTTGTAACCTTTTTAACCTGTCTGGCTTTTCCACAGGGAGAGGATTTGCATATGCTGTGTCCTGTGTGATGAAAGGAGCCCTTTTTACACACCCCCTCTTTCAATGCACTCAGACTTCAAAGCCCATCACTCATTCATTCAACAAACACCCACTAAGCACCTCTTGAACCCGGTTCAACTATCTCCCCTCTAGGCACTCACCCAACCTCGGGCACTCTCCGCGCCTCCTCTGAGCTCCTCCCGCGTCCCATACAGCCCCTGCTCACTGCTGGAAAATATTCCTGTTAAGCTCCGTCTCCCCACCAGTCCTGCTTGCTTTCTGTGTGTCTGGGATAGGTTGCAAAACTGGAGGTGACAAATGTGGGCAGGAAATGGAGGGCTCCCTTATACTCCTAGGGTCGGCCTCAGCCCTGCCATTTCCTGCCCAATACCGCGGATGCAACTGGCATGGGACCCGGAAGTGTGTGGTAAAGCGCCGGGGCTTCGCCTGGCCGCCCCTCCCGGACGCTTGCCTGCAGTCAGCGAAGCTTTTCCAACCCAGGTCTGGGCCCTGCGAGCTCCAGGTGCCTCTGCCCCGCGGCGCTGGCGAAGTCGAAGCCCGAGAACGCCCACCGCAGCGATGCGAAGGCCGCTTCTGGGGTGGGGCTGAGGCTGCAGCTGCCTCCCTTTCGCACCAAGGACCCCAACCTTCAGCGACGCAGCCGCCGCTCCCGCCCAGGCTGGGAGGCACTGTAGGGATCCGACGCTTCAGGTGGCCAAAGAGCGACTTTCTCTGATTCCAGGGCCCTGGCGGGGCAGGCTCCAGTACCGCACTCGGCGGAGGCCGAAGGTCTGTGGGGCAGGACAGGAGTTCCTCGTGCCGTCGGAAGGGCCGAGGACGAAGGAGGGCGCTAATTCACTCCCCACTGGGCTGGCGGCAACGCCGAATCCCGCAGTGACCGCGGAGGGCCAAGGTGAAAACTGCTGGGGGCGCCGAGGGCAGGTGTGGGGAGGGGCGGCTCCAGGGAGCAAGGAGCCCACCTGCCTCGCCGCCGCAGCTGCCCTGGGTCGACCGCCCACGCTTTCCCCTGGGTCACGACCTCCGGATCCAACTGTGCCCGGCTCCTGCCCCTTCCCCTTTGCTGCTGCTGCGCGGGCTGTAACTTGACGTCTAGGCTGGGGCGTCCAGGGCGCAGTCTCCGCTCAGGTCGCCAGCGCTCCACTCGCTCCACTGGGCCACAGACCCGCTGGCGCTGGGGTCCCGCTGGCGCTGGGGTCCCGCTGGCGCTGGGGTCCCGCTGGCGCTGGGGTCCCGCTGGCGCTGGGGTCCCGCTGGCGCTGGGGTCCCGCTGGCGCTGGGGTCCCGCGGTTGTGCACGTGAGTCCGCGTGGCCCCGTCCCGCGCGGTTGTGCACGTGAGTCCGCGCGGCCGCGTCCCGCCCCGCTCCAGGGAGCCAGCGCGCCGCCACCTGGGATGTTAGGACTCTCGTTGTGTTCTTTGGACTGCTTTGGGGGATTTCGGCGTACCCCTAGGATCTAGGAGTTTTGGAAGTTGTTTGAGAGAAACCAGCTCTGGGAGGGCCTCGCATCCAGTCTCCTGTCTCGGCTTCGGACCGGGGTTCCGGGTTAAGGTGCTCAGAGGAACAGCTGATCCTTCTACCCTTGCGCAGGGCAGAGATCCCCAAACCTCTTTCTAAAATGCAGGGTCTTAGTCTTTCTCAGGGAGTCAGTGAACCTAGACTCCCAGTCTCTTGAGCCCAAGCATGAATAGGGAACTGGGGACCACCACCATGCTCATATTTCTGGTGGCCAGGAAGTCCAGGCAGGCTTTTGCCCACTGCAGACGGATCTCTTTCTTCAGGGGTCAAGAAAGGCTCTGTACAGTAAGCCAACCAAGCCCCACCAGCAGAGCTGCGCTGCAACCAGGTTCCTAGTGTCTTTCCCACACTCCCAGTTCCAAGCGACACAGGACACAGCCCCAATTCCACCTCCCCCCACCCACTTCCTGCCCTGTTGCCTCATCTTCCCTGCTACACACTCCAAGTCATCCACCCAACCCCCAGCTCCTGGTAACTCAGCCCCAGCTCCTGGAAGTCCAGCCCCAGCCCTGCTACCACCACTTCCACCTTGGCCTCCCCTGAGAACAAGTGGAGGGCAAATAGAGCCCAGGCTTGAATTCACTCGTTTGAAAAACAACTCAAGCCAAACCCTGTGGGAGCAGTGCCTGCCTGGGGCACCTCAGGCTCATGTGCACCTCTGAATTCTTTCGGGCACCTGCCCCAAATGTAAAGAGGCTGCTACCCAATGCCTGGGCCCCTCTGACTCTCTGCTCCTCTCTGGCTGTCTCTCTGTTTTTGTCGTCTCTCACCTTCCCCTGTCATGGCCAGTACTTGGTCCTCAGGCCAGAAAAGGTGGATCCCGTGTCCCTGGATTTTACTAATGCCAGGAGTCACATAAATACTCCTATATATACACAGAGAGGGCCCGCGCATGCTTGGAAATCCTCAGATACCAAAGAACAAAGTGCAGGACACAACAGAGATACTGTACATATTGAGAAATGTGTACATCCCCCAAATGCAGAGAAATGCACACCAACATACAGAGACACACCTCACAAACACATTCACAGAAACAGACACACTCACACTCCAAGAAATACTAAGACACCCATGAAGGGAACATTTCAGACATGCACAGGACCCTGAACTCACATGGACACAGACACCCAGGAGCAGGTGGGCCCTGACTCAGGTGCACACAGCCTAACACACAGTACTCACACACAAGCTCCCCTAAGTCTAAATGCCGCAAGAGACTCCCACAGAAAGAAAATTCCCCCAGAGGCCTCCAAGGCCCTGCCTGGAAGGAAGAGGAAGAAAGTGCCCGCCAGGCACCGAAATGCTAAGGCACTGTAAAGTGAAAATCATTTCCCCAACTCCGTGGGAACAGCACTTCCATTCCCATCTCTTAGGGAAACAGGGAAGTGGTTTAACTCGTTCTGCAAATCAACTCCAGATCCACAAGAGTGCCCTCCCCCTCGGCGGGGAGAGGCCAGGCTCCCAGTGCTGCAGCCCAGTGAATGCTGATCCGCTGAGGCCCACCCCAGGCCACAGGGTGCTGGGCAAACTCACCAAGCCCGCACGTCTGCCTAACATCTGGCTGGGCCAGGAAGAGTGCCTGGTGGACACCCAGCCTGGCGACACACAGGAGGCACGGCCGGTGAAGAAAATGGATCTGTGCACCAAGGGCCTGCACCATCTCGCCGGGCTCTGCCCTGACAGACCATTCCTTACCTTTCTTGATCACGGACTGGTCTAGGAGGCTCATTCCCGGCTCGTCCATTGCCTGCAAATAGCAGAGGGCAGCGGTGAGGGCGCATAAAGCCCTAGCCGCCCATGTCTTCCCAAGCCCCTGCCACCCAGGGTCTCTGTCTGCTCCGCCCAAGGCGCACCAGCTTCGCTTGGGGCGGCGACGGGCAGGCCCAGGAATCGCTATGTCCAGGCACTGAGCTGGAGCCCTGGGCATCTCACTGTGCAGTGCAAAAAGGGAATTTTGAATCTTACACTGGTAACTATTATGCTTCTCTTCGCCCCAGGTGCAGGCTGCCCCATGGATGCCACACGTGGCAGCGGGGAGAAAAGAAGTGATTCGGTCCCTGCCGAGGGTTGCTGCCACCCACGCACTGCTGGCGGACTCAGTGCCAGGCAGCCTTGATGGCCAGGCAACGTCTAACCCAGGAGGTGGGACACATCCTCGGAGTCACCAGTGAGATGTGGCGAGCTGGGAGAAAAGTCGGCTTCCTGCATTTGTCACCTTCTGCCTCCAGCCATGGTAGTAAACCACCGCGGCCAGTCCCGACCCATCCCGGATCCCTCGGGTCTCACCTGCAGGTCCTCCAGACCGGGGGCCGCCGCCAGCCCCGGAAGGCCGAGAGGTGCGTCTGCCAGGCCGTGCGCGCCGTCGGCCAGGCCGTGCAGGAGCCGGGGCACGGCAGTGGCATAGTCACGGCGCGGGTCAAGGCCCAGGGCGCGGGCGGGCGGTGCCAGCAGGCCGGGAGGCTCCTCGTGGGCGCGGGCGGCTGCGCGGGGCGCGGCCCAGGCGGCCTGAGGAGGCTGCGGCTGCGCCAGGGGCGCCAGGCCGCCATATGGGTCCCCTGCCAGGTGGGGAAAGGCTGCGGCGGCGTCGGGCGCCTGACCGTAGGGCAGCGGTGGCTGCGGGTAGGGCGGCGGGAAGTAGGGCGGCTGGAATTCGGCGGCAGCTGTGGCGGCCGGCGTGTGGCAGAGCGGGGGCGCCGGCCCGTAGGCCGCCTGGGGCAGAGACGACAGGCGGGCCCCGCCGGCAGCTGCTCCCAGCCCGTCGGGGCGCTCCTGGGGAAGGAGAGGGGTGCCTTAGGTGACCCACTGGCAGCTGAAAGGACCCCAGCCTGAAAGGATCCTCCTCAGCTCGGGAGGGTTCAGCTGCAGTCCCTCCCGTTTCTTGGGGCCCGAGGTTTATTTCCGAGCCACCCGCGGGCGCAGGAGCCTCAGGCTGGGGACAGCGGTCACTTGCGCATCGCGTTCTCAGCTGGCGAAGTCCCTGCGGCCCCCTCCCTCCGAGATTTCGTTAGCGCGGGACAGGAGGGTTGGAAAGTCCAGCACTCAGGCGCCCCGATCCCCCGGCCGAATATGTCCCGGGCCCGAGACTACTCACCATGGCGGAGTAGGTGTGCACCAGCATGGGGCGGTGAGTGCCGGGCGCGAGGCGTGGCGGCGGCGGAGCCCTAGCCCGACGGCGAGCGCTGCGGGCAGAGGCGCCGGGAGCCGGCACAGCCCGCGGAGGTCACGGTGCGGTAGCTGGGTGCGACCCAGCCGGGATCCTAGTGGGCGTGGGGTCCTCAGCGGTGGCCGTTCCCGGGCGGGTCCATGGAGGCAGGACGGACGGGCACTGATCGCACTTGGAAAAGTCGGTCAACGGGTGCCCAGCGCCCGCCCTTCCTCCTCTGAGCGTAGCCTGCTCCATGCACTCCAGTTATAGTGGCGGGGGCGCGCCGGGCCTCCGGGGGCGCGCATTAAAGAGACAAGCTATGGCAGTTCTCTCCCTTTTCCCCAGCGGCTGCCACAGGGGAGGCAGTGGCTTTGGCGGGATCGGGTAGGGTGGGTAGGGGGCGTGAATTCAGCCCACATTGATCAGAGCCGCCTTCTGGGCTCGCAGCTCGCAGCTGCAGTGAAACAGAAATATTCGAGGCTGGGACGCAAGGGCCCTACATTTGCCTGGCTCTATCACATCCTTGCCTTTAAGCAAAGCACTATTCTTCGCTGGCCTCAGCTTCCTCGGTAAAATAGGTATCAATCCTTTCTCTAAGCACCTCAAGAGACTTTGGATGAGGTGGGTAATCGGGAACGTGGAAGAAGTTTGTGAGCTGAAGACTCCAGCCTATCTGCTCATGCGCACACAGTGTCAGTGCGTGTGTTTAGGGGGTCTACCATCACAGTCTTTCCTGAATGGTTCTGGATCAAAATCCCTCGAAGGTGCCCACTTCGCTCTCAGGCTTCCTGGGCTGAAAACTTCCAAGCCAAGCCAGGCTCTGAGGGAGTTGGAGACAGAAGCTGGCCAGACAGAGAGAGAGACTTGCCTGGGATGGGTTTGGGTATGAGCTCCACCTGACAAGGGGCCAAGATATTTCTGAAGCCACAGGGTCCTGGGCTGATTGAGTGTGGGCATGAGATACCCAGAGACTGTTGAGTGACTGTGTGTAACTGACTAGCATGGATGCCGTGTGATTGTTACACTAACATGCGCAGGCTACATGTTCCTGTGTTACCATGGCAGGCACTCCCTGGCTGTCAAGCAAGTTCCAGTCTCTGTAGTCACTCTCTCTTTCTCCCCAAACCCAACCCTCCCCTCCTGACAAGCAGAGACAGGGATTAAAGATGGACAAATGAGAGGAATGCTAAGGAGAACAGGAATTAAGAAAGCAGAAGAAAGATGTTTTTTAAAAGCAAGATGTGCAGACCAGGGCAAAGTAGAAATAATCACAGCAGACTTATTACAGAATGTGCCAGCCTCTGTGCAAAGTGCTTCACGAATATTGGGTTCTTTAACCCTCACAGCAGCTCTATGAAAGAGATACCCATATCATCCCCATTTTCAGGGGAGGGGTGAGGCATGGAGAGGTTAAATGGCTTGCCCAAGGTCAAGCAGCTAAGTGGCAGAGCTGGGGTGATCTGCCCCTGGCCCCTCTCTGCTCAGAATCACTATTCTCTACTGCCTCAGACTCAGGGGCTTGGATTTAGTCCTGACTCTGCCTAACTGTGTGATCCTAGCTACATCCCGTTTCCTCTGTGATCTCAGTTTCTGCAACTTCGACAACACCAATAAAAAAGTAGGGGAAGGCAGAGAAGACTAGTTGTTTTTTTAGGTCCCTTTTTAGTGAAGTAGTAAATGAGAAGATTAAGGTAAAATTATTGATATAGAAGAGGAGGTGATAGTGACACCATTAACTCATGGAATATATGGTTCCAAGTGGGTATCCCAGAAGGCACATGGCAGGTGCAGAGCTCAGGGCTGGATGATCTCAGCCTGGGGAGTGGTGGGGAAAGAAGGAGGCTAGAAGCCAAGGATTCATCATTAAGAACTTTCTGAAGTCTGGAACCGCCAGCGAGGTTCCAGAGGATGAAGCGGAATTGGGAAGCTTTGCAACTTTCCTGCTCGAGATGGGTCAGAGATCAGGATTGTGTTTGTGTGTATCTATATATGAGGGAGTCTGTGGCAATGCCCTGTTCCTCCCTCCCTCAACCCCAGCCACAGGGCATCAGAAGTCAAGCTCCAGGACAGGTGTCAGTGCGTGAATAGAAATTGATGAACTCCTCTGGGAGAAGTCTAGGAGCCGCAAAGGAGATGATGCCTGTGCCCAGCTGCGGGGATGCCCCTGCTCTCTCCAGCAGCTTGGGAAGGCCAGAGTGGCGGGATGTGCTGCCTGTCTGTGGCTTCCTTGGGTTTTCTCAATCTACTTCCTACACCTTTGATAGCCCCTTTTTGCCTCATTGTCCTACTCCGACCATTTCTGTCTTCTTTTCTGTTTCTCTTTTCACCTACATGCTTAATGTCGGTAATTCTTTCTCAGAGCAGAGAAGCTTCTTTTTCTTCCTGCACTCTTCATGAGTGAGCTCATCCCCTCTCAAGTCTTTTTTTTTTTTTTTTTTATAACAGAGTCTCACTCTGTTGCTTGGGCTGGAGTGCAGTGGCACAATCTCGGCTCACTGCAACCTCCACCTCCCGGGTTCAAGCGATTCTCATGTCTCAGTTTCCTGAGTAACTGGGATTACAGGGGCCCACCACCACGCCCGGCTAACTTTTGTATTTTTACTAGAGACAGGGTTTCATCATGTCAGCCAGGCTGATCTCGAACTCCTGACTTCAAGTGAACACTCGCCTCAGCCTCCCAAAGTGCTGGGATTACAGGCATGAGTCACCACGCCCGGCCCAAGTCTTTAATGACTACCTGTCTACTGTTATCTCCCAACTGTGTTATCTCTGGCCTGAATCACTAGTGAGAGATCCAGACCCATAGACACAGCTGCCAGCTGCGTATTTTCTCCAGACATCTCATTGCAGCTGTCTGAAATTTTCCAAGTCCAACACTGAACTCAACATCTCCTCTATCCCCAGCACCAACCCCAACCTGCTTCTCCTTTGCTCTGTAGTTTCATAAATGACACCACCCTTTTTCAAGTTCAAAACTTGCTAGTCATCCCAGAAGAGCGTAGGTCCTTTCCTTAACCCCCACAAGCTAATCCTTATGGAGTGTTGCCATTTCTAACCCTTAAACATCCACCCACAGAAGGTATGTGGTGGAGAATTGAGGCAGGTATCCCAGAGGGCACATGGCACCCTGTCTCAGCACCTTAAACTACCTTACTCTTACTCATAGATCAGTGGCTCTCAAAGTGTGGTCCCTTGAGCCCAGGAGTTTGAGACCAGCCTGGGCAACACAGCCAAAGAGTGGTTCCTGGACCAGCATCACCAACAATATCTGGGAGCTTGCTAGAAGTCCCAATTCTTGGATCCCACTCATGACCTTCTGAGTCAATAACTCTGGGGGTGGAGCCCAGCAACCTGTGTTATTAATAAGTCCTTAAGGTGACTCAGAGGCACATTAAAGTTTAAGAACCACTATCTAGGCCATTGCAACAATTCTCTAACTGGTCTCCTGACTTTATTCATATCTCTTCTGATCAATTTCCAACTTCCACAAGAGTGACTGGACCATGTTACCTCCCTACTGAAAACTTTCCTAGGGCTCCCCATGACCCATCTTCGGGGGAAAAAAAGTTTAAACATTCTAATGAGCATTCCAGACTCTGCAGTTGTGACTAACTTACTTTTCCTCTTTCAGGAACTGCTTCACAAGATTAAAGGAGAAACAGAAAATGTATCTAGCGCTGTGCTTGGGGCATGGCAGGAACTCAATGAATGCTTATTAAATACTGTAAATGATAAACACATCAATGGATGGTGTTATGAATCCACTGGCCTATTAAGGGATCCTTTAGGAAGGCTCTATGTGAACATGATCCTGGGTATCTACACATAGAACCCAGGTATAATCTGAAGAGATCATCTGATAAGTGAGTGATTTTGATTATGGCTACTGGGGAGAGGGATGTTCTCCATGGTCTGCTGCTGCTTTGAGTCTCCCTAAAACATCAGAGTCCCATGATTTCAGACTCAGGACTACTTCTTTCAGTGCCAAGGGACTCCTCACTCTCTGAGGCATGGAGGTGGAGATTTCTGGTTGTCTGCTCCCTGGGACACATGCACACATGTGGAGGCCTGGGGTGCAGTGGGGTACACATGCAGACAGCCTTGGGAACATGGGGCACACAACTTGCACAGAGACATTCATGGGAAACACAAGTACACATAGGAACATGGGACATATATTGACATAGAGTTGCATGCTCAAACATACGTGGACTCCCATTTGGCACACTTGGCATACTGCTTTTCTCCAAGGCTCCTTCTCTTTTCAAAAAGTGAGCTTGCATTTGGATTTTATGTTAAGAAAAAACTCTGATCTGCCTCATTTATTGTTGACACAGCCACCCTCATCCTCCCAGCCTTTGATCACCTCCTGCTCCAGGCCAGGCTGAGTGTTTGCAGGGTGGGGAAATCTGGCACAAGGAGATGCCAAGGCGCCATCTCGTGGTTAGATCTCACAACTGCAGCTCAGATCTCCCTTTTCCCCACTCCGCTGAAATACCAAGAGCAAGCCAGAACTCTCTGACCATACCTCATTTAAGCACAGAACTCTGTCTGCCTTGTATTAGGAAGCTTTGCAGGGTTTGACTTCTCCACTATGGGAGGGAGAGCACCCTGACAGCAGGGACCATGGGTGGCTGTCACTTTATTTGGGACCTTTCTCTTCTCTTTTCACTTCCCCAGATGATCTCAGTCCCTCCCATGACTTTAGGGACCCTCTATACTGACAGCTCCCAAATCTGTCACTTGCCCAGACTTTTCTTGAGCTCCAGACCATAGAAAGCAACTACCCCTTGGATATACCATGAGCAGCACAAATTCGCCATTTACCAAGTTGAGTTGTGTATGGTATGCACAAATCTGTCTCTGTCCCAGTGTTCCCAGTGACAGTGAATGCCCCATTATCCACTCAGTCTCCCAGATCAGGAATCTGGGAGTCATCCTTGGTTCTACTCCCCTTCTCTTTACCCCTCTTCACTTCCAGTTAATCACCAAGTCCTATTAACTCCTACCTGTATCTTCTCCAGCCTCATTGCCACTGGCTTAGTTCAGACTTAGCATCTCCTCTCTGAGCTCCCTGGCTCAGCCATTCCTCTTGCAGTGCCTCATCTTCCCAAAATGCAAACGGGATCACATTCAATCTGCTAAAAAATCTGCAGTCTAGCCGGGGATGGTGGCTCATGCCTACAATCCCAGCACTTTGGGAGGCTGAGGCAAAAGGATTACTTGAGGCCATGAGTTTCGAGATCAGGCTGGGCAACAGAGTGAGACCCTGCTTCTAAAAAAAACAAAACTGCAATTTGATCTCTCAGCATGATTCCACGTTTAAGCTTCTGAGCACAGCACAGTAGGATCTGGTCCATGCCTGCTGGTTCAACCTCATCTTCCACCACTCCACACTTCACACTCTATACACCATGGAATGCGAAACTACTCGTAGTTCTCAAGCTTGCATGCCTTCAGACCTTGCTGTTCCTTTTCGTGTCTGCCTGGCAAGCCCCTCCTCACCCTGAAGTCTCAGAGCACATAGTTGCTGTAAGTTTTCCTGCAATCGTTTGGCCAGTCTGAGGGGCTCGCATGCTCCAGCCACACTGTGTTTGGACCTACATAGAAGCCACTGCTTACAGTTTTTTTGTTTTTGTTTTTGTTTTTTTGAGACAGGATCTCACCCTGTCTTCCAGGCTGGAATGCAGTGGTGTGATCATAGCTCACTATAACCTCAAACCCCTGGGCTCAAGAGAACCTCTCGCCTCAGTCTCGGGAGTAGCAGGGACTACAGGCACGAGGCACCATGCCCGGCTAATTGTTTTTCTTTTGTAGAGATGGAGTCTCACTGTGTTGCCCAGGCTGATCTTGAATTCCTGGGCTCAAGTGATCCTCCCACCTCAGACTCCCAAAGTATTGGGATTACAGGCGTTAGCCACCACACCTAGCCTCTATGTCTTTTCATATTTACCCCAGAGAATCCATGCTAAGAAGATGGCTTTCAGTACAACCAGTCAATAAATAAATATTCCTGTCTATGCATAGCCAACCACAGGTGGGCACATAGGCTATGCTCAGCACGTGCTTATAGGTTTGAGGGCCTAGGTGGAGGAGGTTGCGGAGGGTATGGGTCTGGGGCCTGTCTGGCTCCAACCTCACAGCTTTGGCTCAGGACTGGTGAAGTACCCATAGTGGGTACTTGGCTCATCTGCTGAAGCTTGCAGGCCCTCTGGCTTCTCATTTGGCATACAGGATCAACAGCTGGTAACCTGAAAGCTACATTTGGACTGCATGTTTTGTTGGATCAGTAGTTATTTAATTAAAGATAGTTACTGACATTCAAAAGTTGGGTTTCACATACAAATTAGGATTCCTGACTTCTTTAAAAATGGGAGGATATGGCAGGGCCACTTGGCAGCAACCCAGTGACATGGGGGCGGGGGTGCAGTGTTTCATCTGTACTTGAGAGCACCAGAGCCCCCACAAGGCCTGGCCACATCAACATGAGTTTGGCAATCTGCTGTACAAGTGAAAGATGTGGGCTGGGGAGTCGGATGGCCTGTGTGGAGTCCTGGCTCTGGCACTGACTAGCGGCAACACCTTGAGCCAATCACTTATCCATGCCAAAGTTGCTTTGTCTGTAAAATCAGAACCCTTCAGAGGATTCTTGGAAGGGCTGAATGAGGTCTCATGATGTGTTTAGCAGGGCATGTGTTCAGCACCTGGTAGCTGTGAACTGATGGAGCCTGGAAGGGAGAGAGCAGGTGCAGGGCAGACCACGCAGGAGGCTTCTCGTCACCAATGAACATTTATTGAGTGTCCACATGTGCACAGCTTTGAACTTGGCGATCACAGAACGCACTGGGGGAGGGAAGCAAGGGATCAAGAGTGTGTGTGTGTGTGTGTGTGTGTGTGTGTGTGTGTGTGTGTGTGTGTGTGGTCCCCCTGGGTTTATAAGAAAGGTAGTCCCTGCTGGAGCCGCCAGTCGCGTCTCTGCAGAGAGGAGTCATAGCAGGGGTGGGAGTTAAAGCCAGGCACCACGGTGGCAGTGGAGTGTAATCACTGGGGAAACATGCGGATTCTGGGGAAGTGTCCCTCCTGTTCCTGGCTCCAGCCAGGCCAGATGGCACCAGGGGGACAGGAATCAGATGCTCAGGTGTCCAAGCAGGGATAAGGACAGGCAAAATAAATAACCCCCCAACCCCCATCGTCACTCTGCTGCAACACGACACAAAGGTTTAAAGATCTGGGCCCAAAGACTCTGGGTCCCTTCAAGCAAGCTCAGGTGGAAGGAGGTTTCCCCACCCCCCACCAGGCCTGTCTGCCCCAGGTTGCCCTAGGATGGAGGCAGTTCAGACCCTGGGTCACTGAAGCTGATAGGAAGAACTGCGATATCAATGGCCTAAGCCTGCTGTCTGCCCAAGGGAGCCAAGGGCAAGAGCCAAAGGGCCAATTTAAAGGACGTGGACCTGGGGGGCCAGAGGAGGCACCACAGCCGAGGGGAGCCCACGCCCTGGCCGGCAGGGCACATGGGCTGAGGCAGTCTGCTCCTGCCAGCCCTGTCTTACCCTGGAGCCTCCCTCCTGCAGGGGAGCCAGACATCGGGCACAATGACACCTAGTGCCCCCCTCCCTGGGGGCTGCTCCAACCTTCCCCGGCCTGGCGGGGACAACCACGTTGATTTCCAAGCCGATCCCTGCCCCCATGGGGGCCTGAGGGGCGGAACGCAGTTCCTTACACTTGAGGGGTGGGCACCATGCCCTTGCCCTCAGAAAAGCCAGAAAGCTGGGGTGTTTTGGGGAGGAAGTCTGGGGAGGGGGGGGCCAGATTGGGGGCTTCAGGGAAGATGCCTCCTCCCTCCTTCCCTCTCTGCCCGCCCCTGGGTCTGTCCCCGGTGGACACCCCTCAGGGCTCTGACAGGCACTGCTCCAAGGCAGCCATGCGGTAGTGGCTGGCCGTCTCCTCGCCCGCCTGCAGCCTCATGGCCTCCCGGCACAGCCGGTTGGCCCGCGCCAGCTCCACCAGGACACCCTGATAGGCGGCCACCATCTCGGGCTTGACAGAGTTGGGGCTGACACTGCCTAGCAGCTGGAGCAGCTCCTGCGGCCAGCGGGAGCGCAGGGCAGCGGGGGCCAGCCAGGGCAGCAGAGGCACACAGCCGGTGAAGGCCTGCATGCCCAGGAACCAGAGCTCCTGCAGGTCGGCCCAGATGCCCTCATACTCAGGGGACAGGGCTAGCACTGCCTGGTCTGAGCCCGGGGTGGCCCGCGCCACGTGGGACTGTGATAGGAAGAGGATGGCAGCTGCGAAGAACCCTCGGGATGCTGGTGTTCCCTGAAGAGCTGCAAGGTAACGGAAGGAGTGGGGCATGAATCGGACAGGCCAGCTGCTGTGTCAGACCCTTCCCTAGTCCTCTGTGTAGACACATGCAGGAGCCAGGGCACAGCCTGGAATCAGACTGCCTGCGTTGAAACCCTGCCTTAGATGCTCACTGTGTGACCTTGGGTAATTAACTTTTCTGGGTCTGTTTCTTTACTTGTAAAATGGGCCAATAGTGCTCATCTTAGAAATTTGTTGTGAGAATTAAATGTGATCATCTTGGTACACTCAACCACCAAGACCTCTACCGGCACTGGAGGTGGGGGTGAGTCACAGGGTCAGATGGGAGAGAGAACCCCTCAGGGTTCTGGACACAGAGCTCAGACACAGGTTAAGGGAGTTGCACCATTTGATCCTTGGGCCAGAAGAGGGCGCCAGAGAGGAACATAAGCAAGTGACCCTGCTTTGCTTACTGGCTGTTCAAGGGGTGACCCTCACACTGCAGGTGCTCTCCAGGAAGCTGTCAACCTAACCTGGTGGTATTTGAGGGTGAGCCAGAACTGGGACCATGAAATTGGGGGCTGCAGAGATGCAGCCTGGGACTGAGAGTGCAGAGTGGGCTCCTGGTGTACAGGGATGTGCACCCCTTCCCATGACGGGGTACCCTGCTGGGAACCCCTCAAAAGGAACACAGAGGCAGTGGAAGGTACGGGCATGTTACGCCCTGTTCCCAGGCATCTGCTCAGCTCCTCCAACCTGACAGATGGGGCACAGGGAACAGGCAGGGACAGAGGGACCCAAGCAGACACCCACAGCCAAAGAGGGAGACACGGAGGGCTGCCAGGGGCTGGAGGGGACGTCCCTCCCCCTGCAAACAGCCAGAGTGAGGCAGAGCTAGGGAGAAGGTGTGCATAGAGGGACACCAAGTGCTGAAGGCTGTCACTGATGGGGGTGAGGTACCGAGCAGAGCAGAGAAAAACATCAATGGAAGGAAGTCAGGTTTCTGACTCAAGGCCTGGGTGGGGGCGGCTCCACCTTGAAAACACTGGATTCAGATTCCTCTGGCTGCCAGGGATTCCAGGTGCCTATGCCTGTGCCTGTGAGCAGGTCTGTACTTAACACCCACCAGACTTTGCCTTAAAAGTCTTCAGAAGAAAGAGAATGTTAGCATTTTGGGAAGAACGGTGGGGGTAGGGGATGGAGATACACTGCAAAGATTTCCTCTTGCTTAGAAAATGCTGCAAAACCATCTTCTAAAAATGGTGACTTTTGCCCCAAACACAGGAGGTCCACCCAGGTCTTCTGTCCTCACCCATCAGGACTGGATCCCCAGTTCTTACCTGGAGAGGTGCTAAGGAGCCGGGCCATGAGGAGCCCCAGGGTGGCCACATTAGCAGCCAGAAGCAGCCTTCCCTGTTGCTGCACTAGTGCTGGTAGCGACGTCATGAGGGTGTTCATTAGAGATGTGAAGCAGGCGTCACGCCTGGAAAAGAAAGGGGGGAAGGATGGAGGTAGGTGGGGGTCTAGTACAGCCAAATCAAGCCCTTGGCAAGAAATTAGGCAGTAGGGTGATTAACTTTGGGCCCCAAACATAGCATCTGGGGGGCAGAGATTGGAACAAGCAGACATGCTGAGACAGTACCTGGGGGTTCCAGCATGCCGAATCCTTGTGCGGGGCTGGCTATGTCTACTCTGAGACCCCCATGCTACCACTAACAAATCCATGGGCATGGGGGGCAAAGTAGGAGACTGAGAATTGAGGCAACTGGGCAGCCTCCTTTGCCTCCTCCGGCCTCCTCCCCCACCTCTCCCGAGCCCCTCACTTGATCAGCCCCGGTGCGGTGACCACGAGGTTGAGGAAGATGTGGCAGCAGGTCTGCAGGCCAATCTCCACGCTGTCAGGCAGCACCGAGGTGTCGTGGCCAGGGGATGTGAGTTCCCACTGCTGCAGGAAATACTTGCACAGAAGCGAGGGGGCCCCTTCCTTGATCAGGATCTCCCGGGGCCCATCTTCAACGGTCAGGTGGCACCAGCCAGGCAGGAGGAGCCTGGGGATGTGGAAGGGACAGACGTGTGTGGGATTGGGAGAGATGAAGGCACATAGATTCCCTTTTTAGGGCACCTTGCCTAAGAGAAATGGAAGTAGGGGAGAAGGACACATCCTCGCAGGTACCACAGAAAAAGTACAAGCTTCAGAGTCGCACAACCCAGGACCAAACTTGGGCTCTGCCACAAAGTGTGACTGTGGGCAAGTGACTTTAATCTCTATGAGCCTCAGTTTCCTAATCTTTCATATGTGAATGAGACTTCTGTTATATTTACCACGTGGACCAAATGAGATCATTTTGGTAAAGGGTATAGCAAAATACCTGGCTCGTAGTAGGTGCTCAATAAGTATAAGTTCTCTTTTAACTGAGAAATCTGGGGTTGGCAAGTGACACCTGGCAGCCGAGGAGTCCTGTGGGAACAAGCCCCCCAAAACAGAAATAACCCTAAGGGATATCTCATGGCCCAATCAGGAAGCCTGGCACAGCTCAGTTTGTGGGGAGGGGTGTCCTTGTGTTAACGCTTTTCGGTAGAATGATCTAGCTGGACAGACTGTAACTACAGACTCACCGGAGAGCGTCTCCTGGCCAGGTGGGCCCTGGGGTGGTGGGGGAGATGGCCAGGTTGGCCACCTGCTGGGAAAGGTCATTGGCCTCCTCGGCCTCCTCGTAGAGGGTCTTGGCATAGCGGACGAGGAAGGGCAGCAGCTGGCACACCTCCTTACGCAAGGATGAGGTCTCCTCGGCCAGCCAGGCACCCAGGATCCGCACCGAGGCAAACACAAAGGGCTCCTTCTGCTTCTCTGACCCCACCTGTTGCCACAGGACCCCCTTGAGATGGAGCAGGACCAGGGACCCTCCCTGCCTTGCCAGAGGCCAGCCAGCTAGAAATAATACAACTAGAAGGAAATTCTGGCCTGTGAGCCTTTCAAAGGCAGGCCCCAACCTTTATTCTGTCCCATGAACCCAGCACCTAGCATGTGGTAGGGACGCACACAAGGGACTGGCACAGAGTGAGCCAGGCCCTCCACACACGTCTGCTGAGTGAACTGGGCCTGAGTGAATTGAGTGACATGCCCCCGTACTCGCTGAGGCTCCAGTCACATCTCCCTAACTCCCTACCTCTGGAGTGTCTCAAGGCTAGAAGGAAATTCATAGGTCAAAAGCTAAGTTAAACACCCTTTACAGCAGCTCTGACCTGGGGTGGGAGGGCAGGTTCCTGGCTACTGTGTAACTGCTCCCAATGGTGGGAGTGAGGGGATGCTCTCTTTTGTGCTAAGTCAGAAAAAAGACATGAGCTTAGCGTGGTGCATGGAATATATGGCTGGTGAGCTCGGTGGCTGGAGCAGGCCATTAAAGAGACCAGAGTCATGACTGAATCCCTGTGGGACAGGACAGCTGGCCTCTCAGGCGGGGAGGCAGGAGGGGATGTAGGGGAGGCAGGCGAATTGATCTAGCCAGACCTCTATAGAGGCCAGGAACCAGGCAGCCCTGCTTCTCTTCCCTGCACCATTAGAAGTTCGGGTGTGTGCGTGTATAAAACAATGCTATGGAGTGAGCAGAACAGACTGCTTCAATCTTGTGTGCATGTGTTGGGGAGAGGTGTGTGGCGTGTAGTGTGTGTGTATTGGGGGGAGCGTTTGAGTGGGAGGTTACTGTGTTGTGTGTGTGTGCGTGTGTGTGTACTGTGATGTGAGTGCACATATGGTGTGTGGTATGGTGCTTGTGTGGAGGGAGGGAGAGAGAGGGAGGTTGGGCCGCACACTACTCCCTGGAGTGCTGGCTACAGTATCAGCTTGTGTGGACATGCAGCTTCGCTGTCTCCCCATTATTCTCCTCCCCCTTGCCTCCCAGCTCCAGCACTGGCTCCCCCCATACTGGGCCCCCTCTGTGGGTCACTGCACCCTCACCTGCAGCAGGTAGTGGATAACAGCCCCTATGGCCTCCTTCATGACGCTCACGAGCTGCACCTTCTGTGGCTCCTTAAGCAGTGACTGCTCACAGCGAGTGCATTCCTGGATCCCCAACTCCATGAGGGCATAGCAGGCGGTCACCACATCCTCTTTCACCTCCGTGCCCGTCTCCTCCAGTGCCAGCCGCACTTCCACGCACGCCAGATTCACCAGCAGGGCCAGGAACTTGCTCCCGGAGCTGCCCGCCGGGATCCAGTCGGAGCCGCAGGCGTGTGCCAGGCGGGCTGCCAGCTTCAGTGCAGGGTTGCGCTGCCAGGAGCTCAGCTTGCTTCCCAGGATGCGTGCCAGCCCGGCCTGCAGATCCCGGTAGCATTCAGGGGGCACGGTTGTCGGGGGCAAAAAGAGGGGCAGCAGCTGGCAGAGCTCAAACTTGCTGGCATCCTCAGCTTTCTGGAAATCCTCACTGAGGCCCCGCAACACGGCCAGCAGGTCGGGCTCCGCCTCCTTCCAGCACTGTGTCTCGGCAGCAGCCAGCAGCCCCACCAGGAGTGCCAGGGCCTGGTCAAAGCCATAGCCGTGCCCCAGGTATGCCTGGCATAGGGCAGACACGGTGCCACCAGCAATGAGGTGCCGAGGCCCTCTGGGTGTGCCTGCTACAGCCGTCAGGCACTGGTAGGTGTCATCAATCATGGAGCGGCGGGCAGCATCGTCCGGGTCCCCCCGGGCTGTGAGGAAGGTGCTAAGAATGGGAATCTTGTTCAGGACTTGGGGATGGGCGGCCAGTTCAGGGTCACTGCAGAAGCAGGCCAGCAGGGCCACACCCAAAGCCCGCAGAACATGGTCAGGGCAGCCATCCGGCGCCTCCTTGGTGGTCAGGAGACGATTGGGGAAGGTGAAGCCGACAGCATCGAAGATCCGCCGCCGAGTTTTGGCATCTATGTCACCTGCTTTGACTGCCTTGGTCACCTATAGGGGGTATGTGCTATCATCAGGATGAAAGGAAGAAGTGGGAAAGACTGTCCCTCTCCTGCATCCTGGGGCACTGAGGACTAGCAAGATGAGGTTATGCAACAGGACTCATCTGAGGTCATTTCATCCAGCTCCTTTTTTCTCCTTAGAGGCAGATAAATGTGACCTCTGGGATCCCTCTCATCTGTGACTGTCCCATGGAAGTGAGGTCTAGTCTTCCTCAACCATTCATTTGAGCATTTCAACACCTGGCCAGTTGAGAAGTTCTTCCTGATGTCTAAATGCCCACAACCTGGGATGGAAGGGGCTTAGAACTCAATGTTTTAAGATCTCCCAAGGATTTAAAGTCCTTCCTTAATTGCTCCCTCCAGAGAAGTCCCTGATCCATTTCTGCCACCTTCTCAGGGGAAATGGCTCCTGTGTCTCGCCGCTCCGCCTGTCAAAACATTTCCCCTTACATTTCACCTAAACACCTCCTCTGCTGCAGTGTGAGCCCTTGACTCCAGAGCCTTCTCCTTGTTGCCATGGCAAACAAGCAGCGGCTGTACTCCCTCCTCCCTTCACCCCCCACACACAACCCCCCCTTCCTAGCACTGCAGCTTCTGCTCTGCTGTCCCCAGCTTGGGTTCCTCCAAAAAGGCTAAGCCCCAAACTAGCTCCCATTCCTTAACCTACCTACTGCCATCCTGGCCTTCCCCTAGGACCCCTCCCCAGCCACTTCCAGCCCTGCTACTCTCTCCAGGCCCAGAACAACCATCCCCAGCCCTCAAGTACTCTGCACTAGTTACTACCTGCTGCTGTTACCCTATGAGTCAGCTTCCATCTGCTCTGGGACGCCCCAGAAAACAGACCCAGGCAGCCCCTAGTGCCACAGCCTTATTCAGTCCCATTCTCCTCTTTGCCCCCATTCTCAGGGGGAGCAAAAAAGAGCACAAAGGTAGGGGTCTTGGGCCTTCGTTGGTGCCTCCAGGGTTGCTAGCACTACGTACATATCCTTGGGGACTCACTGACCCCATTCCTTGGGGGCCCAACCACCCAGCCCTTCCCACCTCCCAATTTTCAGCCAGTTCCTTACTAGCAGCAGGGCTGCAAACTGCTCGCTGTCATTCTTGGCCTCACGGAGGGCTCCCAGGTAGCGCTCCAGGGTGGGGTTTCGGCCCTCTGCCTGGTTCAGAGCTGGCTCGCAATCCGAGGCCATGATGCTCGCCTTGCCCAACTGTGAACACAAGAGGGACTGAGCATCCCTCTGCAGAGGAGGGACGGGGGTGGGGTGGGGGTGAGAGTGGAGGATGGAGGGAGGGAGGGATTAGCACAGAGGGAGGGGAGGAGAGAATCTGGAGGGGTGGACTCCTCAGGACTGACCTCCCCCCAGAAGCCCCTTTAAGGGGCTGGATCTGCAAATCCTTAGGGATAAAGAAGGGACCCTGGTCCAAGGTCACCTCCAGAAAGCGGGAAAGAAGGACCATGCATGCTGCTGCTCAGCCGGACAGCTCTCCTCACCAGTCTCCTGGGGGTGGGCGGGAGCTGGCCCCACTGCTCAGCTGTCCCCCTGGCACCGGAGGCTGGGTTTTATCTCCCTCCACAGGGACACAGAGGGAGTGAGTGGTGAGGACAGACAGGGAGAAATGGAGACATACATGGGTGAAGTTCGATTATCCGGACTCAGGCTGACATGGGAGAAAAGGACACCCCAGGCTTCCTTTCCCCTCCCTTCTTCAGAGGCAGAGATACGCTTCAGAAGTGAGAATACAAGACGCTCAACAGGGAAGGCTTGGAGGCCCCTTTGGGGACCCCACCCCTCCAGCCAGGGCTCTCAGTCGCCCCCGCAGGCTCCTTGCCTCCTCTCCTTTCCCTCCCTCGGGTAGAGGCTGCAGCAGCAGCAGCAGCGGCGGCGGCAGCAGCAGAATTAACCCCTTGCGCTCCCTCTTCTCGCCCTCCCCGTCCCGCTACCAGCCTGTGGATGCCGGCAGGGGCTGGAGAAGCAAGAGGGGGTCCCGGATAGTTCCCAGGACAACGGAGAATCCAAAAGCCGGATAATCGAAGCAGGGCTGCTGAGATGGGGAGATGAGAAGGGGAGGAGGGTTCCTGGCGGTCACCACCTGTCCCGCCGCAGCCAGGTCACAACACGACATTGATGAAGTCACGACAGGGCGGCGATGAGATCACACTTCACGATGGCGCGGTGATGTCACGGAGAGATCACGTCAAAATCACGACATGGGAGACAGCCCCCAAAGATGACAGGGCAAATTAAAAAAAAAAAAGATATATATTGAAAAGGGCTGTGACAAAATGGAGTCTCGACAGGGCACGATGGTGTCGCGATATGGCGCGATGGAGTCGCGATAGGGTCCCCGGGGTGTGTCGGCATCGATCAGCGCCGGCTCGGAGAGGCCCCGGCTGGGATGCAGGGGAGGGCCCGAAGGGGGCTGAGCTCACCAGGCTGCGGCCCCGAGCGGCGAAGTCTTCTCCCAGCGCGATGCTCCGGGAGCCTCGGGCCGCTGCTCACGCCGCGTTGCCCACTCCTGGCTCCAGGCTGCTGCAGCTCCACCCCCACCCCCGCACCGCTCTTGACGAATCCGCGGCTGCTTCACTCCGGGCTCTGGCCAATGGCAAGTCAGGGTGCTAAGCAGTAGGGGGTGCCGCCGTTGCCGCCATCTTGCTTGTGGGTATTGCCCGAGTCTGGGGGCTGGGGCTCGAGCGAAGGAGGCAAGGTGCAGACTGCCTCTGGAGAGCGGGCGGCGAGAGGCTGGGGGCCCAGATTCCTTCGCTTGTGCGTAGTTTTACCCGCCCAGCACTGCCCCTCCTCCCCCTTGGTCTCGCGGCCGGCATTGCCCTTCCCGGGGGAGGGGCGGGAGGGCTTGGTTAGCATGGAGAGTGTGTTTCCGGGTCGGTCCCGGGGAGGTGGGAGGAGGCGGTGTTTCCGGCCGCCGTCGCTGTCCAGGGAGGCTGAGGCGAGAGGTAGCTGTCCGGGTGGGGAGCCCGCACTACCTTCTTCCTCTTCCTCCTCCTCCTCCGGGTGAGGGGAGCGAAGGTTGGGGGTCCCCGAGCCCATGGACCAGGAGGAGGCGGAGGCCGCCGAGAGCCGGGGCCCCGCTATGTGGCCCTGAGCCCCGGTAGGTGGCCGGGGGCGGCTGGCTGCCAGGCCGAGGACCATGGGCTCAGGGGAGGGGCAAGCGGGACGGGCGATGTCAGCGGCTGCGCTGGCCGGATGTTGGGTCCGGAGGTGGCGCCCCTGGCTCGGCCAGGGCAGCCAGCTGCTTCTGTCCTTGCAGGTGCGCAGCTTGGGTCCCAGGCTGAACCCCGCTTCTCTCGGGCCTGGGCCTAGTCATGCAGCTCCCTCCATCCCCTGAGAGCCAGGCAGACAGCCGGGGTTCGGGGCGCTGCCGTCCTTCTTCCACCTTCGACCTCTGCAGCCTAGTCTTTAGTTGCTGTCTCTGATGTTTGGTCTCTCCACCGAGATAGAAAGTTGGTGCAGAATGAAGAGGGGATGGGGTTGAGCACGATGTGTCCATTATAATGTGAAACCTGCCTCATCCACGATTTTGAAAATTATGCCCCACAGAGGGTCCTGTAGTGGCTGCAGTGAGCACAAAGGTGAAATGAAGGAAGTCAAAATTGATAACCTCTGGCGGGATTCCAGGAACTCTTTGGCTTCTGGTCTCATAGTGGTTGTGTCCAACTGACAGTAGTTGCAGTTAGTGAAGAGCATTAGCTGACTCTCCTTGTGCTCTCTCCTGTGATTAACAGACTGAAAACTAGGAACAAATTGGAAAGACGACCTCCCAGAACAATCTGTTCATTTTTCCAGCTATTTGGAAAACAGTGTCTGCAAATATAAGCAAAGCTATTCATGGCAGTCTGTTCTGTAACTTTCCCAAATATCTGAGACTTTTTAAAAAAGAGCTTTATTCTCGATTACTCATACCAACTGAATAGATTGTTTCAGACGTGCTCCATCGTTGTTCAAACATATCTTATCGCTGTGTACATAAATGGAGTTCCACGTATGTAGTTGACAGACTGAACTGTGATACATCCCCCATCAACCTGAAGTATTAAGTAAACATTACCCCCTGCTCTGTCTGAACAGCTGCTGCAACAGAGAGTGCTTTTATTTTGGGTGTACTTGTAACGCCCTAAATGCCAGAACTATTGTGAGCTTCTCTAGATTTTCATTTGTCAAGTATTGTGGGGGTGTGTGTTCTCTCCCTGGGTTGTTACCCTTTGATTCAGTAACAAACTATTCGGATCTTGGTGATGTGTTGTTGTTCTTGCGTTTGGTCAGCAAGCCTTTAACTGGACCCTAGCAGTGATTTGTGCCCTTAGGCAATTATAGGTTTCAGAGGAATGACTGGTTAGGAGTTCAAATGAAATTAACTCTGCCTTTCTCTTAGACGCAAGATTTATTAGACATGGCACTTCTAATCAGCTTGTTAGTCCAGTGGTGTTTATTACTCCATTTTTCAAAAGCTATTCATTTCTTTTCTGCTTCTCCCACCCACCTGTCAGGCTATTGATGACAGCTGTTGAGTCACCTTGAGTTTTAAATCCTTTTGTGGTAGGCAGAAATGTGTTGGGTAAGATTCATACACACCCATACATGCACACATGCATACTCACTCGTTCCCTCTTGGGAGGCTAGAGAAATTGCTGGATGTACTTTCTAACTTAGGCTCCATTTCATAATCTCTTGAACATGTCTCTGGCCCACACACCTCCTTTCTGCCCCCTGCTCCCTGAAATACAACTACAAAACAACTAGAAATAGGAATGGATGGAAGTGAATGAGAACGATGAAGTCCTTCAGATGCATGTGGTTCTGCAAAAGCCTTTTCTTGGGTGGGCTGCACCTTAGTTTTGCAGCTGTGTGTATGTCTGTGGCTGTTTCTTGGTATTAGTCAGTATTGGTATCCAGCCCAGGCAATGCTGATCTCCCTGTATGCTGGCCGTGGATAGGAGTTAGGGGTTGGCAGCCTGTGTCGTTTGCTGGATGTAGATGACAGGTACATAGTTGGACAGAAGTTTTTGAATTGCTTCTTCAGAACTCAGTCAACCCTCATAATGTTGCCAATATTTACGTACTAATTTAGACAATATAGCAAAGTTTTATATGAGGGGAGAAATTTATGGTAAATGAGTTTTTCTGCTGGAAGAGACCTAAATAATCCAGCCCCTAGATTCTGGAGTAGCCAGCATAGTGCCTGACGTAAGTATCTGTTGAATGCAGGGATTGGGGTGGGTAGCATTGAGGTGTAAATTGAATAGATTTTCATGATAATAGTGGTGGGCGGAGACAGTAGCAGACTGGAGAGTGCATGCCCTGCCTAAAGACATTTGCATTCAGAAATTTAAAAAATACTGGGCCAGACATAACCCTCAGGTTACTTTACCTCTGAGGGTGCAACCTCTTCTCCTCAAAAGTAAGAAAGTGTGTTTGGTCAAAGTCACAAAGCTGTTAGTAGCAGAACTGCAACTAAAACTCAGAGATCTTCTTGTCTGCGGGCTGGTACTCTTTCCATTCTACCACATAGGTGATTTACTGTTAGATTAAAAAAAAAAAAAGGAATATAAAGTTTCAGTTTTCAGTGGATTCATTTGATATCCCTTGCTGTGTTGTTATTCTGATAATTATAGGCTACCTCAAAGCCCAGGTTTAAAATTTATAGGCAGGGTTGAGCCGTTAAAGACAAACTTGAAATTTTTCTTTCCCCTAATCTGTCATATTTTCTAGCATTCCACATTTCCAGGAATTAATTATTAATTACTCGGCATGTAATTTCTTCTCTTTCTGTCCTTCTAGTGTACTGGTTCTGCCTGTCTGGAGGGCCATGGAGAAGAGGCTGGGAGTCAAGCCAAATCCTGCTTCCTGGATTTTATCAGGATATTATTGGCAGACATCTGCGAAGTGGTTGAGAAGCCTGTACCTGTTTTATACTTGCTTTTGCTTCAGCGTTCTGTGGTTGTCAACAGGTACTATTTTCTTTATAGATTTAAGATTTTTTTTTTTAGAAAAGGGCATTTTATGTGAGTCCCTCAGTTCATTTTAAGGACTATTAGGAGGCAGAAAAAACAATCTGCTAATTGACAGAAATGGTCATCCTTTTGGTGACTGAGGTCTGTTGGGTTTATTTATTTGTTTTGTTTTGGAACCAGAGTTTAAATTGGATTCTTTTTCATAAGGGAGAATTGGCACAACCGTTTTAAGACTTGATAAAAGTCAACTGGGTATTTCCACTTAATGACTATAAAACCTTGAGCAAATTACCTATTATCTTTGAGGAAGGGTTATTATCTACCTCATGGTTTGATTTGAGGGATAGTATAATTAAAGCATGTAGCACAGCACTCAGCATGGGTGCTTAGTCTTGCTATTTGCCCAGGCTGGTCTTGAGCTTCCTTTCCTTTCCTAAAGGAATCTACACTTATGGGAAAAATGCGTTCCTTACTTTTTCCATAGAGAGGGGCTATGTTGATAGATTTTTTAGACTATGCTTTCCTCCTAGAGATTATTTCACCAGGGTAAAGCCTCTTGCCAGGAATCAGTGCCAAGAAGGCTAAATTTCAAAGGAGAATGCCCTTTCTTTCTTTCTTTCTTTCTTTCTTTCTTTCAAGTTCTTTTGTTGATATTGTGCTTTCATAGTATGAGTGTGAGAAAACAGCAATATGAGAAAGATTTCTGTGTATGCTGCCATTCTGGCCAGTGACCAAAAACCTTCTGCTGTAGAGACCACCATCTGGGATAACTAATCAGCCTTTTTCCCTTATAATTACAAAGATTTCTGTTGCTTTCCTAAAGGAATTGGTGGTCATGATTTTGAGACCCTAGTAATTATTGTATTTAGCAATTTCAGTAACATCAGCTTTGGGGTTTTTGTTGTCTTGCAGTGATGGTTGATGATTGCATAATTATAGCAGTGGAAGTTGTACTTGACAGAAAGCTGATCTACATGGTTTTTTTTTTTTTTTACCCCAGATGATGCTTTGCTGGGACAGCTGACTATTTCAGGTCAACATTTTATATAAGATCATTAGAATTAAATAAGTAATTGATTTAGCACCATCAGAATAGGGAAAAATCACTTCTTTAAAAAAAAGAGATGGGGTCTTGTCACCCAGGCTGGAGTGCGATGGTGCCATCATAGCTGCCTGCAGCCTCAAACTCCTGGGCTCAAGCTGTCCTCTTGCTTCAGCCTCCAGGCATGAGCTAGTATGCCTGGCTAATTTTTTTTTTTTTTAAGACAGTGTCACTCCATCATCTAGGCTGGAGTGCAGTGGCACAATCTCGGCTCACTGCAAACTCTGCCTCCCAGGTTCAAGCGATTGTCCTGCCGCAGCCTCCTGAGTAGCTGGAATTACAGGCGCACACCACCACACCCGGCTAATTTTTATATTTTATCCTTTTTATATTTTAGTAGAGGTAGAGTTTTGCCATGTTGGCCACACTGGTCTCAAACTCCTGACCTCAAGTGATCTGCATGCCTCGGCCTCCCAAAGTGCTGAGATTACAGATGTGAGCAACTACACCCGTCTGCCTGGCTAATTTGTACATTTTTTTAGGAGATGGGGTCTTGCTGTTTTGCCCAGGTTGGTCTCGAACTCCTGGCTTCAGTCGATCCTCCAACTTTGGCCTACTGAATAGCTGGGATTGCAGACACCAACCACCATGCCTGGTGTAAATCACATTTTTTGAAGCACACCTACCACATACCAGACTCCTAATTGTAAACATTACATACCTTATCTCATTTAATCTTCATGATAACCCAAAAATAGATAGTTTTCTTCTCATTTTATAGATAAGGAAATTGAGGCCTAGAGAGGCAGAATGACTTGGCCAAGGTCACACAGCAAGAACATGGTGGAGGTAGGATTCTAAATCCAGGTTTGTCCACTGTAGAGCTCATACTCTTTCTCTTCTGGTACTCTGCCTTCCAACCATAGGGGATGTTTTGGAGGACCAAAGGTTTTTTTTTTGAAACGGAGTCTCACTCTGTCACCAGGCTGGAGTGCAGTGGCGCAGTGCGATCTCTGCTCACTGCAACCTCCGTCTCCCAGGTTCAAGTGATTCTCCTGCGTCAGCCTCCCGAATAGGTGGGACTACAGGCGCATGCCACCACACCCAGCTAATTTTTGTATCTTTAGTAGAGACCAGGTTTCTCCATGTTGGCAGGATGGTCTCCATCTCTTGACCTCGTTATCTGCCCATCTTGGCCTCCCAAAGTGCTGGGATTACAGGCGTGAGCCACCATGCCTGGTGGCAATTTTTTTTTTTTTTTTACCCAGTACCATGGTAAGCAGCTTCCTATTTGAGGGATTCAAAGTATAGAGGATGAAGAAGCAATTCCAAGTCTTTCTGTGCTTTCCAATCTAGCACTTGGTTAAACACAGCATTGTAGGCTCATTGTGCAAGTCTTTAGTAACCTTGAGCTTGGTGCTTAAAAACAGCACCCTAATTAAGTATAGAAGTGCAAAGGTGGTGGTGTTAGGTGTAGTTCTGGTGGGGATTAGGTTATGCCAGTTCTATTTTAGAAAAATTTGGAGCTTTTATCATGGAAATTAAAAGATCAAGAGCCATGTATGTTCAAATTGAGGGAACATGCAAGCAACATGTGACAGACATATTTGTTATATACTTTGATTTAATTGGAGCTCCTTCCCATTTTTTTTTTAAAAGGAATATCCTAATAGAAAAAATAAATAGGGCTGGGCGCGGTGGCTCATGCCTGTAATCCCAGCACCTTGGGAGGCCGAGGCGGGTGGATCACCTGAGGTTAGGAGTTCAAGACCACCCTGACCAACATAGTGAAACGCCGTCTCTACTAAAAATACAAAAAATTAGCCGGGCGTGATGGCATGCACATGTAATCCCACCTACTCAGGAGGCTGAGGCAGGAGAATCGCTTGAACCCGGGAGGCGGGGGTTGCAGTGAATCAAGACCGCACCACAGCATTCCAGCCTGGCCAACAGAGCGAGACTCCATCTGAAAGGAAAAAAGAACAAATAAATAAAAGGCATAAACAGAGTGCCATAAATAAGAAGTTAAAATGAATATATTTAAAATGTTCGTTCTCATTACCAATCAAAACGACAGATTAAAATGAGATATCCTTTTAAATCTATCATATTGATGAAAATTAAAGTAAAACTATCCAGTGCTGCCAAGGGGTGATGTGGTTGTCCTCATATAGTGCTGAGGAGTTTGAAAAGAGAACTTCTTGGCATAAATATCAAGAGCCCTAAAAAAATTCATATTTTTCGACTTAATTCTTCATTTAAGAATTTATCTGAAGGATACACTTAGATAGTTGTGAATGAGAGCACTGATCAACAGTCATTTATTCTGTGCTGCAAAATATTGCTGAAACCTGCTTAATTATAGGAGAGTGGTGAAATCTTTGCATCTCCACATGGTGGGATACTATCCAGTCTTAAAATTCATATTTTAAAAGAAAAGCTGGGTGTGGTGGCACACGTCTCTAGTCCCAGCTACTCGGGGGCTAAGATGGGAGGATTGCTTGAGCCTAGGGGTTTGAGACCAGCCGGCAACATAGTGAGGCCCTGTCTCTTTAGAATTAAAAAATGTTTAATAATTTAAAAAAAAAGTACACGGGAAAATGCTCCTAATATTAAATGATAAAATCAAGTTATGCAACTACATATTCAATATGCTGTCAATTTTGTGAAAAGAAGAAAAAATTATGTAATAGAAAACAGTCTGAAACAAGATGTACAACTAAATATTTATGTATTTTTTTGACTAGAGGAATTATTATCTCTTCATATTTTTCTGTGTTTTCCAGGCCTTTCTTTGGTATACTTGTATTCCTTTTTATATAAGGGGGAAAACAACCTACTTGAAAAAGCAACAACAAAATAATAACAGCAAAAACCTATTGGTGGGAGCCTGAGTCAGTATTTCTCTACTCATGAGTTTACTCAGTGTTTACCTGAGTGTTTACATTTTTTTCCGATAAAATACATTCTTGATTCCTGCTGTTATTTAGCTCATGGATTATTTCTGAAAAACTAACCAAATTAAGGCAGCTCTGCAGTTATCCTCCACTCCCGCTTACCACTTAGGAGTTTGCTCCATCTTTGGTAGAGCCCCAGGCAGCTGTTGACTTAGACATGGTGAGCTTTTTTATTTCCACTTTTGGGTTCAGTACTGAAGCCCTACTGTTAGAAAGCATTGATTACAATTTGATAAAAGATGGTCTGTCTGTGTTTTCCTTGTGTGCCATGGAATGGCTATTTTTCTGTTTAATTTTATTGTTAAGTGGCTTGAAAAATAGTGTTTTGGACCTGGGGATTCTCATCTGGAGACAAATAGGAAGTGATCCCAGGAGTTTTGGAAATTCCTACAATAGATTGTCAGCTTCTTGAGAGCAGACATGTTGCCTCTTTTAGTTATGCTAGATATTCTTAGCGGGTACCAAGGCACATAGTAGATGCATAAAATATTTGTTGACTGAATAAATTAATAAATTACCAATAAGGGAATTGTTCTTTGAGAATTAAGCTTTAAAAACAACAAAATCAGAGCAGAGATATGGAAAGGCACTTTAAGGAGACCAATGCTTTTGAGACCAACAAGATTGACTAAAATCTTAACAAATATATTAACACATACAAAGAAAGAATGTATACATCTGAAGAGTTATGTGTGCATGTTTGTGGGGGATGCAAGGACCTAATTGGCCCTAGAAATCTGAAACAGGGAGAATCACTGAAGCCAATGTCCTTAGGCCCAGAGCTAACAGTTGGCTATGAAAACTTGTACTGACATTTCCCTACCTCTGGGAAGGAGATTATACAGTTAGTTAATACGTATTTTGAGTACAGAGATAAATTATTCAATTCAGAACCATTTTTTGAGAACTTACTAGGAGTCTGCTTCTAGACTAGGCACCAGGATAATAAAGATTAGTACAATACAATCCTTTCTCTGGAATAACTACCAGTAGCAAGTGAAAAGGTAGAGGCCAGGTGCATTGGCTTATCCTAGCACTTTGAGAGGCTGAGGCAGGAGGATCACCCGAGGCCAGGAGTTCAAGACCAGCCTGGACAACATAGTGAAACCTCATCTCTACAAAAATAAAAAAAATTAGCTGGTGGTGGTGGGCACCTGTAGTCCTAGCTACTCGAAAGGCTGAGATGAGAGGATCACCTGAGCCCGGGAGTTCAAGACTGCAGTGAACTGTGATCATGTCGCTGTACTCCAGTGTGGGTGACAGAGGGAGACCCTGTCTCTTAAAAAAAAAAAAAAAAGATGCAACGCACAGAGTGCTACTGGAACCGTAGGAGAAGCATTTAGCTTGGAGGCAAAGAGGGTGCTCTAAGGAGTTCTTTCTAGAGAAGCATCTTCTAGAGAAGCTGATGCCTGAACAGAGTTGTGAAGGTTGAATTTGAAGGATTCAAAGGGTATTCCCATGCAATGGGAATGCAAGAGCAAAGGCACAAAAGTGAAACAGCCTGGTATATAGAAGAAACTCCACAAGCAGTTTAGCACTACTGGAATATAAAGAGCAAAGCTGGTATGGCAGCTCCAGAAGAGGTAGGTGGTGGCTAGGTCACAAAGGATCTTGTATGCTATGCTAAGAAGCTTCAATTTTAAACTTTTTAGGTAGATGGTCTATAAATTTTTTTCATGATGCACTTTAATCCATTGAAAAATTGAGAATGTACCCCTGTATATAAATTTATACATTATAACACGTAATTTTATACTAATGTCTTATATATGTGTAAGAGATGCCAAAAACAAAATGTTAAAGGGATTGACAGAAGCAAATATGAAGAGTTCTAATATTTTCTTTTCATGCCCGAGGGATTTGTCTTGTGCACCTCTTAAGGCAAACACTATAATACTTTAATGCTAGTATTAAATATAAAACTATTAATACTGTATTAAATATACTATAATACTGGTAAATTTCTGAATAATTTTTGCAGGAGTATAGAAAAGTGGTAATTGTGGAGATGGAGATGGATGGAAAAGGGAGGGAGGTCAGGGTTAGAGGTTAGGGTATCCATTAGCATGTTAATGAAATAGTCCAGGAGAAAGTTGATGAGACTCTGTCTTCAAGGAACCTCTCAGTAATTTCATTCAATACAAACAAGTAGAGGTAGTCCTAAAGAGATGGGTAGAATTTAGATGTTCTGTAGTAGAGAGATTAGAGGAAGTTTTTTTTTTTTTTCGAGACAGAGTCACACTCTGTTGCCCAGGCTGGACTGCAGTGGTACGATCTCAGCTCACTGCAACCTCAGCCTCCAGGGTTCAAGCAATTCTCCTACCCCAGCCTCCCGAGTAGCTGGGACTACAGGGGTGCACCACCACACCTGGCTAATTTTTGTATTTTTAGTAGAGATGGGGTTTTGCCATGTTGCCAGTCTGGTGTCAAACTCCTGGCCTTGAGCATTCTACCCACCTTGGCCTCCCAGAGTGCTGGGATTACAGGCGTGAGCCACTGCACCTGGCCAAGAAGTTTTTTAAAATTGAGATATACCACTATCTAATTCCAGAACTTTTTTCTCACCCCTAGAAGAAGCCCTGTACCCATTAGCAGTCACTCCCTATCCTCTCCTCCCCCAGCTACTAGAAACCACAAATCTGCTTTCTGACTCTATGGATTTGCCTATTCTGGACATTTCATAAATGGAATCGTACAATACGTGGCCTTTTGTGTCTGGCTTATTTCATTTAGCATAATATTTCCAAGGTTCATCCATATCCTAGCAGGTATCAGTACTTCATTTCTTTTTATGGCTGAATAATATTCTGCTTTATGGATATGCCACTTTTGTTTATCCATTCATCAGTTGATGGACATTGGGTTGTTTCTACTTTTTGGCTATTATGAACAATGTTGCTCTTAACATTTATGTATACATTTTTGTGTGAACATATGTTTTTAATTTTCTTGGATATCTGTATATATAAATACATGTATTTACATATAAATAGTACAATTGCTGGATCATGTGTATATATATATATAATGTATATATGTAATTCCACTCCACTATATGTATATATCCAATTGCACTATAGTAAAATATATATGCAATTTATATATAAATATATATGAAATAAATTTATATATAAATGGAATTGCTGGATTATATATAATCACGTATAATATGTATAATTATATGTAATTATATATGTATATATTACATATATAAATAGTGGAATTGCTGGATCATATATATAATATATGTAATAATATATATGATCCAGCAATTCCACTATTTGTATATAAACATGTAATAATATATATATGATCCAGCAATTCCATTATTTATATATGTATATAAATTTATATATAAAATTTCACTTTTATATATATATTTATATATAGGAGTGGAATTGCTGGATGTTATGGTAACTCTTGGTTTAACTTTTTTGAGAAACTGTTTTCTATAGCAGCTGCACCATTTTACATTTCCACCAGTAAAGTATGGGGGTTCCAGTTTCTCTACATCCTTGCCAACACTTGTTATTATTCATCTTTTCTATTATAGTAGAGAAGGTTGTTGAAGGTTAGAAAAATCAAGGAAAGCTTCATGGAGGAAATGGAACTTGGCTTGGGCCTAATACGTATTCAGTTTATAGATGGACAAACTGACACAGTTGGAGACAAGGACTAGAGAAACAACTGGATGGGTATAGATTTCTTCATTCTTTTGTTCATTTTTAAAATTACTTACTCAGTCAATAAATATTTATTGAGGCAGGCACTGTTCTTCGTGAAAGATTGCTGTCCAGTTCCCTGACTTGATCTTTGCAGTCAGTGAAGCTTTCTGAAAGAGTAGACCACATTTGCTATTTCCATTCTCCCACCTTCATCCTCTTCTGAGTTCAGTAAGGTCTGGCTTCTGCCCAAACCTTGGCTTTTGCCAGGGTAACTACTGACCTTCCTAGTTGGACGCCTTTATTTCTTACCTTACTTAACATCTCTACTGCATTTGACACCTTTGATTACCTTCTTGAGACCGTTTCCTCACTTGCCTTAAGTTACACCATGCTTTGTTTTGTCCTCCTCTTAGCCAATGCACAGCACTTTCTTATTATTTTTCCCCCACTCCCTTCTCTCCCTTACATCTTTTGTTTGTCAGGGTTCTGTTTCACCCTTTTTTGTCCCACTTGTGGTCTCCCTGGGCAGTCTCATTCATTCCTCACTTGTAACCTGTGTGCTCACTACTTCCAAATTTATAGCTATTCCTGAGCTCCAGACCACTTAGCCATCTGTACGCTGCACATCTCCAGCCAAGATGTCTCATGGCTACCTCTAACTTAGTATCGCAAAACTGAACCTGTGATCTTTTACCCCCTTTCTTTTCCTTTATTCCCTATAACCATGAAAAGACCACCTCTAGCCATATTCTGAGGTTGAAATCCCTGAGTCATTTTTCTTTTTTTTCAAGGCACAGTCTTGCTCTGTCGCCCAGGCTGGAGTACAGTGGCACAATCTTGGCTCACTGCAACCTCTGCCTCTCAGGTTCAAGCGATTCTCCTGCCTCAGCCTCCTGAGTAGCTGGGATTACAGGCACCTGCCACCACGCCCGGCTAATTTTTGTATTTTTACTACAGACAGGGTTTCACCATGTTGGCCAGGCTGGTCTCAAACACCTGCCTCACCCTCCCAAAGTGCTGGGGTTACAGGTGTGAGCCACCGCACCTGGCTGCCTAAGTCATTCTCTATTCTTTTCTGTCCTTCACATGCATGTCACAGTTCATCTCACATTTCTGTGTAGAGGGCTCCATTTCTCTGCATATGGCATTACCATTCTGCCTGATGTATTCCAATTCAGATAAACATAAGCTCCTTTCTCGTGCTTTCCCTGAGACCCCTGGTGTGGACTTCTCTAATGTTCTCATAATATCTATGCATCTCTCTATGATTATACCATGTTATACTCTGTGTGGCCTTAGGCTTTGTGAGGAGAGGTTCAGAGTAGGTTTTGCTCTAGAGTGTGGTCCTTACTCCTAAGGTGAGGCCTTTCTGGTGTCTCTGCTGGTGTATGGCATTAATGTGATTGCTTCACTCTTCACTCTGGCAGAGGGCCAGAGTTCCAGCATGCTCCTCTTGCCCCCCTAGAGGGCACTGCTTGACCTCTAGTGAGTCTCCCTCTCAGCCCTGTAGCATCTACCATCTAGTTAATAAACATCATGTGGTCTTGCCGCATGCCTTTGTAGTCTAGCCACGGACTGGCAGGGGACCCTCCCACTGGACTTCTGGGGCCCCCTTTCTTCACAGCTCCTTCCTCTCAAATTCTTACCCCTCACCTTCTAGCCAAACTCACATCTCCGCTTCCTGGGCTCAGTGAGACCCATGTGTTCTGTTTGGGTTCCGGCTTCCTATGTCATGGTTGGGAAATTGTCCCTTAACATACAGCTGGGCAGTTATGGGGCTCACTTCAGGTTTCCCTTCTCAGGATTGCAACCTTGCCCTGCCTGTTATCTCCTGACTAAAAACAGTTGGATTGTATCTTCTGTCCAGTTTTGTAGTTGTTTACGGCAGGACGGTGAGTCTGATATCAGCTACTCCATTATGGCTTCGAGCAGAAGTCTACTTTAATTAGTTGTTTATGTATCTGTCTACTCCATGAAACTATTTTACTCATAGTTACATCTCTAGCATCTAGCACTATACCTGCTGTAGTAGGTGGCAATAAAGGTTTGTTGGATTAAAGATAATGTACCTTGGAATATACATGTTAGGGAACATCATTCTTTCCTGCTCTGTTTTTCAGCCTCAGCCTGTTAAGTGGGCACTTCACTCCCCAAGAGGGAACAAGTTTTGGGGAGTAATTTTTGCTATATCCTCTGCCTTTCCTCCGACTCACTCCATGAGTGGCAGAGTGATTTTTCTGATTGATGAGATTAGAAAAGAATCCTATTGTATGGAGTGGCCAGTCTTGAGGATTTTTTTTTTTTTTTTTTTTTTGAGATTGAGTCTCAGTCTGTCACCTAGGCTGGAGTGCAGTGGCACAATCTTGGCTCACTGTAACTTCCACCTTCCGGGTTCAAGCGATTCTCCTGCCTCAGCCTCCCGAGTAGCTGGGACTATAGGTGCATGCTGCCATGCTCGCCTAATTTTTTGTATTTTTAGTAGAGATGGGGTTTCACTGTGTTGCCCAGGCTGGTCTCGAACTCCTGAGCGCAGGCAATCTGCCCGCCTTGGCCCCCCAAAGTGCTAGGATTACAAGCACGAGCCACCATGCCCGGCCCAGTCTTCAGGATTTTTATGTTTTGTCCCACTTCCATGCTCTAGCCGGTCTGCCCATGCCAGGTCAGCCTGCATTTTGTCCAGTTAGGTAAGTTGAATTCAGTATAGGAAAGTATAAGAAAGGCCATTTGTGATTACACATCTCAGCCATGTTCTCCAGTCATCCTTATCACTTACTATAAAGATAATATTTTGATCTTCATCTGCACCTAACTGCCATGCTTTGTATTTTAATTATTCCCAAACTCTGGGTGGGAGAGATTAATTATCACCCTCAACCTCTACAGAGACTGCAGATGGGACAAAATCACCTCCTGCCTTAGCAAGAGGTCTCTTTACCACTAGTTGCCTTTTTTTGTTGTTGTTGTTCTCATACCTGCCTGTATTCCTGAACCCAAGTAAGTGTCCCTGGCAGGAAAAAGGTACCTGTAGGCCTTGCCCTCACTTGCCTCGTTTGCCCTTACTTTGAGGGCTGTAGCCTCTGTTGTACCAGTCAGAGCCAGTGGTGTCTTTTTCCTTTAAGAGAATGGTATATTTTGAATATGCATTGGTCTTAATCTTCAGGGGAAAAGCATTTTCAGGAGACTTTTTAGGTGGCATTATATCTCTGCTCTTCATGTATCTGTTGGGCACCCAAATTGAGGCAGATGACTAATGGAATATATCTTACAGCAATGAGTCTTCAACAGGAACTTTCTCCTGCCAAATTGTCCTATATTCTTAACTACATTGCAGTACAGGAAGGTAATAAATTATTAATCCTAAATCAGTCTCCTCAGACTGTAGGATAATGACTTGAGTACATGTCACTTGGGGGAAGGTAGAGTTTTCTGGCTGTTAACACAAACCATGCAAGGTTTTTGATTCTAAAATTCAGCTAGCATTGAGCAAGTCTATGGTGTCTTGTTATATCACGATTTAATTGACATAAGTAAGGCCAATCAGAATTTGCTAAAGTTGGTCTCTCTCTCAGTGAAATTAAATCACTGTGTCTTGCTTAAACACTTTAGTGAAAGATAATCATCTTAAATCCTACTATCTTGGAAAACCATAATTTTGGTGGGTTCTTTTTGCCCTTTAGAAGACCTGTGCAAATATAAACTTACTTCCCCATTTGTGTGACAAAATGAAGAGGGATGAGAAAATTAGCATAATTGGGCAGTAAATCCAACTCAATTTAAAAACTATCTTAAATTTATTCTCCTCAGGAATTCCTTAAGGGAGGAAATAATAAAACAGCAGAGGAGTTTATAAAAACAAACAACAATTGCAGGGCCGAAGCATAGCCTTTTGGCTTATTTTGGAGATTTTATTAAAATCTCAGTAATTGGAACAGCTTCTAATTCAAGGCATTGTGTGAAACTGGCAGGAACATAGTCAAGAACTATGTGTGTGGTTAGTGTTTGGACACTTTTTTATTTTTTTAAAGCCTCAGCTCTTCCCTGTGCACACCTATTTTCAGATGAACAGTAGTGAAGGGTTTGGGTCAGAATGGATAGCTCTTGATTTGAGGACCTACCTTTTGAACTTTCTTTCTGATCCTTCTTCCAACAGCTTTCCTAAGAAAAGCCCATATGGTTAAGGTCCTGTAGCCACTTTTGACTCCAGATAGTACTGGATAAGTTCCAGAGAGAGGTTGTAAGAATTGGTCTTGACTACCTGCCTTTTCATCAGCTGAGCAAGAGATAGGAGACAGAGTGGCGAAGGGCGTGGAGCATGGACTTGGGTGTCAGACAAGTCTCAGTCATGGTTTTATAATGTACTGGGTGCTGTTACTGAAACATACTTTCCATCAGGTTCTTCATCTATAAAATGGAAATGACAGTACCTCTTAACAGGATTGTGAGTATTAAATAAAATATTCATGCAAAGGGCTTAGCCTACTCCCAGGTACATAAATAAAACTCAGCAATTGTTAGCAATAACGTAAAAGTTTAATATGGTTAAATTCTTGTCTAACCGCCAGATGACCCAGCAGGCAGGAGGGTTGAGTTCTCTGCTAGCTTCTTAAACCTCTGTCCAGTGGGAGCTTTGTCTGCACATTATTAAGTATGAGGTAGGCAGCTGGGCCTTCTGTATTATTGGGGAAAGTAGGCCTCCATTCATATAGCTTTACAGGTCTGAGACTAATTGAAGCCCATGACAGAATGAATTGTATTGTGCATTTTCCGTGATTGTAATATGCCACTGAGGAGCATGATGGGCCACTTGTTTCTTCCCCCAGCTAAGGAAACATTTCCTCTGGAAGAGGACTCTGTTCTGCTGCCACGACTCCACCTTGCTCTCTGCCCTAGTTCACTTCCCCCAAAACTGATATGTGCCCATGCTTGGCAAGGCCTTGTGGTAGGCCAGGTTGGCTCTGTCTTTGGTCAGGACAGTGTTTTGACTGGGGCTGATTCAACAACACTTTTGGGTTTTGGGTTAGAAGTAGTTTGTAGGCTGGGCGCGGTGGCTCACACCTATAATCCCAGCACTTTGGGAGGCTGCGGTGGGTGGATCACCTGAGGTCAGGAATTCAAGACCAGCCTGGCCAACATGGTGAAACCCCGTCTCTACTAAAAATACAAAAATTAGCCAGGTGTGGTGGTGCATGTCTGTTATCCCAGCTACTCAGGAGGCTGAGGCAGAAGAATCACTTGAACCCAGGAGGGAGAGGTTGCGGTGAGCTGAGATTGCACCATTGCACTCCAGCCTGCGTGACAGAGTTAGATTCCATCTCAAAAAAAAAAAAAAAAAAGGAAAAAAAAAAAAAAGAAGTAGCTTGCAGAGTTTGTCCTGTGCTTCCTTCCTTCAAAACATATTTATCAGGTGCCTGCTATCCTAGGCATTAGAAATGCAGTGGTAAGACCAGGCGCAGTGGCTCATGCTTGTAATCCCAGCAGTTTGGGAGGCCGAGGCAGGTGGATCGTTTGAGGCCAGAAGTTTGAGACCAGTCTGGACAACATAGTGAGACCCTGTAACAAAAAAATAATAAAAAGTTAGCTGTGCTTGATAGTGTGCATCTGTGGTCCCAGCTACTTGAGAGACTGAGGTAAGAGGATCGCTCGAGCCCAGGAAGTCGAGGCTTCAGTGAGCCATGATCACGCTGTTGCACTCCAGCCCGGGCCACAGAGTGAGACTGTCTCAAGAAAAAAAAAAGGGAAAATTAATACATTGGTGAGCAAGACAGATACGGTTTCTGCCCTCATGAAGCTTGCAGTCTGTTAATACCTTTGCCATTCTTAGGGAACAGAAATTCCCTTTGAGAGGGATGGCATTGCTGACATCAAGATTCCCTTCAAGGAGTTTGAGGCTTCCCTAGGGTCCCAAGGTAATGCCATGACAATAGAGACCTAGTCTTCTTTGCAGAATCCTGGGAATGTAGGAGACTAGACAATTTGATGTCTCAAGCTGGTCTTAATAGAATAACCTTCTGCCAAGAATTATGTAAGTGAAGTTCCTGTCCACAAGATGGTATATCTCCAGTTTTCCTTTCTATCCAGTGCTCTGTCTCTCTCACCTTTAATAATCCACATTTCCTGAATAAGCAGTTAGAGTGGTTATTTGGAAATGTGGAAAGAGTGCTATAGCTGCAGCCTTTGCCCCCAAGTTGGAAGTGTGTTCCTGTGGTGATTTCATGGGCGTTAGATACACCCAGCCCATCAGCACTTGAAAGTCTTCTGCATTAGGGTGCTCCTGCCCTTTTGGCATCAGGTTTGTTACTCAGGATCTTAGGTGAACCATTCCAATGCTTAGCATGAAGCAAGCACCAATTATATAAATCTTGAACTTCCCTGGCCAATCACAAAAGGAAACTATAAAATGCCCTAAGAAGAGAAAGAATTATGAATGTCCCTGAATGGTGAGTTAGCCATCACAGACGCTGTCCAAAGGGAAACAGAAGCAGGGAGGAATGCCAGCCAAGGCCTATCTGGAACTCTACCCACTGCAGACTCTGCCCTAAAGATGGGTGCCCAGTGCATCTCACTTCAGTTCCCCTTTTTAAACTCCCTCAGCAGATGACAGGATTTTTAGGAATGCTCTCTTTCTTCCAACTGGCTTAACATTATGTTTTGATTCTAATCCAGCAGCACATTTGAGTTTGAAATAAATGTATGCTTATGAATTCTTTCACTTTTAGGTAATAAGGGGAATGACTAATATTACCAGACCTGGGAGATGGAGTGGGGGGTAACATTGATTCAGTTTCACTTCTGTAGCCTTAATTTCAGATTCAAGTTCACCATTTCAAGAGGACTGCCATCCTGCCTGTTAAGAAATGGCTCCTCTGTTTTTTGTTTGTTTGTTTTTGATACAGCTCAATGTTTATTGTCCTTAACTGAGGGCAACCAGAGTCAGCTGGAGGCTTATGGAAGTGGGGTGGCTACAGTGAATGAATCTTAATCAGAATAAATGAAGCAGCCTTGTAGAGAAAAGCTGAAGAGCCAGCTTCCATCTCAGAAAGTTGAGTAATCTGCATCCTGCTGGGTCAGTCTGTGGCATCTGGCCTGAAGCAAGCAGCCCCATATGCTGAAGCAGTGCCAAGCTGTCTTCTACCTGTGCATTCTACTTCATCAGTTTCTAACTGCTTGGTTTTCAAAATTGCTCTCAGCTGTGCTCCCCAGGGTATGCTTATAAGCTGCACTCTGACATTTCTCACAATGGACTTTTCAAATAACAGCGAGTTTTCCTATTACGCCTTCTGTGAAAAGTTAAAGGGAGGAGTTGGCCCCTGACCTGAGGTCTGCAGACCTGGAACAGGGTTATTTGCTCAGGATGTTCAAGGCAGAAACAAAAGTTTTCTGGCCTATCCCTGGAGACTTTCTCTGACAAGCATACCCTCCTTTCCGTTCCCAAGCTGTTTTGATTGAGCTGTTTCGCCTCCACTCTTTTGTATTTCATGTGGGGGTTGCTACCTTGGCAGCATGGCTGCCTCTGTCAGTGGAGAGGAAGTGGTGGAGAGTAAAGGCCGTATGTGTACGATATGTTTCCAGGGCTTTGCTGTGTCCCTGTGGGTAGTGTGTGTGTGTCAAAGAAAGAGAGAGACACTGAAGAACATTTGGGTGTTCTTATTTCCCTGCCTAGAATTAATACCATTTTTTGAAGCAGCAGAGAAATGTTGCCATTATACAGATGAGGATAAGGAAACGCCAGTTTCCGTGCAGTTAGAGATAGTCTATACTAGATAATTTGGCAGTCAGGAGTGTTGACCAATTTGCCCATATTTTCATTTCTGTCAGTAGAATGTGACTTACAATTAACTTGAAAATGGAGGTATAAGAAAAAAACACAAGTAAAAACACGTCAGAAAAATGAAGTCTATTAAAAGCCACATGATTGCCATAAATAAACCAAACAATATGAAATTACCCGAATGTCAGTGCCACATTATGGTGTTGACTTAGATTACATTCTCCTAATATTTGTGGTCTCTGGCTCTTTATATGTGTTATCTCACATTCAGTCAGTGCCTTAAAATAAGCTAACTGCATTTTTTTTTTTTTTTTTTTTTTTTTTGAGACAGAGTTTCACTCTGTTGCCCAGGCTGGAGTGCAGTGGCATGATCTCAGCTCACTGCAGTCTCCACCTCCCAGCTGCAAGCAATTCTCCTGCCTCAGCCTCCCGAGTAGCTGGGACTATAGGTACGTGCCACCATGCCTGGCTGATTTTTGTATTTATAGTAGAGATGGGGTTTCACTGTATTGGCCAGGGTGGTTTTGAATTCCTAACCTCAGGCAATCCGCCAGCCTCGGCCTCCCAAAGTGCTGGAATTATAGGCGTGAGCCACTGTGCCTGGCCTAACTGCATTTTTGTACCTTCTCTAGGATGCTTAATTCACATTATTAATGATAATTAATATCTAGGTATTTTATATATATACTATAGATACACGCATTTTAGGTCAACAAATAATATATCAGGCTAAATAAAACCAAGTTCCTGCCATTAGAGAGGTCACACTATGGAGGCAGAGAGAGATGTAGAAACATAAAGAAGCATGATCAATTCCGAGATGTGCTATGGGAACACAAAGAATGGGGCAGAGAATAGCTGAACCCTGTTTTATAGCAGGCTGGTAAGACATGGGATGTTCTAATCCCTTTGAACCTCCTCCTCCCAGATTCATTTGAAGTGGCTTTTAACCCACAGAGCTCTTTTCACTTTTTTTATCTTAGAGGGAGGGATAGAGGGAAGAGTTTGTACAGCTCTGTAAGTCTAGAGAATAAGAGCCCTAAGAAATTATTTCTGTACAGATACAGATTGGCTTTGATTTAATTTAAATAAACTGGCTCTCAAAAATTCTAAGAATACTAACTACTCACACAGTTTTGCTTTCATTTACACACAGATGAGAAAGCATCTGTAGCTCTGCATTTTATTTGCTATAAGCAAAAAGTGGTTCGAGATATTTAAGTATCTGAAGCTTGGTTGTATTGAGTCCTCACATGTCCCAGTTCAGCCCACTGCAGTTTTTTTTTTTTTTTTTTTTTTAATGGCGCTTACATAATGCTCCAAAAAGAGAGAGTTTCAATGGGTAAATTGATATAAACTTTTCCTCTATTGGCCATATCTGCTGAAATAACACTTCATGGCTAGCTATATTATTTCCTTACTTCCTCCCAAGCCTACAATTCTGTTTAATTTACATATTTCTGCTGCGGCCCTCTAAATGACCTTCTCTTTAAAAACAACAAAACAAGCCAGAAAAAAAAAAAAAAAAAGGAAAGGAAAGGAAAAACCTTCCCAAAAAACAAAATAGTGCTCTGATTCAGGGTTCTTTGTGTGGGTTTCCAAGGGAGGTTGGTATGATTGTGCTGAATGCAAATAATTTATCAGCCGGTAATAACTGCAATGAGAAATGGCAATCAACTGCAGATTCTTAACAATACCATCTACAAGTGGGCTACACAGGGAATTGGTAGATTCACGACATCATATCTAGGTGCTTTTCTTTTTAGAAAAACAATTCTTTCTTTTTAGAACCACTTTTATGTATAGGCAAAAGTTTATCTGTTATAATTTAATACCTGTGCTTTTTGAAGTACAAAGACAGTATTACATAGAGAGGTGTGGGCTCCTTCAAGCTGTGGCTTGGAGGCGTGCTCTCCTTGCTGACAGCATTCTCCAGAGTCTTTTAGTCATAAGGTGGTGGGAGAAAAAGCGAAGCAGGAGATTCTGAGTACATCATATGCAGCAGTGTAACCCCCTAGTTACAGTTGTTTTTTTTTTTTTAAGTGCATAGCTTAATCATTTGCCTTCAATCTGCCTTTAAATATTATAAAGCCCTTGATGACTGGATTGTTTCTGAACAGGTGACTTTATGGTAGGAGAGCTATTTTCAGCTACACCAGTGATTTGATTAATACTTGGCTGTGAAAAATGCCTTTGGGCTAAACCTTGGCAGATGGGTCTTTTGAAATGGAATAGCACCTGTATCCAATTAATGCAAACTTTTGATTTATTAAGTTGTTTTAGGTAGAAGTTAAAGGCATTAGAATTGTGATAGAGTGGTTTCCCTGTTTTCACCTAGGTGACCAGAACTTTGAGGTATCTTTTTCTGTTTTTCCTTTTTCATCATTACTCAGGACAAGGGAAGGTGAATGGATCTAGATGTCATCAGTGATGCATGGCTCTTTGCCTAGGTGAACTGGGAAGCTATTCTCCACTGTTGCTTTGTTCAGAAATTTTCATGGTGAAGGCTTATGTCACCTTTGAGTGAAGTCGAATGGTCTGAAATAGGTAGCTCAGGGAGCTGAAATTTGGTTGGTCCTTTCATGAGGAAAGATTTCTTTGGGATTTGAAAGGATTTTCTAGTTTAGAGTTTAGACAGGAAAGGCTGTTTCCCAGCTGGTTATATTATTCAGTTATCTCTTTTTTATCCACTCTGCTTTTCTTCAGTTTCTTTCTTTGCACATCTCTCATATTTCCTATTCAGTGCACTCCCCAATTTAATTGGAAAAGCTCATTCTAATTTGTTAGTGAACCAGGAACTTTACTTTTCTCTCTTGCCTCTTCCTTCTTTCAGCCAAGGAAATTAATTAACATTAAGGATCTGATTCAAATGACTATAACTCAAGATATTCCATATTGGAGCTGACATCTTTTGCTTGATTTTGTTAGTATAGAAAAAATCCCACAAATTTATTTAAATATTGGGTGAACTTTTAAAATTAACAAGAAAGCTCCTTGAATGTCTACTATGTGCTAAGCATCTTTCTGGGCCTACACATACAATATACAACCCCAGCACTTAAAGAGGGCAGAGTGTGTGAGGTAGACAAACAAATATGATCTGGTGAGAGAAATGCTATGATAGAGGTATATGTAGGATGCACAGAAGAGAGGCATCTTGGGGTGAAGGTTTCATGGGAGAAGCCTTCCTGGAAAAAGTGGTGGCCGAGCTAAAATGAAGTATAACAACAACAACATAAATAATGGCAACTAATATATACTGAGCTTTTTAATACTATATGCCAGGCTCATGTTAAGTACTTTGCATATATTTTCTCCTTTATATCTTTAATAACTCTGTAGGGTAGGTACTGTTAAAATTATTCCTGTTTTACACATGAAAAAACTAAGGAATTTGACCCAAGATGACACAGTTAGGAAGTGACTGGGTTGAGATTCAAATGCAGGAATCTCAGCTTTAGGAACTAAAGCTTTAACCACAGATTTTTGGGGTGGGGGCCAAAAGATAGAAGAGAGCAATTGTGGAATAGGGCTGTTGATCTTGATAGGGGATTTTGTTTGAAAACAAATTTCAACTCAATGTTATGAGGGACATGTATGAACATTACCTTGGGGAATGAATTTATTTTCTCACCTAGACTAAATGAGGGTGGTTTTCATATTTTCTTTAGCCTGTGAAGTATAAGTATTCTGTTTCAAGTAGGTAGAGTAAAAGGACTTTCCCCTACTCTTCTGCCTATAAATATTGCCCTCTTCTAGGGAGATGTTCTGGTACTGGGTACTGTTATTCTTTTTTTTTTTTTTTTTTTTTTTTTTTTAAGACGGAGTCTTGCTGTGTCTTCCAGGCTAGAGTGCAGTGGTGTGATCTTGGCTCACTGCAACCTCCATCTCCTGGGTTCAAGCGATTCTCCTGTCTCAGCCTCCTAAGTAGCTGGGATTACAGGCATGCGCCACCACAGCTGGCTGATTTTTTGACTGCCATGTTGGTCAGGCTGGTCTCGAACTCCTGACCTTGTGATTGTTTTTCTTTCTTTTTTTTTTTTTTTTTTTTTTTTTGAGACGGAGTCTCGCTCTGTCACCCAGGCTGGAGTGTAGTGGCCCGATCTCGTCTCACTGCAAGCTCTGCCTCCCAGGTTCACACCATTCTCCTGCCTCAGCCTCCTGAGTAGCTGGGATTACAGGTGCCTGCCACCACGCCCGGCTAATTTTTTGTATTTTTAGTAGAGATGGGGTTTCACTGTGTTAGCCAGGAAGTTCTCGATTTCCTGACCTCGTGATCCACCTGCCTCGGCCTTCCAAAGTGCTGGGATTACAGGCATGAGCCACTGCGCCCGGCCACCGATTGTTATTCTTTTCAACAGTTTGTCACAATCCAGTATCTTTGAGGCTTTTTAGTGACAGTGTTATAGGAAAGGACTTGCTGTTGTAAGCATTCTTAACCAGCAAAGTACTGCAAGATTCAGGTTTTGTGATTGAGTCCTTGGAAGCTTGTTTTCCATCTAGCAGATAATCAAGAGTTAGTGTGAATAGTAGCTGATATGTATCTGTTGGGCAAGTAGTTCCATGAGGAGTTTGTTTTTGTTCAGAATGATCTTTAGGAAAAATGGAAATACCACGGTGAAGGGAAAGAAGTCAGAATATGTACACAAAGCCTATTAATTCTTGTGTAGCAGTTAGTGTAGTTTCAGCAAATCATCTACACCATACATTTAAAAAACTGTACTCTTAGCAAAGCTAGGCACATAGCAAAGGCAGTGAGTAGTAATTATTTTCAAAGGACTGCTTTGTGAGGCAGCTGCCACCTTTCAATCCAACCTGTGTGTAGTTGAGGAAAAAAATGTTACCCCTTTTGAAAAGGAGGAGAGAGGGCAATGGTTATTACCTTGGCTTTTTTCAAACTTCGTAATACCTGATTGTGTCCTTCAAAGGATTTAGTTACCTCCTCTGCCTTGTTTCTGAATGTGCTAACCCCTGCAGGGTAGAACTGATGTGGAGAGTAAGGTGGAACCATTTTTTTTGTATTTGTTTATTAGTGGGTGTGCAGGTGACAGACATGCTGACAGTCAAAAGGGAGGTGGAGGGTGCCCCCTGAGGAGGTTTGTTTTTGAACGGTTCCTGTGAGTTGTTTTTGGGATTGATAATGTGCCTGCTTATCTCATTTTCATGTGGCAGCCATCTTGGCTGAGACCCATTGCTTCTGAGAGAATGCATACTTTTGATGATAGCTGTAGGAAGACAGATGGTGTAGAGCCATAGTTCAATTACTGAATAAAGAGACAAATTTAAGGCTGTGCCTTTCTCCTTGATAATAGTTCATTTATAGGTATAATTATCAAGGGAAAGCTTTGAATGAAGTCTTGACCATATTAGAAAATTGTGAGATTTCAAGAAAAGAATTTTAGCTTCAATGACGGTAAATATTAATTGCAAATTTTTTCTACAGAATACTCTAACCATGTATTTGTTTCTGCAGCGAAAACCCCACCGAAGAGAAGAATTTATCAACTGCTTTTTTTTTCTTTTTTGAAATAATACTGGTAGCTCATTCTCTCTACTCTTATTTCCACCATCACAGCCTTTCCTTTGGGATACAGTCTGATGAATTTAGTTAGAATTTACATTTCTGGACACTAACAGTATGACTCCTGAAACAGGGGACGTTCTGTCTCTGCTCCCTACTTGGTTGCTAACCAGGGCAGTTTTCAAGTTTGCTTGAGAAGCCAAGCTTATTACCTGAGATTTAAGAATGCCAGAGCCAACAGCACTGTCTTTAAATATTTCCAGAGTTGTTCACAGCTTTCTAAAAGTATTTAATGAATTTCCTTCTGGCAATAATTCATATATCCTGTAGACTTTTCCACTCTGCTACTTGGAATTATGAAACCTGGTCTAGATTTTGTGCCAGATATATTAGAATTCTGTCTTTTGAGAGGTGGTGATGTAAGTAAGCATTGCTAGTTCCAGAGCCTCCTGTTTTGGGGATCCTCCAGGTAATACATATGGGAGCACTGCTTTCTCTGCTTTGCTATGATTTTAGAAAGAGGGGAATTGGCTTTGCTCCACTGTTCTCACCCTGGGTAAGCTTTCTACATGCTCCTACCAACAGTGCATTCCAGACTTTCCCAAAAGATTTTCAGTCTAAGGTTCTACCAACTGTAAGCCATTTTTTGTAAAGATTTAATATTGCTTTTGCCTGGGCCCTGGGAGCAGAGCCAGGGTATGGCAGCGTGGGCAGGGAGAGGAACTGATCTAAAATTGGAGTATATTTTCATCTTACCTTTTATCCCAGTTACTTCTAGAATCCAATATTGACTCTACCAATGCCTTTCTGCTTCCTCCTTTTATGAACTCTTTGTCCCAAGAGTATCAACACTGAAAATTTAATCTTAAGTTAAATTATTCTTCAAAGGTTAACTATCTGGTAAATGATGGACCTAGAGCTGAAACTAGAATCATTTAAGATGTTAACTGTCTTTTAACCACCTAAGACAAAGAACTATGATTCAGGGAATGGATGAAAAAGAACTGTTTTTTTCTTTTCGTATTTTTATTATTGAACACATGATGTAACAACATTAAATAACATTTAATTTTTAAAAACTCAGTCAAAATCCCACGAATTAAACATGTGAACTGAGAGATCAGAGTACCTCTTCCTCTTTTTTTTTTTTTTTGAGACGGAGTCTCACTCTGTCGCCCAGGCTGGAGTGTAGTGGCACAATCTTGATGACTGCAACCTCTGCCTCCTGTGTTCAATGATTCTCCTGCCTCAGCTACTTGGTGCCTACCACCACGCCCGGCTAATTTTTGTATTTTTTTAGAGTTGGGGTTTCACCATGTTGGCCAGGCTGGTCTCGAACTCCTGACCTCAAGTGATCCGCCTGCCTTGGCCTCCCAAAGTGCTGGGATTATAGGTCTGAGCAACCGCGCCAGGCCTACCTCTTCCTCTTATTGGAAACCATTGAGATTAGTTTTATTAGCAACACTATAGCCCGCTAACCTCCCCTGGGCCTCACATTTCTTTTATAGAAGCTAGCTTTTTCCTAGGCCTCACATTTTTTACTTGTAGTCATTGTCGAAGATATAAGGGCCCGAGTCTTTCAAGATGACCGACTAGAGGTATAGAATTCAGTAGAGAAGTGACAGAAAACACATGAGGCACTGAGGGAGAGGGAAGCGAGGTGGATAACCCAGGCAAGATTGGCTGGGAGCCAGAGGGGCTTCCCAACGTGGAGACAGAATAAGTGAGCAATCCCCAACAGTCCACGTTCTCACCACCTCCTGTAATCCTAGCCACGAGAGAGTGCTTTGACCCTTGTGGGCCCTGATACTGGCAGAGGGAGATCCCTGGAGCCTGTGTGATGGCATTGCTCCAGAAAGGGAATGCACACTGAGTCCCACGCATCCCCCAGGTCCCTAGTGGGACACAGGACCATTTTGAGAGTCCAGCTCTCACCAAACTGTATCCTGCCCTGGGGCCCAATAGCCCCTGCCTCTCTACATCCCTGGAGCCCCCCTGACATTCCCTCGTATCTGCCTAGAGGGCTCTAGCAGCAAGACACTGGTTGGGCCCAGAGGAACCACAGGGTCCACACAATGTCCTGTATACCAGGGAAAGGGCAGTGTAGTGTATCAGGGAGGCTGCTCCCAGGACAAAGGGTGCCAAAGTGCAAGCTCCCCAGAGTATGAAATCTGCCTGCCTGGGGCCACTGTCACTAGCAGCAACCCCATACCCTTCAGCAGCAGGCTGCCATGTACTTTCATGTGCCATGAGGACAGGATCTCCTTGCCAGCTGCTACAGCCACTGCTGCTGCCAGAAGCTGAAGCTTATGCTCCCCAGAGCCTGAAACCTACCTGCCTGGGGTGACTATTACAGACAGCAGCCCTGCCTCCCTCTTGTCTCCCACAAGTAGGGCTGCTGCACACTTTCACGCACCCTGAGGACAGCCTTTCCCTGCGCACTGCTGCTGCTGTTGCCATGCCAATCAAGTATGCTGCCCACTAACAACTGTAGCCTAAGCCACTGAGAAAATCACAGATGCCACTGATGGTGTTCGTTGCTGGATGGTGTTCGTTGCCGAAGAAATCGTATGGAGACTACACTGCCGCATGCATCCAGAATCAAAGCCAAAGTGCCCTACCCAACCAACACTGTAGATACATCTGTAAGAAAAAATCTTTCCCTGTGAAAGCCAATACAAAAAATTGGAAGTGACTGTTACACTTGATATACAGTTATCAACAAAAGGACTCAAGAAACATGAAAAGGCAAGGAAATATGGTATCTCCAAAAGAACACAATAATTCTCCAATAACAGACTTCAGTGAAAAATTTATGATCTGCCTGAAAATTCAAAATCATGATACTAAAGAGGCTTAGTGATATGCATGGGAACACAGATAAACAACACAAAGAAATCAGAAAAACAATTTAGGATATGAATGAGAAATTCACCAAAGAGATAGCATAAAAAAGAACCAAACAAAAATCCTAGAACTGAAGAACTTAGTGAATGAAATAAAAAAGGCAATTGAGAGCTTTAGCGATAAACTAGATGATAAAGCAGAAGAAAGAATTTCAGAACTCGGGCTGGGTGCAGTGGTTCATGGCTGTAATTCCAGCATTTTGGGAGGCTGAAACAAGCAGATCGCTTGAGTCCAGGAGTTAGATGGGCAACATAGTGAAGCCCTGACTTTACAAAAAAAAAAAAAAGGCCGGGCATGGTGGTGCATGCCTGTAGTCGCAGCTACGCAGGAGGCTGAAGTGGGAGGATTGCTTGAACCTGTGAGGCTGAGGGTGCAGTGAATTGTGATCGTGCCACTGCACTCCAGCCTGAGTGACAATGAGACCCTGTCTCCAAAAAAAATAATTTCAGAACTTGAAGACAGGTCTTTAAAAATAACCCAGTTAGATTAAAAAAAAAAAAAAAGGCATTGTGACATATAGGATACCATAAAGTGACCAAAAATCTGAGTCTTGGGTATCCCAGAAGGTGAAGAGAAGTTTAATGGCATAGAAAACTGATTAAACAAAATAATAGCTTTAAACTTCCCAAATTTAAGAAGAGATTTAGACATACAGATACAGGAAGCTCAGAGATTCCCAAACAGATACAACCCACAAAGATCTCCTTGGCACATGATAGTCAAACTGTCAGAAGTAAAGACAAAAAGAATTCTAAACACAGCAAGAGAAAAGCATCTGTTCACATCTAAAGGAATCCTGATCAGACTAACAGCAGATTTCTCAGCAGAAACCTTGCAAGCCAGGAGAGAATGAGATGATATATTCAAAGTGCTGAAGGGAAAAAACAAACCTGCCAGTTAAGGATACTGTACCTAGTGAAGTTATCTTTCATAAATAAAGGAGAAATGAAGACTTTCCCAGACAGGGAAAAACAGATAATTCATAACCACTAAACCAGTCCTACAATAAAAGATTAAGGGAGTCCTACATTCGGAAGTGAAAGGATAATATCTACCATCATGAAAACTCGTGAAAGTATACAACTAACTAATAGAGCAAGCACACAGATGAGAAAGAGTAAGGACTCACTCATTTTATCATCAAACCATAACAATAAGAAAGGAACAAAAGATATGAAAATAACCAGAAGGCAGTTAACAAAATGACAGTAGTAAGTTCTCACATATCAATAATAACCTTGAATGTAAACAGATTAAATTTTCCACTTAAAGGATATGGACTGGTCCAGTCATGTGGACGCATTCTTTTAGTCCCAGTACTTCAGGAGGCCAAGGTGGGAAGGATTGCTTGAGCCTGGGAGTTTGAGACCAGCCTGGGCAACATAGTGAGACCTCATCTCTACCAAATAACAACAACAATAACAGACTGTCAGAATAGATAAGAAAACTTGACCCAACTATATGCTGCCTACAAGAAACTCACTTTACTTGTAAAGATAACTATAGACTGAAAGTAAAGGGATGGAAAAAAATACTCCGTGCAAATGGAAACCAAAGGTGAGCAGGAATAGCTTTACTTGTATCAGGTAAAACAGACTTTAAGTCAAAACCAGTAAAAAGAGACAAAGAAGGTCATTATATAATGATAAAGGGATCCATTCAGCAATAGGATATAACAATTCTAAATATATATACACCCAACACCAGTTCACCCAAAGCAAATATTAGACCTAAAGAGAGAGGTAGACTCTAATACAATAATAGTTGGGGACTTCAACACCCCACTCTCAACAATAGACAGATTATCTTAACAGAAAAATCAACAAAAAACACTGGATTTAAACTATGCTTTAGATCAAATGGATCTCACATTTACAGAACATTTCATCTACCAACTGCAAAATACACATTCCCATCAACACATGGAACATTCTCTAGGATAGACCATATGTCAGACCACGAAACCTCAACACATTTTTAAAAATCAAAATCATATCAAGTATCTTCTCAGACCACAATTGAATAAAACAAATCCATAACAAGAGGAACTTAGAAACTATACAAATACATGGAAATTAAACAACATGCACCTGAGTGACCATTGGATCAATGAAAAAAGAAGAGATAAATTTCTTGAAACACTTTGGGAGGCTGAGGCAGGAGGATCACTTGAGACCAGGAGTTCAAGATGAGTCTGGACAACATATTGAGACCCTGTCTCTACAAAAATAATTAGCCAGGTGTGGTGGCACATGCCTGTAGTCCTAACTACTCAGGAGGCTGAGACAAGAGGATCTCTTGAGCCCAGGTGTTTGAAGTAGCAGTGAGCCATGATTGTGCCACTTTGCTCCACCTGGGTGACAGAGTTAGACCCTGTCTCCAAAAAGAAGAAAAAAAATTTCTTAAATTTAAATGGAAAAAACATACCAAAACCTATGGGATACAGCAAAAGCAGTGCTAAGAGGGAAGTTTAGAGCAATAAACACCTACATCAAAAAAAGTAGAAAGATTTCAAATAACCTAATGATGGACCTTAAGGAACTAGAAAGGCAAGGACAAACCAAACCCAAAATTAGTAGAAGGAAGGAAATAATGAAGATCAGAGCAGAAATAAACAAAATAGAGACTAAGAAATAAAAAAAAAGAAATGAAAAGTTGGTTTAATGAGAAGATAAACAAAATCAATAAACCACTAGCTAGACTAACCAAGAAAAAAAGAAGAGCCAAAAGCAGGAATGAAAAGGAGACCTTACAACTGATATCACAGAAATGCAAAAGATATCAGAGAACATGAACTATACATGAACAAACAGGAAAACCTAGAGGAAATTGATGAATCCGTGGACACATAAAACCTACCAAGATTGAATAAGGAAGAAATGGAAAACCTGAACAGACCAATAACAAGTCACAAGATTGAATCAATAATAAAAAGTCTCTCAACCAAAAAAGCCTAGGACCTGATGGCTTTACTGTCAAATTCTACCGGACTAATAAGCAGGAACTAATACTGGTTCTTCTCAAACTAGTCCAAGAAATAGAAGACGCAGAAACTCTCTCTAATTCATAGAATTCTTCATAATTCTATGAAGCCAGCATTACCCTGATACCAAAACTAGGCAGAGACATAACAAAAAAAGAAAACTACAGGTCAATATCCCCAGTGAACATAGATGCAGAAATCCTCAACATAATATTAGCAAAACAAATTCAACAGCACATCAAGAAGATACTTCATGATCAAGTGGGATTTATCCCAGGGATGCAAGGATGGTTCAACAAATGCAAATCAATAAAATGATACATCATGTCAACAGAATGGAGGACAAAAACCGTGTGATTATCTCAATAGGCAGAGAAAAAGCAACTTATAAAATTCAACAACCTTTGTTTCCACAAATGCTTTTGGAATATAAAATTCAGTATCCCTTCATGATAAAAATGCCCAACAAGTTAGGCATAGAAGGAACAGCCTCAACCTCCTGGGCTTAAGCAGTTCTCCCACCTCAGCCTGCTGAGTAGCTGGGACTATAGGTGCATGCTGCCATGCCTGAATAATTCTTTAAATTTTTTGCAGAGACAGGATCTTGCTATATTGCCCAGGCTGGTCTTTAACTCCTGGCCTCATGTGACCCTCCTGCAATCCTTCCGTCTTGACCTCCCAAAGTGTTGAGATTACAGGCATGATCCACTGTACCCCACCTCTAAAATTTTTATGGAACCACAAAGACTCCAATAACCAAAGCAATTTGAACAAAAAGAATAAAGCAGGAGGCATCACACTTCCTGACTTCAAAATATATGATAGTCTGGACACAGTGGCTCATGCCTGAGCAACTTAGTGAGACCTCATCTCTACAAAAAATTTTAAAAATTAGACAAGGGTGATGGTATGTATCTGTGGTCCCAGCTATTTGGTAGGCTGAGGCAGGAGGATTGTTTAAGCCCAGGAGGTTGAGGCTGCAGTGAGCTAAGATTGGACCACTACACTCCAGCCTGGGCAACAAAGCGAGATCCTGTCTCTAAAAACCCACAAATATATATATATATATATACATATATATATGTATGTGTGTATATATATATATATATATATATGTATGTATATATATATGTATGTATATATATACACACACACACGTACATATATACATATACACACACATACACATATGTATATATGTACATATATATGTGGGTTTTAAATATATACATATATATATATATGTATATAAAATTCTAGTAACCAAAACAACAGACAGCATGGTATTGGTATAAAAACAGACAGTCACATAGACTAATGGGACAGAACAGAGAACTCAGAAATAAACCCACGTATTAATAGCCAATTGATTTTTGACAGAGGTGCCAAGGACACACATTGGGGAAAGGATATCTTGTTCAACAAATGGTCCTGGGAAAACTGGATACTCATACACAGAAGAATGAAACTAGAGCCCCTGTCTGTCATCATATACAAAAATCAACTCAAAATGGATTAAAGACTTAAATGTGAGACCCAGAACTGTAAAACTACTGGGAAGAAACATAGGGGAAACACTCTAGCATATTGGTCTAGGCAAAGATTTTATGGCTAAGACCCTAAAAGCACAGGCTGCAAAACCAAAAATAGACAAATGGGATTATGTTAAGCTAAAAAGCTTCTGCACAGCAAATGAAACAACAAAGTGAAGAGAGAACCCGTTGAATGGGAGAAAATATTTGCAAAATATCTGTCTGGTGACAAGGGACTAATATCCATAATACACAATTCCAACAACTCAACAGCAAAAAACCCTACATAGCCCCATTAAAAAGTGGGCAAAGGATCTACATATCCAGACATAAAAATGATTAACAGATATGTGAAAAAATGTTCAACATCACTAATTATTAGGGAAAGGCAAATCAAAACCACAATGAGATATCATCTTACCCCAGTTAGAATGGCTGTTATCAAAAAGGCAAAAAAGAACAGATGCTGGCGAGTATGCGGAAAAAAGAGAACTCTCATATACTATTGGAGGGAATGTAAAGTAGTACAGCCATTATGTAAAACAGTATGGAGATTTCTTAACAAACTAAAGATAGAACTACTATATGATCCAGCAGTCCCACTACTGGGTATTATTTATCTAAAGGAAAGAAAATTAGTATATTAAAGGGATATGTGCACTCCCATGTTTATTGCAGGACTGTTCACAATAGCAAAGATATGGAATTAAGTGTCTGTCAACAGATGAATGGACAAATAAAATGTTGTATATTTATGCAGTGGAAAATACTATTTGGCCTTAAAAAAGAATGAAATTGTGTATTTTACAGCAACATGGATAGAACTAGAGGTCATTATGTTAAGTGAAATAAGCCAGACGTAGGCAAATATTGCATATACTTACTCAAATGGGGGAGCTAAAAAAGTTGATCTCATGAAGATAGGGAGTAGAATGATAATTAACTGAAGCTGGGAAGGATGTAGTTGTAGGGCATGTAGGGGGATGAGGAGAGGTTAATTAATGAGTATATACACACAGCTAGATAGAAGGAACAAATTCTAATGTTCTGTAGTAGAGTAGGGTAACTATAGTTAACAACAATGTATTGTATATTTAAAGATAGCTAGAAGTGAGGCCTTGAAATGTTCTTAAAACATAGGAATGATAAATGCTTGTGGTGATGGATATCCTAAATACCCTGACTTGATCACTGCACATTCTATGCATGTAACAAATACTCACAGGTATCCCATAAATATGTACAAACTTTATCAATAAAACATTTTTTAAAAAGATGTGCTTCTGATCATCTTTCTTTTCCTAGGCTCTACTCCCTTGAGATAAGGCAAAGGATCCAGTTTGTCAGATAATTGCAGAAGTCAGAGATCTCACCCAGTACTAAGTTCTAGCAATAATTTAGGAATAAAACAGTCAAGAGGTACAGTCAAGTAGGGAGAGTTGGGGACATTCTGTATGACTCCTCAAGTTCTTTCTTCCCTCATTGAACATGTTCACTTGGGCCTTAGAGTAATGGATGAGGTCTCTAACAGAGGCTTCCAGGGTCACCTGACAAAGCTTGGACAATGTTTGGTTATGAAACATTTCTTTTTTATACCCCGATAATTGTATAGCTTATGTGACATTCTTGAGGGAACCATGGACACAAAAGAAGGCATTTTCAGGACAAACCAGTCTTACAACTTTCTCCCCTGCTTTTGTCTCCTATTTCAAAGGTCTGGATTTTACCAGAGCTGCTAGCAACAACCAGGGAATATAATTTTTTGTTATTTTTTCTTTGACCTAGTAATCCCTGTTAGTCCCTGTGACTATTTCCCCGAGTCTAAATCTGTTTCCACCAAGTTCAATTTGTAAGACTTGCCCCATGATTTGCCTCAGAGCTTTTTGCCATTTTATACCAAAGACGAATAGGTAGTCATCCTGTCATTAGTTCCTTTTAGTTTTCCATCCTCTTCTTTTTCTTGCTGTAAAGTGCCTTAACCATTATGATTTGTCAGTCTCATTTGACATTCTTGTGTAACTTGGTGCTTTTTGACTCACTTGCACTTAACTCTCCCTCCCCTCCCAACTTTTAAACTGTGACTAGAATCCATTGAGTTAATAAACCCCATCTATACTTAGACTTATTAGTGAAGACATTAGATAGAATATTTTGAGACTGGCTTTCTCTTAGAAAAAGACACTGTTTTTCCTCTGGTCTGCAGGCCATGGCCATTCATTCTCTCATATTCCATGTATCTCTGAGTTGGGAGGTAGGGTTAATGTCTTTAACACTCTTCACTGTCACTTCTTGAATATTCCTCCTCCACTTTCATGCAAAAACTTCTGCTCTTTGAGATTTATACCACGTTCTACCCGTAATCATTACTCATCTACCAACCGTCATTTACCACCCTCATTTATTGTAGCATATGGGCCTCATCTCCTTTCAAAGTCCCATCATCAACCTGGATGTCTTCAGTATGACCCACCTGATACCTGGCCATCTGGTTTCCTGACATTTCTTTTGTTCATTCATTCTTTCAATACTTCATTCATATACACATATGCATTTATTTATGCATTTGTTGAAAAAGATTTTTTGAGCACCTACAATGTAATGTTCCAAACTCTATGCTAGAATTAGAGATGCAGGGGTAAAAGAATAAAAGAAGATGGAAAACCAAACATGGTCCTGGAGGTTACAGTGTAGTGAGGGGCAAAGACATGGAGCCAATGGTTGAGCTGAAACCTCATGTGAGGAGTTAACTGGATGGAGAAAGGAGTCAAGAGAGTTCTAGGTAGAGGAGGCAGCATGTCAAAGGCACAGTAAAGGGAGGAAGAATGGTCCATTTCAGGGATGGAAGAAGGCTGGTAGATTGGAACATAGGGAAGGAGGGAATGTGTGATACAAGCTGGAGCTAGAAAGGTAGGTAGGGTCCAAACCATACAAGATTTTTTTTTTTTTTTTTTTTTTTTATGTGGAGTTTCACTCTTGCCAGGCTGGAGTGCAGTGGTGCGATCTCAGCTCACTGCAACCTCTGCCTCCCGGATTCAAGCGATTCTCCTGCCTCAGCCTCCCGAGTAGCTGGGACTACAGGCGCCTGCCACCACGCCCGGCTAATTTTTTTTGTATTTTCAGGAGAGATGGGGTTTCCCAGTGTTAGCCAGGATGATCTCAATCTCCTGACCTCATGATCCACCCACCTCGGCCTCCCAAAGTGCTGGGATTACAGGCATGAGCCCCCGCGCCCGGCCCATACAAGATCTTTTTAAGTTATGTTAAAGATTTTGGTTTTCATTGTAAGAGGCCTGGGAAGTCATTGAAAATTTTGTTTGTTTAAATTTTTAAAACTTATTTTTCAAAAGAAAATAATACGGGTACATTGTACAAATTCAAAAGATATAAAAGGATAGGCTGGGCACAGTGGCTCACGCCTGTAATCCCAGCACTTTGAGAGGCCAAGGAAGGCGAATCACGAGGTCAGGAGTTCGAGACCAGCCTGACCAACATGGTGAAACCCTGTCTCTACTAAAAATACAAAAATTAGCTGGGCGTGGTGGTGCGTGCCTGTAATCCCAGCTACTCAAGAGGCTGAGGCAGGAGAATCACTTGAACCTGGGAGGCGGAGGTTGCAGTGAGCCAAGATAGTGCCACTGCCCTCCAGCCTGGGTGATAGAGTGAGACTCTGTCTCAAAAATAAATAAATAAACAAACAAATAAATAGATAAATGGATAAAGAACAAATAAGTCTCCTACTTTCATCTTCAGTCACCTGGCTTCCCCTCCTAAAGTTTCATGAATATTCTTCCAAAAATAGCCTATATGTGCATATATATATATTTTCTCCCCCCTCAACAAATTGTGGCATGCTATACATACTGCTCTGAACCTTTTTCCTCCCCACATAATGTATCCTGGATATCATTCTATGTTAGAACTATACAGAGTGGCCTTATTTATTTTAGCGGTTGCATGGATCTTCCTTCCTTCTTTATTTATTTTTTATTTTTTATTTTTAAGACAGAGTCTCGCTCTGTCACCCAGGTTGGAGTGCAGTGGTGTGATCTTGGCTCACTGCAAGCTCCACCTCCCGGGTTCACGCCATTCTCTTGCCTCAGCGTCCCAGATAGCTGGGACTACAGGCGCCCGCCACCATGACCGGCTAATTTTTTGTATTTTTTAGTAGAGACGGGGTTTCACTGTGTTAGCCAGGATGGTCTCGATCTCCCGACCTCGTGATCCGCCCACCTTGGCCTCCCAAAGTGCTGGGATTACAGGCGTGAGCCACCGCTCTCGGCCTACTTATTTATTTATTTATTTTTATTTATTTATTTATTTTATTATTATTATTTTTTTGAGACGGAGTCTCTCTCCGTCACCCAGGCTGGAGTGCAGTGGCGCCATCTTGGCTCATTGCAAGCTCCGCCTCCCGGGTTCACGCCATTCTCCCTCCTCAGCTTCCAGAGTAGCTGGGACTGCAGGTGCCCACCACCATGCCCAACTAATTTTTTGTATTTTTAGTAGAGACAGGGTTTCACCGTGTTAGCCAGGATGGTTTAGATCTCCTGACCTCATGTTCTCCCCATCTTGGCCTCCCGAAGTGCTGGGATTACAGGCGTGAGCCACTGCGCCCGGCTTTATTTATTTTTTTGAGACTGAGTCTTGCTCTCTCGCCCAGGCTGGAGGTTAGTGGTGCAATCTCGGCTCACTGCAACCTCCGTCTTCTGGGTTCAAGTGATTCTCTTGCCTCAACCTCCCCCAGTTGCTGGGATTACAGGTGTGCACCTGCCCAGCTAACTTTTTGTATTTTTGGTAGAGACGGGGTTTCACTGTGTTGGCCAAGCTGGTCTCGAACTCCTGACCTCAAATGATCCACCCGCCTCAGCCTCCCAAAGTGCTGGGATTACAGGAGTGAACCACTGTGCCCAGCCTTCTGTAATTTATTTAACCAGTTATCAACTGATGAATGTTTAAGTTGTTTCCAATTATTTTCTATCTCAAACAGTATGCAGTGAATATTTTTGATATCGTGTCACATAGTGCTAGTTTATTTGTACAATAAATTCCAAGTTTAGCTACCTTTATTTTATATAGGCTGAATTTCTTTTCTTCAGAGCATTTATATTAGTCTCCAATCCTACATATTTATTGTCTTTTAATCTCTGTCTCCCCCATCTAACTTATAAACTCTACCAAAGTAATTCCCAGCATGCAGCAGGTGCTCAAAAACACTTATTGAATGGATGAATGAATAAAAAGATGAGGATAATAGCTAGGAGGGAAGTAGGGGTGCTTCAATTTTGAAAAGAATGGAGGTCATTGAGGTTGCTCATTCTTGAGGCAGCAGAACCATTAAAGGGCAGAAGTTCAAGACCAGCCTAGGCAAAATAGTGAGACCTCATCTCTACAAAAAAATAAAACATAAAAAAATAGCTGGGTGTAGTGGCACACATGTGTAGTCCCAGCTATTTGGGAGGCTAAGGTGGGAGGATTGCTTGAGCCTAGGAATTTGAGGCTGCAGTGAGCTATGATTGCACCACTGCACTTCAGTGTGGGTGACAGGATGAGACCCTGTCTTAAAGAAAAAAAAGAGGCCGGGTGCAGTGGCTTATGCCTGTAATCCTAGCACTTTGGGAGGCTGAGGTGGGTGGATCATGAGGTCAGGAGTTTGAGACCAGCCTGGCCAATATGGTGAAACCCCATCTCTACTAAAAATACAAAAATTAGCCAGGCGTGGTGGCACATGCCTGTAGTCCCAGCTACTTGGGAGGCTGAGGCAGAATTGCTTGAACCCGGGTGGCAGAGGTTGCAGTAAGCCAAGATCGTGCTACTGCACTCCAGCCTGGGCGACAGAGTGAGACTCCGTCTCAAAAAAAAAAAAGAAAAGAAAAGAAAAAAGAAGATTTGAGGGTGGCTACTGTGGGAAATGAAATAAATAATGAAGGTAGAAACTCGGAGAATGACCAGGAAGCCCACTGCTGATAAGAATGGAGACCATTTACTTAGAGTGAGATCAGTCTGTGAAGTTGGATCATTTTTTTCCCAGCTCTCAGAACAGATTCATCCATGACTGCCATTTTCCCAGATAGCCAGGGCAAAGGAGTGGAGAATATCAGTGCTGGAGAGGTTGAAGCAATGGACTATAGAATTGGAGCTGAATAAGGACAGATAAGATGAATCTGAAACGTATCTCCTCTTTCTCTTCCTGAATAATCTCATCTATGCTCATAGTTTTAGTTTCCTGTGGGAAGAAAGAGAGAGCAAAGTTCTTTTTAAAAAGAACTTTGAAAAGAGTTCTTTTCACTGGTCTGGTTTGAGCACATAGATCCTGGTCTGGAGAATGATAAGAGATGTCTGGAGGCAGAGGTCAGGCCATGCCACACAGAATTTTGAAGGCTACTGTGTGAGGTTCAGGAAGGTCACCTAAGCACCATATAATCAAGGTCTGCTCTGTTAAGTGGTTTTACTTTTATTTCATGTAACAGGAAGATAAATAATTTGGGTGTTTTAATTGTTACTGAAAGGCAGCAGCGAAGCAGCCTGAGCTGGAAATGTGGATCCACATTTGAGAGCAGTGGAAGTTTACGTAGAATTAGAAGCCATCATATGGTTGAAGTTATACAGGGGAAAAAAAAACTTTATTTCACTGTACTGAATCACTTTTATTTTATTTTTTTTAAACAAATATAGCTTACAATCACTTTTAATTCTTACCATGTTCTTTCTAAGCCTCTGGGCCTTTGTTTGAGTATTCTAGTTTCTACCTCCTACCTGTTTCGATTTATTTTCCTCTCAAAATTTCACGTTCCCAGGGACACCAGATTTGCCTGGTTTATACCTGTCTCTCTATCTGTTAAATCAAGATAATTTTAGGGCATTCAGATGGGCTACACCAAATATGCCACATAATTCGTTTTAAGTAAGAAATAGCCCCATAACTCATCATCCTCTGACATTAGTCAAACTGTAAGGAGAATTTGAGCAAGGAAGCCTTTTTTTTTTTTTTTTTTTTGAGACAGAGTCTTGCTCTTGATCTTGGCTCACTGCAACCTCCGCCTCCTGGGTTCAAGCAATTCTCCTGCCTCAGCCTCCCGAGTAGCTGGGATTACAGGTGCCCACCACCATGCCCGGCTAATTTTTGTATTTTTAGTAGAGACAAGGTTTCACTATGTTGGCTAGGCTGGTCTCAAACTCCTAACCTCAAGTAATCCACCTGCCTCGGCCTCCCAAAGTGCTGGGATTACAGGCGTGAGCCACTGTGCCTGGCCAATTTTTTAACTTTTATTTTAGGTTCGGGGGCACATCTGAAGGTTTGTTATATAAGTAAACTCGTGTCACAGGGGTTTGTTTTACAGATTATTTCATCACCTAGGTATTAAGCCTAGTACCCAATAGTTATTTTTTTCTGCTCCTCTTCCTCCTCTCACCTCTACCCTCAAGTAGATTCCAGTGTCTGTTGTTCCCTTCTTTGTGTTCATGCGTTCTCATCATTTAGCTCCCATTTATAAGTGAGAATTTGGTTTTCTGTTCCTGCGTTAGTTTGCTAAAGATAATAGCCTCCAGGTCTATCCATGTTCCTGCAAAAGACATGATCTCTTTTTTTATGGCTGCATAGTATTCCGTGGTATATATGTACCACATTTTCTTTATCCAGTCTGTCACTGATGAACATTTAGGTTGATTCCATGTCTTTGCTGTTGTGAATAGTGCTGTAATGAACACTCACATGCATGTGTCTTATGGTAGAATGATTTATTTCCCTCTGGGTATATACCCAGTAATAGGATTGTTGAAGTGATGGTAGTTCTGCTTTTAGCTCTTTGAGGAATTGCCATACTGCTTTCCGCAATGGTTGAACTAATTTATACTCCCACCAGCAGTGTATAAATGTTCCTTTTCTCCGCAATCTTGCCAGCATCTGTTATTTTTTGGCTTTTTGATAATAGCCATTCTGACTGGTATGAGATAGTATCTCATTGTGGTTTTGATTTGCATTTCTCTAATGATCAGTGATATTGAACTTTTTAAAATATGCTTATTGGTTGCCTGTATGTCTTCTTTTGAAAAGTGTGTGTTAATGTCCTTTGCCCACTTTTTATTGAGGTTGTTTTTCTCTTGTAAATTTGTTTAGCTTCCTTATAAATGCTGGATATTAGACTTTTGTCAGATGCATAGTTTGCAAGTATTTTCTCCCATTCTGTAGATTGTCTCTTTACTCTGTTGATAGTTTCTTTTGCTGTGCAGAAGCTCTTAAGTTTAATTAGATCCCATTTGTCAATTTTGGCTTTTGTTGTGATTGCTTTTGGTGTCTTTATCATGAAATCTTTGTCTGTTTCTATGTTCCTAGGATGGTATTGCCTAGGTTGTCGTTGTCTTCCAGGGTTTTTATAGTTTTGGGTTTTACATTTAGGTCTTTAATCCATCTTGATTTGATTTTTGTATATGGTATAAGGAAGGGGTCCAGCTTTAATCTTCTGCATATGGCTAGCCAGTTATCCCAGCACCATTTATTGAGTAAGGTGTCTTTTCCTCATTGCTTGTTTTTGTCAGCTTTGTCAAAACTCAGATGTTCGTAGGTGTGTGGCTTTGTTTCTGGGCTCTCTATTCTGTTCCGTTGGTCTATGTGCCAATTTTTGTACCATTACCATGCTGTTTTGGTTGCTGTAGCCCTGTAGTATAGTTAGAAGTCGGGTAACGTGGTACCACCAGCTTTGGTCTTTTGGCTTAGCATTGTATGGGCTATTTGGGCTCTTTTTTAGTTCCATAATGAATTTTAAAATAGTTTTTTTTCTAGTTCTGTGAAGAATGTCATTGGTAGTTTGATAGGTATAGCATTGAGTCTGTAAATTGATTTGGGTAGTATGACCATTTTAATGATATTGATTCTTCCTATTCATGAGCATGGCATGTTTTTCCATTTATTTGTGTCTTCTCTGATTTTTTTCAGCAGTGTTTTATAATTCTCATTGTAGAGCTCTTTCACTTCTCTCTGGAATACCTGTATTCCTAGGTATTTTATTCTTTTTGTGGCAATTGCAAATGGGATTGCCTTCCTGATTTGGCTCTTGGCTTGGGTGGTGTTGGTGTGTAGGAATGCTAGTGATTTTTGTACATTGATTTTTGTCTCCTGAAACTTTGCTGAAGTTGTTTATCAGTTGAAGCAGCTTTTGGGCCGAGACTGTGGGGTTTTCTAGATATAGAATCATGTTGAATGCAAACAGGGATAGTTGGACTTCCTCGCCTCCTATTTGAATGCCCTTTATTTCTTTCTCTTACCTGATTGCTATGTCTAGGATTTCTAATACTGTGTTGAATAAGATTCGTAAAAGAGGGAATCCTTGTCTTGTGCTGGTTTTCGAAGGGAATGCTTCCAGCTTTTGCCCATTCAGTATGATGTTTGTTGGCTGTGGGTTTGTCATAAATGGTTCTTATTACTTTGAGGTATGTTCCTTCAATATCTAGTTTATTGAGAGTTTTTAACATGAAGGGATGTTGAATTTTATAGAAAGCCTTTTCTGTACCTATTGAGATAATCCTGTGGTTTTTGTCTTTAGTTCTTTTTATGTGATGAATCACATTTATTGATTTGTGTATGTTGACCCAAACTTGCATCCTGGGGATGAAGCCCAGTTGATTGTGGTGGATTAGCTTTTTGATGTGCTGCTGGATTCAGTTTGCAAGTATTTTGTTGAGGATTTTTGTGTTGATGTGCATCAAGGATATTGGCCTGAAGTTTTCTTTCTTAGTTGTGTCTTTGCCCAGTTTTGGTATCAGGATGATGCTGGCCTCATGGATTGAGTTGGGGAGAAGTTCCTCCTCTTCAATTTTTTGGAATAGTTTTAGTAGGAAGGTACCAGCTCTTCTTTGTACATCTCGTGGAATTCAGCTGGGAATCCATCTGGTCTTGGGCTTTTTTTGGTTGGTAGGCTATTTATTACTGATTCAGTTTTAGAGCTCATTATTGGTCTGTTCAGGGAATCAGTTTCTTCTTGGTTCAATCTTGGGAGGGTGTATGTGTCCAGGAATTTATCCATCTCTTCCAGGTTTTCTAGTTTGTATGCATAGAGGTGATCAAGTAGCTTCTAATGGTTATTTTTATTTCTGGGCGGTCAGTGGTAACATCCTCTTCATCATTTCTAATTGTGTTTATTTGGATATCCTCTCTTTTTCTTCTTTATTAGTTTAGTTAGTGGCCTATCTTATTAATTTTTTCAAGAAACCAACTCCTGGATTTGTTGATCTTTTGAATTTTTTTTGTGTCTTGATTTCCTTCAATTCAGCTCCGATTTTGGTTATTTCTTGTCTTCTACTAGCTTTGGGTTTGATTTGTTCTTGCTTCTCTTTCAGTTGTGATGTTAGGTTGTTAATTTGAGATCTTTCTAACCTTTTGATGTGGGTATTTAGTGCTATGAATTTCCCTTTTAACACTGCCTTAGCTGTGTCCCAGAGATTCTGGTATGTTGTATCTTTGTTCTTATTAGTTTCAAATAACTTCTTGATTTCTGCCTTAATTTCATTATTTACCCAAAAGTCATTCAGGGGCATGTTGTTTAATTTTCATGTAATTCATGTAATTGCATGGTTTTGAGTGATTTTCTTAGTTTTGACTTCTATTTTCATTGTGTTGTGGTCTAAGAGTGTGTTTGGTACAATTTTGGTTCTTTTTTTTTTTTTTTTGAGATGGAGTTTCACTCTTTTTGTCCAGGCTGGAGTGCAATGGCACGATCTCAGCTCACTACAGCCTCTGCCTCCCAGGTTCAAGGAATTCTCCTATCTCAGCCTCCCAAGTAGCTGGGATTACAGGTGTGTGCCAGCACACCCGGCTAATTTTGTATTTTTAATAGAGATGGGGTTTCACCGTGTTGGCCAGGCTGGCCTCAAACTCCTGACCTCAAGTGATCCACCTGCCTCGGCCTCCCAAAGTGTTGGGATTACAGGTGTGAGCCACCGCACCCGGCCTTAGTTTTGGTTCTTTTGCATTTGCTGAGGATTGTTTTATGTCCAATTATGTGGTCAATTTTAGAGTATGTGCCATGTGTCTATAAGAAGAATGTATATTCTGTTGTTTTTGGTTGAAGAGTTCTGTAGAGGTCTATCAGATCCCTTTGGTCCAATGTTGAGATCAGGTCCTGAATATCTTTGTTAATTTTCTGCCTCAGTGATCTGTCTAATACTGTCAGTGGAGTGTTTAAGTCTCCCACTGTTATTGTGTGGGAGTCCACGTTTCTTTGTAGGTCTCTAAGAACTTGCTTTATGAATCTGGGTGCTTCTGTGTTGGGTCCAGATATATTTAGGATGGTTAGGTTTTCTTGTTGAATTGACCCTTTAACCATTTTGTAATGCCTTTCTTTGTCTTTTTTGATCTTTGTTGGTTTAAAATCTGTTTTGTCTGAAATTAGGATTGCAACTCCTACTTTTTTCAGTTTTCCCTTTGCTCTTTGCTTGGTAGGCTTTCCTCCATCCCTTTATTTTGAGCCTGTGAGTGTCATTATGTGTCGCTCATCCTTACAAGTGAGAAGTGAGAAGACAGAATGCCATTGGGTCTTGTTTTTTATCCAGGTTGCCACTCTGTGCCTTTTAAGTGGGGGCATTTAGTCCATTTTGTAAGTTTTGTTTTTTTTTTTTAATCCCTAGCATCGATGATACTTTCCAACACAGTAAATGTTCGTAAATGTTTGTTGATTTCATATGTGTTTACTTTCATCTCTTGCCCATTTATAGACATTTTGGTTGTCAGCCCGACTATGTGTGCACTTTTATATTTAGCTTTTTACTCTTAGGGTTACATTGTAAACAATTTTCCATCTTGCCACCTGGTCTTTATAATGATCTTTTAATGATAGTCGTTAAGTTGCTATGCCGTAATTCACTTAACCATTACCCCAGGAAGAACTAATAGACTAGAATATACAAATTTAGAATTGCCTGCCTTGTTAATGAATTCTCAACTACAGGAGGTAATTTAAAAGGCTGGAAAATACTTTGAATTGTTTTAGAGGGGATTTTAGCTCTAGATGGGAATTGAACTAAATATATTTTTAAAATATTTCTTTCCCTGAAATTTGGTAATTCTCCTATGTTTTGTGGCCTCTGTAAATGAATGTGAACCTTGTGTGTTTGAGTATATAAATTTCAAAGTGTTAAAGACATCACTCTCACAAATATAAAGGAAACGTTTGTCAGAGATTTAACTCATGAGTAAGGGAATCAGTGGGCAGTAAAGCTGCTTTTAAGAAATACAAATTTATATTGTCAGTCAGGAAAAGAATGATGAAATAAGTTTGTAAGTTAGATGTGAAATATTAATATCTTACAGAACACTAAAACTAAAACATTGGAAGTTATGTATATTATTTTTGTTTTGTTTTATTTTTTGAGACAGGATCTTACTGTCTCCCAGGCTGGAGTGTGATGGCATTATCATAGCTTAATGCAGCCAGTATCTCCCAAGCTCAAGCAATCCTACTGCGTCAGCCTCCTGAGTAGCTGGGACTACAAGTGCACACCACCACACCTGGCTGATTTTTTAAAATTTTTAGTAAAGACAAGGTCTCGCTATGTTGCCTGGGCTGGTCTCAAACTTCTGAGCTCAAACTATTCTCCTGTCTCAGCTTTCCAAAGTGCTGGGATTATGGGAGTGAGCCATCATGTGCAGCCAGAGGTTATATTTTATACTGGACAGAAAAAAAAAAAAAAAAAAATATATATATATATATATATATGTTATATAGATATGATTTATATATATATAAATCAAAATCATTTGTAACATATTCTATAAGTTAACGTCTAAATTTAAGCTCTACTCAGTAGTAAATAGTGAATCAAACAAAGGTACATTCTCTTAGACCAGAGGTTGACAAGCTTTTTCTTAAGGGGCCAGATAGTAAATATTTTAGGCTTTGTGGGCTGTTAAGTTCTGTTACAACTACTTAACTCTGCCATGGTAGAGCAAAGGCAACTATAGATAACACATACATAAATGAGTTCCAATAAAAATTTATTTATAAAAATAGGCAGCAGCCTAAATTGGCCCCTGGGCTATAGTGTATAGCCCCTGGTTTATTGAATCTGTAGTAATATCCCTTCTTTCATTCTTTTTTTTTTTTTTTTTTTTTGAGATGGAGTCTCGTCCTGTTGCCCAGGCTGGAGTACAGTGGTGCGATCTCGGCTCACTGCAACCTCCACCTCCTGGGTGAGGCAAGTGATTCTCCTGCCTCAGCCTCCCAAGTAGCTGGAATTACAGGTGAATGCCACCATGCCCAGTTAATTTTTGTATTTTTAGTAGAGATGGGGTTTCACCATGTTGGCCAGGCTGGTCTTGAACTCCTGACCTCAAGTGATCTGCCTGCCTTAGCCTCCCAAAGTGCTGGGATTACAGGCATGAGCCACTGCACCTGGTCCCTTCTTTCATTCTTGATTCTGGTAACTTTTGACTACTCCTTTTTTTTCCCGTGGTCAGTCCGACTAGAGATTTATCAGCTTTATTGATCTTTTGAACAACTAGGCTTTTGTTTCCTTGATTTTTCTCTATTGTTTTTTGTTCGATTACTCTTCTCTTTATCATTTCTTTCCTTTACTTACTTTGGGGTTTAATTTACTCTTTTTTTTCCCCAGATTTTATGATGGAAGCAAAGATCATTGATTTTTTTTTTTTTTGGTCAAAGTTTGGCTTTTATTTTTCCAGATCTTTTTATTTTATTTTATTTATTTATTTTTTTTGAGACAGAGTCTTGCTCTGTTGTCCAGGCTGGAGTACAGTGGCATGCTCTTGGCTCACTGCAACTCCCCCTCCCATTTCCAGCAATCCTTCTGCCTCAGCCTTCTGAGTAACTGGGATTACAGATGTGTGCCACCACACCTGGCTAATTTTTGTATTTTTAGTAGTGACGGGGTTTTGCCATGTTGGCCAGGCTGGTCTCGAACTCCTGACCTCAAGTGATCCATCTGCCTCATCCTCCCAAAGTGCTGGGATTACAGGCATGAGCCACCACGCCTGGCTTAGATCTTTTTGAATCCAGGTAATATATGTGGACAAACAAAAATAGCTTCATTGTTAAAAATATAAATAAGAACATAATATATAGATTTTCTGCAACTTGCTTTTTCCACTTAAGTTATGAGGGGGGATATTTCTATGGCTGTATATAAAATTCTATGCCATTTCTTTCAAATGGTACATAGTATTCTGCAGCAACTATTTCCATACTGACAGACATTTAGGTTCTTCAGCTATTTCACTAATACAAACCATACTACAGTGAACATCCTTACAAATGAGAAGGCTTCTAGATAGCGGTGCACTTATTAAATATCTCCTCTTTGATGGTCAGAAGAAATAAACTACTTTTGCATGTTTACCACACTACATTTGATGACCCATTCTTTTTAAAAATGTTATTTTTTAGTAATTTTTATCTTTTGTAGAGATGGGGTCTCACTATGTTGCCCAGTCTGGTCTTGAACTCATGGGCTCAAGTGGTCCTCCCACCTCATCTTCCCAAAGTGCTGGGATTATAGGCATGAGCCACCATGCCTGGCTTGATGACTTTGTTATAAATTTTCTTATGTTGTTTAAGGGCTGAACTTTGGGGAAAAGCTTCCCACATTCATTACATTCATAAGATATGGATTTTCTGATTTTCAGCAAGGCCTTGGCTGTACCCGAAGGCTTTCCCACATTTCTTATAGTGAAAGGTTTTTGGTTTTTTGTTTTTTTTTCCCCCCAGTATGAATTCCTTGATGTCCAATAAGAGTTGAGCTCTTTGTAAAGGCTTTCCTACAGTCATTGCCCTGATAGGGTTTATTTCCACTATGAGTTTTCTGATGCCCAGCAAAGGAGATTTGCCCAGCAAATCTTTCTATACCTGAAAAAGATTTCACATTTAATATGGTGATAGAGTTTCTCTCCTGTATGAAATCTTTGATGACTAATAAGAGTCAAGCTCTTACTAAAGGCTTTTCTGTATTTATTACACCAATGTACTTTTTCACTAAGATGGTTTTTCTGATGCTCCAACAAAGTTGAGTTATCTCTGAAAGCTTTCCCACATTCCTTACATTTAAAAGGCTTTTTTTTTTCAGCCAGGCGCAGTGGCTCACACCTGTAATCCCAACACTTTGGGAAGCGAAGGTCAGGGGATTGCTTGAACCCAGGAGTTCAAGAGCAGCCTGGGCAACATAGGGAGACCCCATCTCTGACAAAAAGTTAAAAAATTAGCCAGACACAGTGATGCTCACCTGTAGTCCTAGCATCTTGGGAGGCTGAGTCAGGAGGATTGCTTGGGCCCGAAGGTCAAGGCTGCATCGAGTCATGATGTGCCACTGCTCTCCAGCCTGGGCAATAGAGTGGGAACCTGTCTCTAAATAAATAAATAAATAAATAAATAAATAAATAAATAAATGTTTTTAAAAGGCTTATCTCCACTGTGTTTTCTCTCCTGATGAGTAACGACTGCCTTCTGAACAGTTTCCCACAGTCGTGTTTGTAGAGTTCCTGACTGTATGAATTCTCTGATGACTTGAAAGGACAGTTTTGACCAGGCGTGGTGGCTCACGCCTTGCTCTGCAGTGACAGAGTGAGACTCCTTCTCAAAAAAAAAAAAAAAAAGAAAGGGCTGTTTTTTTCTGAAAGCTTTTTCACGTTTATTGGTATTTCTCTCTAGAATAAGTTCTCTGATGATTAATAAATGTTGAGTGCTTGAGGAATTTGCCACATTCAGTACATCTGTAAAGTTGCTCGCCTGTGTGAGCTTATGATGATTTGAAAGGGGTGATAGTAGGATAGTCTGCTCATGAAGACTATTCCACATTCTTTATATTTATGGGGTTTCTCACTAGTATGATTGCTCTGGTGGCTAAAAGAGGAAGAGTTGTATTCGAATTGTACTTTCCCACATTCTTTTCATTTATAGCACCGCATCTCTGTGGAACCTCCTCCCTCTCAATCCAGGCCTCTTTCTATCATGACACTTTTTGTTTGCTCTTGCAGAACTTCAGAGTATTTTGCTTTAGGGTTAAGATCTTTGTTTCAAACCAGTACTCCTGGACTGCAGAGGTACCTGACGCAGTTCTGACGCCTCCATCCAGGCTCCTTGCTGCAGTTGGGTGATTAGTTTTGGTTTGAAAGAGAGAAACCCACAGGCACAAGATTCCCATAGTTTTCCAGCATCACATGGCTGTACAGGTCCTGTTAAGTGTATTATTAGGTTATCTCCATTCGACCTGGGTGCAGGCCACAGCCACATCCCCAGATGTTAGTGATCCCTGGATTTGGGCCATCTGTCTCCTGAACTGTCTCCCAGATAAGAGCAGAGAACCCTGTGTATGCTAATAGTTATGGAGGCTAGAAATCCAAAATCAAGGTGTTAGAAGGGTTGATGTCTTTGGAGACTGGAGGTGGAATTCCTTCCTTGCCTCCCCCTAGCTTCTAGTGGTTGCTGTCAATCCTGGCTTTCCTTGGCTTGCAGCCGTATTGCTCCAATCTCTGCCTCTGTCATCACATGTCGTTTTCTCCATGTGTCTCTCTAAATCATTGATTTTATAGACTTTTCTTCTCTGAAATAAGCATTTAAAATTACGAATGTCCCTCTAGACATTGCTTTAACTGTATCCCACACATTTTTATATATTGTGTTATTTTCATTCTGTTCAAAATATTTTCTAATTTCCCTCATGCAGTTTCAACCTATACCTTAGTAAATCAGTGTTCAGCCAAAACTGAAGGTGACTACTGTTCAGATTTCTGAAGCTCTTTCTCTGTGTAGCTTCCTCCTTTCTGGTACTTTGTTTAAACATTCTAACTACCAGTCACCCTGAACTCCGTCTCCTCAATTTAGCAACTGCCCTGTTATGCTTGCCTTCTTCTTGCCTGTGCCACAGTCTGGAGCATGCCTCCAGCAGAAAGCCAAGGGATTCATAGAGCTCACCTGGTTTGTTTCCTTTCAGGGATCATAGTCCTGCACTGCCTGTTGTCCAGTGTCTAAAAACAGTTGCTTTATATATTTTGTCTAGTTTTCTAGTTATTCATGGTGGGAAGGCAAGCCCCATAGCAATTCCTTCTTCAAGAGCAGAAGTGGAAGTTGTATTGCATTTTTAAAAATTAAATAATATATCAGCTTAGAAAAAAGCACAGATAATTTTCATCTGTGTTGACCTCTTAAGTATGAGAAAATAGTTATGAGAAGAATGAAGGAAAATTGATATAAAGGTAAAAATAGTAGTTACTGATAAAACAATTTGATTTCAACAAAGTCTGTTCACTCAGTTAGCTGTTACCGAGATTCTTACTATTGGTGCCTGTGTGGAAGGATAAATAAAAATGAGGGGGTATTTCTGTATCTGTTGGTAGCTTGATTTTTTTTTCGTAGTTGGTATTCTTCATCTTTTTTTTTAAGGGAGTTCTATTTTCTGTGGCCTTCTAAATTGCCTCGTCTGGTGTTAGGTTGGTGCCAGTGCTGGCTTCCATAGTGCTCCTGACTCAATACTCTAGAAGCTTGCCTTTACCTTCCTTTTATCTTTGATTAGTTTCCACATTTAGTCCGTTGGACATTTAGTAAGTATTCCGTGGGAGTCAGATTGGCTTTGGCTGATTGTCAGTTGCTTTCGTTAGAGGTCTTTTCAGTTGTGTGTACATGCAGACATGATTATCCATATCTTCAGTGTTTTGATTCTATTGCATATTTTTTCTATGTAATTCTAACATATATTTTATGTTATAAGCCCAGGGCCAGGACTAGGGTAAGGAGAGAGGTGCCCAGAACACAGAATTTAAAGAGACACTCACTATGAAGGTCCTGTGAGCCAACCCTTTGCTGGAATGACTCTGAAAGTGAGCACCTCCTTAAATTTTGTGCCTGAGGCACCTCTCTTGCCTCACCCTAGTTCTGTTTCTATATAACCCTGACAATAGCTGGTAATAGACACCTATAGAGCCAGTACCTTAAAATGAACTCACATAATCACTTCCATTTAGAACAAGTTTTGACTTCATCTAAGAAAACAGAGGTGAGATACTATTTCAGAAAAATCAATGCCATACCTGAAATAATTAAAACAGTCCAAAGTTTATCCATCAGCAACATTAGCCAGAATTTTGGATCATATTATTTAGGTTACCCATAGCATGTCACTGTTGTACTTAGGTTCCATTATTTCTTATCATGACATGACTTGTCATTAGGAAGTTCTTTCTAGCAGAATTGCTCTCGTGGTTAAAATTTTTGGTAATCTTGACTACCACTCTGGCTGATACTATGATATGCAAAACCATTTGACTTTGGCAAATGATTGGTTAAAGAATGAATGTGCCTATTAACTGCATGAGGTTCAGAGTACTCAGTCTGTGTTGCTGCCAGTTTGCTGGGGAAACTGTTCTTCTGGTCCCACAGTTCTCACATTGCTACCTGTTCTTCTGGTCCCACAGTTCTCACATTGTCCCTGAGAAATACCTTGGAGGTGAGTGGGAGGTCATCAGGTATTGGGACTCTGCCCTCTTCCTCCCAACTTGCCACTTCCCTGCATATGCTTCCACCAGAATACCTCTTTTTTTGTTTTTGTTTTTGTTTTTGTTTTCCTGTTTATGAAGTGACATTCTGTGTAAAAGGTCTCCATGGCAGGAACTCATTGAGAAGGAGAACAATTAATGAATGTGGAGCAGTATTTCTAGAACCTAAAATATCCGAAGACAAAAAACACTCTCTTTCACTTCCTTTGTTCCACTCACTAGATGGCTTTCTCACCCTCTTAAAAACTCGTCTTCAAAATAACCTCAAATGTTGGTTCTCAGGGCTCTTTATGGAGCAGTAGTCTCTGTTTTTATTTCATCTGAAAATGTTTTCATTCTTTGTTTTTAGATGCCAGTGAGAGCAGGTGCCAGCAGGGGAAGACACAATTTGGAGTTGGCCTGAGATCTGGGGGAGAAAATCACCTCTGGCTTCTTGAAGGAACCCCCTCTCTCCAGTCATGTTGGGCTGCCTGCTGCCAGGACTCTGCCTGCCATGTCTTTTGGTGGCTAGAAGGGATGTGCATTCAGGCAGACTGCAGCAGGCCCCAGAGCTGCCGGGCTTTTAGGACACACTCCTCCAATTCCATGCTGGTGTTTTTAAAAAAATTCCAAACTGCAGATGATTTGGGCTTTCTACCTGAAGATGATGTACCACATCTTCTGGGGCTAGGTTGGAACTGGGCATCTTGGAGGCAGAGCCCACCCAGAGCTGCACTCAGACCTGCTGTATCTTCCAGTGACCAGCAGAGCTTAATCAGGAAGCTTCAGAAGAGAGGTAGTCCCAGTGACGTAGTTACACCTATAGTGACACAGCATTCTAAAGTGAATGACTCCAACGAATTAGGTGGTCTGACTACCAGTGGCTCTGCAGAGGTAAGCATGCTATGAATAAGGAGCAGAGAAATGGTTAAATCTGCTCTTACATTTGGTATATATGAGCAATGAAGCTGATGCTTGCGGGCAGTGCTCATAGGCTGAGGAGTGTATATATAAAGCTGCTTGGTGTCAGCTTCTTTGGTGCTGCCCAGATGTACAAAGGGTAATTTGACCCTAGAGATGTTCATGCTATGTAGGTCTGACCATTGTTTTGGTAAATGCAGAAAGCTGCTCATTATCTAGTCTAAGCTGGTTCTTGGCTACAGGTAAGTACAGTTGTATGGCTGTTAGTATTCACCAACCATTCTGCAGTATTTTCTGCCAAATTGCAAAACAGTTGATTGATGTGGTTACAGTCAAGTTCTCCTCCATCTCTCGCCTGTAAACACATTCTTTATGAGGTAGTTTCTATTCCAGTCAGAATTAACCATGCTTGGTACTACAGATTAAGATCTGACCTGCTGGGCTGTGGAGCAGGATGTGGCCATTAGCCAAGAGGTCTCTGGAGTGAATTCTCACCAAGCTGTATATGCCAAGGGAGATACCACCAGTAGAGTTTATTCTGCTTATTATGTTTCTTCATTGTTGATCTCCTTGGGGAAATGATTAAAAGGAATGACTCACTCTCTGCTCAGTCTTCCTTGATTGCTGTGACTTATTTTTGTATTTGTTTTGTCCTAGTTGTCTCTATCAAGTTGAAGCCAGAGTGGGCTATGACATGCCAAGCGCTCTGTGTACTAATTGTTGCACTGTATCATTTTGTTTAATTTTCATAGCAATATTTCCAAGTAGGCATTATTAGCCCTGTTTACCTGGTGAGAAAACTGAGGCCCAGAGAGGTTAAACAGTTTGCCAGTGATCATGCAGCATAGCTAGAATTGGAACCCAGATTTAATATTAAGAAAAAAACTTTTTAGTGCAGTATTAGAGAACAATCCTAGATTTAATATGCCCATAAACATTTATGGCTACCTACTGTCAATGTCAGGCACTTTTCTAAGCCTTAGAGATACAAAGGTGAATAAGAATGGTTCATTCCCTCAGGGAGTTTATAATCTAGTGGAGACTGATACATGAAGATAGGTATTTACAGTGGTGTATAATTATTGCATTAACATACTTATGTACACAATGCAGTAAGAACACAAGAAGTGATTCACTTCAGCAGGCAAGTGGTGTGTATGTGCAGGTAAGACTTCTCCGAGATGTTTAACATTTCTTGAAGGATGTGTAGGATTGTACTGGGGTGGGGTTAATGGTGGTAAAAAAACATTCTGGACAGAGCCACAGTGTATGTAAAGGCTCGGTCATAGTCATTGTGTATTTACTTGCGAGGTACTATACTAAGCTGGATACTGGGAATATTACAATAAATAAGATGAATATCATTTCTGCCTTAACAAGGCTTATACTCTGGCAAGGAATATTACATTTCTAATAATTAAATTATTATAATAATTATAAGCTTGATGTGGGTAATGAGAGGGTAAATACAGAGTGCCGTGAAAGCATCCAACAGGCACCTAATACAAACTAAGGTGTCAGGTTAGGCCACTTTAAAGAAAGAAAGTTTAAGCTGATATTTGAAGTAGGAATTCGGAAAAGAAACAGGGAAAAAGAGTATTTCAGGCAGAGGAAATAACAATTTCAAAGTGTGTTAGGTGCCCTAGAATATGGCGAGCTCAAGAAATTGGGAGAGACTGGTGTTGCTGGGCAAACGGAGAAAGAGAGCTGGTGGTGAAAGAGAAGTCTTGAGAGGTATGCAGAACCTTGAGGCCTTATTAAAATACTGGTTTTTATCTGAAGATCAGTGGGAAACCATTAGGGAGTTTTAAGTAGGGAATGACATAATCAGATAGTGGCTATGTGGTGAGTAGACTGGAAAGGGCGAGAATATACAGTTGACCCTTGAACAGTGTAGGGGTTAGGAATGTCAACCCTTTGTGCAGTTGGAAATTTGCATAAACTTCAGAATCCCCCAGAATGTAGCTACTAAAAGCCTGCTGTTGACTGGAAGCCTTACCAATAAGATAAACAGTCGATTAACACATATTATGTATGTCATATGCATTATATACTGTATTCTTAAACTAGATAAAATGTTAAGAAAATTGGCTGGGTGTGATGGCTTATGCCTGTAATCCCAGCACTTTGGGAGGCCAAGGCGGGCGGATCACAAGGTCAGGAGATCGAGACCATTCTGGATAACACGGTGAAACCTTGTCTCTACTAAAAATACAAAAAGTTAGCCGGGCGTGGTGGCAGGCGCCTGTAGTCCCAGCTACTCGGGAGGCTGAGGGAGGAGAATGTCGTGAACCTGGGAGGTGGAGCTTGCAGTGAGCGAAGATTGCGCCACTGCACTCCAGCCTGGGCAACAGAGTAAGACTCTGTCTCAAAAAAAAAAAGGGAAGAAAATCATAAGGGGCTGGGCACGGCAGCTTATGCCTGTAATGTCAGCACTGGGGTAGGCTGAGGCAGGTGTATCAATTGAGGTCAGGAGTTCAAGACCAGCCTGGCCAACATGGTGAAACCCCGCCTCTACTAAAAATACAAAAATTAGCGAGGTGAGGTGGTGCACACCTGTAATCCCAGCTACTTGGGAGGCTGAGGCATGAGAATCGCTTGAACCCAGGAGGTGGAAGTTGCAGTGAGCCGAGATTGCACCACTGCACTCCAGCCTGGGCGACACAGCAAGACTCTGTCTCAAAAAAAAAAAAAAAAGAAAATCACAAGGGAAAATATACTTAGTATTCATTAAGTGGAAGTGGATCATCTTATAGGCATCCTTATTGTCTTCACGTTGAGTAGGCTGAGGAAGAGGAGTAGTTGGTCTTGCTGTCTCAGGCGGCAGAGGCACGAGAAAATTCACATATAAATGAACCTGCGCAGTTCAAGCCTGTGTTGTTTAAGGGCCAACTGTATATGGCCTGGTAAAATAGGAGGCTTTTCAGGCAAGAGAACCATTGTACTAAAAAAGGAGATTAAAGACAGGAAAAGGGATAAATAATGAATAATCCCTTAGAGCTGTGGTTCTCAAACTTTAGCATGCATCAGACTCACTTGAAGGCCTTGTTAAAAATAAATTGGTCTTTGTTTCTTGCTCTGAAGAGATGGAAATAAAAAAGATTGCCGGGCCCCAACTCCATAGTTTCTGACTCGGTAGGTCTGGAGTATGTTCTGAGAATTTGCATTTCCAGAAAGTTCCTGGAGTGTGCCAATGCTGCTGCCCAGGGACCAGAACCACTGCCTTATAGGGCAGGAAGGTTAGAATACTGAGCACAGAGTACAGTATTAGTCTTAAGCAGGATACTTCCTTCATTGTGACAGAGAGAAAGGATTGGGTAGGACACAGCTAGGGTGGGTTTATATACTGGGTAGAAGGAAATTGTTGTAGTTCTCATCTCTTTCTTGTTTTTTCTTAAGTGTGATAGATCATTTATGGATAGTAGAAACAGAGGTAGAGGTAGATGGGATTGGGGGGAGTGGGTAATAGACAGGAAAATCAGAGGTTTAGAGAGTGGGGTAAAGGTCTAAAATAGCCATCGTGAAGGATAGAAGATGGCAAACTAGGTAAGAAAATAGAAATATTGCTGGGTAGCCTTGAAGATGGAGATCATGCATTTATAACAGTGGTACTGATCTTTAAGTTGTGTGATTCTCCTCAGTAGCTCTCAGCAACTCTGTCAAGAAAAGCCTGATAATTTGATTCATCCAAGATAGGAACTTTGCTAGGTAGTTTGTACAGAAGGAAAATGAGGTATGGAAATCGAGGTTGTTGTAAAAAGAGTGATGAGAGATAGTATGAGAAAGTATAAAAAGAGGCAAAGATAGCAAGGCGCTACAGAAGTAGACAAGTTTGGCATTTAGTGGTTACCATGATGGGAAGCAGATGTCAGAGGAATGGGTAATTGTGAGTGCTGGAAGGATAGGAGGCGGTGGTCAGAGTATGTAATATTTGAATTTAAGATTTTGGAGGTGGTAAAGTTCTGATGGCAGAATCTAGGGTGAGCTGTGGAAGAGGGTTGCTGGGGTAGAGTGGAGAAGAAGTTTATTGGAGGCAAGGAGCTCAAAGAACCCAGCAAGCTCAAAGAACGTGTTAAATGAGTTACCCATGTGGACACTGAGGTAGTCTTTAATGATGGTGATGGTGATGATGATGATGATGATGATGATGATGATGATGATGACAGCAGCAATAACTGATGTTTACTGAGCATTTACTATATGCCAGGTACCATTCAGAACCCTTTACGTGTATTAACTCTTAATCTATACAGCAAATCTTGTGAATTACTATTACTGTTCCTGTTTTTTTTTTCTTTTTTTTTTTTTCTTGAGACAGAGTCTCACTGTGTCACCAGGCTGGAGTGCAGTGGTGCGATCTTGGCTCACTGCAACCTCTGCCTCTGGGTTCAAGTGATTTTACTACCTCAGCCTCCAGAGTAGCTGGTACCACAGGGGTGTGGCACACCCAGCGACTTTTTTTGTATTTTTAGTAGAGATGGCATTTCACCATGTTGGCCAGGGTGGTCTCGATCTCCTGACCTCGTGATCCGCCTGCCTCTGCCTCCCAAAGTGCTGGGACTACAGGCATGAGTCACTGTGCCTGCCCGTTCCTGTTTTATAAATGAGGAAACTCAGGCAACACAGCTAGGTATGTGGTACAACCAAGACTTGAACCTAAGCAGGCTGATTCTGTACGGACTCAGTCCTCTTTTTTTTTTTTTTTTGAGATGGAATTTTGCTCTTATTGCCCAGGCTAGAGTGCAATGGTGCGATCTTGGCTCACTGCAACCTCCACCTCCCGGGTTCAAGCAATTCGTCTGCCTCAGCCTCCCGAGTAGCTGGGACTACAGGCATGAGCCATCACGCCCAGCTAATTTTTTGTATTTTTAGTAGAGACAGGGTTTCTCCATGTTGGTCAGGCTGGTTTCAAACTCCTGACCTCAGGTGATCTGCCTGCCTCGGCCTCCCAAAGTGCTGGTATTACAGGCGTGAGCCACCACGCCTGGCCTGTCCTCTTACTGGCCTGTCCTTTCTTACTGTTCAGGTAGGACTTGGGATGAGGAGGACTTTTGAAAGCCAGATGTCAAAGTCACCAGTAAAATAGGAAGAGTGACGAGTAAATTGGGAGATGATAGCTGCAATGAGAGTTGAAGTGGCAGCAAGATGGCAAAGGAGAAGAGGTTTTCACAGGGAGGTAGAAGAATAATGGTTTGCAGAGGACATTGGGAAGCAGCAGCAAAGAAAATACCTCCAGCATACTATAGGATAATTATGGCCCGTGAAATTAGAAATGGATAAGTTAGAAAAATGGTAGATTTAGATCTGACAGTCTCCTGGAGGATGGTGAAAATTCAAACTTGGGTCTTACAGAATTCAGGTGTATGCTGGAAGGAAGATCCTGAGGATGTGTTGGCTATAGAGAATTCTTTCTTCTAGTTTACCATTAGTGGGCAGTGGCAAGAAATTGCTGCTGGTGAGTAGGATTTCAAGACCTTTGTGGTCTAATGTGGAGAGTGGATAGACATGAGGGGAGGAATATTGAATTTGAACTATGAACCCCAGGACTGGGAGTGGGCTTTTGCTGCATGCAGTGTTGCACGGAGGCATTACAAAGCTTGGCATTACATATTGAGAACTGCAAGTATTGCTAAAAAAAAAAAAATGGGGCAAAGTGAAATCTTCAGATCCAGATAAGTTATATTTGACCTTATATATCATGCTTAGGAGCTAGCTTCTTACCCTGAAGGCCATGTATAGCTCTGGAAAGGTGGTAAGATTGCCTTGTGCATTGAGAATTGCCTTGGCATTTCTTTTGGGAGAGAACTTGGGAGTTCAAACTTCTGCTTAATGCACTAGGGAAGGGAAGAGAAAAGTATGCACTGCAGATCTCATTCTAATTAGGGATGACTGGCGAGCAGCACCAGTTTCTAGTTTGTGCTGTTTTCACTAAGGTAGGTCAAGCAACTCTGCATCCAAAGTGGAGAGAAATTGTATCATAAATTGCTTTTGTCTTGCCTGCCTGCAGAGCTGCAAAGGCATTTGGATTGTCAGTCTGCATTTTTCACTCTTTTGGAAATATACATATATTGAATCCAAAGGCAGATATTGTGGACCTTTTGCAATTCCAAAAGTAGAAAGGAATGTCATCAATATATTCCCGTTTCTCAACTTAAAGAGGGTGAAGCCTGTCCTGCTTAGTTTAAGTATTGCACCCTTTCTGTACCATGAACCTCTGAATTGTTGGCAGGAGGAGCACAGAGGCTTGTTGATTGGGTCCTGGAACGTGTACAGTATAAGCAGTTCAGCCAATTAATTGTGTACATTATAAGAATGTGTACAGCTTAAGCAGTTCTGACAATTAATTGCTGCCAATCCTGCTATGTGCCAGAGAAAAAAGTGCTTTATTTGAGCGCAGGAAATGAAAGTCCACTTAGGTATCCCTGCATGTAAGGTTTGACTGTAGGAAGACTGAAGTGTTGTTCTCTCTAACAGCATCGTCTCCCTGTTTCCAGTCAATAATCACACACGGCATTTTGACCCTTAGCAAGCCAGTGGCTTTCTGTGGAACAAATAAATGACTTAGAGGATAAATGAGCCAAGCACCCAGATAGCCATCTGCTGCCTTCTTTTTCTGAGAACTCTTGTGCTGGCTCCATGTAAAGCCTGAGCTTACCTCTTATCAGAAGATAGAGGTGTGGGGTGTGGGCAGCCACAGAGGGATAATCTTACGTAACTGATGACAGAAACCTAAGCAGTGCTGTTTCCCTTCATGTTTTGTTGTTGTTGTTTTGGGTTTGTTTTTCAGGGTTTTTTTTTTTTTTTACTTGTTTTTACTTGTTTGCTTGTTTTTGTTGTGTTAGTTCTTGGACCACAACACCCTTTCCTTATTTTTTTTTCCCTTCATAGCTACCCATTTTCTCCTCTAATCTAATAGTTCTGGTTCTTTAATCTACTTATCTAGTTTTTAGTATGTGCAGTGAGTTTGAAATTGCGTTTATTGGCTCCTTTGTAAGCTAATTTATTGTCTTAATTCATTGAGGCTGCTGTAACAATACCATAAACTGGGTGGTTTATAAACAACAGAAATTTATTTCTCACTGTTCTGGAGGCTGGGAAATCCCAGCTGAAGGTGCTGGCTGATTTGGTGTCTAGTGAGGGGCCAGTCTGCATAGACACTGCATTCTAGCTATGTTCTCACACGGTGGAAGAGGAAGACAAACTCTCTCTGGTCCGTTTTCTAAGAGCACTAATCCCATTCACAAGGGCTCCAACTTCATGACCTAATTACCTTCCAAAGGCCCTACCTCCTAATACCATCACTTTGGGGGTTAGCTAGATTTCAACATACGAATTTTGGGAGAACACAAACATTCAGTCTGTAGCACCTACGAAGCAAGAGTTGATGGGGATTTTGGTGTGGGTCCCTTAACAACTCCTTACTAACTGGCAGAACTTGACCATCTCTTGTTAACACCACAGGTGTCATCCCTCTCTTTCCTATTTAGTGGATGGTCTTAGTTTCTCTAAGGAGACTCTCAGAAGACTAACTTTTAATTAATTTCTATAAAGATAAACCCTGCCATATTCTCCAGTCTCAGCTTTAGTTGCTGAGAATTGGGATGTGGTGTGTCATTAGACCCCACTAATGCAGGAAGAAGACCCGACTAATGCCACTGCAGGAAGACATTCCTTTCCATTGGTAGGATTTTTATTAATGACAGTGGTGGGTTTTTATTTCAATACCATTGTGTCTCAAATCAAAATGTATTGAAAGCTGAATTTTTATAAACTGTTGTTTAATATTAAGTAGAAACTAGGATAGCATGTTCCTTACCAAGGAGGACCCCTATATGGATTGTGATTATGTAACCAGGTAAGTGTGAACATCCTGTGTGTGGCGTTACAGACTCCTACTCAAAATGGAATAGATAGTGATGAGAGTTTTCTTTTGTTATCTTTAATTATGACATTAATTGCTGGGCCTGGCTTACTTGATTTGGAGAGGGTAGCCTCAGAGTGGAGGCAGGGAGGAAGGGAGAAGGAAGAAGAGAAGAGAATTGGAGAGATGGAGAAAGAGAATATGAATTGAAACCTTTCATCATTATGAATAAGAATTCTTGAAGAAGAAACAGGTTTGTTCAGAATTGGTTTAGTTTTTATTATTTCTATCCAGTGCCAGAAAAAATTGCTCAAGGAAATTCCATCCAACCCTTTATTATCCCCTAAAAATTTTTAGTATTACTTCATAGTTTCTTTTTTTTTTTTCCCGAGATGGGAGTTTCGCACTTATTTCCCAGGCTGGAGTGTAGTGGTGCAATCTCGGCTCACTTCAACCTCCGCCTCCTGGGTTCTAGTGATTCTCCTGCCTCAGCCTCCCAAGTAGCTGGGATTACAGGCACCCATCATCATACCCAGCTAATTTTTTGTATTTTTGTAGCGACAGGGTTTCATCACGTTGGCCAGGCTGGTCTCGAACTCCTGACCTCAGGTGATCCACCTGCCTTGGCCTCCCAAAGTGCTGGGATTACAGGCGTGAGCCACTGCGCCCAGCCTACTTCATAGTTTCTCAAATAAAATAATTTGTTCCATGTCTCCTGTTTCTGTTTCCTTAAAAATACAGTACATAAATTTTTGAAAATGATAAACAAGGTTTTCTTTAAAACAAATTATTTTAATAAATGAAAATCTGTCTGCCTAACTTTAAAATAGTCACACTGTTCTTCTACTTCTGGGAATCTGTCTAAAGCAATAGTTTCTAAATAAAACTTTGCACACAATGGTGAGATGATACTTATTTTATGAAAAAAATGAAAGCAGTCTGTCTAATGAGGGGAAAATGGACATTGTGCAATCGTTATAAATACGCTTTTGGGTGCATGAATGGCTCTTTTGTTACTCCTTTCTCCTTTCCATTCCACCCACATGGAATACTTGTTCTTCTGTGGGTGCCATACTTTTAGAAAGCAGCTTTTTTGAAGTATAATTGTCATATCATAAACTGTACATGTTTAAAGTGTACAATTTGGTTAGTTTATTTATATCTATCTCTATGTCTATAAAACCATCACCATAAAAAGATAACGAATATATGTATCAACTCTAAAATTTCTTCTGCCGCTTTGTAATCTGTCCCTCTCACCCCCTCTAGAAAATTGATCTGCTTTTAGTCATTATAGATTTTCTGTAATTTTTAAATAAATTGAATCATACATTACATACGTATTCTTTTTAACGACTTTATTGAGGTATAATTTATATAAGGAAACATTCCTTTTAAGCATACAATTCAGTGGTTTTAGTAAATGCATAGAGTTGTAAATCATTATTACAATCCAGTTTGATAACATTTCATCTTTTTTTTTTTTGTCTTTTTCCTGCCGTACAGTTTGATAACATTTCTATCACCCCCCCAAAACTTCCCTTGTCCCCATTTATCCAAAAGTTCCTGTGTGCCATCCCTATTCCCACCCCCAGTCCTAGGCATCCATTGATCTGCTGTCTCTATAAATTTGCATTTTCTAGACTTTGCATTAATATGGAATCATGGAATATGTAGTCTTTTGTGTTTAGGTTCTTCTACTTAGCGTAATGTTTTTATGTCCATTCATGTCATAACATATGCCAGTAGCTGCTTTTTTTTTTTTTTTTTTTTTTTGGAGACACAATCTCACTCTGTTGCTCAGGCTGGAGTGCAGTGGCACTATTTCTGCTCTCCGCAGCCTCGACCTCCAGGGTTCAAGTGATTCTTGTGCCTCAGCTTCCCAAGTAGCTGGGAATACAGGCATGTGCCACCACGCCCAGCTAATTTTTGTATTTTTTAAAGTAGAGACGGGTTTTCACCATGTTGGCCAGGCTGGTCTCAAACTCCTGACCTCAGGTGATCTGCCCACCTTGGCCTCCCAAAGTGGTGGGATTACAGACATGAGCCACTGTACCCAGCACCTAGTAGCTGGCTTTTGAAAATTCCTAAGTAGTATTCCATTGTATAGATATAATTTGTTTATCCATTTACCTGTTAATGGATATTGGATTGCTTCCAGATTTTGGTTATTACAGATTAAGACGCTAGGAACATTTGTGTACAAGTCTTTGTATAGCATATATTTTAATTTCTCCTGGGTAAATATGTGGGAGTGGAATAGCTGGATTACATTGTATGTTTTATTTTATTTTTTATTTTTTTGAGACGGAGTCTCACTGTGTCACCCAGGCTAGAGTGCACTGGCACCATCTCAGCTCACTACAACTTCCGCTTCCTGGGTTTAAGAGATTCTCCTGCCTCAGTCTCCTGAGTAGCTGGGATTACAGGCACCTGCCACCATCCCCGGCTAATTTTTGTATTTTTAGTAGAGACAGGGTTTCACCATGTTGGCCAGGCTGGTATCGAACCCCTGACCTCAAGTGATATACCCATTTCGACCTCCCAAAGTGTTGGGATTACAGGCGTGAGCCACCATAACCGGCCTATATTGTATGGGTATATTTAACTTTTTATCAAACTGCCCAAGTGTTTTCCAAAGTGGTTGTACCATTTTACATTTCCGTGATTAATGTATCAAATTTCCAGTTGCTCCACATTCTTGCTAACACTTGGTATGGTGAATCTTTTTAATTTTATACATTGTAATAGGTGTTTAATTGAATCTCATTGTGGTTTTGGTTTGCATTTTCCTAATGACTAATGATGTTGAATATTTTTTGTGTGCTTATTTGCCATTCATGTTTTTTTTTTTTTTTTTGTAGAGTGTTAATATTTTTCCCCATTTTTAAAAAGTGGAAAAAATTATCTGGGTGTGGTGGTGCACACTTGTAGTCTCAGTTATTCAGGAGGCTGAGGCAGGAGAATTGCTTGAGCCTGGGAGGTTGAGGCTGCAGTGAGCTTTGATCATGCCACCACACTCTAGCCTGGGTGACAGAGTGAGACCCTATCTTAGAAAAACAACAACAAACAAACAAACAAAACCAAACAAACAAAAAAACTGTGTTATTTTCTTACATATATATTTTCTGCATACAAGCTCTTTCTCAGATACGTGATTTGCAAATATTCTCTCCCAGTCTGTAACTTATCTTTTCATTCTCTTAGCAGTGTCTTTCAAAGAGCAGATATTAATTTTGATGAAGTCTGGTTTATTAATATTTCTATTATGGATTGTGTTTTTGGTGTTGTATCTGAGAAAGATTTTCTCCTAAGTTTTCTTCTGAAAGATTCATAATTTTATTTATTTTTTAATTTTTGAGGCAGAGTCTCACCTGGGCTGGAGTGCAGTGGCATGATCTCGGCTCACTGCAACCTCCATCTCCCAGGTTCAAGCGATTTTTCTGCCTCACCCTCCCAAGTAGCTGGGACTACAGGTGTGCACCACCACGCCTGGTTAATTTTTGTATTTTTAGTAGAGATGGGGTTTCACCATGTTGGCCAGGCTGGTCTCAAACTCCTGACCTCAGGTGATCCACCTGCCTCGTCCTCTCAAAGTGCTGGGATTACAGGCATGAGCCACCGCACCTGGCTATAAAAGTTTCATAAGTTTAGGTTTTACATTTAGGTCTAGGGTTATTTTGTACATTGTGAGAGCTATGGATGGAATTTTTTTTTGGCATATGAATATCCAGTTGTTTTAGGACCGTATTTTTTCCATCCTTTCTACACTGAATTGCCGTTTTACCTTTGTTGAAAATCAGTTAAGCGTATGTTTATAGGTCTGCTTCTCTACACTGTTTGGTCCCATTTATCTGTTTGCCTATATTGACATGAGTTCTACACTGTCTTGATAACTGTAGCTTTCTTTTTTGAGACAGGGTCTCACTGTGGTTGCTCAGTTGGAGTGCAATGGTACAGTCTTGGCCCACTGCAGCCTTGACCTTCCGGGCTCAGGTGATTCTCCCACTTCAGCCTCCCAAGTAGCTAGGACTATAGGCATGCACCACCATGCCTGCTAGTTTGTTTTTTTTTTTTCCCTTTGTTATTTTAGCGGAGATGGGGTTTCACCATGTTGCGCAGGCTGGTCTCAAACTCCTGGACTCAAGCAATCCACCTACCTCAGCCTCCCAAGCTGCTGGGATTATAGGCGTGAGCCACCACACCCGGCCTAACTCTAGCTTTGTAATATATGTTTATTTTATTTTATTTTTTATTTTTATTTATTTATTTTTTGAGACGGAGTCTCACACTGTTGCCCGGGCTGGACTGCAATGGCGCGATCTTGGCTTACCTTAACCTCCGCCTCCCGGGTTCAAGTGATTCTCCTGCCTCAGCCTCTTGAGTAGCTGGGATGACAGGCGCCCACCACCATGCCCGGCTAATTTTTTGTATTTTTTAGTAGAGATGGGGTTTCATTATGTTGGCCAGGCTGGTCTTGAACTTCTGACCTCGTGATCCACCTTTCTCGGCCTCCCAAAGTGCTGGGATTACCGGTGTGAGCCATTGAGCCCGGCTGTAATATATGTTTAAATCAGATGATGTTTAAAACTTTGTTCTTGATCAAAATTGCCCATTTTAGGTTTTTTGCATGTCCTTATAAATTTTAGAATTATCTTGTCAGTTTCTTTTTAAAAAGTCTTCTGGAATTTTCAGTGGGATTGTATTGGGAGTGTAGATCAATTTGGAGAAACTCAACAGCCTAATAATAATGTTGGATTTTCAGACCCATGAGCACAGTGTATCTCTCCATTTAATTAAATAATCTATAATTTTTCTCAGTGACGTGTTGTAGTTTTGGTGTACAGATCTTTTTGTTTGTTTGTTTGTTTGTTTGTTTGAGATAGGGTCTCACTTTGTCACCCAGGCTGGAGTGCAGTGGCGTGATCTCGGCTCTCTGCAGCCATGACCTCCTGGGCTCAAGTGATCCTCCTGCCTCAGCCCCCCAACTAGCTGGGACTACAAATGTGTACTCCTACATCTGGCTAATTTTTTTTAGAGTTGTTGCTTCACCATGTTGCCCAGGCTGGTCTCCAACTCCTGAGTTTAAGCGATCCACCTGCCTCGGCCTCCCAAAGTGCTAGGATTACGGCTAAATCTGATGAAAGATGTGCAAGAAAGACATGTATACCAGCTGGGCACCGGTGTACAGATCTTGCAGTCTTTTGTCAGGTTTATCTGTAATTCTAAAAAAATCTAAAAATGTGCAAGATCTGTACACTGGCACCCAGCTAGTGTACAGATCTTGCACATCTTTATTTTTATTTTTTTGCACCTCCTCCTCCAACAGAGATCTTGCACATCTTTTGTCAGATCCGTATTTCATTAAAAAAATGTTTAGTGGGTACGTACATAGTAGGTATATATATTTGTGTATTTCATATATTTGATGCTATTATATTTGATGTTTTTAAAGAACCCAGTGTCTGATTGTTTGTTGCTGGTATATAGGAATACAATTACTTTTTGTATATTGGTCTTGTATCTTGTAATCTTGCTAAACTTATTTATTCATTCTGTTAGCATTTTGTATAGATTCCATAGGATTTTCTCTATATATAATCATGTTGTCTATAAATAAAGACAGCTTTACTTCTTCTCCAACCTGGATGCCTCTTATTTCTTTTTCTTGCCTTATTGCCCTGGCTAGAACTTCCACTACAATGTTTTTTATATATTTTTACTTTTTGTGGAGATGAGCTCTTGCTTTGTTGTCCAGGCTGGTGTGGAACTCCTGGCTTCAAGCAATCTTCCTGCCTTAGCCTCCCAGTGTGCTGGGATTACAGATGTGAGCCGCCATGCCAGGCCTCCAATACAGTGTTGAATCCAAGTGGCGAAAGTCTACATGTTAGCTGTAGGTTTTTTGAAAGCAACAAGTCTGTAAGTCAGCTATAAGTCTGATGTTAGCTGTAGGTTTTTTGAAGATACCTTTCATCAGCTGTAGGGAATTTTTCTATTCCTAGTTTGATGTGAGTTTTTATCAGGAATAATTGATGGATTTTGTCAAATGCTTTTTCTGCATCTATTGAGATGATTTTTTTTGTTTTTAGTATGTTAATATGGTGAATAATATGATTGATTTCAAATGTTAAACCAACCTTACATTCCTGGAGTAAACCCCGCTTGGTCATGATATTATTATTATTATTATTAATTAATTTATTATTTTTTGAGACAGAGTGTTGCTCTGTCACCCAGGCTGGAATGCAGTGGCTTGATCTTGGCTCACTGCAACCTCCACCTCCTGGGTTCAAGCGATTCTCCTGCCTCAGCCTCCTGAGTAGCTGGGACTACAGGCGCATGCCACCACACCCAGCTAATTTTTATATTTTTAGTAGAGACGGGGTTTCACCATATTGGTCAGGCTGGTCTTGAACTCCTGACCTTGTGATCCACCTGCCTCAGCTTCCCAAAGTGCTGGGATTACAGACGTGAGCCTCCGCGCCCAGCTTGGTCATGATATTATTTTGATGTATTTTTATATTTGATTTATCAAATTTTTGTCATGAATTTTTACATCTGTTTATTGGCTGGCCTCATAGAATGAGTTGAGGAGTTTTTCCTTTTCTTCAGTTTTCTGGAGGGTTTGTGTAGAATTGGTATTATTTATTCCTTAAATGTTAAATATAATTCTCCAGTGAACCATCTGTACTTCGAATTTTCTTTGTGAAAAGTTTTAAACTAGAAATTCAATTTATGTGATAGATACATTGCTATGTAGGCTGTCTCTTTCTTCTTGAGTGAGTTTTGGCAGATTGTGTCTTTCAAGGAATTTATGCATTTCATGCCATTAGTCAAATTTATTTGCATAAAGTTCATTATAGTCTTTTACTGTCCTTTTAACATCTGTAGAACCTTTAGTTACATTGTCTCTCTCATTCTTCATATTGATCATTTGTGTCTTCTTGTCTCTTGCTCTGGCTCTGGCTCTTGCTGTCTCATTTCTCCTGATTAGACTAGTTAATGTTTCTCAAAGAACCATGTTTGGTTTTATTCGTTTTTCTCTATTGTTTTTCTGTTTTCTATTTTATTGATTTCTGCGCTAATCCTTTTTTTAAAATATTACATTTAATATTTTCCCTGTTTAAACAAATCCAAGTTGACAGGTTTATTTTTTTGCTTTCAGTACTTTCGAGATACTGTGTCAATGTCTTCTAGCTTGCATTGTTTCAGTTGAGATATCTGCTCTAGTTTTTATCTTTGTTCCACATATATCATGTTTCTTTTTTCTCTGGCTGCTTATATAATTTTCTCCTTACCACTGTTTTAAGCGATTTGATTATGTTATTCTATGGCGTAATTTTATGTTTCATGTGCTTGGGGCTTGTTGAACTTTAATCTGGATTAGAATGTGGGTTTATAGTTTTCTTCAAATTTGGGAAATTATTGACAATTATTCAAATATTTTTCTGTCCCTCTCCCTTTGGGACCAATTGAATTTATTTCACAGTTTGCTGATCCCCATTCGTTTATTTTCAGTCTTTTTTCGTCTCTGTGTTTCATTTTGAGTAGTTTCTATTGAAATTCTTTAAGGTTACTAATCTTTTCTTCTGCATTGTTTAATCTGCCATTAAATTCCTACAGTATTGCATTAGTCTGTTCTCACATTGCTATAAAGAACTATGTGAGACTGGGTAATTGATGAAGAAAAGAGGTTTAATTGACTCACAGTTCTGCAGACTGTACAGGAAGCATGGCTGGGAAGCCTCAGGAAACTTACAATCATGGTGGAAGGCAAAGGGGAAGCAGCACAATCTTCACATGCAGGAAAGAGAGAGAGTCAAGTGGGAAGTGCCACACACTTTTAAACCATCAGATCTCATGAGAACTCACTCACTATCATGAGAACAGGAAGGGGAAATCCACCTTCATGATCCAGTCACCTCCTACTATGTCCCTTCCCCAACATTGGAAATTACAATTCAACATGAGATTTGGGTGGGGACACAGAGCCAAAACATATCAAGTGTATTTTCTTTAATATCAAACATTGTAATATTTATATTAAAAGTTTGATATGAGGTCTTTTTTATGTCTTATAACCTTTCCTATAACTTCTTAAACATAGAAATATAATCATAATACTTATTTTAATATCCCTATCTACCAGTTCTGTCATCTCTGTTATTTCTGGATCAGTTTTAATTGATTTACATTTTTTTTCTCATTATAGTATTTATTTTCCAGCTTCTTTGCATGTCTGGTTATTTCAGATTAAATGCTAGACATTGTAAATTTTACCTACTGGGGTGTTGGATATTTTTGTATCACTATGAATATTCTTGAGCTTTGTTCTGGACTGTGGTTAAATTATTTGCAAACAGTGATACTTTTGAGTCTTGCTTTTAAGCTTTGTCATGTGAGTCCGGAGCTGCATTTAGTCTAGGGTTAATTTTTCTATCCTACTAAAGTAGGACTTTTATTAGTACTTTAACTGATGCCCTATGAATTACAAAGTTTTCCATTCTAGCTTTGTGGAATAGGTACTATTTCTTAGCCGTCTAAACTTGAGTACTTTTCTCTGTAATCAAGAGAACTACAGGGCAGCCTAGGCAACATGGCAAAACCTCATCTCTGTAAAAAGTACAAAAAGCTACTTGGGGGGCTGAGGTAGGAGGATTGCTTCAGCCTGGGAGGTCGAGGCTGCAGTGAGCCAAGATCGCGTCATGGCACTCCAGCCTGGGTGATAGAGTGAGACCCTGTCTCAGAAACAAACAAAAGCCAGGCATGGTGGCTCATGCCTGTAATCCAGCAGTTTGGGAGGCTGAGGCGGGCAGATCACTTAAAGTCAGGAGTTCGAGACCAACCTGGCCAACATGGTGAAACCCTTTCTCTACTCAAAATACAAAAATTAGCCGGGCACAGTGGCAGGCGCCTGTAATCTCAGCTATTTGGGAGGCTGAGGCAGGAGAATCGCTTGAACCTGGGAGGCAGAGGTTACAGTGAGTGGAGATTGCACCACTGCACCCCAGCCTGGGTGACAGAGTGAGACTCCATCTCAAAAAAAAAAAAAACCCAAAGAAACAAAACAAAGAATACAGGTTAGTTTTTCCCTGACCCTCTGTAGTTTCTCCATATACATCTGATTATCAGTATTCCCTTGAGTACTTAAGGGGGTCTCCTTCAAATTTTCAGAGTTCTGTCTCTGTATAGCACTCTTCTTTCCCAGACTTCCAGTTCAGCTCTTCAACTCAGAAAGACTGCTGGTCTGTGCTTGGATTTCTTCTTCCTGTGCCATGGCTCAAAAACATTTTCTAGACAGTAAGCTGGGGCAATCATAGGGTTGATCTTACTTGTTTTTCATTTCTTAGGGATCACTGTTTTTTATCACCTGATGTCTGGTGTCTTGAACGCCATTGTTTAATATATTTGGTCTGGTTTTTAAATTTTTTTCAGAAGGATAAATCTTCTTGCTGTTACTTCTTCTTGACTGGAACAGAAAGTCCACCATGTTTTTTTTTGTTTTTGTTTTGTTTTTTTACCTTGTGGCATTCACCTACCTAACTACTACTTAGTCTTCCTAGGCTTTACTTCTTTTTGAAGCCTTCTCTGATATTTACTTCCCAAGTTTGGACCCAGATGCTCTCCTAAATATTTGCATAATACTCAACTCTATCATTAAGTTTTCAGTCTCAGAACTTGATGCTCATTGTTCAAACTTGATACTTGCAAATATGTCCTTGATCTTGTCTCCTTGCATCTTTAGCTACCATTCGTTTGTCTCTCTTCCTTTTTATCTAGAAATATCAAAGGTAGTCTGCACTTGCTGTCTCTTCTTTATTCACTTACATCTAATCCTCAGCCATGTGGAATTTGGTTTCCACTGAAGCTACTCTTGCCAGGGTCACCAGTGACTTCACAGTTGCTGATTGCAGTGTATTCTTTTCAGTCTTTATTTGATTGGCCCCATCTGCATTATTTCATACTGGTTGCAATTGTCCCTTCTTTCTTTGGGGACCACACATTCCTGGTCCTTTTCCTTCTTCCTGATGATTCCTTCTTAGTCAATTTTGTTGGTCCTTTTATCAGCTTACAGCCTTTGTATTCCTAAATGTTCTATTCTTTGATTACTATTTCTTTTATTTACATGTTCTTCCTGTCGTAGTTCATCCACTCCCATGGCTTTAGGAGCATGATTCCAAATCTTAGTTTCTGTTTCAATTTCCCAGAGGTATTTTAGCTTCAATTTGTCTAAAACATAACTTCCTGTAATTTCCTTAAAGTTGCTCTTCTGTAGTCTATTTCGTTTTTGATACTACTGTAGTCAGTCCCTCACTCAGGCTAGAAACATGGGTGTCATCTCAGACTCTTCCCCAAACCCCAGATCTATTACAGCTCCATAAATATTAGATTCTTAATATTTTAAAATCCATCCCACAGGAGGAGTTTCCAGTAATGGTGGCAGAGTGAAGTAGTCTCTGAAACCTTCCCACAGATAATATTAGAAAATCTGTAAACAAATGTATTAAAAGATACTGGAAAGGTTCCAAAAGCAGATAGAAGCTAGAGGAGCGCTTACTTTTGAAAAATGGCAACTGGGAGTGAAAAGAATTGTGAATTTGCAGCTTAAAAAAATTTTTTCCTGAGGGCATTCAACAACTCCCACAGCAGAGGAAAGTGGCAGTGGAAAACTCCAGCCTTACTTTCTTATGGTGGCAAAAACAGAGTTCATGATAGAAAAAGCATCTGAAAATTTAGCAGGAGGGCTTGAAAGTGAGAAAACCACAGAAGAGGGTGACCCCCATAACCTGACTGTGAACTCTGCTAAAATCCCTGGATGTACCTCTAAACTACACCTGCATGGGCAGACTCCATGAGGCCTGCTGAAAAAGCAGGCAGAGATTAGGGAGGCAGAGATTAGAGTTCTGTCTTTGAAAGACAGAATCTACACAAGGTGAACTTCGTAAGTTTGCTGCTTTTTAAAATTGAATGCATTCTCCAACCATGGGGAACCAGGTGGCAGATATATGAAGTCTTATGGACTTGAGGTGTCAGTGGACGTAATCTTAAGGCTGAAAAGTTAGGGAGGAATCCCCAGAAACAAAGACAGTACAATGAGAACAGGCCCCAAATCTGAGTAAAATCTCTGGCCAAATTCTTGGTCAATTATCAGTTACACAGGCAGACCTGTAGTGGCCAGGCTGGGCGTGGTGCCTTACGCCAGCACTTTGGGAGGCCAAGGCAGGTGGATCACTTGAGGCCAGGAGTTAGAGACCAGCCTGGCCAACATGGCGAAACCCCGTCTCTACTAAAAATACAAAAATTAGCTCGGTGTGGTGGTGCATGCCTTTAATTCCAGCTACTAGGGAGGCTGAGGCACGAGAATCACTTGAAGCCAGGAGGCAGAGGTTGCAGTGAGCTGAGAAGATCACACTGTTGTACTCCAGCCTGAGCAACAGAGCAAGACTGTCTTAAAAAAAAAAAAAAGTTGTGAGAACTACACAGAGATATCAGTTGTTGAACACTGTAAGGAGCAAAGTCTACAGTTCAGTCCAGGGAGGTTATTTGTCTACTAGGAAAACCTCCCCCAGTAATCCCAAGGAAAATATAGTAGAATCCAGAGTCACTACATGTATCAGAATGTCCAACGTTAAACCAAAAATTACCAGACATGCACAGGAACAGGAAAGGGTGATCCATACGCAGGGAAAAAAAGGCAGTCAATAGAAGGTGGCTCCAAGTTGACTCAGATGTTGGAGATAGTAGTCAGACTTCAAAGTAGCTATCATATGTATGTTCAGATAATTAAAGGAAAATGTTTGTTTTGTTTTTGTTTTTTTGGGTCTCATTCTGTTGCCCAGGCTGGAGTGCAGTAGTGCTATCTTGGCTTACTGCAGCCTCAAACTCGTGGGCTCAAGCGATCCTGCCAACCCAGCTTCCTATGTAGCTAGGCCTACAGGGGTGTGCCACCACTCCCAGCTAATTATAATTTTTTTTTTTTTTTTTTGTAGAAATGGGGTCTCGCTATGTTGTGCAGGCTGATCTTGAACTTCTGGCCTTGAGCAATCCTCCCACCTTGGCCTCCCAGTATGCTAGGATTACAGGTGTGAGCTACTGTATCGGGCCAGAAAATAGTTTCAATGAGTAAACAGATGAAGAATTTCAGAAAAGAAATGTTAAAAATGGGAAAATAGAAACAAGAGGGCTTACAAAATGGCAGCAAGAAGGGATCTGTAGTTTTCGTGTAAAAAACAAGTATAAAACTGGGCAAAATTGTTAAAACCAAATATTTTTAACATATCTAGAAATAAAATAGAAGCAGAAACAAATTGAGAAAAACTTATTCTTTTTTTTTTTTTTTTTTTTTTCTTGAGACAGGGTCTTACTCTGTCATCCAGGTTGGTGTGATCATGGCTCACTGCAGCCTTGACTTCCCTGGCATGAGCCATCCTCCCACCTCAGCCTCCCAAGTAGCTGGGATTACAAGTGCGCACCACCACGTCCAGCTAACTTTTTATATTTTTTGTAGACACGGGGTCTCACTATGTTGCCTAGGTTCTTGAAAAACTCGTGGGCTCAGGTGATCCTCCTGCCTCGGCATCTCAAAGCGCTGGCTTGAGCCACCACACCCCAGCCTAAGAATTTATTCTTAAAAGGCTGGTAATACTTTGAGTAGGTACAGTGGAAGTCTGTGGTCTTCTTGGAATGTTTCCCATCTGTCCTTACCTCCATTACTCAGCTCTGGTGACAAGAATTGTAGTTTTACCAGTGTGTGGCTGAACATGAAAACTAATATCTTAAGGAGCCAGAGTGCAGTGGCACATGCCTGTAATTTCAGCTACAGGGAGGCTGAGGTAGGAGGACTGCTTGAGCCTCGGGAGTTCCAACCAGCCTGGAACTCAACATAGTGAGACCCCGTCTCAATTGAAAAGGAAAAAAAATAAATAAATAACACTAGCAAATTTTCTGCCAGAGGGGGTAGACTTAATGTGGGACAGGTGAAAACTCACAGCTTTGCCAACTAAAAGTGGCAAACTTGGTTGAGAATGAATGGAGAGAATCCACAGCTTTGCTAGCTGAAGGTTGCAGTGCCTGTTGGAGTAGATGGTGGACCTGCCAGAAACTAAATGGGAAGATCTTGAAAATAAGAGAGCCATAGAAGGGCTACGATAAGCTCTCCACATATCTCTGGCTGATAGGGAAGTTACCTGCATGTGCAGGAGGGACCCAAGGGAACCCAATAAAAAGTAAAAATTAAAGGGGACTTGAGAACTGGCTGTAACTTTGAATGCATTCCTCAGGCAATATACAGATAGATTGGCAGATGGCAAAGCTTTATGGGTTTGAGGTCTATGAGCAACCCCTGCCCAGATCATTGTCTGACTACTAAATGATGCAGGCATAGGCTGCCCTAGAAACCCAGGCTAAAATAAAAACAAGAAAAAAAAACCGAGCAGAGCATCAGTCACAACATACTATGGGAGAATTAGATTTTGCAGTTTAAGTATAGGCAAGTTATTAAAAACAATAAATAGCCCATCAGGTAAATAAAACAATCGATAGCTACTCCAGTAGATTATCTGAAGCCTCTAGTTTTCAACCAGATATTATAAGACATGCAAGGAAAAATCAGGAAGGTGTAACCCATGCTCAGGGAAAAAAAAGTCATTAATAGAAATGATTTCTGAATAGGCCCAGCTATTAGATTTAGCAGAGACTTCAAAATAGCTGTTAAAAAAATATGGGAAGGGGAATATCACACTCTGGGGACTGTGGTGGGGTCGGGGGAGGGGGGAGGGATAGCATTGGGAGATATACCTAATGCTAGATGACACATTAGTGGGTGCAGCGCACCAGCATGGCACATGTATACATATGTAACTAACCTGCACAATGTGCACATGTACCCTAAAACTTAGAGTATAATAAAAAAAAAAATATATATATATATATATATATATATATATATATATATATGATTAAAAACTTAAATCGTGTTCAAAGGTTTAAAGGAAAATGAGATGACAGTTACTTAACAAATAGGGAAGTGGCTCTAACCACATTTGGTCAATATTGTAGTAGAGGTCCTAGCCAATTATAATGCAAGAAAAAGAAATGAAAGAAATAGAGATTGGAAATGAAGAAGCAAAACTGCCTTTATTCACAGATGATTGGATTATTTCTAGAAAATTCTAAAGAATCTGCATAAAAGCCACTGGAACTATTAAGTAAAGTTAGCAAGATTGCAGGATATAAGGGCAATACACAGAAATCACTTGTGTTTCTATATTAGCAATGAATAATTGGGAATTGAAGTTTTATTATTTATTTATTTTAGAGATAGGGGTCCCACTATGTTGCCTAGGCTGGCCTTGAACTTCTGGGTTCAAGCAATCCTCCTTCAGCCTCTCAAGTAGCTGGAACTCCAGGTGTGCACCACCATACCTAGCTTGAAGTTTTAAAAAATGTGTAACACCCAAAGACATGAAACACTTAGGCATAAACTTAACAAAATATGTGCAAAAACTGTATACTGAAAACTACAAAACTCTGCTGAGAGGAATATGAGAAATAAGTAATGATGTCCTCCCCTCCCCGCATTCATGTCCATCTGGAACCTCAGCATGTGACCTTATTTGGGAATAGGGTCTTGGCAGATGTAATTAGTTGAGAATCTCCAGGTGAAATCATCCTGTATTTAGGGTGGGCCCTTAATATAATGACTGGTGTCTTTATACGAGAGAAAGGAAAGGGAGCTTTGGATCCATCTACACAGACACGGAAGAAGGCCACGTGAAGAGTAGAGTTAGGTTGCCGCAAGCCAAGGAATGCTAAGAGCCTCCAGGAGCTAGAAGAGGCAAAGAAAGATTCTCCTCTAGGGCCTTCAGAGGCAGTATGGCCCTGCCAACACCTTGATTTCAGACTTCTGGCCTCCAGAACTGTGAGAGAATGAATTTCTATTGTTTTAAGCCACAAAGTTTATAGTAATTCATTATGGCAGCTCTAGGAAACAAATATAACCATGTTATACAGATTGGGATCTAGAATGATCAAAATGATTTTGAAAAAGAACAATAGAGTTGGAGGACTTAAACTATCTAGCTAGAAGACTTACTGTATAGCCACAGTAATCAAGGCAGTGGTATTGGTATAAAACTAGATTAAGTTAATGGAACATAATATAGAGTCCAGAAATAGACCCACACCTATATGGTCCATTGATGTGCCAGTGCAGTTCAGTGGGGAAGGGATAATCTTTTCAACAAATGGTGCTAGAACAATTAGATAATGATATGTAAAAACATGAACCTTGACCCTTACCTCTAGAGGAAAATCAACTCAAAACGGATCATAGATCTCAATTTAAGAGTAAAAGCTATAAAACTTATGGAAGAGAACCCAGGAGAACATTTTTGTGATCTTGCTTTGGCAAAGATTTCTTAGCCATGTCACTGAAAGCATGAACTGTAAAAGAAACAAATGATAAATTGGAGCTTATCAAAATTACAAATTTTTGTTAATGAAAAGCTAACACTAACAAAACGAAAAAGGAAGATACAGACTGAGAAAACATTTGCAAATTATATGTCTGACAAAGGACTCATTTATAGAAATAAATGAGCTCTTGTAACTTGATTAGAAAACTAGTAACCCATTTTAAAAAGCAGGCAAAAGATTGGAACAGATAGTCCACCAAAGAGGTTATACAGGTGTCCGATAAATACATAAAAAGATGTTCAATGTCGCTAATCACTAGGAAAATGTAAATTACAACCACAGTGAGATACCACTACATACCTCGAATGGCTAAAATTAAAAAGATTTCCACACCAAATTCTGTCAAGATTATATGATAACTGAAATACACTGGTGGTGGTACTATATTATGTCATAACAACTTCAGAAAATGGTTTGGCAGTTTCTTGAAACAGTTAAAGGTACATTGATCGGGGGTTCTATTTATAAGTATTTACCTAAGAGAAATAAAAGGACATGTCCATACAAAGACTTGTAGAGGCTGGGCGCAGTGGCTTACACCTGTAATCCCAGCACTTTGGGAGGCCGAGGTGGGTGGATCGCTTGAGGTCTGGAGTTCAAGACCAGCCTGACCAACATGGAGAAACCCAGTCTCTACTAAAAATACAAAACTAGCTGGGCGTGGTGGCACATGCCTGTAATCCCAGCTACTCGGGAGGCTGAGGCAGGAGAATCGCTTGAACCTGGGAGGCGGAGGTTGTGGTGAACCGAGATTGCGCCATTGCACTCCAGCCTGGGCAACAAGAGCGAAACTCCATCTCAAAAAAAAAAAAAAAAGACCTGTAGATGAGTGGTTATAACAGCTTGATTTGTAATAGCCAAAAGCTAGAATAAACCCAAACGTTCATCTATAGGTGAATGAATAAACAAATTATAGTATATAATATAAAGCAGAAAACTACTTAGCAATGCTAAGAAATGAATTATTGATACACAAAACATTTTGTTTGTATTTTGTTATTCATACAAAATAATTTTTCTGAGTGAAATAAGCCAGACTGCCCCTCTCAAAAAAAAGGGTACTTACTTTGTGATTCCATTTATAGAACCTTTTAGGAAATGCAAACTATAGAAACAGAAAGCAGGCCGGGCGTGGTGGCTCACGCCTGTAATCCCAGCACTTTGGGAGGCCAAGGCAGGTGGATCACGAGGTCAGGAGATTGAGACCATCCTGGCTAACACGGTGAAACCCCATCACTACTAAAAATACAAAAAATTAGCTGGGCATGGTGGCGGGCGCCTGTAGTCCCAGCTACTCAGGAGGCTGAGGCAGGAGAATGGCATGAACCCGGGAGGTGGAGCTTGCAGTGAGCCGAGATCGCGCCACTGCACTCCAGCCTGGGCGACAGAGCAAGACTCCATCTCAAAAAAAAAAAAAAAAAAAAAAAAAAAAGAAACAGCAGAATGGTTGCTTAGGGTGGGGAGGAGAAGGCATTACAAAGGAGCATGAGGAATCTTTGGAAGTGATGGATATGCATTAGCTTGATTGTACTGGTGGTTTCAAATGTGTATACATACATAAAAATTTATCAAATTGTACATTTTATGTATGTTCAATTTATTGTATGTCAATTATACCTTAATAAAGCTTTAAAAAGGGGGGGTAAAAATTTGGATAAACTTTACCTCTTTGCCTCTTCAAAGAAAAAATGGTCAATAAGCACAGGAAAATATGCTCAATATTATTAGTCATCAGGAAAGTCATCAGTGATATATTACTTTATAACCACTAGAATGACAAAAAATAAAAAGACCAGGAATACCAAGTGTTGGTGAAGTTGTAGAGCAACTGGAACTCTCGTATGTTGCTGGTAGAAATATAAAATGTACAGCCACTTTGGGTAACAGTTCATAGTTTCTTACAAAGTTAAACATATACTTATGTATAACCAGCAATTCTCCTAAGTAACTACCTAAGATAAATTAGAACACGTGTTTACAGAAACATGTATACTTAAACATTCATAGCAGTTTTTATAACTAAGAACGGAAAACAACTTAAAATTCCATCAGTAGATAAATGTAAACCAAATTTTTGTGTATTTCTATAATGGAAAACTACTCAGTAATAAAAAAGAATGTACTACTGATATGCACAATATCATGAATAAATTTCAAAAACGTGTTGAGTGAAAGCCAGAAACAAAAATAGTATGTATATGCTTCCTTTTATATGAAATACAAGAAAACCCAAACTAATCTCACTTTGATAGCAAACAAATCAGTGGTTTCCTGAGCCTAGAGATGGAGACAGGGATTTATTATAAAGGGGCATGAATGAATTTTGGGGGCTGATAGAAATGTTCTCTCTCTTAATTGTGGTTACATGGGTATATATATTTATCAAAACTTTGACCTTATATACTTGAAATGTGTGTAGTTTATGTGAATTATATTTCAACCAATTTGATTTTTTTTTTTTGAGACAAGAGTTTCACTCTGTCGCCCAGGCTGAGGTACAGTGGCATGATATCGGCTCACTGCAGCCTCCGCCTCCTCTCGGGTTCAAGTGATTCTTGTGCCTCAGCCTCCTGAGTAGCTGGGACTACAGGCGTGTACCACCATGCCCAGCTAAATTTTGTATTTTTAGTAGAGATGGGGTTTCACCATGTTGGTCAGGCTGGTCTCAAACTCCTTACCTCAAATGTTCCACCTGTCTTGGCCTCCCAAAGTGCTGGGATTACAGGTGTGAGACACCACACCCGGCCGAATTTGATTTTTAAAAAATCCATACCACCACCCTTGTTTCGCTACTCATTATTTCTCATTTGGATGAAAGCAGTACTCTTCTAAGTGATATTCCTGCTATTGCCTTACTTCTTCAAACCCATACGCTAAGAAATGACTTGTAAGACAGAAACTCGACCTTGTTACTTCCTTGCATACAACCCTTAAATTGCTTACCATTACTTAGTTTCTTAAAATAACATGTAATGCTTTTTTCCATCTGGTCTTTGCCTCTATCTTTCCAGCTCATCTTCTATTACTTTTGCCTCTCACTTTGCTTATGGCTGTCAGTTCCCAATACAGACCATGTTAATTTCATTTTTTGTGCCTACATTCATTCTCTGCCCTCTGCCTTTTGTCTAGTAAACAACTGTTTATCCTCTAAAACTCAGCTTAGGGCTCTTCTCCTTCAGGAAGCCTTTTTCTTTAATAATAATAATAAAAAAATCATTCTTTTCCATACTCTTTCTCCCTCAAAGGGAGATGGATTAAGTAACTTTAGCTTGTGTTTTTTTTTTTTTTTTTTTTTTTTTGGCTCATCATAAACATTGGTATATTTACTTTTTTTTTTTCTTTTTGAGACAAGGTCTCATTCTGTCACCCAAGCTAGAGTACAGTGGCATGATCACAGTTCACTGCGGCCTTGACCTCCCAGGCTCAAGCGATTCTCCCACCTCAGCCTCCCAAGTAGCTGGGACCACAGGCATGGCCACCATGCCCAGCTAATTTTTTATGTTTTGTAGAGACAGGGTCTCGCCATATTGTCAAGGCTGGTCTTGAACTCCTAGGTTCAAGTGGTCTCCTGTCTTGGCCTCCCAAAGTGTTGGGAGTACAGGCGTGAGCCACCATGCTTAGCTGGTATATTTACTATTTTGGCTTATTATGCTTTCAGTGCTCAACGATTAGTTTTATTTATATTTTGGATCCACAAGGGCTATTTTGTAATAGGTGCTCAATAAGTATTTGTAGAAAGATTGAATAGAAATGTTAACAGGGTAAAAGTATACATTGTTTTGCTTTTCCAGCACACTTAGAATGCAGAAAATTACTATTTTGTTTTAAACAAAACATTTTGGCTAGGAAAAAAACTCAAGATTTATCTCAACATTTAACACCACTTTTATTTGGGTGGTGAGATTAGTTTCTTTAATATTTTTGATATTTTTGCATTTTTCAAGAGAACATTTAATAGACTATTGTTTCATGAGACATAACCTGAAAAATTATGTAACTTTTACCTACTCAAATTAGTTTTTTTATTTCTTTAGGTCCACAAGGCGATTACAATTTCCAGTCCCCTAACCACAGACCTGACTGCAGAGCTGTCTGGTGGGCCAAAGAATGTATCAGTGCAACCTGAAATATCAGAGGGTCTTGCTACTACGCCCAGCACTCAACAAGTAAAAAGTTCTGAGAAAACCCAGATTGCTGTCCCCCAGCCAGTGGCTCCCTCCTACAGTTATGCTACCCCTACCCCCCAGGCCTCTTTCCAGAGCACCTCAGCACCATACCCAGGTAAGGACCTTTGCTCTTGGAGATAGAAGGAAAAAGTAGAACATTTGATCAAAGTATTCCCTTTTAGAGGAAAGAAGGAAGGGAGGCATAACTTGAATACTGTGTGTTAGAGAAAAAATAACTCTGTCATTGCCCCTGCAGTCATGGACTGGGGGCTCTAGAGCCTTTCCTCAGCAGGCCTCCAGCTTATGGAAATTTACGAGGCTAATTTTCACAGATCCAGATTCCACTGTGACTTAAAGGCACATGATTCAATTAAGTATAATGTTCAAGTGATCAATCAGAGCCTACTGGGAAGAAAGATTTGGATCAGTGTATTTGCTTACCTTCTGAAAGTCTGGTTGTAGGTCTCTCATTTTTATAGCATCTTTATTTTAATTTTTATTTATTTTTAAAACTTTTAATTTTTGTGGATATATAGTAGTTGTATACATTTATGGCATACATGAGATACTTTGATGCAGACATGCAATGTGTAATAATCACATCATGTAAAATAGAGTATCCATCCCTTCAAGCCTTTATCCTTTGTGTTACAAACAATCCAGTTATATTATTTTAGTTATTTTAAAATGTGCAATTAAAATATTATTGACTATAGTCACCCTGTTGTGCTATCAAATACTAGGTCTTATTTGTTCTTTCTAGCTTTTTTTTTTGTACTCATTAACCATCCCCCCCTCCCTCTTACCCCCACACTACCCTTCGCAGCCTCTGGTAACCATCCATCTATCTAACCATTACTCTCTATCTCCATGAGTTCAGTTGTTTTGATTTTTAGATTCCACAAATAAGTGAGAACAAGCAGTGTTTGTCTGTGCCTGGCTTATTCACCTAACATAATGACCTCCAGTTCCATCCATGTTGTTGGAAATGACAAAATTTCATTCTTTTTTATGGCTGAGTAGTACTCCATTGTATATAAGCACCACATTTTCTTTATTCATTCATCTGTTGATGGACACTTAGGTTGCTTCCAAAGTTTGGCTGTTGTGAACAGTGCTGCAAACATGGGAGTGCAGATACCTCTTCGATACACTGATTTCCTTTCTTTTGGGTATAGACCCAGCAGTGGGATTATTGAGTCACATGGTAACTCTATTTTTATTTTTTTGAGGAACCTCCAAACTGTTCTCCATAGTGGTTGTACTAATTTACATTCCCACCAATAGTGTACGAGGGTTCCCCTTTTCTCCACATCCTCACCAGCATTTGTTATTGCCTGTCTTTTGTATAAAAACCATTTTAACTGGGGTGAGATGATATCTCACTGTAGGTTTTTTTTTTTTTTTTTTTTTTGAGACAGAGTCTCACTCTGTTGCCCAGGCTGGAGTGCAGTGGCGCAATCTCGGCTCACTGCAAGCTGCGCCTCCTGGGTTCATGCCATTCTCCTGCCTCAGCCTCCCGAGTAGCTGGGACTACAGGCGCCCACCACCACGCCCAGCTAATTTTTTGTATTTTTAGTAGAGATGCGGTTTCACCGTGTTAGCCAGGATGGTCTCGATCTCCTGACCTTGTGATCCGTCCGCCTTGGCCTCCCAAAGTGCTGGGATTACAGGCGTGAGCCACCGCGCCCGGCCATCTCATTGTAGTTTTTATTTGCATTTCTCTGATGATCAGTGATGTCGAGAACCTTTTCATATGCCTGTTTGCCATTTGTAGGTCTTCTTTTGAGAAATCCCTGTTCAAATATTTTGCCCATTTTTAAATGGGATTATTAAATTTTTTCCTGTGGAGTTGTTTGAACTCTTTATATATTCTGGTTATTAATCCCTTGTCAAATGGGGAGTTTGCAGATATTTTCTCCCATTCTGTGGGTTGTCTCTTCACTTTGTTGATTGTTTCCTTTGCTGTGCAGTAGCTTTTTAATTTGATGTTATCCCGTTTGTCCATTTTCGCTTTGGTTGCCTGTCCTTGTGGGGTATTACTCAAGAATTTTTTTTTTGCTCAGACCAGTGTCCTGGAGAAGCATCTTTATTTTTAAAGCCATTCATAAGAAGTAGATTTATACATAGTGTATAAATAAATCTGTGCTTCACAGGTGCTGTTCTAAGGTATTAGGAAGAATTGGTTAATCAAGAAACTAAGTTGGTCTTTATCCCCTGAAAAAGTCAAGAGGGTAAAAGCAAAGTCAGTGATAATGAATTTTTGCCAATTTTTAATTTTTCAGGGTGTCCTTTGGTAGTAATAGAACATGAAATTTTAGGGGTTCAATCATGAGGCACCAAAGTAATTTTTGTATCCAGTCAAGATGCCTGTAATTTTTGGTGTAATTGTGAAGGGTTTGGGTTGAACTGTTTTGAATAGCCATTTTTTGGTTCATTATACTTTCTCTGAGTATCATGTTTCTTTCTTTTCTTTTTTTGAAAGTCACTTCAGAGAGTTCTTATTCCATCTCCTGGGGCATCCAAATGCTGAAGCTTCCATTAAGGATGGTTTCATTTCTCCTCAAGTGCAATGTTCCCATGCAGAGGCGGATAAATCTCAAGTTTCATATTTGTCTAGGAAGCCCTTCTCGCCTCCCAGGCTTGAAATATGAGTGGACTAGCCTATTGTTTGCTTTAAGCTCTCCTAGTTTTGAAGTCTCATAGCAAATGAACATTTATTGTCAGAGAAATAAGATTTATATAATCGGTGGCTTTCAGTGGTCTGCAAACATTTTTAGTTGGGGGAGGGGAGTGATGCTACTGACGTCTGGTGAGTATGGGTCAGTGATACTGTTAAACACCTTACAGTGCTCAGGACATTTCCCTCCATGACAAAGAATTACCTGGTCCAAAATATCAGGAGTGCTGAGCTTGAGAAACTCTGACATATGTGAAATAGCTGGTGAATAGTATAAAGACAGTATATAGCTCTTTGCTGACTTGAGTGTTCCAAAAATGCTAGCATACTTCAAGATTAGATCAGTTTGAACTGAAATGGTCTGGGAAGATTTCTTGGAGAGGAGACAGACTTTAAGCTAGAAACAAAATGCTGTATTTAGAATAAAGCAAGGCAAACACCGCAGTTGAAAGAAATAACTTTAGCAAAGTCCCTGAGAGTAGACCGTGGCTTTGTGGAACACAAGAGGGAAAATCAATGTAACTAGAGGCAAAATTAGATAGGAAGGATAAGACAGTGAGATCAGATGATGGTTCTCTAATGGCAGGTTGGAAGTTTGTCCTTAAATATGATATGGGAGCAGGAGTCTTAAATAGAAGAGTAACATAGTGGGTGAGTATTTTGGAAAGACTAATGGTGTTGGTTGTTTTAGGAAGACAGAATAGATTGGAGTAGAGAGAGCTAGCAGAGGGAAGATAAAATAAGATTCTTGGGATAAGCAAGCTGGGCGTGGTGGTGCATGCCTGTAGTCCCAGCTACTTGGGAGGTTGAGGTGGGAAGATCGCTTGAGCCCAGGAATTTGAGGCTGCAGTGAGCTATGATTACACAACTGCACTCTATCCTGAGCAACAGAGTGAGGCCCTGACTCAAAAAGAAAAAAAAAATTCTTGGAATAATCTAGTGTGAACAATGAATCTTGTAGCAATTGGAATGGAAAGAAAGTAAGGCAGATTTGTAACCATTTGCCTTCCCTTCTAGAAACTTTATATATGTATCTTATTAGAAAGTTATTTGTTAGCATAAAGGTGATACTTGAAACAGGATTTGAACTCTGTGGAATGTAGTATATAGGGAGGGCTTAGGGACAGACTGTAGTAAAAATACAGTGGAGGAAAAGAGAGAAAGGAGGAAAAATAGAATAATATGGTGTCATGATATCCAAGAGTTTTAAGATGGAGGCAGTTAGCAATAGTAGAAGCCACTGAGATGTGAGATGAAGAATGAGGGTATTAGGGTACAGCTGTTAGATTTACTAAGAAGTAGTTTTGAAAGATCCTTTTCAATGGAAAAGTGGGGACAGAATCAAATTTCAAGCAATTAGAGAGTAGAAAAAAGTTAGTAATTGATGGCAGTAGCTGAATATTGATCATGAAAGGAGTTTGATCACAAAAGAAAGAGAGAAATAAGACAGTCTGGATCTATTTCTTATCTCTGGTATATTTACTTTGTTTCCAGTTATAAAGGAACTGGTGGTATCTGCTGGAGAGAGTGTCCAGATAACCCTGCCTAAGAATGAAGTTCAATTAAATGCATATGTTCTCCAAGAACCACCTAAAGGTAAACATCCCCTTACATTTGGATAACCGTTTTTTGTTTTTGAAAGAGATGGAGTCTTGCTGTGTTGTCCAGGCTGGTCTCAAACTCCTGGGCTCAGGAGATCCTCCCACCTTAGTCTTCCTAGTAGCTGGAACTACTGGCATACACTACCACTCCTGGCCCTTATCTTTTTCCCTCCTCTGACTTCCTGTCAGGAAAAAATGTATTTTTTTTAAGTTACAAATTTATATTAGCAGTCATCTTGAATAACTTCTTTCTAAGTTCTACATCTGCTATTTACTGGTTGTTTGACCAAAATAAACAGATTAATCTGAGTCTCAGTTTCTTTCTCTTAAAATGGATTTAAATACAACCTAATAAATATGTTCTATATTAATAAGCATCAGCTATATGCTAGGCACTAAACTGGTAACTTATCTACTATCTCATTTTGCCCTTAAAGTAATCTTATGAGGTAGGAATTATTATCCCCATTTTATTGAGAAAGAAATGGAAATTAAGAGAAGTCATTTACTTAGATTCACACAGATAATGAGTGGCTCAGCTGAGATTTGAACCCAAGCGTGACATCAAAGCCTGTGATCTCAAACCCTACATTATATAGTACCTCTCATATTCCATAAATATTTGTGCATACCCGGGTTATATCCTATCCTCACAGGACCGTTGTAAGGACCATCGTTTCCCATAGTGAGAACCCTGTCCCTGGGGGAAAAAAAAGCTAAGCCTAATGTGATATACAAAATTCAAGTTTATAAAATATATAAAGTATGGATGATTAATTCATTATTTAAGAAAACTTTTGTAATATGAACATTACTTTCACCTTTGAAGTATGTGTTAATATACCAAAGTTTGACTTACAAACACATATGGGTTCTCTTAACACTATTTAGGACTTGAGTGGTACATACTTTGATGGAAATTGAGCCAGTTGGGTTTATGTTATCATTAAAAGGTTAGTCAAGTAGAATGTCCTTCCCTATTTAGGATGGGGTCCTTCCATTTTAGGTACACACATCTCCAATACAGTATTCTTAATTTCTAGGCCTAATACCAAATAGCATATTAATGCAAAAAGTACTTTTCCAGAAGCAAAATGCCCTGTCTGTTCTATATTTCTGCTCTCAAATCGAGGTTTCCTTATCAATTCATTTCACATTCCTCTAGAGAAGCTTTTTCCTTTCTTCCTCTGGTGACAAGTTAAGGTGATTGGGTTTAGTGGCTTTTGAAGTTGGAGGTGAGGGACTGCCTTGAGCTGTTGATTACTACCATTCTTTTGTGAAAGACATGTTTGGCTCTACTGTATTTTCTTTCCTAACCCATATTTGCATGTACCTTTCTGTGGGTTACTATCATTTTGTAGATCAGTGTTTCAAAACATGTTAGTTTAGAAATAGATTCTTTGGCCAGGCACGGTGGCTCACACTTGTAATCCTGGTACTTTGGGAGGCTGAGGTGGGTGAATCACCTTAGGTCAGGAGTTCAAGACCAGCCTGGCCAACGTGGCGAAACCCCATCTCTACCAAAAATACAAAAAAATTAGCTGGGTGTGGTGGTGGGCACCTGTAATCCCAGCTACTTGAGAGGCTGAGACAGGAGAATCGCTTGAACCCAGGAGGCGGATGTTGCAGTCAGCCAAGATTGTGCCATTGCACTCCAGCCTGGGTGACAGAGCAAGACTCTGTCTCAAAAAAAAAGAAAAAAAAAAAAAAAAAAAAAAAGGCTGGGCGCAGTGGCTCATGCCTGTAATCCCAGCACTTTGGGAGGCTGAGGCGGGCAGATCACCTGAGGTCAGGAGTTCAAGACCAGCCTGGCCAGCATGGTGAAACCCCATCTCTACTAAAAGTAAGCCAGGCGTGATGGTGGGCGCCTGTAATCCCAGCCACTGGGGAGGTTGAGGCTTGAGAATTGCTTGAACCCAGGAGGCGGAGGTTGCAGTGAGCCAAGATTATGCCACTGCACTCCAGCCTGGGTGGCAGAGAGAGACTCCATCTCATTAAAAAAAAAAAAAAAAAGGGAAATAGATTATTTTCTCCTGTCCTCTCTCCAGGTTCTTCCACCTTTATTAGATATGTGAGATGGATGGTTTCAAACTTCCAAAGGTTGGGGGTGATGAGGCAGGACCAATTCTGCATGCTCTTTATCCTTCTCCTGCCCTATGGCAGCCCATTAGGATCCCTCCAGGTCCATTTTCAAAACCACTGTCCGGCTGGGCGTGGTGGCTCATGCCTGTAATCCTAGCACTTTGGGAGGCTGAGGCAGGCAGATCCTGACTTGAGGTCAGAAGTTTGAGACCAGCTTGGCCAACATGGTGAAACTCTGTTTATACTAAAAATACAAAAATTAGCCAGACGTGGTGGTACGTGCCTGTAATCCTAGCCACTTGGGAGGCTGAGGCAGGAGGATCACTTGAACCTGGGAGGCAGAGGTTGCAGTGAGCTGAGATTGCACCACTGCACTCCAGCCTGGGCAACAGCAAGACTTCATCTCAATCAGTCAGTCAGTCAATAGAACAAACGAACGACTGTCCTCAGTCACTGCAACCAGCACTCTTTCTAACAGAGTTACACTCAGTTGTTCCTACCTTTGAACATATTTCTGCCTGCGAGGCATAATTCATCCCCTGAGCTTTTCTGTCCTAGGAATATTGTCCTGTTTTGAAATTTATGTTGCTAGCCTTAGCTATTATAAAATTATCTGTTCCCAAACTGTTTTCTACATGGAAAAGAATTTCCAGCTACAGTTGGAAGAAATGTCTCTGAGTACAAGTCCTGCTTGTGCTGCTTCTTTCCGTCTCCTCTCGTAACATAACTACTACATACTATATACGTTTGTGAGAGCTGTTGGCGCTGACAACTGGCCAAAAAAATTCTTGTTTTGGAGGAGGAAGGAAGGAAGGAAGAAGACCTTGTCTCCCAGGATTATAAAATAAAATTGGTCTTCAGATGAAGGATATCTTGGAATTAGGTTCTGTGTACTGATTTTAACATTTGAACTCATGAAATAAGAAAAAGATGACCACTCTCTGCTAAGTGTTTCAGGTTTTTTTTTCCCCCTTTTTCTTTTTTACTTTTGGTTAGTAACTTAAACTAAACCTTCCTACCAAAGTCCTCCCTTCCCTAATCAGAAATGCATTTTGATCCAAAAAAATTTAAGACTACTTTTTCTGGGGAGGGATGCCATTTAGATAGGATCCTACCATTGCCTTACCTAGTGATATAGTCTGACCTGCAAGTGGGTACCATTTAATGCTTCATTTGATTTTAATTAATTTCACTGGGCCTGTTTTAAATGGGCCATCTCCTACCATCTTCTGCAGTGTGTTATTTAGCTCAGCAGGAATGAAGTAGCTCTTTTAACTCACCAGGGTGTGATGACCTCAGTGAGACGAGCATTGTTAGCACTCTGTAAAAAGCTATTTTTGAACCATGTTATTTAGAAGTCATTGCTGTTCTTTGTTGCAAAAGAAGTTTTGCAAGAAAATGGCCTTTGTTCCCAATGAGTTCATCTATAATGGTTGGTCGGACATGTATTTTCAGTGGTATGCCACACCATGAGCAACCTGGTATTTTTTAGGGAGGATTGGCCCTGAGAGGGTCGGTATAGGGCAGGAATAAGCATTGTTGGGAGAGAGTTGGAAGAAGCCCTAACTGTAGCTGAGTCAGCAGCATTCGCTCTTTCTTTCAGCAGATGGTTTGGTTTCCCTACAGGCTTTGGGGTGAAATCTTAAAAACTAAAGCCTTGTCAAGATCAGAAGAGATTTGTTATTGGCAGGCTATGTGGCTGTCCTCTTTGTGTGTTGGTGTGTGTTTTCATGATTTTTGTAACTGCCCTTCTATAGGAGAAACCTACACCTACGACTGGCAGCTGATTACTCATCCTAGAGACTACAGTGGAGAAATGGAAGGGAAACATTCCCAGATCCTCAAACTATCGAAGGTGAATTTGCCTCCTTTCACTTGCAGGGCAAAGGTAGAGGAGTTGACTGTTTTCTAAAATGAATATCATATAATTTTCTGTCTACACTTAAGTTGTAAACAGTCTTTTAGAAATGAATCCTCCAAAAATCTGACTGGCTGACATCCAGTATTTGTTAGTGTATGATTCTCAAAATTTCATTTATGGTAAGAAGACTGTACCAGCATGGTAGTGGTGGCTGAAAATATACACTAAACGGCTTTTAAGGCTAACTTAAGGATTTTAGAATTTGGGATAAGCTAGGTTATTTGTGGCCACATGACTGCATACATTCACTCAGCCTTTGTGGGATTCAGTATAGGTTTTTTCTTTTTTTTTTTTTTTTTTTTTTGAGACAGGGTCTTGCTCTGTCACCTAGGCCGAAGTGCAGTGGTGTGATCACGGCTCACTGCAGTCTTGACTTCCCAGGCTCAAGCAATCCTCCTACCTCAGCCTCCTGAGTAGCTGAGACTGCAGGGTCATGCCATTATACCTGGCTAATTTTTGTATTTTTTATAGAGATAGAGTCTCATCATATTGCCCAGGCTGGTCTTGAACACCTGGTCTCAAGCAGTCCTCCCATCTCAGCCTTCCAAAGTGCTGGGATTACAGGTGTGAGCCACCATGCCCAGCCTAAGTACAGTTATTGACAGATCTAAAATGTTTGTATTTGGCTGGGCGCAGTGGCTCCCGCCTGTAATCCAAGCACTTTGGGAGGCTGAGGTGGGGTGGGACAACTGCTTGAGGCCACGAGTTTGAGAAGAGACTGGGAAACATGGCAAGACCCTGTCTCTACAAAAAATTAAAAATTAGCTGGGTGTGGTGGTTCATACCTGTAGTCCCAGCCGGTCAGGAGGCGGAGGTGGGAGGATCACTTAAACCCAGGAGTTTAAGGCTGCAGTGAGCTATGATCATACTACTGCCCTAAAGCCCAGGTGACAAAGTGAGATCTTTTCTCTAAGAAAAAAGTTTGTATTCTTTGGCCCAGCAGTCTCATTTAGTCATTCATTCTACATCTATTCATTGTACACTGGTCATGTGGCAGGCATTGGGGATTTACCAGAGAATTAGTTATAATTTTAATGTTCAAGAACAATAGAGTCTAGTAGGTGATACTGATAGGAAGCAGGTAATTATAACAGGTGGCACACTAGGTCAGTGCAGAGGGTCAATGAAGCCTTGGAAAGGTAGAGTGGATTTCTTAGAGTGACTGACTTACTAGGTAAAGGGTGAAGGGATAATACCTCAAGCAGAAGAAGCAACATGTCCACTGGGCCAAAAATGGGAGCGAAAATGTGGGGAAAGGGGAATTTATATGTGGTTGTGACTAAGTTGGAAAGATGCAGGGGCCAGATGGAGCAAAAGCCTTATATGCCGGATTAAGGACTTTGAATCTTATCCAGAAGGAATATGGAGCCCTTGAAAGGCTTTAAGCAAGAGAAACACATGTTTAGATCTTCAGATTAGAAAAATCACCTGACTACAGATTGGAGGAGATAAGACTCAAACTATAGAGGTCAGTGAGGAATCTGTTGAAAAATTTAGGTGTAAAATGGTAGTAGCCTGAGTGAAAGAACTAAATAAGTAAAATTGAAAACCACCAGCCTAGACAACATGGTGAAACTCTAACTCCACAAAAAATACAAAAATTAGTTGGGTGTGGTGGCATGTGCCTGTGGTCCCAGCTACTCAGGAGGGTGAGGTGGGAGGATCGCTTGAGCCCAGGAGGTAGAGGTTGCAGTGAGCCATGATCATGCTACTGCACTCCAGCCTGAGCAACAAAGTGAGACTGTGTCTCAAAAAATAAAAATAAAAACCACCTATTGAATTCATACCATGTGCCATACCCAGTGCCGATTATTTTGTACACTTATTTCTTTTAATCTTCGTAACAATCCCAGGATGTAGGTATTACTATCTTTTTTACAAATGACAAAACTAAAAACTGGAGAAATGAAGTGATTTGGCCAGAGTTCACAAAGGTATTAAATGGTAGGTCTAAACTGGAGCTTTCCATCTCTAAAGGCCATGCCTTTAATAATTGTGCTATGACAAGTGGTTAAGAACTAAGGTGATGGCAGTGTGGATGGAGACAAGTGAGTAGATTGGAAAAATAATACGGAGTTTGACTTGATAAAATTTGATGATTGATGAACTGGTTGGGGATGTTGGGGAAGAGAAGTCCAGGATAATTCTAGCTTTTTGGCTTAGGTATCTGGGTGGATGTTCATTGAAATGAGGAGCACAGAAGGAGAAGCAAGTTTTAAGGAGAAGTTTGCAGATGATTAATTCATTTTTGGACAGAGTGAGTTTGAGGTACCTGTGAGACATTTGAATTGAGTTGTCCTGTTAGTAGCTGGGGGAAAGGGACTGGAGGTCAAAAGACAAGTCTGGGCTGGAGAGATATATTTGCACATCAACCTCAAATAGATGATTTTTGAAGCCACAGCAATAGATAAAATCAACCAGGGAGAGTGTGCAGAGTGAAGAAATAAGCAGGCTGAGGTTGGAATCCTGGGAACACCCATCATTTAAGGGATGGAGGGTAGAGGAAACTGAAGGAAATGAAGTGTGAGCACAGAAGTAAAAGCCAAGAAGAAGAGTGTTATAAAGAGGAAATAGCCAAAGATACTACTTGTGGTTCAATTAGTATTTACCCAAAGAAAATACTTCAAAAGAAAGAAAGAAAGAAAAAAAAAAACATTTGCCTGGAAGATGTTTGTTACAGCATTAGTCATAATAGTAAAAATTTGGAAACAACCCAAGTATCGAACAATTAGAAATGCTTATGTGAAATTTGACACATTTGTTCATATACTGCTTTGTGGTCGTTAAAATAAATATTAAAAAGATTGTGGCTGGGTGCAGTGGCTCAAGCCTGTAATCCCAGCACTTTGGGAGGCCGAGGTGGGTGGATCACCTGAGGTCAGGAGTTCAAGACCAGCCTGGCCAACATGGCAAAACCCATGTCTCTACTAAAAATAAAAAATTAGCTGGGAATGGTGGTGCAGGCCTGTAGTCCCAGCTACTTGGGAGGCTAAGGCATGAGAATCACTTGAACCCAGGAGGCAGCAGTTGCAGTGAGTCAAGATTGCATCACTGCTCTCCAGCCTGGGTGACAGGGTGAGATTCTGTCTCAAAAAAAAAAAAAAGATTGTATGATTGTATTATAGTAGGGAAGGTGTTCATGCTAAATGAATGGAAGAAAGAACAATAGAAAGTTTGATACCTTGATTTTAGCTAGAACTTTGAATACCACTGAAATATGAGCTCCTTGAAGATAGAGATCTTACCTTATTCGTATCCAAACTACAAGCCTAGGACAATGACTGGTACATGATTTGGTTTCAGTAAATGTTTGTTAAACGAATGAGCTGTACACAACTATTATTTTAATATGTGGTCAAGAGTTAGAAGGAAATGGAGAAATTTGATGAGTTGATGTGTTATGATAGTGATATGCTGGGTACTTTTTTGTTTTTTTTTTATATTAAGTTTATAAATTAGTAAAAATCAGGAGGGAAAAATATTCAGATATTTGGGAACTATTTAGTATCTTTACAAAATGTTTTTCTTTGAAGTGATGATTATTTTAATTTCGTAACTCTGTGGAGTGGGATATTCGGGCCCTTAATGTTCTTCTGAAAAGAAAATGGGAGTACAGAGATATTTGAAATCCCTTCTGTTGTTCTAGAGTCAGCTACTCATAAGATTCACATTAAAAGGGTTTTTTTTTTTTTCAGTTCGTTGTTTATCTCTTCAGCTAGTTTACTTTTTCTTGCTGGAGTGCAGTGACATGATCTCGGCTCACTGTAACCTCCACCTCCCGGGCTCAAGCCCTCCTTTCACCTCAGCCTACTAAGTAGCTGGGACTACAGGTGTGTGCCACCACACCTGGCTAATTTTTGTATTTTTGGTAGAGATGGGGTTTTGGCATATTGCCCAGGCTGGTCTTGAACTCAGGAACTCAAGTGATCCACCCGCCTCCTCCCAAATTGCTAGGATTACAGGCTACTTTACCTTTTCCATTTTGGAAATAGGGGAAGGAAAGAGTGAAAGATTCAGCTTGGGAAAGTTCAGATATATCTTATTTTAAATGTAATTCCTGCTCTTTGTGATTGTCTAAGAGATCTTCTCTCACTTCTGCAGCTCACTCCAGGCCTGTATGAATTCAAAGTGATTGTAGAGGGTCAAAATGCCCATGGGGAAGGCTATGTGAACGTGACAGTCAAGCCAGGTATGTTTTCAGCCCTGGCTGTGTCTCCCTTCCTCCCTCTGCAGGACTCCTGAGGAGATAGAGATTTGATTTGGGGTTTTTGATTCTCATTTTTTTTGTAATGTATTTATTCAGCAATTCCTAGTTCAATGTGGTGAATAGTTACAATAGCAAAATACAGACTTTGTTCCAACAGTGCTCTAGTTGGAATGCTGAGCTGGACACATGGCCCACAGTGCAGTATGGCCTAAGCAATAACTTATCTACCGAGACCTACTTCTTCAAGTGGGCCATGCTGAGAGGGACCATGAGTTGTAATTAACAGACACAGGGAAGCCAAGAGCCTAGGAGAAGCATGCAGAAGGAGAACCAGCCAAGTGACCAGCTCTTTCTGATCTCTTTCCAGAGATGTGAGCCTTTGTACACAGAGTTCCTCATTTAAACACTACCAGTCTCTTTCACCTTGGTAACAAAATCATGTCATTCTTTTAAAATGAACCACTGTAGGTAGATCACAGTGCAGTAGGAAGGAATCTTATTTTGCATTTTCAGAGAAATTTAAGAGAAGATGGGCAGTTGTATTAGTACATTTTCATGGTGCTGATAAAGACATACCTGAGACTGGGCAATTTACAAAAGAAAGAGGTTTAATGGACTTACAGTTCCACGTGGCTGGGGAGGCCTCACAATCATGGTGGAAGACAAGGAGGAGCAAGTCACGTCTTATGTAGATGACAACAAGCAAAAAGAGAGTTTGTGCAAGGAAACTCCCATTTTTAAAACCATCAAATCTCATTCACTATCACAAGAACAGCATAGGAAAGACCTGCCCCCATAATTCAATTACCTCCCACCAGGTTCCTCCCACTGGGTTCCTCCCACAACACGTGGGAATTGTGGGAGTTACAATTCAAGATGAGATTTGGGTGGGGACACAGCCAAACCATATCATTCCACCCCTGGCCCCTCCCAAATCTCATGTCCTCACATTTCAAAACCAGTCATGCCTTCCCAACAGTCCCCCAAAGTCTTAACTCGTTTCAGCATTAACTGAAAAGTCCACAGTCCAATGTCTCATCTGAGACAAGGCAAGTCGATTCTGCCTATGAGCCTGTGAAATAAAAGCAAGTTAGTTACTTCCTAGGTACAATGGGGGTACAGGCTTGGATAAATATAGCCGTTCCAAATGGGAGAATTTGGCCAAAACAGAGGGGTTACAGGCCCCATGCAAGTGCAGAATCCAGCAGGGCAGTCAAGTCTTAAAACTCCAAAATGATCTCCTTTGACTCCATGTCTCACATCCAGGTCATGCTGATGCAAGAGGTGTGTTGCTATGGTCTTGGGCAGCTCTACTCCTGTGGCTTTGCAGGGTACAGCCTCCCTCTCAGCTACTTTCACAGCCTGGCGTTGAGTGTCTGCGGCTTTTCCGGGTGCATAGTGCAAGCTGTCAGTGGATTTACCATTCCAGGGTCTGGAGGACAGTGGCCCTTTTCTCACAACTCCACTAGACAGTTCCCCAGTAGGGACTGTGTGGGCCTCCAACCCCATATTTCCCTTCTGCACTGCCCTAGCAGAGGTTCTCCATGAGAGCCCCGCCTCTGCAGCAGACATCTGCCTGGACATCCAGGTGTTTCCATACATACTCTGAAATCTAGGCGGAAGTTCCCAAACCTCAATTTTTGACTTCTGTGTACTTGCAGGCTCAACACCACATGGAAACTGCCAAGACTTGAGGCTTGCACCCTCTGAAGCCACAGCCTGAGCTCTACATTGGCCCTTTTCAGCCATGGCTTGAGCAGCTGGGATGCAGGGCACCAAGTCCCTAGGCTGCACACAGCACTGAGAACCTGGGCCTGGCCCACGAAACCATTTTTCCCTCCTAGGCCTCCAGGCCTCCAGCCCCTGTGAGGGCTGCTATGAAGCCCTCTCACATGCCCTAGAGACATTTTCCCCATTTTCTTGGGGATTAACTTTCAGCTCCTCATTACTAATGCAGATTTGTGAAGCCAGCTTGAATTTCTCCTTAGAAAATGGGATTTTGTTTTCTATTGCATTGTCAGGCTGCAAATTTTCTGAACTTTTATGTTCTACTTCCCGTATAAAACTGAATGCCTTTAACAGCACCCAAGTCACCTCTTGAATGCTTTGCTCTTTAGAAATTTCTTCTGCCAGATTCCCTAAATCATCTCTCAAGTTCAAAGTTCTGCAGATCTCTAGGGCCGGGGCAAAATGCTGCCAGTCTCTGCGAAAACATAGCAAGAGTCACCTTTGCTCCAGTTCCCAACAATTTCCTCATTTCCATCTGAGACCACTTCAACCTGAACTTTATTGTCCATATTGCTATTAGCATTTTGGGCAAAGCCATTCAACAAGTCTCTAGGAAGTTCCAAACTTTCCCACATTTTCCTGTCTTCTTCTGAGCCCTCCAAACTGCTTGAACCTCTACCTGTTACCCAGTTGCAAAGTTGCTTCCACATTTTTGGATATCTTTTCAGCAGCACCCTACTCTACTGGTACCAATTTACTGTGTCAGTATGTTTTCACACTGCTGATAAAGACATGCCCGAGACTGGGCAATTTACAAAAGAATGAGTTTTAATGGACTTAGAGTAGCACGTGGCTGGGGAGGCCTCACAACCATGGCAGAAGGCAAGGAGAAGCAAGTCATGTCTTACATGGATGGCAGCAGGCAAAAAGAGAGCTTGTGCAGAGTAACTCCTGTTTTTAACACCATCAGATCTTGTGAGACTCATTCACTATCATGAGAACAGCACAGGAAAGACCCACCCCCATAATTTAATCACCTCCCACCAGGTTCCTCCCATGAGGTGGGAATTGTGGGAGTTACAATTCAAGATGAGATTTGAGTGGAGACACAGCCAGACCATATCAACAGTGGTACATATACAGCATAAATTCTCAATGCTCTTTTCTTTCTTGGTAATAGATTTTCTTTTCATTCCTTGTACTTTGTAGCCAAGATAATCCTTTCACCTTCTTAAAAATGTGATCAGCATCAAGACCATTTGATCATTTTGCAAAGAAAATGCCATGGATTTGTAGCACACAGTCATTTGGGTGGACCAGAGTGGTTTGTGACCTTCCCATCACTTAACCCATAGTTAGTTCACATACAGTGAGCTCTAGGATGGTTGAGAAACCACCCATCAGCTTTTCAGCACAGTCTGTGCCAAGGGACGGTTTGATTGCCAAGGTCTTTATTGCCCACAGCTTGTTTGTTGTCTGCTTCTAGTCAGGCTTGGCTGAAAGGAGTCACTTGCTGCTGTAGTACTTTTCATCAACTAGATAGCACATGAGCATTGAAAGAATACACAGGGCATGGTCTTAGGAATGGTCAGATTTGGAAGAGGCTTTTATACTCCGAAGTGTCTTATGTTAGAATGGCAGTCTGGTCTTGTGACTCTCCTGTGTGGTGATGCTTCAATCATTAATTATGTAATGCAGGGGTCCCCAGCCCCAAGGCCATGGACTGCTATCTGTCCGTGGCCTGTTAGGAACTGGGCTGCACAGCAGGAGGTAAATGGCGGGTGAGTGAGCACTACTGCCTGAGCTCTGCCTCCTGTCAGATCAGTGATGGCATTAGATTCTCACAGGAGGATGAACCTTATTGTGAACTGCACACGCAAGGGATCTAGGTTGTACACTCCTTTTGAGGCTCTAATCCCTGATGGTCTGAGGTGGAAGTTTCATCCCAAAACCATGCACTGCACCCCAGCCCCCAACCCCCACCACCCGTTCATGGAAAAATTGTCTTCCACAAAACTGGTCCCTGGTGCCAAAAAGGCTAGGGACCACTGATGTAATGGAAATTGATTTATAATCCTCTCAGATACAGCCTGCTCCTGTAATTTCTGAAGCCTCTTTCCCAATTTCTTTTGGGTCACTTTCTTGCAGAGCCCCGTAAGAATCGGCCCCCCATTGCTATTGTGTCACCTCAGTTCCAGGAGATCTCTTTGCCAACCACTTCTACAGTCATTGATGGCAGTCGTGAGTACTTGTCTAAGTATGATGTTTTAGAAGAACATTCACCGTGTACTCTGATAGAAAACTCTAGTAGAAGATTTGGGGCCAGCTGTGTCTGCGTTCTGTTTAGGCCAGTCATCTTGACCATGTTAGGGGAAGGCCAACCATCTGAAGCAACTGACTGAAAAGCAACACACCAGACAGGCCTTCTTTAAAATCCCCAGGTAGCCTATTTGAAGTAATATTTCCACTTTGAGATGGTAAGAAACTGAAACTATGCATGTAATTAGCATGATTTTAGTTGAAACTCACTGGTTTTCAGATTTGCTTAGTTGGAGTTGCCTTTTTCATTCATGGAACCAAAGTTCCTTCCAATCATAGCAAGGTAAGTAACTGGGAGGCCTGACTGAGGAGCTTTTACCCAGCCATCACTTGCCTAACGAGATTCTCATCAGCCGCCTCCTGGAGACACTCACAGAATGCACTCCACACCCTGGTCTGGGCTTCTTAACATTTTACTCTTCAGAGTAGTGTCATCCAGTGAGTGACATGAGAGGATTTTGGGTCTTTGCCCTTAATTGTGGCTGTATGGTGCAAGAGGTTTCAGACCTATCCTCTCACCAGTATTTGCTTGGTTTTTGGTTTTGTTTTGTTTTGTTTTGTTTTGATTTTTTGAGACCGGTTAAGGTCCTTTACCCTGACTGTCTTGGCACCAGCGATGGTTTTTGGGAGAGGCAGTCACAGCTTTAGCAGAGGACCCTCTAACAAGGTTAAGCGTTTGATGTTGATGGTGCTGGCAAGAAGAGGAGGCTAGGAGGATGATAGTAGGCCAGGAGGGAAGAGAGGGAACAGGAAGAAGCCCTTGTGATAGAGAGTGGTAGAAAGGGCTCACGTTGTACTGTTTTATTTTACAGTTTTGAATAGGTGAAAGTTAAATAAATATGCAAATGTATACAGTGAAAAGAATCATACTATCCGTGTGTCCTAAGTGTCCGGTTTTCCTCCAGACAGTCAATGGTGTTATTATTTTATGAATCCTTTTAGAGATATTTTATACATATATAAGAAAATATATATATAGTCCTTCTGTCTTGTGTTTACACAAATGAAAGCACATTATATGTGCTGTTATGTGTGATGCTTGTTTTTGTATGTTGGAGAATTTTTCTTTTTTTTTTGAGACAGAGTTTCGCTCTTCTTGCCCAGGCTGGAGTGCAATGGCACAATCTTGGCTCACTGCAACCTCCACCTCCTGGGTTCAAGCAATTCTCCTGCCTCAGCCACCTGAGTAACTGGGATTACAGGCACGCACCATCAAGCCTGGCTAATTTTGTATTTTTAATAGAGACGGGGTTTGTCCATGTTGGTCAGGCTGGTCTCAAACTCCTGACCTCAGGGGATCCGCCCACCTCAGCCTCCCAAAGTGCTGGGATTACAGGCATGAGCCACCATGCCTGGCCTAGAGAATTTTTCTTAATCAACACATAAGATGCTTATTCTTTTTTTTAAAAAATGATTAAGTAGCATTCCATCATATAGATGTATAATTTCATTGTACGAGTTCTTACTTGTTTTCAGTCAATCTCTATTGATGACCATTTAGATTACTTTCATTCTTTTGCTATTACAAACAATGTTACCATGAATAATCTTGTAAACATGATGTTTAACACATGTACAAGTATATTTTTAGGATAAATTCATAGAAGAATCGCAGGGGCAGAGATAAATATTGCCAAAGTACTCATTATAGAGGTTGTGTCAGTTTATGCTTATACCATGACTAATGAGAGGTCCTCTTTCTCCACACCTTTACCAATATAATGTGTTATGAAATTTTGGTCTTTACCAATTTTGTAGGTTAAAAAAATGCTATCTCAAGTGTAAATTAATTTGCATTTCTTTTAAGTGAGGTTGGGTATTTTTTCATGTGTTTAAGAATTATTGCTTTTCCTTTCTTCATACAGTAGTATTTTAACCAGAGGTTGCCTGTGTTGGAGTTCTTGGAAAACTACACAGTAGAATATACATAGAGAGGCAGAATGACCCAGTATTCCTAGGGAAGAAACATTCTGGAGAGATAGTCTGTAATTTCATGAAGTTTTCCTAGCTTCAAATCTCTGGGTAGTTGTCCTGGTTTGTGTAAACTGGATAAGTGCTAAGACCAAGCGTTCTCATGTTGTAACTGATGTTTCTTTATGGTCAAGAAAGCACTGATGATGATAAAATCGTTCAGTACCATTGGGAAGAACTTAAGGGGCCTCTAAGAGAAGAGAAGATTTCTGAAGATACAGCCATATTAAAACTAAGTAAACTCGTCCCTGGGAACTACACTTTCAGGTAAATTAGGATTCAGCTTCAAGTTTACCATAGGCCATTTTTTTGCCTCTCGTGGGTTTTACATTGTTATATGAGTAACTTTGACAAATATCAAATTCACTGTGGAGTTGGTTGATAATACAGCTTTTGGTTCCATTGGTTCTCTGAGCCCTATGGTGATTGTGATTACAACAATGGTAACTTTTTAGGGCAAAGGTTCTTGTATAGTAGATCAGGATCTGCCACAGTTAATCTTTCTCAAGCCTTATCTGGCAGGTCTCCAAAAATTTTTTTTAGGATTTCTGTTGTTAAATGAAAAGGCCCATCTTCCTTTGCCTCTTCTCAGGCAAAATCTGAAAGACCTACTCTCATTTTTTTCTTCCCTTTGGAAAATGCTTCCTCAGCTTACGTACCTCATAATCTTTATGTTTGACTAGTGGTTTTCATTCTCTGCTGGGGCTTTTGGGGAATTTGATTCAAAGAAAGTACATTTGGGGAGCTAGTATTGATATTCTAGAGTGATTACTAAAGCTTTGAAGCTGACTCTAGAGTAATCCTCCTTATGTTTGCGTAATTCCTTGTATGTTAAAAAGCACTTGTATTAATATATGAGTATCATACAAACATGATATATAGATGATACTATCTTCATTTGACAGCTAAGAAAAATGAGGCTTCTCTGAAGTCTCACAGCTGGAACTTAAATGCACATTTTCTTTTTTTTTTTTTGAGACAGAGTCTTGCTCTGTCGCCCAGGCTGGGGTGCAGTGGCGTGATTTCGGCTCACTGCAAGCTCTGCCTCCCGGATTCATGCCGTTCTCCTGCCTCAGCCTCCCGAGTAGCTGGGACTACAGGCACCCACCACCACGCCCGGCTAATTTTTTTGTATTTTTAGTAGAGACCGTGTTAGCCAGGATGGTCTTGATCTCCTGACCTTGTGATCCACCCGCCTCAGCCTCCCAAAGTTCTGGGATTACAGGTGTGAGCCACCGTGCCTGGCCCTAAATGCAGATTTTCTAATCCTGAAGTCAGGGTTCATTCCACTTCACTCCTTGACTTGATCCATGTATTTTGTTCATACTTCCTTTAATTCCCTTCTCAATCTGTTCAAGTTTTGCCCATCCTTAAGAACCTCCTCAATTTCCATGAGGTTCTCTGAGATCCCTCCAGACAGGAGAGAATATGGCTCTCCTCTTTCCCTATTGCACTCAGGGCCTCTATGTGGCATTTACCATAGTGTGACAGTTTATCCATGTCTATCTGTCTTCCCATGAATCTGAGATTAACCAAATTTTAGATGGTGCCAGAGACACAGAAATGAGTATCCTAGCACAATACCTACCATATAAATCAATATGCAACTTCTGACTTAGCAGGATTTCCATTGATTCAACACTTCAGGTGAATGAAAAGTAGCTGCCAGTACAACAAGATTGGAGCCTTCTACGTCGCTTAAAATGGACATTTGAGCTGGTTTTCACCTTAGATTTCTAATGTCGGAATTTTTCTATTTACAGAATTCAGCTTGGGCCAGGTTGATCCTTTTAAAACATAGTAACAATGATAGCTGATATTTCTTGAACATTTACTATGTGCTAAATACTATTCTGAGCTCTTTGCTGGCAGTATTGCATTTAATTCTTATAACAGGTATTATGGTTATCCTCATTTTACAGATTAGGAAATTTTGGCACAAAGAGTTTAAGTAACTTGCCCAAGGTCACACAGTCTAACTCTAGAGTCTAAGCTTTTAACCACAAGGTTAACCTACAGGTTTTTTAGTGGATGGGGTATGAGAGTGATTTTTTTTTCCTAACCTTCATTTTAAAAAAAATCTATGAAATGATATGATTTGATTTGATTAGCATTAAGGTTGTAATTCACTCACCTTTTCCTCTCTCTTTTACATGGCAGTAGCCTTTTTCCTCAGCCCTATAGTCAGCTGCTGTTTGGTTTCAGGATCTTTGCAGGCAAGCCAGGGACTGTTTGAGGTGAAAGAGAAAATGGGCAGCTGCCATTTTGCCGTCTGTCTATAAGGTGCTTTTGTCCTGACATAGGAGACAAATGGCATATGTTAAAAACAAAAAACAGGCTGGGCGCAGTGGCTCATGCCTGTAATCCCATCACTTTGGGAGGCTGAGGCGGGTGGATCATGAGGTCAGGAGATCGAGACCAGCCTGGCTAACAAGGTGAAACCCCGTCTCTACTAAAAATACAAAAAAATTAGCTGAGCATGGTGGCAGGTAGCTGTAGTCCCAGCTACTCAGGAGGCTGAGGCAGGAGAATGGCGTGAACCCAGTAGGCGGAGCTTGCAGTGAGCCGAGATCGCACCACTGCACTCCAGCCTGGGCGACAGAGCGAGACTCCGTCTCAGAAAAAAAACAAAACAAAAAAACCCAAACCTGTGAAAACAACAGAGAAACTAGGAAAAGAGGCAAAACTTCTGTAAATTTTTGTTTTTCAGATATCTGCTGATTGGTACATGTTTGTGTGTCTGAGGTTTTTGTGCTTTTTTCCTAAAGGCTGTAATACCAAAAATCCCCTTCACACCATAGGTAAAAGGTGAGACTGCAGGATAAAACCTCACTGACGTCTGGCCCTGTCTGTGGCTGGTGGTGAGATTTAAACAAACTACATGTCTTTTCTATGCTTTTCCTCTTTCTGTCAGCAAAATGGAAAGATCCCAAACCTCCTTGCTTGCTTATGCTCACATTTTGAGGTGGCATGAGAAGCTTTAGGCTGTTCAGCTGGAAGGCATCATTTAGGTAAAAGCCTGCTCTTATAAATGAACATTTTTTTTTATTTTCTTTCTTTCTTTTTTTTTTTTTTTGCAAATCCTGTGTCTCACTGGCACAAATTGTGGGACTGTTGCGTAGGAGAATTCATTTTCATCTCAAGCTCCTGCCTTACTGGAGCCAGCCCTCCTGGTTCGTCCCGCAGGCTGTCTGCCTAGGATGTCCATCGTTGTGATGTGTAAACAGCTGGAACAGGATGATGGGAAAACAGCCTGCTGCAGACGGAGCTTGCACTACATAGCGTAGGGAATCGGGAATAGGGACTAAGAATTACCTCTTCTTAAGATTTGGTTTCTGAGCTTTGGAATCAGAGAACTATGCTTGCATCTTGGCTCACTATATAGCCCTTGGGTGGGTTACTTAGCCTCTCTAAGCCTCTTATAAAACTGGAATCAATGATGCCTACTCTATATGGTTGTTATGAGGGCCATATCAGACAATTCTTATAGAGACCTCAGGACACAGATGCGTGCAGGCAGCAGCAGGACAAAATGGCGCTGGAGACATATTGCCTGGATCAGAACCTGACTCCACTGCTTTCAAGCTGTATGACCTTGGGCAAGCTTGCTTCCTTCCTTCCTTCCTTCCTTCCTTCCTTCCTTCCTTCCTTCCTTCATTCCTTCCTTCTTTCCCTCCCTCCCTCCCTCCCTCCTTCCTTCCCTCCCTTCCTCCTTCCCTCCATCTCTCCTTCCTTCCTTCCTTCCTTTTTCTTTTTTTTTTTAAATGAAGTTTCCCTCTGTCTCCCAGGCTGGAGTGCAGTGGTGCAATCACAGCTCACTGCAACGTCCGCCTCCCGGGTTCAAGAAATTCTCTTGCCTCAGCCTCCCAAGTAGCTGGATTATAGGCCTGCACCACCATGCCTGGCTAATTTTTGTATTTTTAGTAGAGATGGGGTTTCACCATGTTGGCCAGGCTGGTCTCAAACTTCCAACCTCAGGTGATCCGCACGCCTTGGCCTCCCAAAGTGCTGGGATTACAGGTGTGTGCCAACGCACCTGGCCTCTCTGTCTTTCTCCTCATATATGTGAGGAGTAAAATGAGGATGATACTTTATAGAATTGTTGTGAGGATTTAATGAGATATAAAGAACTTGGAGCAGTGCCTAGCACATCATAAAACTTCAGTCAGTGTTAGCTTCTAGTAGTACTTTCTGCTTCTCCAATAGAAGTGGGTAAGAATAGGTAACCTTGCCACATTGGTATTTCTTAGCCTTAATTTTCAGTCTTCTAGTGTTTATTCCTCTTTCCTTAAACCCGTCCCTGATCACACTCCTCTCTCTGCCCTGATAGCTTGACTGTAGTAGACTCTGATGGAGCTACCAACTCTACTACTGCAAACCTGACAGTGAACAAAGCTGTGGATTACCCCCCTGTGGCCAACGCAGGCCCCAACCAAGTGATCACCCTGCCCCAAAACTCCATCACCCTCTTTGGGAACCAGAGCACTGATGATCATGGCATCACCAGCTATGAGTGGTCACTCAGCCCAAGCAGCAAAGGGAAAGTGGTGGAGATGCAGGTAGGAGGGAATGGTTCCTATTTTTTCTTGCCCAAGAGAAGTAGAGCTGCTGGACTGCATTTTTAGAAACCTCCAAACAAACTGAGAAAGCTTTAGGGGCCTTTGATTAACGTGGTAGCAAAAATCTTTATCTTGGCCGGGTATGGTGGCTCACGCCTGTAATCCCAGCACTTTGGGAAGCTGAGGCGGGCGGATCATGAGGTCAGGAGTTCGAGACCAGCCTGGCCAACATTGTGAAACCCCGTCTCTACTAAAGATAAAAAAATTAGCCGGGCGTAGTGGCGTGCGCCTGTAATCCCAGCTACTTGGGAGGCTGAGGCAGGAGAATCCCTTGAACCTAGGAGGCGGAGGTTGCAGTGAGCCGAGATCACGCCATTGCACTCCAGCCTGGGTGACAGAGCAAGACTCCATCTCAAAAAAAAAAAAAAAAAAAAAAAAATTATCTTAAATGTTTAGTATTAGAGGAAAAGGCTGAGAAATGTTAGTTGTTCTGGATGACTCCAGAGAGTCAAACTATTTAGAAGCTACAAGGGTGCAAATCTTAGTGAGCTCTATAACAAGTTAGAGTAGATTGGCTAGATGGTGAGTATCTTCTCTCTAGAGATGCTTAAGAAGAGAGACTAGATCTGTCACCAGGCAGGTAACATAAAGAAAGAAAACTGGATGGTGGCTGTGCTGAACTTAAGCCCTGACTAAAGGAGTCATCTACTCTTCAGGTCCAGCTGGTTGTTGCCACATGGAAGGATGGTCCTAACATTGCTTGATAACCCAGCTTTTCAAGAGAAGAAAGAAATTGAGACCTTTATGTGAAAATTTCCAATATGAGAGACACCACAGGCCAAAAAAAATATTTGCAAGCTGGATTCAGCCCATGGGCTACTAGTTTTTGCCTACTGCTCTACAGGAAGTTCCTGCATTGGAAGTTTGCCCAAAATTATTTATAATGTCCCTCAAGATTCTATATTTCTCAGTTTTAAGGCCTCCCTTAAAGCCTCCATTTTACCTGACTTTTGTTTAAATGTTATGTTAGGTTGTTGCAGAACCTGTACAGACCTGAAGGAGACAGTATGGTGTTATACAGCATCTTGAGCTGCTGCCATGTTTCACTGAGACAGCTTTGTTAGGAGCACTGTGTAGCTTCAGTAGGAAGAGGATCTTTTTAAACAGTGTTTTTAAAACTGGGTCATTTATTGTTTGTTCACGGTATTCTTTCTGGTTTGAGTCATAGAGACTGGCCTTGGTAATCTCTGCACATTTCCCAATACTGCCCTCTCTTATGAGAGTTCTGGCTTTATTTGAAACTGCTGCTGTGTCAGAGAGGGTTGTTTCCTTGAAGGGGGAAACCCTTAGCAAGGTGCCTCATGATATCTGACTCCATATTCACTCACATGCTGAACTGGTACGTAATAGCCCAGTACCATCTTAGGTCTTTGGTTTAGAAAACTAAATCGTTTTTACCAGAGTCGGAATTATTGTGTGATGTGATTCCTGGAGTCCACTTTTCCACTTCTGTATTTGTATTTGTAGGGTGTTAGAACACCAACCTTACAGCTCTCTGCGATGCAAGAAGGAGACTACACTTACCAGCTCACAGTGACTGACACAATAGGACAGCAGGCCACTGCTCAAGTGACTGTTATTGTGCAACCTGGTAAGCTCCAGCCTTGTGGTTCAGGCTCTTCTATTGGTGGGTCCATTTAACCTTGGGGGAAAAGAGTGTTGGGTTCTGAGCTGTATGAGGGTAGAAGCAGAAGGCACCGATCCATAGAGCCTCTGGTGACTTCTATTGTTCCTTCCCCTTGTGCTTTCTTCATAGCTAGAGATGAAGGATACTTCCCAGCCTCAGCTTGTGCCCTTCCCTTGGCTTGTTGTTGGTACCTTCAAAGAGACCTAGGAAATAGAGTTTATGCCATCCCAAATCCTAAAAAGTAATTGCGGTTTTTGCCATTCCTTTCAATAGCAATTACTTTTGCACCAACCCAATACCACGTCCTTGAAGGGCCTGCTTAAAACTGACTTCCTCAGGACAGCCCTGTCTTGTCACTCAAATCCTTTCATTTGAACTCCCTTAGCATTAGAGTTCAAGTTTAGTATGGCATTATAACTTCATTATGTTCTATGTTTCTGTCAGAATTGCTTGATATGTTTCAGCCTTATATTCTTTATTGTGTGCTCCCTGACGGTAACCACATCTCCCACAGTATCTGACAGTTCTGTGGCCTGAGAGGCAGAGTCCATGGCTTCCAGAACATGTGTCCCAATTGGTTCCTCTCCTTTCCCACCTGGACTGGCTGCTTTTGACCTCTAACTCTTTGTCTTCCAGAAAACAATAAGCCTCCTCAGGCAGATGCAGGCCCAGATAAAGAGCTGACCCTTCCTGTGGATAGCACAACCCTGGATGGCAGCAAGAGCTCAGATGATCAGAAAATTATCTCATATCTCTGGGAAAAAACACAGTGAGTATTGACACAAAATCCTTATTTTTGCAAAGCCTCCAGACCTTGGAAGAGCAAGGTTTTATTTGCTATTATGAGTTGAGTTGCTCTTATTGGCTTATCCAGTGGGGTGACTGAGGAAGAAATGTTTGCAATTCCAAACTTCAACTCCAAGAAAATGATATTATAATCATAATTTTTGTAAGAAAAAAAGAATGCTTGCCATCAACTAGTCCCCAGGTAGTACTGTGTGATCCTGGTGCTTTTTCAGGTACAATCCATCTGCTGAAATGCAGAGTTTAATTACACTTGAGAGGCAGGATGGAAGGGGTAATGGAGCAGAAAAATACTGTTGCTCAGAATTAACTGGGTAAGGCTGGCACGGGGGATGGGGCAGAGCAGCTATTAAGAGAAATTGAAAATACATCCATAAAATGAAAGCATTACTCTGTTATTGTTTTCTTGAAGACACCATTTACCAATTAAGTTAGCCAGAGGCCAAAGGCGGTAATCAAAATAATTCTAATTACATAGAAATTACCTAACTGAACCATTCTTAGTTCCTGTAGTTTCTTTTAGCTCCTTTAAAGCATAACTAATGCAACTGAAATTATATGCAGGATCCCACAAGTAGCAAAAGAATTCTAAGAAGAGTTAAAAGTATTCTCTGTTTCCAAAGGTAGCAACCATAGGACAGCCTGGGTTTTTTTTTGTATTGTGTTTGTTTGTTTGTTTGTTTGTTTGTTTGTTTGACAAAGGCATTGGAGATGGGTGGAAAAGAACTTTAATTTGACTATACAAATGACTTGCTTTTGAGATTGCTGAGTTGGAATCTAGAAATTATTTCCCTCAGCTCTTGTTTTTATCTTTTGTAGAACATAATCTTACCCAGCCCAGGGTGTTTTTAATTATAATTGTTTATTGAAGATATGGCTGATAGACCTTTTAGCTGAGTTTTATTAGTGTTTACAGCAGAGATAATGCTTAGCATAGCTTCTTGAAGGAGACTGTGCTTCAGGAGGAGCTACCAGGATCAGAGGCTGTAACTTTAAAAGGCAAAACAAAGTAAATCCTGGATGTCTGCAGATTTCTCTGGCTTTCCTGTAGTTAAAAGCTCTGGGGCATTTTGATCCTTGAGCAGAGGGCTCTCTGGCTGTGTGCAGCCTGAATGTTGGCACAGAGCTCCCTTGGCTGCTGCAGGCAAGTCTCTGAGGCCACAAGGGGGAAGAAGGGTTGTAGGGTGTCCTAGGTGCTTGATGGCCCCTGTCCAGGAGCTGGAGGGAACTTTGCTTATAGAGTTGCTACAAACAAGATGATTTTGTCCTGAGAGTTCCTCTGCAGTCTTGCCCCATTTCCTTTTCTTTCATCAGGAAGGATTTGGGCACGTGATTAAGAAATGCATTTTGCTTCCTTGCTGGCAAGAGCCAAACCAACTACTGGGCCAGAAATGCTTTTTAGAAACATCACTCTTAAATCATTCTTTTGATCAGAGACTTGCTCAGAGAACTTTCTTCCTTTTACAAACTAGAATGGTAAAGCGTTCAAGTGTTCTAGAAGCTCATATAAAGGATAAGGCTAGAGGTGTTTGAAAGCTATTTGAATTTTCTGACCAGCAGGCAGCCTGTATTTTGAGGCCAAATGACACTTTGTCCAATTGAAATATTTTTAAACATGTCTTGTCAAGGTCTGGGTAACAGTAGTTCGTGTCTTTGCTGAGGGAGTCATTGTCTCCTCCTGCTAAGTTAGGGACAGGACAGCAGCAGACAGGTACAACTCTACCCTCTAGTTTCTTTTTTTGCAGGGGACCTGATGGGGTGCAGCTCGAGAATGCTAACAGCAGTGTTGCTACTGTGACTGGGCTGCAAGTGGGGACCTATGTGTTCACCTTGACTGTCAAAGATGAGAGGAACCTGCAAAGCCAGAGCTCTGTGAATGTCATTGTCAAAGAAGGTACCTCTCTGCCTCCAGTTTGTGTAGCAGCCTCTTAGGGTCAGATAGCTGAAGAATTTATCCTGTCATGTTTGCCTGCAGAAATTGATTAGAGATAGCAAGAGGTGGGTAAGAGGGTTGGGGTGAGGGCAATTGTTATTTTCTTTTCTAAAACAGCCTTTAATTGGACTGTAAGGTGAATTTTAACTTCCCTCCCTCCTCCTGCTTACATCTTCCCTTCCCTCTCATCCCCTTACTTTCTTTTCAGTCCTCCCTCCTTCCCTCCTTACTTTATTTCTCAGTTGAATAGGGAAAGAATTAAGGGTTCTATTCTTTGCATTTTTATTTTGCCCCTCTGCATTGCTGAGACCTGGGCCGTGACTCCTGTTAGCTACAGTGACACCTGCTGTCAGGCTTGAGAATGACGGCCGCACTACAGCTGACTATGCTTGCCCTGAGCCTTTGAGCTGAGGCCAGCCAGAGGCCTTGCTCTAGTTTACAGGCACAGTGACCAGTGAGAGCTGTGGGAGAGGGCCTTAAGTTGAGGGCCTTAAGTTGATAGCAGGAAAAACCATCAGATATGCAGACCTCCAGACATAAGATACCAAGCTGAGTAAATACTGCACAGACATCTGAATATACAGAGCTTCACGTGGGGCTCCGAATAAGAGAGGTAGCTCTTTGTTTTCTCTTGTGAAGTTCCAAGGAAGGGGTCCAAAAAGATATTCAGAGAATAACATTTTAAGATATTTTGAAGGAGAATTTGCAAGATCAGCTAGGTGAAACCTAAACTCCAAGGTTTTAAGCCAGTTTGGGCCGTTATTTCTGATCATCACATACCTCCAAAGCAGAGAAATGGATTCCATTTGGGAAGGCTGCTGGGAGAATATGAGAGGAAAGCACACTCGTCCCCTCTGTTGTACAGTGTTAGGAGAACATTTCTCTGGGTAGGACTGGAACCTCAGGACTGCAGCGCTGGTAGCTTTCATCTACACTGTTGGTTGGTGGCAGGGACAGGCACTTAAAAAGGTTCTCCAGTTAAGGTACTCTTGATGTTTTAATTTCCCCATAAGCATCATGAAGAAACATTTCTTCTTTTCCAGAATGTCACATTATGTCAATGATTTCTTTTTGATTAGAAATAAACAAACCACCTATAGCCAAGATAACTGGGAATGTGGTGATTACCCTACCCACGAGCACAGCAGAGCTGGATGGCTCTAAGTCCTCAGATGACAAGGGAATAGTCAGCTACCTCTGGACTCGAGATGAGGGGAGCCCAGCAGCAGGGGTAAGTGTGCTAGGAGCTGGAGAGCTACACAGGAGTGGGGAGGAGGAGGAGCCACGCGTTCCAGTATATGCTTTAATCAAGTGGTCCCTTATATCAAACCCAGATTGTTCTCTGAAATCCAGGGAGGTGAAGTGACTTGCTTAGGGTCATTCTGTAAGCTAGTATAGCACAGAATGGGTTTCCCTTCCCTGATCCTAGCAGTTGTAGGCTGCAATGCTGTTCCGTATCAGGAACTGCCCAAGGTTGAAACAGTTCAGCCCTGAAGGGCCTAGTTATGGTGAAAGCAGCAACTGACTCCAGGAAAGGAATGGCATTTTGTTCTGTAACATAGCCATGTTGTTCAACCCTACAGGAGGTGTTAAATCACTCTGACCATCACCCTATCCTTTTTCTTTCAAACCTGGTTGAGGGAACCTACACTTTTCACCTGAAAGTGACCGATGCAAAGGGTGAGAGTGACACAGACCGGACCACTGTGGAGGTGAAACCTGGTGAGTTCATTTAGTGATGAGGCTGAGTAGAATTGCTGAATCAGCCAATCAAGGCCTCTATCCTGAGATCCCCTTCCCCGAGCATGGACAGAGCCAGATGGCATGTCCAGCTTTAAAAATAATCGAGAAACCCCAAGCTGAAAAATCCATAGAGACCGTCTGTTCCAATAATACCTCCTACCCATGCAGAAATACAGACCTCCCCCTATTCATCTCAGATGGAGAAACAAACTCAGAGAGGGCAGGACTTGCTCAGTGTCACACAGCAGTTGTGTCAGAGCCAGGCCTTTGTGCTCGTAGTCCAGCACTTTCTCCTCTCCTCGTGACTGATGAGAGAGGGCTCAGAGTGCTTGGGAATCTGAGCATGGGAATAGCTTGAGTCATGATGTCTCATCAGCATCCAGATGCAGAAAACAATTTATTTTTATAAGTTGAGCCTCAGGCCTTGTCTGATAATCCAGGGAAGGTAAAGTAATAGTGCTCTTTACATTTTTCAGCTTTGCAGAAATAAAAATTTTCTTCTTAAATAGAACCATGTTTTTATTTTGCTTTGAGATTAATATGGTGATAGGGAGGCACTGAGTATGGAGGTGGGATAGAGCTGTATAAATTCCTGAGCTTCTGATGAAATGGTATTAACTTTAAACCTACTCTTTATTATCTAGGCCAACCTCATATATGGATGTTTTGGACAGGAAGGGATCTTGGGAGGTCTTCCAGTCCTTGTCCTGCCTCTAGGAAGGACAGTAGCTGAGACACTATAAAATCTCTTTGGTGTTTAAAGTCAGATCACAGATAGTCTACTAATTATGCAAATTATACATCAGAACAGGCAAGTGGTGCATTCAAGTATGTAAATAAGGCATTCCAAACAATCAGTTTGAAATTCCAAATGTAGAACATCTTTAGGACATATTCAAAAGTAAAACATGATAGCCTCACCGTTTTAGAGTTATACAAAGATAGTGCAGCTGTGATGTGGCTCTAAGGAAATCCTTGTGTCTTGGCTGACTGGATTTTCTTTTGTTAACTGTATTTAAACCTGGAGGGACGGATGCATTCCCATTATTGAGGAGGTTGTTGAGATGGACACTTTTCCTCCCATTGTTGTGCACAAAATACAGCGAGGCACTGAAAATCAGATGTGAGTCAGGAGAGATTGCTTAATAACCCCCACTTGGCCTGGATTGCTCAGCACTGCCAGTTGCACAGAGGCTTTTAAAACAAATGTTTAAGTGTTTCTCTCTTCCCCACTCCCGTCATTACTCCCCACCCCTCATTGCATCACTGCTTCAGCCTTATCCCCAGCACATGTGTGGGAATTCTCAGGTTGGTATAGAGAGCAGGAGTGCTTTAGAAGCTTTCTAAGCCAGCCCCAGATTGCCCGATCAGGAATTCACTATTGTCCCTTTCCATTTGAAGGATATCTGAATGTTCTCACTCCTTTCTCTCCTGTGCCAAAGCAAATGCACAGTGGCAGGTCTGTGTTTACTCTCCTACTTCTAAAGCCATGACTGATCCACATGCTTTCCAGATCCCAGGAAAAACAACCTGGTGGAGATCATCTTGGATATCAACGTCAGTCAGCTAACTGAGAGGCTGAAGGGGATGTTCATCCGCCAGATTGGGGTCCTCCTGGGGGTGCTGGATTCCGACATCATTGTGCAAAAGATTCAGCCGTACACGGAGCAGAGGTAGCTGGGCAATGAATGGGGGGAGCAAAGGAAAGACCAGGGGCCCCCGGGCTTCTTGAATGAGCTGAGAAATAGTGTGGTTAGATAGAGAAAGGTGGGCTTTCTGACCAGAAACACTCATGTTGCCTTTTCTTCAATAGACTTCTGTCTTCTAGTGCAGGTGACATGCGCTGTACTAGACACTTCAGCAGGGCTCCAGGGTGTAGGAGGTCAACTATTTTGACAACCACAGTCTAGTAGAGGAGATAAGTAAATATGGAACATTAGTACGGTGTGGGTTTGGTACAACAAGCGGCATTGTGGAACACTGTGGCAAGGACAATGAATTCTTCTAGGAGAGTTGGGGTAGGAGTAATCCAAAGATTTTTCTAGAATAAAGAAAACTTCAACCTGGGCAACATAACAAGACCCCACCTCTACAGAAGATTTAAAAATTAGCCAGGTGCAGTGTGGTTCGCCTGTAGTCCAAGCTATTTGGGAAGCTGAGGCAGGAGAATTACTTGAGCCCAGGGGTTTGAGGCTGCAGTGAGCTCTGATCACACCACTGCACTCCAGCCTGGAAGACAGAGTGAGACTGTCTCAAGAAAAAAAAAAAAAAGAAAAAAAAAGGGGAAAAGGAAACTTATATTGACCAGGCATGGGAGGATGGGGAGGAAATTCAGAACAGGGCAACAGCATTGAGCAATGGCCCTGTGGTATGAAAGTACACAGTTTCTTCCAGAAGAAGTCACTTGGTTCAAGCTTAGTGGCCCCAGGATGTGGTAGAAGACAAGACTGGCAGTGGAGATTGAGAACAGTTATATGCAAGCTGAGGATCTTAGTTTTAATAGTTTGGGTAGGCAGATCCAAGTTGGTTTGTTTTATGTGTGTGAAGTTTTTGTTTTGTTTTTAAAAGCAAGGAATTTCCATAATTTGATTTTTTTTTTTTTTTTTTTAAAGAAAGATCAGTAGTGTGGAAGCTAGTCTAAAATAGGGAGAGACCAAAGGCTGGGAGACCATTCAGGAAGCTTCTGGACTAGTCCAGTGAAAAGGTAATAAAACCTGAATTAAGATAGTGGAAGAAGAGGAGAAGAAATTAAAAGAAATTCAGTGGTAATTCAGTAGTACCTGGCCCTTTACGAATGAAGGTGAGTGAGATAGCAAATGTGAGGCTTTTGGTTTGGATGTCTGGATAGATGGTTCAGGTCATTAACTGAGATTGGGAAGGCAGGCGAAACCAGTATGGATGATTGAATTTGGGGTGTCTTACTGGCTGCGTCAGGAGATGTTCCGTCAGATAGCCACAAGTAAAGGCTGGAACTTGTGGAAGGAAGAGCCCGAGATAGGAGTTACTGCATACAGGCAGGAGCCAAAGCCATGAGAACGGGTGAGTCTCACTAGGAGAGAGCTAAGATGGATAAGGACACAACTCTGAAGGGCATCATTATTTAAGGAGGAGGCAGAGAAAGAAGAGGTAGCAAAAGAAACTAAGAAACAGCAATCAGGTGGGAGGAAAACCAAATGAGAGTAGTCTGCTGGAAGTTAAGGGGTGATCTGGCAAAAGGGGTGCTTCCAAAGGATTCAGATGCTACAGGGATGGAGGTGTGGTGAGAACACAAAGTAGGCCTATGGGTTTGTGATTAGTAGATCAGTGCAACTATAGTGAGAGCATTTTACTTAGATGTTGGAGGCAGAGGACAGATTTCATGGTTTGAGGATACAGAGATGGTCAGTATAACACCTTTTTGAGGAAGTTGGTGCTGAAAATAATATGGGAGGTAGGATTGAAAGAATATCTTTAAAAATTTTTTTTCATTGTGGTCCTTGTGGAACATGAACATCTTTTTAAAATAGGAAGTTTGTGAGCATTTGTATAGACTGAGAGGAAAAGGAGATGGTGGAGATAGGGGATGGGTAATAAATGGAGGCAGATCTGGGGGACCAGCCAAGTTGGAAACATGAGGTGAGAGCAGTGGTTCCCAACTCCAGCCACACAATAGAATCTTGCGGAGGTTGTCTGAACATAACACTGCCCAAGCCTTAGCCCCAGAGATTATAGTTCAGTTGGTCTGGAGTGGGGTCTGGGTACCTAGAATGGAAAAGCTCCCCAGGTGAATTTAATCTACAGTCAGGGCTCACTAGGTCAGAGATAGCACGATTAGGGATAAGTATACTCAGCAGCCTGGGAGTAGGAACAGGGCAAATGGCTGCTTGATTGATCCAAGCTGGCGGGAATTGGCTGGCAAGCAGTGGAAAGATGTTAGCAAGAGTGCTGGTAAGAGCACTGTTGACAGGTTGCTCAGATTCACCAGCACTGCATAGGGGGCATGAGCAAGAGAGAAGCTTCTGGGTTTCCCTGAGCTTCTGGCTTGTACTGGATTGACTTAGTTAAGGAATTCAGGAAGAACATGTGATTGGAAGAAAATAGTATTTTACAGTAGGAAAGAACATGGCCCTTATATTAGACCCAGCTTCTGAGCCCTGCCCTACTAGTGTTAGCTCTGTGGGAAAGTTACTTCACCTCTCTGAACCTGTTTTACTATCTGTGAAAATACTAGTACCTATTTATAGGATTGTTATGAGGATTAAATAAGTTAATGTTTGTATAGTCCCTCACACATAGTGTGCAATTAATGGTTATGAGTTGATTTTGAGACTTGTTGGATTTGAGGTATCTGTTGAAGCTCTGGGGTAGATATTCACACAAGTATTTGCAGATATAGACTGGTCACTCAGGAGAGATGTGGGGAAAGGAGATAAAGATCTGAGGGTTATTGATATATAGACCGAAATTGAAACTGTAAGCATGAATTAGGTAACTGGGAGAAGATAATGGGCAACGGACCACACATCCTTTATGGCAAAAGTTTTTTTTTGTTTGTTTGTTTCTGGAATTGATAATGCCCCATTGTTAATCCCACTGTGCAGCAAGCTTTTAGAAAGTCTGTGGCAGTACTTCTCAGATTTTATGTCATGCATGCCTGGAAAATGATACCATTTATAGGGCACCTTGGGATAAACAGAGAAGGCTGCTTGTATTGGAAGCAACTGGTCCAGGGCCTCTAGGATGCCCAGGTCCCACCCAGCCACACTGCATGATGAGGGGATCAATATCTTGGTCACACCTGTAAACCAGTGTGACTCACTGATTTAGAAGGTTCTAATTGTAAAACTCACATGGAGCTCAAGGGGCAGGCTACTAAAAATTAAGGCTAAGGCATAGAACAGACTTGGTACTACCCAGATGTGAGTTCACATGTGGCCTATCTTGGACAGGAATTGACAATCAGCAAACAGATTCTGGGCATGGAGTAATATAAGTTCATAGCAGCCATACTACAGTGTAAGATCTTTTTGTTGTCATCATAATTGTTTTGGCTATGTTGTGATGCTGTCCAACAATTTACATTAACAAAGCATTGTGGTTTGTCTTTCAAGTAAACTAGTCACAAACCCAGCAGTCTTAGCTGGAAAAAGGTGGACAGCAGGAATGTAGCCATACCAAATCCCCATTTGTCTCATCCTCCAGTTAGATGGAGAGTATGGGTCTTCTTGCTGGAGGAATGGGTTCTTTTGTTAGCTGGGGCAGCTTAGGGCATTTTAAAAAGAACAGACTTTGTAGTCAGACATAACAGGGTTGGGATCTGGCTCTGCCATAATCAACTGTGTGACCTTGGGCAAGTTACTTAACCCCTCTTACAAAGCCCCAGTGTTGTTCTCTGTAAAATGGAGATGACCCTGATAACACCTTTCTCACTGGCTTGTAGTAACAGAATGCATGTAACACTTAGCACAGTGTCTGTCACAAACAGAAGGTACTTAGTAAATGTTAGCTGTTGCTGCAGGTATGGACCGCTTCAGCTCATTAGTACTGTTGCATGTCTCTGCAGCACCAAAATGGTATTTTTTGTTCAAAACGAGCCTCCCCACCAGATCTTCAAAGGCCATGAGGTGGCAGCGATGCTCAAGAGTGAGCTGCGGAAGCAAAAGGCAGACTTTTTGATATTCAGAGCCTTGGAAGTCAACACTGTCAGTGAGTAATTCTGGGAATTTGGGAGCAAGAGCCTACCTAGTGCCTGCAGCTCACCCATTGGTCCTTTCTGTCCTTGGCCTTCATCTTCTTTTCTCTGGGAAGATGGAGATAATCATTCTCTTGCACTACTATTACCATGAAAGAGTCCTGATTCATCACTGGGGATTCTTAACTTGGGGCCCATGGGCCCCTGAGATCGTGTTCAGAAGGCTGTGAGCTTGAGTGGGGAAAAATTTACATCTTTGTTTTCACTAACCTCTGACTGAAACTCACTGTTTACTTCAATGATCAATGTAGGCAACAAACTACAGTAGTATCAACAGAACCTGTGGCTTTGAGGCAATAGAAATCACAAATAATTTCCTATCACATTACATGATGTCATTTTTACTTATCACTACTTCAAAATTATGATAGTTGTTAAACCCACTTCTAGCTCTTGTTGTTTAATGCTTATTTATTTATTTATTTATTTATTTATTTATTTTGAGATAGAGTCTTGCTCTGTTGCCCAGGCTGCAGTGCAGTGGTGTAATCTCAGCTCACTGCAACCTCCGCCCCCCCGGGTTCAAGTGATTCTCCTGCCTCAGCCTCCCAAATAGCTGGGATTACAGGCATGCACCACCACGCCCAGCTGATTTTTATATTTTTAGTAGAGATGGGGTTTCGTCATGTTATCCAGGCTGGTCTTGAACTCCTGACTTCAAGTGATCTGCCTGCCTCGGCCTCCCAAAGTGCTGGGATTATAGGTGTGAGCTACCATGCCCAGCCTGTCTTCTTAAATATTTCAAAAACGTTTAATATAATTATTGCCTTCCTTTGAAGTACTATAGGTATTTTATTTTTCCAATTGTGAGAAGGGGATGTGTGGGACATAAAAGATTAAGAATTGCTGATATAGACAAACAACAAGTGAAGACAGGCTGGAAGTGTCTTTCTAGTGGCCTCCTGACTGCTCCAGTTTTGTCCAGTCGAGATGAGAAAGGCAGGCACCATGCCCAAGGTGGGTCTCGAGGACATTTCACCACATAGCATTAATCTGGGGTGCTTTGGTGCCCTCATGGGCTCTAGGTGCTGCTTGTCACCCCTGGCTGAGTCTTGTTGACTTTCTTCCCTTTGCTGCCACTCTCAGCATGTCAGCTGAACTGTTCCGACCATGGCCACTGTGACTCGTTCACCAAACGCTGTATCTGTGACCCTTTTTGGATGGAGAATTTCATCAAGGTGCAGCTGAGGGATGGAGACAGCAACTGTGGTGAGTTTTCTATGTGGCACAGTGCCAGCCTGTTTGGCGCTGAATGTGGTTCTGCACTGAGTGGGTGGGTGTTGGTGTTTCTGAAGCAGATGAGCAGGCAAGGAGAAGAACTTTGTGTATTTTCTGTTTGCAGAGGACTTTTACTTCCTTCCTCCACACTTGCTCAAGGTTAGAGGAAAGCCCTGAAGCAGTCGTGTAAGAAGAACCAGGCTTAACTCAGATCCAATGCCAGTTACAGCCTAAATCCCACCAGCTGAAAAGCCTCCTGTCTTTTGGAGTGCCTCCGTGCTGTAGCCTAATGGAAGCCCTCGTTTCCCTCTTAAAGCTCTTTTCAGCCTGCACCACTGCTGCAGGGTCTCAGGGCTTGCCAGGAGCAGGGACTGGAAAGCAGGGACATTTCAAAAGGTTTAAAGCTTCAGCTGCCCTTAACTCCAAGGTCTTACCTTCCTGGGGAGCCTGAGGCATTCTTGTCTCCAGAGTGAAGCCACACCTGCCCAAGCTGGGAGCAGCCCAGACCTCCCTCCCAGCCTCTCCCTCCACAGCCCTCACCATTTTGATTTTCTTGGCAGAGTGGAGCGTGTTATATGTTATCATTGCTACCTTTGTCATTGTTGTTGCCTTGGGAATCCTGTCTTGGACTGTGATCTGTTGTTGTAAGAGGTAAGATGGATTTTCCTTTGAAATTCATTCGGGCTTCTTGTCATACATTCGTTCCTCAGAGAGGTATTTGGCACCTTCCACGTGGAAGGACTGGGCTGGGTCCTTAGTCAGCATTAGAGAGTTCTGACCCACCTAAGGCATGCACGGGCAGCTTTGCTCACCCTGAGACTCTCCTGAGGGCAGAGGCACACTCCTTCAGTGAGTGGCAGCCACTGCAGTGATTTGGAACCTGGGAAACATGGCTGGGCGGGAGCAGGGCAAGGTGGGGGAGTGAGCGTGAGGGCCAGGGGTACAGACCCGGATCACATCTGTAAGGTGTGTTTTCTTTAATGCACCACACTGTAGCCTCACCAGCATAGCCCGCGAGTTTTTAATTCTGCCTTCTTTCTAGTTGGGATTCATGAGTGTGCATGTTTCCACACATGCACTTTAGGCTAGCCAGGCTCAGGCGTCCTGTGTTTTTTCATTTGAGTCTTCCTATTGAGTCTTCTAAGATGGAATGGTTACATTTATTTTATGTTTTCATTATTAATAATATTATTTCTGTGTATACTGTGTGCCATAATATTTTTATAGGTAATATCATTTTTAAGACACATAACCTTTTCCCATTTTACAGATAAAAAAACTTAGGCTCAGGAAAGGTACATCACTGTCTGAGGACCAGTTGATAGTGACAGAGCTGAGATTCAACTTTCAGTATAACCTCTTATAAAACTTAGAACTAAAGGAATTTTTAAAAATTCCCACCAGTCTAAGACAACCACCATTACCAACTTTGTTAGTGTAATGCCTGTCTCCTCCCACACCCTTCAAGCAGAGGATTTTGTTTTCTTTACGTTTTTAACCAATCTGTCCTTCATTGCCCCTGTGGGATGGTGAGTCCGTGCCAAGGTGGTCATAGCTCCCTTGCCCTTCTCCAGAATTGCTGAGGAACATTTGAGGAACAAATCACAGTTGCCACCTTTCCTGGCTGAGAAGTGAGGAGAGGACACCCCTCTCAGTAGGTGCCCCACCAAAATAGGGCCCTGCATGCACATCTGGCTCTCATCCTCATCCTCCCAGAGAACCTCTTTCCTGAGCAGGGGTGGGGGTTGTGTTTTTTAGGCAAAAAGGAAAACCCAAGAGGAAAAGCAAGTACAAGATCCTGGATGCCACGGATCAGGAAAGCCTGGAGCTGAAGCCAACCTCCCGAGCAGGTAGGGGCCCTGGGTGCCAGAGCTTCTAGGTCTGTGCACTCTCTCTGTGGAAGGCTGCTGTCACTAGCCCCTCCTGAGTGTGTCACTAACAGCCCACTGTGCTTGCAAAGCATTTTGTTCCCTTTTGCCTGATGAAGACTGAGGGTCAGATTTGCCCTGAGCTGCACTGGACAAAATGCCTCCAGGACCCACTTCGCGTGCTACTTCCGCTTGGCGGGGGTGCTGGGCCTGTTGTTTTCCTTTGCCTGGGCATTCTCCTCATGTTTCCCACCTGGAGTTCCGCTTTTCCAACTGCCCCAGGTAGTCAGGGTCAGGGACCTTGGACTTGTCTCTTACTGCTGACCAGTCTGTGCTTTATGGGCAGAGATGAGACCCAGGCCCGTGTCTGCCAGCTGACCACCTTTCAGCCAGCCTTGTTCTCCTGTCTTCCTATCTTTATCATTTGGCAAGTCCTCAGCTTCTGTCAGTGTCTTAGGGCAGATAGGAGGGCATTTCCTTGCACAAACAGTAAGATGACTTTGAGTGATGGCACTGGGAGATCAGGGCAGGTAGTAGGCCTTCCTTCCTCCGCTGGGCTGGGTCACCTGGCGAGGGTTTCACTCATCATGGATGCCATGGGACAGGTATCATTGGTTTATGAGAGCTAGACTCTATAAAGCGATTCCTAAACACTCTGCAAGTAGAACTATTTTTATATAAAGCATTTATTAAACACTTTTCATGCTTAAAGCTTTGTGTTAGGGAGAGGCTATGGGGGTATAGGGAGTCATCAGACACAGGCTGTGCTCTCAGTCTAGTGAGGGAGAAAAGACACACAGTAGCAGAAGAGAACAGGCTCACAGCAGTCTGGACTCTGCACCAAGCAGCTCGATCCACCAACACTGTCAAGGTGGAGACTGGAGGTGGTGGGGCTTGAAATGAGCCCAGGAAACCAGAGCAGTGAGGGCGGGCGGGGCATTTCACCCAGGAATATTGAGAATGAGGGCCTGGAGGTGAAATGTGCAAAACCCACCCCTCACACTGCAGCCAAGGTTTTTATCATGTTACTCTGATCATGTTTTTCACCCCCTGACATTCTTCAATGACTTACTATTTCTAGCACAAAAAGCTAGAACTTTTGGTCTGGTAGATGTGGCCTTTGTGAGCTTACATCAGTTTGCTTTTCTGGAATCTTTCTCTTTGCTGATCTCCCTCTTTTCTAAACAAGTTCTTCTGGTTCATCCAGTAATCTCTTTCTTTTTTAAAAATGTGGCGACAAGGTCTTGCTCTGTCACCCAGGCTGGAGTGCAGTGGTATAGTCATAGCTCACTGCAACCTCCAGCTCCTGAGCTCAAGTGGTCCTCCTGCTTCAGCCTCCCAAAGCAGCTGGGACTACAGGCATGCACCACCATACCCAGCCCTAGAAAGCTCTTTCTTATCCCTCCCTTAACCTCCTCAAGTTGTGCTCACCTTTCTCTCACATGCCTGGGTCGGCATTTCTCTCGCTGTCTCATGATTAGTTATGTTTGCCTGTCTCCCCACCCATCAGTGAAATCCCTGAGGGCAGGGGCTGTCTCATTCATCTGTGGATATGGAGCGGGACCACTATGTGCCAGGCCCTGTGCCAGACACTGCTTATATTGTGGTGAATCAAACGGACAGACTTCACTCTTGTGTAGCTTATGTCAGACAGACATTAAGCAAACTCACAAATACATAAAATATGCTCATAAAAGGCCTTTATGAAGAAAAACACTTAAGCTGAGACCTGGATAAGTGGGAGCTAGCCAGATAAAGCTGCAGGAAATAGCATTCCAGGCAAAGGAACAAAACTGGTGCAGACCCAGCTGCTAGAAGGAGCAGAGAGCATTTGAGGAGGTAGAAGAAGGTGACATGATGGACAGGTTCACCTTCCCACAGAGTAAGGGGTGAGTGACCCAAGGCTCAATGGATGAGCAGGGTCCCTGCTGAGGACTTCTCTTGAGTACAATGGGGAGCCACTGATAGCTTTTTAAGGGGATGAATGGTGGGATTTGGTTTACATTTATTATTATTTGAGACAGAGTCTCACTCTTATCACCCAGGCAGGAGTGCAGTGGTGCGATCAAGGCCCACTGCAGTCTTGACCTCCTGGGCTCAGGTGATCCTTCCACCTCAGCTTCCTAAGTAGCTGGGACCACAGGCATGCGCCACCATCCCCAGGTTTTTTTGTTGTTGTTGTTGTTGTTTTGTATTTTTGGTAGAGACGGGGTTTCATCATGTTGCCTAGGCTGTTCTTGAACTCCTGGGCTTAAGTGATCTGCCTGCCTTGGTCTCCTAAAGTGCTGGGATTATAGGTGTGAGCCATGGCACCCGGTCTTGGTTTATATTTTAAAAAGACAACTGTGTAGCTGGGCGTGGTGGTGGGTGCCTGTAATCCCAGCTACTCGAGAGGCCAAGGCAGGAGAATTGCTAGAACCTGGGGGTGTGAAGGTTTCAGTGAACTGAGATCACTCCAACCTGGGCAATAAAGCCAGACTCTGTCTCAAAAAAAAAAAAAAAAAAAAAAAAAAGATAACTGTGGCTGACAGATGCAGGGGTTGGAGGGGAAAGGCTAGCTGAAAGGAAGTTAGATAGAATGTCCTTGGGGTTGAGAGGCAGATAGATTCTAGATACATTTTTGAGGAAGACTTGATGAGGTTAGTGGTCTGCTGGCCAAGGCGTGTGGGAGAAGGGAGAAAGGAAGGATGGCTCCCAGCTTCAGCACTGAGCCTCTGTGGGTTGGGTGGTGGTAGTATCCCTGAGATGGGAGAGACTGGAGAAGAAATGGTGGAGATCAAGTGTTTGGTGCAAGACAGTTATGAATGGAGTTGAGGGAATGAGAATGAAAGATTGACAAGGCCCAAATTGTGAAAGTTTGACTATCAGCCTGCAGAGTTAAACATTTATCCTGGTGATGCTGGGAAGCAAAGTCTTGGATAAGCTGGTTTAGGAAAATCAGTCTGGTGACAACATATAATAATTGAAGGGGAGTGGCTACAAGTGTGGAGACCAGCAAGGAGATTTTTGGTCCAAGGAGGAGCTGACAGTGATTCACACAGCGTGGTGTCAGTGGGTTATAGCTAGGTCTGGCAAGGTCAGGGCTGACTTCCAACCGAGAGATGGAGAATGATAGTGCTGTTGACAGAATCAGAACCTCTGATGCAGTGACTGGGTAAGAGAAGATGAATTAAATGGAACTCAGCAGAAGAGTCAGACATGGAACTGTAGAAATAGGAATCTCCCATCTGCTGGTGAGGATCAGCACCACAAAGGGTCACATCCCTTATGGGGGAATGTTGAAGGACAAAAGAAGAGGCCTAGGGTTGAGGACCCCAAGAATGACCATCCAGGAGGGAGGAGGGGATTCATTAGGGGACAGCCGTCGGTGTTTGCTGCTGCAAAGGCCAAAGAATCAGAATTGATAGCACCAGAGAAGCTCCTGGCCCATCAGAGAGCTGCAGTAGAGTGGGGAGTGACAGTGGAAGTGAAAGCGCAGGTGATTTAGAAAGCGCAGTGAGGAGATGAAGGCCCTGAATATTTAAAAATCCTTTTAGAAGCTGAGCAGTGAAAGCTAGAGAAGCAGGATGGCAGGCAGAGGGCAAGGGCCTCCTCTTCCTCAGAGAAGGGCTCATGAACAGATCTGTGGGTGGCAATGTCGAATGCAGGTAGAGGAGTGGTGCGTTGGAGAGGTGCTTCCTGACTGAGGAGGAAGGAGGGAGAAGGGAAGAGAGGAGAGAAAGGGAGCATGGAGTTCAGATGCCTCTTCTGAGGCAGGAGGGGAGAAACGGGCGGTGATGGCCCGGAGAAGTGCCGCGCTGCAGAGGTGAGATTGGATGGGAGCCTGAGCTCAGCACATCGGACATCTTAGGGAGAGGGGAGAGCCATGGGGTGTTCCAGTGGCATCTAGGTGACCAAAACCAACAACGTGCGACCAGGTGAGGGCAGCAGGGCTGGTCTCTTGTGGGCAGTGTCTACCGAAGGGAGCTGGGAGAGCCCGCTCAGGTTCGGTGTGGGTCTGAGCAGGCCGGAAGCACTGGTTCTTGTTCTGGGCTCAGTGGGTTAGCAGGTCCAGCCTAGAGTAGAGTCACTAGGAGGACGAGGAGAATGAGATTCAAGACCATATGGTGTCAGGTATGGAACTGAAGAAGTTTAGCTGGAAGAAGGGTAAACTGAGTGGGTCCGTTGGGGGGAAAGAGGATGTGTGTGCGCGGGAGTCTGGACGGACAGTTTGCCAGGAGCCAGTTTAGGCTGAGGATGAACAGTAACTGAGGAAGGAGAGCAGTGCCACCTGGTAAGTGTAGGGCTGCCCCCCTCAGGAGGCCCCCTTTACATTCAGCAGCTATGGCTTTGTTTTCTCTTGTTGCTGTTGTTTTTTGTTGTTGTTTTTGTTTTCTATTGATTTTTTTTCTAAAACTTTCTATTGAAGTATATTAGGTTGAACCTAGGCTCCTGTCCTCACTGCTATAGCCAGAGGGGCTTTGGGAAGGAGGCAGCTGTGAACAGGTGGGTATTTCAAGGGGTGAGGCAGGGCCTTTGGAGGACCTGGGCCCTTGCCAGGGCCCTTTCCACTGTCCCCACCACACTGGAGATGTCCTGGCGGTCAGTGTTCTTCTGTGGCCCTGCTGCTCCGCTGCCCGAAGACTCAGTAGGAGAGGTTCAGTCAAGACCCAGAACTGTAACCCTGACACCAACGCGGGTGAGGAAGCTCCCTGCCCAAGCCCCAGAGCATGTGGCACAGGCACAGCTGTACATGGACAAGGTCCTTGGGCGCATGTGGTCCTGAATGGCAGGCGCATCAGGGTCTGGATGCGCTCAGCCTGGAGAGCTCGGGGCACTGCCACCCTTAAGTCAGGTGTGGCCAGGAAGGGCTGAATGGCTGGGAATCCTCTCAAGGCACTTTCAGTATGTGAGGGAGATCTGGATCCTTCTCCCCGGAGAAGGGAGAATGATTATTGGATGATGAGATTGTGGTGCTGGAGAGGGCTCTCCCCTCTCCCTAAGATGTCCACCCCTCACCTGACTGGTTACCTTTTTTAGAAAGGAGGGAGGTTAGCTCCTGGGCGTGGGCATTCCCAGGACCCAGAACACTGCTGAGGGGGTGCCACCTGTTGGCAGCTCCCACTCTAGTCCTGCTATCTCAGCCTGCTGTTTGTTTTCTCTGGAGTTTTTGCACCAGCCAGAGGGCAGCCATCTTTGCTGTTGGAACTCTTCTTATCAGACCACATTTCATGTCTGTGGCCGCTCGGCATCTATAGGGATAAGTAGTGAAGGGACTGCCATGGCTTGCAGAATCGCAGGTGTCTTCTTCGACCCCAGGTGCTTCATACGGTTCTTGCTTTGTGTGTTCTGTGATTTGGCTGCTTGGGACTGCTTCTGAGAGTCCCCATTTCAGTCAGGCTCTCCCAGCAGGAGAGACCTGTCCAAGTGTGCACCTACTCTGCCACCCTAGCATCCAGTGAAGCCACAGCAGACAAGAGCCCACAGAGCAAATGTCTACATGGACTGAAACTGCACACTCCTGCTGTGCCAGCACTCAGCGGCCTTGCTGACCTAGGGTGCAGCTAAAAGCTCATTCTCCAGAGCCTGAGTTCTTTGTGCTTTCCTGCCTACCATGTCATTCCACCCATAGAGGGAGGTGATAAAATATTCCAAATTTGAAAGGTAAAGAAAAGAGAATGTCACTGAGTGGCCTGAACCAAAGCTCATGGATACTGGAGATGAAGAACCAGCAGGAGACCCCAGGTGTGCTCTCATCCGTACTCTGTGACACCCCTTAGTGGACTGTTCCAACCAGTTGGGCCCGGGAGAAGGACTAGGGAAGCTTCCTTCCCATCTGCACCTCCCAGCCTGGAGAGGAGCCTGTGACTTGCCCTGTTCCTTGGCTCCTCAGGCTGGGGTAAGGTGTGGGGGTGGCTCCAGCCTTGAGGCCAGTCTCCTGATGCTGGATTCCTTGTTTTCCCTGCAGGCATCAAACAGAAAGGCCTTTTGCTAAGTAGCAGCCTGATGCACTCCGAGTCAGAGCTGGACAGCGATGATGCCATCTTTACATGGCCAGACCGAGAGAAGGGCAAACTCCTGCATGGTCAGAATGGCTCTGTACCCAACGGGCAGACCCCTCTGAAGGCCAGGAGCCCGCGGGAGGAGATCCTGTAGCCACCTGGTCTGTCTCCTCAGGGCAGGGCCCAGCACACTGCCCGGCCAGTCCTCCTACCTCCCGAGTCTGCGGGCAGCTGCTGTCCCAGCATCTGCTGGTCATTTCGCCCTGACAGTCCCAACCAGAACCCCTGGGACTTGAATCCAGAGACGTCCTCCAGGAACCCCTCAACGAAGCTGTGAATGAAGAGGTTTCCTCTTTAAACCTGTCTGGTGGGCCCCCAGATATCCTCACCTCAGGGCCTCCTTTTTTTGCAAACTCCTCCCCTCCCCCGAGGGCAGACCCAGCCAGCTGCTAAGCTCTGCAGCTCCCCAGTGGACAGTGTCATTGTGCCCAGAGTGCTGCAAGGTGAGGCCTGCTGTGCTGCCCGCACACCTGAGTGCAAAACCAAGCACTGTGGGCATGGTGTTTCCCTCTCTGGGGTAGAGTACGCCCTCTCGCTGGGCAAAGAGGAAGTGGCACCCCTCCCCTCACCACAGATGCTGAGATGGTAGCATAGAAATGATGGCCGGGCGCGGTGGCTCACGCCTGTAATCCCAGCACTTTGGGAGGCCGAGGCGGGCGGATCATGAGGTCAGGAGATCAAGACCACCCTGGCTAACACGGTGAAACCCCATCTCTACTAAAAATAAAAAAAAAAATTAGCCGGGTTTGGTGGCGTATGCCTGTAATCCCAGCTACTCGGGAGGCTGAGGCAGGAGAATTGCTTAAACCTGGGAGGTGGAGGCTGCAGTGAGCCAAGATCGTGCCACTGCACTCCAGCCTGAGTGACAGAGCAAGACTCCGTCAAAAAAAAAAAAAAAAAAAAAGAAATGATATCTGGCCCCCCCTTAACACTGGAGCCCCACTCCCTTCTCCCATCCGGCCCGAGATTAGGGAGGATTGACTGTGTCAGGGATGGCGGGTGGCCTCTCTCGCTGCCAGGGCCCTTGTCAGAGCAGCCAGGCTGGACAGACGGCCTCCCTCCTCTCCATCTGACCGGCACCTGCTGCTTCGGGGCTTAGGCCACCGCTCCCTGTCCCCAGAGGAGATAGCCCCAGATGGACTGGAATGTTGTGGCATGAGAGCGCATGTGTGCGATGGCCCCGCTGTGGTCCCCTCTCTGTCCCTCCATCTGTATGTGTTCTGTGTCCCTTGCATGTGTGCGTGTTAGAGTGAGCGCGTATGCATCAACTCATTGGGCTCTTGGCTGCTCACAAGGCAAATTTGACTTGGAAAGACTTTCATCTCCTTGGAACCAAGACTTCCTGAGTCCCCCTCACCCTGGCCCTGTTCCACCATGGTTATCTGGGTATTGGGGAATGGAAACTTTGGGGGAGTGACTTTTTAAAGAGACACTTATAATTTCTACTACTGCACTACTGTCCATTGTGGGATGATTAAACATGGTATTTAACTGTGCACTCTGTCTGCTGGGTGTGCTGCTTCACGCTACGTCTCGGACCCGTGCACAGCTCCCACCCCCTGGGCAGCCCTGTGAGGTCGTGTCCTCTGGCAAGGAAGTTTTGGGCCTGGCATCAGCACATGCAAGCAGTGGTGCTGGGCCCTGCCTGCCACTGGTGGGTGGGAGTGCACCACCCCAGTACCCCTGCTGGCTTTAAGGGAGGAGGGTTGATGTCCCTTCTTCCCATATCTTTTGTTAACACAAAAATGATCATGTCCACCTGTGACCAAGCTGGGGAGACACAGAGTGTCCTAAAGTCCAGGGTGTGGCTTTAGAAATTTTGACCACTCATCTTCCCTTTGGTGTTCCCAAATAGTAGAGGTTGGCCACATGCCCCCAAATGTGTTGACTGTACCTAGTTCACAGAGCACTTTGCTGGGTATGTGGCTTGGGAGGGCTGGTGCACAGCCTAGCACTCCCAAGACAGGGAGGACGGAAGGACCACTGAGCTCATGCTCCCTCCAGGGCCCTGGGCACAAAACCCTGCTGCAGGAGGGCAGCAGTGGCTGTTTTTACAGATCGAGAGCCAAGGCATAGTGAGATGAAGTAACTTAATCTACACACATGGTGACAGAGGAGAACTCAGGCCCGGCAGAGCCTTGCTCGCTCTGCAGCAGTCTCCAACCTCAAGACGAGAGGCTTCTTCAGACAGGTTGCTGGGTTTCTAATTCAGTAGGTCTGGGGAAGGGGGAGGACATAAGAATTTGCCTTTCTAACAGGTTCCCAGGAGATGCTGATGCGCTGGTCCTGGGCCTCCCTTTAGAACCTCTGGCCTAGAAGCACAGTCAATGCCGCATGAATAGGAACCAGCACATGTCCCATCCTGAGTGAGGGTGAAAGAAGTAAGTTTAGTAAAGGGAGGTCTCGAATCTGCCAAGGAGTGTCCTCCAAGCTAAGGGCACAGGTTTGCTCAGTTGACGGGTGGAGGTCGGGGGCAGTGTTGCAGCCCAAACACAGCCACAGCAGACAGGCTCTGTGGAGCGGAGGGCACTCCAGAGAGTGGCCAGATGAAAAACAAGTTGGCCCGCACACAGTGGAAGCCATTGGCAGCTCGGGCAACAGAACAGTGGAGCTGGGTACAGGCCAGACTGCACAGAATAGCTGGATGGGAGGCGATAAGGCCTTGGTGAGGTTGGTGCATCGGGAATAGCTTCAAAGGATTTGGGAAGGAACCGCAGGACCCGACCACTTACTAGCTTTGTAGTAAAAAAGGGAGGCTTCCCTTTTCCTCTGGGCCTCTTTTCTCCATCTTGTTTACCCTCAGCTACAACCCACTGAAGGATATATATACATATATATATTTTAGTTGGAATTTTGCTCTTAAATGGGGAGCTGAATCCTGGGAACACTGGCAATCATGATTTTTCTTCTTTTTTTGAGACAGAGTCTTGCTCTGTTGCCCAGGCTGGAGTGCAGTGGCGTGATAACTGCAAGCTCCGCCTCCTGTATTCAAGCAGTTCTCCTACCTCAGCCTCCCCAGTAGCTGGGATTACAGGCATGCACCACCACGCCCGGCTAATTTTTGCATTTTTAGTAGAGATGGGGTTTCACCATGTTGGCCAGGCTGGTCTTGAGCTCCTGACCTCAGGTGATTCACCCACCCGGCCTCCCAAAGTGCTGGGATTGCAGGCCAATCATGATTTTTCTTGGCATTTATTAGTTGGTTAAATAAAGCATTAAAAGAGAGAAAGTGCCATCCTGTTGGAGCAGTTGAAGCTTTTCCCCAGGTAATGCCCCTGTCTTCAAGTGGATCCTAGGAGCCTAGAATCCTCCCCCTCTGAAACCTGGGGCTCTATATGGGGGCTGTTGACAATTTCTATGCTTTCAGCCACGGTGCAGCACTCAGCCTTTTGTCCCCAACCCGCTTGCAAGTTCATGAGGCTAGACCCATAACTTCTGTTTTGCAACACTCTTACCTCTAACACAGCACAGATATTAAAACATCTTACGTGAGCTACATGATCTGGGAGTAAATGCCTCAGAAGTTTCTCATTCTGATTCTGTTACGTAGAAATAAAACAAACACACGAGTTTCAATAGCGTCAGATGAAAACAGTTCCTGTCTTGCTACCCATAATCTGTATGTTCCATCAGTGATTAAGGGACAGCAGTAGAGAAACCACAGAAACCATAAACATGGCTGTTTTCAGGAGCGACCAGTGCACACCACTTTATTCCTATCTTATCTCAGAAATCCCAAGCTATCTCTCTTAAAAGCACGAGGCACTTTTAAACATGGTACTCTTTGGAAATACCAAATACCATACTCTTATTTGGGAAAGCAATATAAACTTCAGCATTTCAAAACCACCAATGTCAACTTACCCATCATCCTATCCCTAGTCTCCACCACAGGAACTGGGATGCCCTTTGAAGTGTGCCCATGATGAACACAGAGCCTGACAAACATCAACATAGGCATGCGGAGAGGTTCCAGGAGCACAGGAGGGGGACACAATCTGACCAGCCCAGGGATGTGACAGAGGTGGTTTCTCAAAGGAAAACGCCAGTTAAGGCGGGGAGGGAGATGGCAGATCTGGTCGCTGCTGGTTTCTCCCACACAAATCCTCCAATGGAACCTGGCCTAGGAAGTTCCCAGGGAGTGCTACTTGGGGAGAGAATAAAGAGATGGAATGAAAATACTGAACTGTAACATATAAGATGGGGATGGGGTGATGACTGTAACCTAGTCTTTCCATAGGACGATGGTAGAAATACTCATTTGAGAAAGTCAGGCATTCATCTTAAAAACATTGAGAAAGCCACTGAAAATTCAGAACTAGAATGTAGAACATCTAAACCAGACAAGGAAAGAAAAAAATTAAAAGATTTCAACCAACCCATCAGCAGGAAGGGAGGGAAAAAAAATCAGCATGAAAAATGTGACCACTTAATAGGCATTAGTTTTCAGATTGGATGTTAACGACAAAACCACTACCACCAAACAGAACTTAACAGACTGGGTTTAATTGTAAATCTCTATTTACAGGACAGACAACTAAAGCATCACATAGACTGAAAATAAAAAGACAAGATACACTGGGGCTTTGGATCCTATTAAGACAGTGAACTAGCGTATGCTACAGGTTCCCTTCCCCAAAAATCAACCCTAGAAAAACAACATCATCAACTGAGGCACCACTACCACAAATCAAACCAAACTGAAAACTCCCCACAAATCCTGTAAGAATCCCCAAAGATGGCCGGGCGCGGTGGCTCACGCCTGTAATCCCAGCACTTTGGGAGGCCGAGACGGGCGGATCACGAGGTCAGGAGATCGAGACCATCCTGGCTAACACGGTGAAACCCCGTCTCTACTAAAAATACAAAAATTAGCCGGGCATGGTGGCGCGCGCCTGTAGTCCCAGCTACATGGGAGGCTGAGGCAGGAGAATGGCGTGAACCCGGGAGGCGGAGCTTGCAGTGAGTCGAGATCGCGCCACTGCACTCCAGCCTGGGCAACAGAGCGAAACTCCGTCTCAAAAAAAAAAAAAAAAAAAAAATCCCCAAAGATGCAGGTGATAAAGTGGGAGGGGAGGTAGGGCATCAGGGAGATGTCTGCTCTTGCTGGACATGGGACTGCCAGTCAAGTCACTGATGTCAGTGGGACACTATCAGGGCAGCCCAAAGCTCTGCTGAGGAGAAAGAGGGGTGGGCTGGGCAGCTGCTCTTAGGTTTGAAATTCCAAGCCCTTGTTCCCTCCAAAGCCTCAAGAGCTGGCAGAGGATGACTGGAAATTGTGCCTCCTCGCAGTGCTGCTTCCTACAGGTCTGAAGGTGAATCTTGGAACACTCCTGGTGGAGTGGTCAACAGCAACTGTGAGGGACCTGGAGGTCATGAACTTCCCTTCTTCAACTCACTGGGAGGGACAGGGTAGAGCCTGGCTTTGGCCTTTCACCAACAAATACTACAGAGAAGCTGGTGCTGTGAAGGAACATGAGCTCACAGGCCAAAATAACCAGATGCCACCTGAGGAGCCCAAGCCCCTGCCCACAAAGACAGCAAACTGAACTAGAATTCAAAACAAACCGGGAAATGTTGGCAATCTGAAACAGGAACAAGGACCAAGCAGATTTTTTTTTTTTTTTTTTAAGAGACGGAGTCTCACTCTGTCACCCAGGCTGGAGTGCAATGGTGTGATCTCAGCTCACCGCAACCTCTGCCTCCCAGGTTCAAGAGATACTCCTGCCTCAGCCTCCTGAGTACCTGGGATTACAGGTGCCCACCACCACACCTGGCTAATTTTTGTATTTTTAGTAGAGACGGGGCTTCACCATGTTGGCCATTCTGGTCTCAAACTCCTGACCTCAGGTGATCCACCCACTTCGGCCTCCCACAGTGCTGGGATTACAGGTGTGAGCCACCGCACCCGGCTCCAGATAGAAATATTAAGGGTGAAAAAATTAACAAATGGGATAGGACAGATATATCTCACAACAAATCCATGAGGTGGGGCATCATACTGAGGGCCTCTGCCAAAACAAAGCAGGAAAATAAAAACGTGGGAACACCCCCCCACACACATACAGAGCAGTCCAGGGACAGAGCAGAAGTGCCAAATCTGAATAATGGGAGTCGCAGAAGGAAAGAGAAAAAAAAATGGAGAAAATATTTGGAAAAATAATGAGAATACATTTCCCAGAATTAAAGAAAGATCAAAGGACTCATAGAATAATTAGTAAGAAAACTGTACAAACAGAAACATTGTAGTGAAAGACATTTAAGACCAATAAGAAAAGCAGAAATTCTGAAAGCTCTCAGAGAAATAACAGATCAAATCAGATGGACATCAGGCTTTTTAACAGTATCAGATGAAAAAAGAAAGGAAGTGCTAAAGGAGAGAACTTTGACCCCAAAATGTATAGTAAGACAAACTCACTAACTTGAGTGTAATAAAAAAATATTCTCAGGCGGCCGGGCAAGGTGTGTGACGCCTGTAATCACAGCACTTTGGGAGGCCGAGGCAAGAGGATTGCTTGAGGCCAGGAGTTCGAAACCAACCTGGTCAATATAGCGAGACCCCATCTCTACAAAATAAACATTTTGAAAATTAACTCCACATGGTAGCACACGCCTGTAGTCCCAGCTACTCCAGAGGCTGAGGCAGGAGGACTGCTTGAGCCCAGGAGTTATAGAGGCTGCAGTGAGCCATGATTATGCCACTGAGCTCCAGCCTAGGTGACAGAGCAACACCTTGTCTCAAAAAAAAAAAATTCTCAGGGACACAAGGCTTCAGTAACTTTTTCACAAAAGGGCCCATTTAGAACATATTCTTGCAAGAAGTGGTCAAATATAGAAAAATTAATCTAGACATGGGAAGAGAGATGGGAAGTGATGGTGAGCAAATACGCTGGCAAAGTTTGTAGTCTGAAACAGGACTAACAAAAAGGAAAAAAAACCTGTAAGTATATAATAAAATAATTTACATAGTAAGTAAGAGTGGGCAAGACCAAAGGAACATAAAAGTCTAACAAAGTCTTACTAGGAGAAGATTTAGATGGTAAGTTAAAGAAACCAACAGGGGTAAACAAACATGATTAGTATTAAGAGTAATATGTTGGTCTGAGTGTTGTGGGTTATTGTTAAGCTGATTTACCATTGTCTCCCCCCACAACCACGCTTGACTAGCTTTGCATTTTGGCCTGGCGCAGTGGCTCAGGCTTGTAATCCCAGCACTTTGAAAGGATGAGGCAGGTGGGTCACGATGTCAGGAGTTTGAGACCAGTGTGACCAATATGGTGAAACCCCGTCTCTACTAAAAATACAAAAATTATCCGGGCATGGTGGCATGCGCCTGTAGTCCCAGCTACTTGGCAGGCTGAGGCAAGAGAATCGTTTGAACCCGGGAGGCGGAGGTTGCAGTGAGCTGAGACCGCACCATTGCACTCCAGCCTGGTGGACAGAGCGAGACTCTTGTCTCAAATTAAAAAAAAAGTAATATCAATAAAAGTAGAAAGTATTACTTTCTTAAACAAGTAGAAGAAAATTTGTTACTCAGTGGGAAGCAAGGGGATAAACCGAAAAGTTCAGTAAACAGAAATTGTGAAAAAAAAAAAAAACCCACAAAACTAAACAGCAGAAATAAGTTCTATTAGCCGTAATTAAGTTTAAGGTGTTTACATATGAACTTAACACCAGACTCTGGCCTCTTCCTTCCAGTCTCCACTGCCCTCCCTGCATGGAGACAGTGGCCTCTGAGGAGGTGAAGGCCTCCTCAAACCATGGACACATGTGCACGTGGTGAGGGGGTCTCCTGGTAAGGCAGCCACCACCTAGCAGCAGGGTAAGAGGGGCAGTGGGTGGCTGGAATGGTTGGGAGGTTAATTACACTGTGCAAACAAGTTCCTCATTGAGAAAATAAGTACATATACTGAGGATAATGGGAGCCAGGTTTCACACTTTTTGAGAAAGGATTATGAATGTGGAAAGGGAGAGAAGGCTGCAAAGAATCCTGAGGTGTTGAACTGAAATTGGAAAAACTGGAATCAACTCACAGGTTTAAAGAAACAAACTACATACACACACACACATGGATATAGATGTGTATAGTTATATGAATATGTGGTTATTGATTGGTTGCTCTACCCACTGAGAGGGCATAGAAGCAATTTTACCTTAGTAGCAGTGAGCACGCCAAGTGCTAAGGTCTTATGGCTCTATAGAGAGATGACTGATTCCAAAAGAGTACCACAAAATCCTGGAATATCTTAAGAAATGCTGAAAAACGGACAGGAACATGTCAGAAGGACATAAAAGCCAGCTAGAAGGGGCTTCCGTTGGTCAAATATATGACAATTTGAGTATCAAAATAAATGAGCATCAGAATACAACCTACTGAATAAGATAGGAACCTAAGAGTCTATAATGACATATATAAATGAATAAAAAATAACAAAGACTCTCAATATAAACATTTTTAAACAATCTAACAATTATAGGACAAAAAAGATGGGGGAAAAACAGGCAAATATTAACCAAGAGAAACTGGGGGAGCAATATTTACAGTATCTGATAAAACAATTCAATGCAAAAAGGAAAAAAGGTGGGATACACAGATAAGAAAGAACAATGAAACAAACAATGTAAATAGGAGGAGTATTAGTATCCCTCAAACACAGCCTGAAAACTGACAAGGCTGCTAGCAGGCAAGGGAGGGTGGACAAACACTTGGGTTAAAAAGGGAAATGGGAAACACTTTTAGGCTGATGACCGCATCATTGTGCCTGAATCGGGAAACACACCTAAAGCAGTACTGAGAGGAAAAAGTTGTAGATTTTAAATCATTTTCAGGAAACAAGAAAGATTAACAATGAATGAAGCAATCATTCAATCATTTAAAGAATGAACAACTGGAAAAAAAAAACAAGAAAAGAGAAGGAAAGTATTAATAAAATTAGAAATACATGAAATAAGACTCAGCCAAATGCTGGTTCTTTGAAAAGGTTAAGAATGACCGGGAAAATGAGAAGATGCAAACACAATACAAAATTTAAAAAGGAAATAATTATGAACTATATGTTATAAACCTGAACATATAGATGAAAATGAGGAAGTTAAAATGCAAATTGGCAAGACATTAAAAACTTGAGTAGACCAATGGGCATTAAGTAAATAAAAATGGCAAAGACCTCCCCTTAGGGGACAAAACAAAACACCAGAATCAAGAGATAAATAAAATTTAAGATTTCATTTGTGTGAAACACACACACACACACACACACACACACACACACACGAATTAGGTTGGCTAGCTAATAGTTTTGTTTTTTTTTTTCTTTGAGACAGAGTCTCGCTCTGTCTCCCAGGCTGGAGTGCAGTGGCACAATCTCGCCTCACTGCAAGCTCCACCTCCTGGGTTCACACCATTCTCCTGCCTCAGCCTCCCCGAGTAGCTGGGACTACAGGCGCCTGCCACCACGCCCAGCTAATTTTTGTATTTTTAGTTAAGATGGAGTTTCACCATGTTGGTCAGGCTGGTCTCAAACTCTTGACCTCGTGATCCGCCTGCCTCGGTCTCCCAATGTGCTGGGATTACAGGTGTGAGCCACCGTGGCCGGCCAAACTTATTTAAGAGTTTGTTGGCGGGGTGTGGTGGCTCGCGCCTGTAATCCCAGCACTTTGGGAGGCTGAGGCAGGAGGATTACCTGAGGTCAGGAGTTTGAGACCAGCCTGGCCGACATGGTTAAACCCGCCTCTACTAAACATACAAAATTAGCCAGGCGTGGTGGCACATGCCTGTAGTCCCAGCTACTTGAAAGGCTGAGGCAGGAGAATCGCTTGAACCTGAGAGATGGAGGTTGCAGTGAGCGGAGATCGCGCCGCTGCACTCCAGCCTGGGCAACAAGAGCGAAACTCCATCTCAAAACAAAACAAAAAAACAAAAACAAAACACAACAACAACAAATGTGTTTTCTCACCTTGCAATATTGATAACCTTTTTTGTTGTGATGAGAAGTTCCAGTTCCGTTTAGTGGTAATGTGACAGTGGGCATTACCGGTGTATTCGTTAGGATACTGGTTTGGCTACTTTAATGAAGAGGAAAAAAAAAGGCTTTAAATAAGATGAAAGTTCCTCTCTTATGTGAAGGTCTGAGCTAGTAGGCAGACCAGGAGAGACAGGTGGCTCTGTCCATGAGGTTAATGTACTTCTGGTATGCTGCCCTTTCCCACATGGACAAAACTGGTTTGCCATGACCACGTTCATGCTCCAGATCAGAGGAAAAAGGGAAGACAAGAGAGGAGCATGCATTTTCCTTTTAGGAGTGTAGCCTGGGAGATGTAAACTCACATCTGCTTCCATGCCATTGGTCAAAACTTCGTCCCATGGTCACTCCTAACTACAAGTTAGCCTGGAAAATACACTTTTTTACCAAGGGAGCCACTGCCTAGCTAAAACTTTTGGGGAAGGAGCAGTTCTGTTAATGAAGTGAAGCGTGGGGAGATTGCTGTTGTACCGTTGTCTTGTTCCTAAACTGATGACATATATAACCTACCAAGTAAAAGAAGTTTCATAGATTTAAGGTTTTTCTCCCAATTAAAAAATAAATTTATGACCTGGCATTCATATGCAAAGAAATATAAATAGGCCAGATGTAGTGGCTCATGCCTGTAATCCCAGCACTTTGGGAGGCCAAGGCAGGCAGCAGATCACCTGAGGTCAGGAGTTCGAGACCAGCCTGCCCAACATAGTGAAACCCCATCAAATACAAAAATTAGCCAGGCATGGTGGCGTGCACCTGTAGTCCCAGCTACTCAGGAGGCTGAGGCAGGAGAATCACTTGAACCCAGGAGGCAGAGGTTGCAGTGAACCAAGATCGAGCCACTGCACTCCAGCCTAGGCAACAGAGCGAGACTCCATCTCAAAGAAAAAAAGAAATATTAGCCAGGCGTGGTGGTTCACACCTGTAATCCCAACACTTGGGAGGCTGAGGTGGGCAGATCACTTGAGGTCAGGAGTTTGAGAACAGCCTGGCCAACATGGCAAAACCCCGTCTCTACTAAAAATACAAAAATTAGCCAGGTGTGGTGGCATACACCTGTAATCCCAGCTACTTAGGAGGCTGAGGCAGAAGAATCACTAGAACCCAGGAGGCGGAAGTTGTAGTGAGCCAAGATCGCACCGCTGCACTCCAGCCTGAGCAACAGTGAGACTGTGTCTCAAAACAAACAAAAAGAAATATAAAGAAAAAAACTAATAAACTCTATCATATGCTGTTCCTATATATACTGATATACATGCCCATTTCTTTCTTTTTTCTTTTTTTTTGAGACAGTCTTACTCTGTTGCCCTGGCTGGACAGTGTAGTGGCCTGATCTCGGCTCACTGCAACCTCCGCCTCCCAGGTTCAGGTGATTTTCCTGCATCAGCCTCTGAAGCAGCTGGGATTATAGGCACCTGCCACCACGCCCAGCTAATTTTTGTACTTTTAGTAGAGATGGGGTTTCACCATGTTGGCCAGGCTGGTCTCGAGCTCCTGACCTCAAGTGATCTGTCCATCTTGGCCTCCCGAAGTGCTGGGATCACAGGCACGAGCCATCGTGCCCAGCCCCATTTTTCAATATAGTGAAAATATCAATGGATTCTTGTGATGTTGATTACTATTGATATGCACATAAGCACAAGTGAAGAATTTGTAATTTTGTTTGATTCAAATATGTAGAATTGGTTATATAAATAGAGTATTATGTTTTGCAGAAGCCAAAGTGCTATACTTAGTAAAAATTCAGACTGTAGTGTGGGAATTAACATTTATTTAATGTGTTAGTACAGGCCAGGAAATTTGCATGTAATAAAAAATATCTGACATTTGAAAGCCTACCATGTGCCAGGCACAACTTAATAAGGGAGTTATACCCACTTTATAGATAACAAAACTGAGGCACAGAGAGGTTAATTTTTATTTACTTATTTTTTTATTTATTTTTTTGAGACGGAGTCTCGCTCTGTTGCCCAGGCTGGAGTGCAGTGGCACGATCTCGGCTCACTGTAAGCTCCGCCTCCCGGGTTCACGCCATTCTCCTGCCTCAGCCTCCCGAGTAGCTGGGACTACAGGCGCCCGCCACCACGCCCGGCTAACTTTTGTATTTTTAGTAGAGACAGGGTTTCACCATGTTAGCTAGGATGGTCTCGATCTCCTGACCTCATGATCCTCCTGCCTCGACCTCCCAAAGTGCTGGGATTACAAGTGTGAGCCACCGTGCCTGGCCTGAGGTTAAGTAATTTACCTAAAGTTATACAACCAGTAAGTAGAAACACTAGGCTTCGACGCCTATGATCTCTCCACTACATAGCATTGCCTCTCAATCACTATTCTCTTCAATGATGATAGCACAGTGTAACAGACAAGTGCTAGTCTAGAGGAGTTCAGGGTATGATTGCTTCTTTCCTAAAACTTCAACTCAATACCCTAGGAGACTTCTTTGGAAAATTAAATTCTGAATTCATTAATAGAAATTCATTTTACATTAGATCTTTTGGGAAAACCTGTTTTATAAATTTAGGATTGCCACAAGGCAGGTAGGTAGAAAGTCGATACGGAATTTGAAAGTACAGCTGCATAATACCAAGACAACTCTGAAGTCGAAGGAAAATGCTATTTAGTCTTACATTCCTGTTTTAAACATGTATTTATACTTAAGAATGAACATATCCTTTATTCTAGTCTTACAATTTCATTAAAGTTGAACTGATGTAGGCTTTGTAAATCTCAAAAAAGTTTGCCTGAAATGATATGTATAAATGATCTCTGATATTTCTACCTGTTGGGACTTTGAATATAGTCAGTAAATTAGCTAAAAATGGGAACAAGTCTTTTGATGGAAAAAAGGAAATAAAAGAACTTGCAATGAAAAAATATGTTGACTGGACTACATAAAAAAAATTTCTTTCTCGGAAACTGCTCTCTTTCTTTGTAATTTTACTAATTGCTGGGTCATACCAATAAGGTCAATCAGAAAAAGAGATTTCAAATTCTTTTAAGACGTAAAGAAGAAGAACTCACCCATCAAATACAAATATACTATTTTATTCTAAGGGAATATTTCTGTGGTTTCTGTAAGGGGAAAACCTAAAAGTGGTTAAAAACTGAAAAAGAACAAAAAGGATGATTTAGATGTTTTTGTTTGATGTTTTTTTCTCCCCTGGAAAAAAAATGTAATTTTACACAATTTTCATAAAATTAAAAAAGCAATAATCAGACGCACACATCAACAGCTACACTTATGAGGAATGACCAATAATTAATCAATATTTTCTCTTATGAATAAATTTAGGGTTCTGGGCAACTCTGTGGACTAACATGCAAATGAAATCCTGATACAGTCATTTATCTGGGTATTGGGTGTTCTCAGTAAAAGATACAGATTTTTTTTTCTGGTATTTCATAACAATTTATCTACTATGCTAACAATATTTGTTTTTTCATACAACTACAGAAGGGGAAAATGTTAGTGTTTATACAAACCATAAAATTCGTATAGTGGGGACTATTACACTTGCTATTTCTGGATAGTTTATTGGCAGACTTATCAGACAATCCAATTATTTGTCCTCCATATCGAACAAGGTATGGAGTAAGAAGTTTTCCAGTCAGAAATGACAAACACAGATGGAATTAATCATACAGAATCGGGGTGGATTTACTTCTTTCATACAGTTCTTGGTAACAAAAATGAGATTTGTTACAGGCAGAGGGACAGAACCACCAAGTACACAATGTCAGAAGGCCTACTTTTTTCATTTTAGTTTTACTTAAATGCCTTTTATTTGTTAAAAAAGAAATACACCTGCCACCCCCACCTAAAAAATGAGATACCCTGAAAAGTCTTTCAAGATTAAAATTTCTAAGAGGCTTTTTGACATCTCTCAGTTTTATCATAGCGTCAAATTAACCTTAGCTGAAGAAGTTCTGCAATTGGCAAACGTCATAAAAGCTTTGATTCCAAATTTTGTGGGGAAGAAACTGAGAATGGAGATGAGGGAGATGGACTGATATGCCACACACACCTATGACTTGCAATCCTCATAGAACTACTGAAACAGCTAGAGTTTGGAATAATGCTCTAAGACCTGCTTATGGATATGCAAGACAATGTCTTTGTATCCTCACCCCAGAATCCCTATTTTCAAGTTTCAAGGGCAACAAGGTCATCTTCCAAATGCTTTATATAGGAACCTAACTAGGACCTTTTCTATCATAATTCAGATAGCTAAGTAATACTGTATCTTTGTGGAATCACTCACAGGTTTGCCAGAGTAAGAAAAGAGACTATCCTTTTTGAAATGACAAGGGCCTCCAGAAACTGGTGCAAAAGACAAAATAAGAGGAACTGTTTGGGAAATAGGAAGGTAAAACAACGGGAGAAAAGCTGCCATTGGGGAAAAAAAATGAAAATAAAAGGAGAACCCCCATTTCTCTGTACCACAGCTCAGGCTGTGAGACAGCTGCAATAAGGGCCCACACCCAGAGAAGGGGCATTTTAGTGGGTTTCTACAAACATTTCAAGACACTTGGGGTCTGATAGGCTCCACAGATTTTCTGTGTGCATAATTAGTTTGTGGAATATCATCCCCTTTACCTTAGTTTACCCACATCCAGACCCACCGCTGAGAAGGCTTGATCCAGAAAATGAAAGGGACACATTACTGTTAACAGCAGTGAAGGTCATTTTCCCTGATGTGAGGGGCCCATGGCAAAAGCTTCTGTCCTTCACATGATTGGCTTGGCAGTGAAAATCAAAATCAATCAAGACCACTTCACTATCTTTTTTAAAAAGTTGAGTATTTTTATTGGGTCTTCAAATCTGGGTCCCACAGTCCTCATTTGATGTCACTCTTAGCTCTGTACTGATCTCTCCTCTGACTTTTACGGAGGGCTTGCCAAAGTAGCCTATTGCAGCCAAAGTTTCACTCCAAAGCTACCTCTCTAAGGTCTAAGGTTACTATGGTAAAGTTTTATACAACAGTTTTCCTTAAAAATATTCCACGATTTGTTACTCCCAAACAAAATAAGATTATGCACCACTCGGAGAAATTAGTCATTCTGAAGATGTCTAAGAACTATATCACTGCCAAAGAACATTTCTCAGTTCATATTCTTTCCTTCAATTTTCATTTGCACATCCACACTGTGGGGTTCACAAGTCATCTGTTTTCCATGATCTTATGGTCAAGTCAAGAGGACTTAGACTTATACATCATTTTCCAACAGCTGGATGCATTCACAGTTTGGTGCATACCAATATGTATGAAAATAAGAACCTCACTTCCGTTTTAATCTGATAATTCAACATCAGAGTCTTCAGATTTGGCTTTGGCAAGTTCTTCATGTACCTCCCTCACCATGAGAATACGTGTTAACATGGTGTCCAGGGTTCCAGGGTCTATCGGGAATGTGGAGTACCACATGGGGCTATTCGGGACACAGGAGCGCTCAGGTTGAAGGTAAAACACATCATTCCTTTGCTTCACACTTTCAGAACTATCCACAGGGGAAAAAAAAAAAGAGAAAAAAGAAAATTAGAAATCAGAGAGTATAGGAAATATGTACTATTCTTAAGTAAACTGAGGTTTTTGCCATTAAAAGTAATTAAAAGTAAGGGCAAAAACTGCAATTATTTTTGCACCAACCTAATATGGCTCTCAACCTTTCTCCACTGTGACTCACAATGGGGAAAGCAAGGTACCCACAGAGATAAATAGTTTACAGGAATATTTCCTCCCAGGAATCAACTGAAATCACAATGGATTGGAAGTGAGTATAAAGTTAATATAAGACAAAGTGTAAATCATAAACTTTAGTACTTCAAACATTATTAAGAGCAACAAAAAAGTCAACTCACATGTGACACTATGGCCAAGCACCACATATTGGAAGTGCCCAATATCCTGGAATGAACTCCAAGGGCACTCAATACACATTATCAAAGGGCAAATGAAGCTATTACATTTCTTTCAGAAAAAAAAGTGTTACAACTCTAAAATCATAAAGTTCCTCTAAGAAAAGGACTACTTAGAAAATTTCAATTCCTTAAAAATTGTTTTTCTATTATAGCTTTAGCAAAACAAAATTTCTTTTCTATACAAATAACAAAATAACTACAGATTAGGTATCACATAAAGGTTGTACAACAGTTGTAAAGATCAAACAATAGCAGTGATTCTTGCTTTTGAAGACATTTTCATAAAATAATTATGAAGACAAGGTAATTTGTTTTGTGGTTCAAAATCCACATAGATATGACAATGGGGAAAAAATTCATGGTAAATCCTTGTCTAAAGCCACGGGCAAGCTACTTTTCTGATGTTCAAGCATCTGAAATCCAAAATATGTTAACTGCCTTCTGAGTGCACTACATTCAGTTCAGAGAAAGATTACCATTTTGACAGGTAAAACTCATAAAGTCGGACTGGGCATCTTAGTGGATTGTCAGTATTCTCTGCCATCTCCACCCCCACTGGAACCTCATCATCTTCATTTCGTTTCCTCTTGCCAACAGTCAGTTTATCTTGAGACAGGAAATAATAATCAAAGGATTATATTAGAAAAGTCTATTCTTTGAGTCTCAAGACACCAATGAGCTTTGCTTCGCAGCCAGAACTTTGTCATTTCCTCCCTTTCACTCACTCACACTCATTCAACAAATACTGAGTGCCTATGAAGGTGCCAGACATTATTTTAAGTGCTGGATTCTATGGCATTAAACAAAGTCCCTATCCCATGAATTTTATGCTCCCCTGCTCACCAAAGTGGGGGCACCATGACAAAAAGTATGGCACTGGCACTGGAAAACGTCTCTATTCTGAGCCTGACTTTATTAATAAACTTCATTAGGCACAGGGTTCCTGAGACATATCAAGATAAAGCAGAAAGAAGGGTTCCACATGTTTTTCTCCTACAGTAGAGATCAAGACAGAAGTTGCCATCTCTTTTTTTTTTTTTGAGACGGAACTTTGCTCTTCTTGCCCAGGACGGAGTGCAACGGCGAAATCTCCGCTCACTGCAGCCTCCACCCAGGTTCAAGGATTCTCCTGCCTCAGCCTCCCAAGTAGCTGGGATTACAGGCGCCTGCCACCATGCCCAGCTAATTTTTTTGTATTTTTAGTAGAGACAGGTTTTCACCATGTTGGCCAGTCTGGTCTCGAACTCCTGACCTCAGGTGATCAGCCCACCTCGGCCTCCCAAAGTGCTGGGATTACAGGCATGAACCACCGTGCCCGGTCGCCATCTCTCTTTTAAGAGACAGGGTCTCACTCTGTTGCCCAGCCTGGAGCATGATGGTGTGATCACAGCAGCCTTGAATCTCCGCAGCCTTGAACTCCTGGGTTCAAGTGATCCTCTTGCCACAGCCTTTGGAGTAGCTGGGACTACAGGTACAAGCCACTGAACTCAGCAGAAGCTGTCATCTCTATGAGAATATTTCTACTGTGGGGCACTAGTACTGGGCATCTGCTCAAGTTTATTTGTTCGAATATTGTGAGAAATGGCATCTTTGTTGGGAAGAGAAATTATCAGCAGAGTTACTATTTGGTAAGAAAAGAACAAACCATTTTTCCCCAACAGTATTTTGCAGAGGCCAAGCATTATATAAGGAAGTCAGGGTGAAGATACGGAAAGTGGGCTATTTCTTTCCCACTTTTTCCATTCACTCCTCAAGAGAACACTAGATGGACCTAAGGAAAAAAGGTTTTCTTTCTTTTTTTTTTTTTTTTGGGAGACAGGGTCTCACTCTGTTGCCCAGGCTAGAGTGCAGTGACTCCATCACAGCTCACTACAGCCTCAAACTCCTGGGGTCAAGCAATCCTCCCGCATGAGCCTCCCAAAATATTGGGATTACAAGCATGAGCCATTGCACTCAGCCTATATCTGCTCTTAACAACCGGTATAGGACTTTCCCCAGCTTCCTGCATTATTACTTTAACAAAACTCACCCATTTTCCATTTAGCAGCTAGCTAAATAGAAAGACTTTGCTAGTTACTCACTTAGAAAGCAAGCTGAATTCACTACTAATCATGTCAAGCACCCAATCAGCAAACAGGGAAACATTATCCACCTGCCTTTCCCTCCCCCAGTTAATACCAACTGAGGCCAGGCATGGTGGCTCACGCCTGTAATCCCAGCACTTTGAGAGGCCGAGGCGGGTGGATCACCTGAGGTCAGGAGTTCGAGACCAGCTTGCCCAATATGGTGAAACCCCGTCTCTATTAAAAATACAAAAATTAGCCAGGCGTGGTAGCACATGCCTGTAGTCCCAGCTACTTGGGAGGCTGAGGCAGGAGAATTGCTTGAACCTGGGAGGCGAAGTCTGCAGTGAGCTGAGATCACACCACTGCACTCCAACCTGGGTGACAGAGTGAGACTTCATCTCAAAATAAATAAATAAATAAATAAAAATCAATTGAGAGCACAAAGTGGGTTACATATATATAAAACTAAGCAAACAGGACACAGACATTAGGTGAAAAAGATAATCTTAGTAAATGAACAATTCAGAAAAAAGTTTATACAAAGTTGAACATCACAAATACAGATTTTAGTTTCAGTGATTTAAATTCTCACATTCAAAAAATGTATTTCACTCTCAGAAACTGATTTTGGGAAGTTCAGGACTTATGATTCTATTCAAAAAATAATAAATTTAATTTCTAATCCTATAATACCAAGATTAAGTTTCTGAACATTAAAAACAAACTTATTTAATAGGCTGTTTTTGAAATGCAAGACAATAAACCTTCTAATAAAATTGTCACTGCTATTATTCTATTGTGTACAAAAGCAGTATATTGTAGGTCAGCTTTTAAGTTCCTTCAGAATTTCACAATGTTAACTAAAAAGAGGGGCTCTGGTCAAAAAAAGATTTAGAAACAATGGACTAAAAGTTCTGCAGGTTTCGTTTAACTAGTGATTGACTCATCTGGGGCTAGTAAATTAGTGATTCTCAACCCTGTTTGTATTTTTTAATTTCCTGAGAAGTTTTAAAATGCAGGCTATTTGAGCTCTGCCCAATTAAATCAAAATTTCTAATTTAAAAGCCAATGAAAGTATATTGAAGCACGTGATTCCTCTCACTTTGAGGCCAGCCTTTGACCACTCTCTGACAATAGAGAAAAATATTCAAATGTTAAAGGTACACTCTTTCACGTCTAGCATTTATAATTACCTTTCTGCAGTAACTCTCTATTTTAGTACTACTACTAAGACTTCAAAGAGAAATCTGACAAACAGTATCCCGTACCTGGTTCTGACTCCTGCTTCTGTAAAGGTGGGAAGAACCTCAGATATGTCATCTTGGTACTGTACTTCAGAGTCCTGGTCCGTCTCATCACATGGGCAAAGGAAAGCTTCAAGTGCTCAGTAACATTCTTTAGTTGGAAGTATTTGGTATTGAAGAAAAGGAGGGTGTTTAAAAGGACGATTGGTGAGTAAGCGCCCAGCTGTTTGCACTCCCACAAATGCTCTTCCTCAATGCGAGAGAACATGTAACCTAGACAGAAGAAGGGGTACAAGAAACAGTACTGAGCTCCTGCTAAAGTAGACTAAGTAATCTCTCAAATTCTAAGACAGGGAGATATAAAGAGAAAAACTGACTATTCCTCTTTCCCCTCTTCCTTATGCAGAAAACCAGAAAACGCACCACAAAGAAAAAGGCAGATGATTCCACTCAAGTAGACACCGTTCGTGGAGTCTCCTGAAACCGTTTTAATCTATTGATATTTTAGATTAGGGGTTAAGCTGTCTTTATAAAGGGCCAGAAAGTAAATATTTTGGGATGTGTAGGCCATATAGGCTCTGAACAACGCTGTTGCTGTAGAAACTAAGGAGCTGTAGAGAACACATAAACAGGCAGAGCTATATGCCAGTAAAATTTATTTATAGTCATATAATTTTCTTTTCTTTTTTTTGAGACAGGGTCTTACTCTGTCACCCAGGCTGGAGTGCAGTGGCACGATCAGGGCTCACTGCAGCCTCAAACTCCTGGGCTCAGGTGCTTCTCCCACCTCATCCTCCTGAGTAGCTGGGACTACAAGGCACCACCACCATGCCCAGCTAATTTTTTTTATTTTTTGTAGAGACAGAGTTTCACCTTGTTGCCCAGGCTGATCTTGAACTCCTGGGCTCAAGTGATCCTCCTGCCTCAGCCTTCCAAAGTCACACCTGGGACCACAGGTGTGAGCCACCACACCCAGCCATGAATTTAATATAATTTTCACATGATGAAATAGGAATTCTTAAAAAAATTTCCCCAACTATTTAAAAATGTAAAAACAATTTTTAGCTCATAGATTGCAAAACAGGGAGCAGGCCAGATTTGGCCCATGGACCATAGTTTGCAAACTCCTGTTGGAGATCATTAAGCTTACTGTTAAAGGTGCTCTGCAGCCCAACAGAAAGGTGCATATATTACTAAGCATAACATTGAACCTCTTCATTCACCTCAGCCTGAGACCTGGAGTGAATTATGGACTTGTCTGATGACATCTGGTCAAAGATAATTCAAGGACGAGGACTTAACTCTCTTAACAACAGTTCAGTATACATACAAACTACCAAAAAAGGTCCACTGTTAGCAGATATGATATGTGAAAGCTACACCAATGCTACCAGATCAAAAATGGTTTCTAAAAAGGTAAATGTAACTTCAAATTAGTTTATATTTTCTGCAATCAGTATCTATACATGTGCTATATGACTTGTACAGTTTTCCTAAAACAATCAACAATAAACCAAAGACCGTCTCCTCAGAAGTCCAAATATGGTATAAATCTGGACAGAAATAAAAATGAACAATTTTTTTAAAGATAACCAAAAAAGTTAAGCAATTTAAGAAAGCATATCATGAAAACAATAAAAAAAAAATCACCCTACCATTAGGAAGTATTGTAGGTTCCCATATTTTCAAGAGTTTGGTAAGTTCAATCATAAATCTGGAATAGGGCTCAGTAAAAATGTTATCTATTCTACCATTTTCAAACAGGTACTACAAGAAAAAAAAAAGAAAATATACATGTTGATAAAAAGAAAACATGAGTTCTTAAAAAATTATTGTAAGAAATACAGTTTACCCTTAATTTTTGCCCTTACAATATTATAAACCATGTTTAACCTCTCAGTACCTTAGAGATAGTTGTTAAAACACTAGAATTCAAGCTAAAGCTCCTGTTCTTATTAACACATTATCTTCAGCACTGACCTTGCAAGGTAAAGTTTTTGTACTTCGTTTTCAAACACGGATGGTACAGAAGAAGTATTATGAAGAACCCTTTACTTAGTTCCTAAAACTGACATACTAAAACTTGGTTCCAATGCACACGTTCCAAATCATGTTTTTCCTGATTCATAATGTGTATCTGCAGATGTGCTCTTTTGTTTTTTACCCTAGATACAAGATCATTTCTTGCAATCACACAGTTAGCTAATGTCAGTTGACCTGAGGAAACCCAAATTTAAAAACTATTTATTTGGAGCCTTCTAACTACAGCTCTCAACTCTGCCCCACAACCTAGCCCTCAAAAAAGTTCAAGTCTAATTATAGGACATTGAACTATGTTAATTATAACCATTAACAACCATATCATAGGCTAGAACAAAAAGAATACCTATAGTTTAAAAATGTATTGAGCCAGGAATGGTAATCCCAGTGCTTTGGGAGGCCAAGGTGAGAGGATCACTTGAGGTCAATAGTGCAAGACTAACCTGGGCAACACAGTGAGACCCATCTCTACAAAAAATTTAAAAACAAATAGCCAGGGGTGGTGGTGCATGCCTGTAGTCCTAACTGCTTGGGAGTCTGAGGCAGGAGGGTTGTTTGAACCTGGGAGTTTGAGACTGCAGCAAGCTATGATCATATCACTGCACTTCAGCCTGGGTAACAGAGCAAGACCCTGTCTCTTTTAAAAAGTACTGACGGCGCAGGTCAGATAAAATCAATTGAGACAGGGACACACCATGAGTAGTAACGGAATCCAAGGCAGCATGTAATTACGTGATAAAAGTATTTTGGTGTTTTTAAGGTTTAGTATTTTTAATTTATATTTCTGTGGCTATCTTGGTTTCTTGCATTTCTATGTATGATTTGGAGAAAATTATTTCCATTTAAATTTATTCTGGCTAACAAAAATTACCACTTCAATAGGCATTTTTATGAGGCCTCCTCAAAGGCAATTTATGAACTTATTGGCAGATTACAGTTTGTTGTTCAACAGTATTCCTCTTTTTCTTCTTTTAATATAGTCACTTTCAAGCTTAAAAATATATCTTCGTTATTGAAAAAGTTCAAAATAAAGAAAAAGTAGACTATTCAAACTCATTCAAACTCATCACACAAAGTCAACTACTATTCATATGCAAAAATATTTCCAATCTTTAAGAAATTCCATTATGCAGAAGTGAGTTTTGTACAGTTACAGAAATATATCAGTACATATAACGCAACATACATGTTTAAAAAAAGTCTCTTCCCCCTTAACCAGGAACAAGACAAGAATGCCTATCCTTGCCATTCTTCGTCAACACTGTACCGCGAATCCTAGCAGAGCAGCCAGGCAAGAAAAATAAATATAACGCATTCAAATAGGAAAGGAAGAAGTAAAATTATCTCTAGTTGCAGGTGACAGAATCCTATATATAGAAAATCTTAGAGAATACACAGAAAAATGAATTATTAGAGCTAATAAGTGAATCCAGCCAAGTTGCAGCATATAAGCAATACACAAAAATCAGCTGTATTTCAAGCTAGCAATGAACAATCCAAACAGGAAATTAAGAAAGTCCCGCCAGGTGCGGTGGCTCATGCCTGTAATCCCAGCACTTTGGGAGGCTAAGGCGGGCGGATCACAAGGTCAGGAGATCGAGACCACGGTGAAACCCTGTCTCTACTAAAAATACAAAAAAAAAAAAAATTAGCTGGGCGCGGTGGCGGGCGCCTGTAGTCCCAGCTACTTCGGAGGCTGAGGCAGGAGAATGGCGTTGAACCCAGGAGGCGGAGCTTGCAGTGAGCTGAGATTGTGCCACTGCACTCCAGCCTGGGCGACAGAGTGAGACTCCGTCTCAAAAAAACAAACAAACAAACAAAAGTCCCATGTTTACCAAAGCATCAAAAAGAATAAAATACTTGAGAAGAAATGTAACCAAAATGTTGTAAGACTTACACACTTAAAACCACAAAAAACTGCTGAAAGCAAAAATTAAAGAACAACTAAATAAACAGAAAGACATCCTGTAGTCACAGATCAGAAGATTTAATGATGTTAAAATGGCAATATTCTCCAAATCAATTTATAGATTCACTGCAATCATATCAAAATCCAATGACCTTTTTCTGCAGAAATGGAAAAACCCATTCTAAAATTGACATAGAATTTCAAAGGACCTTGAAGAGCCCAAAGAATTTTGAGGAACCACATTTCCTGATTTCAAAACTTAATACAAAGCTATAATGTAAGTTGCAAAACTGTGTACTGCCCTAAAAATAGCCATCTATAGAAAAATGGATTAGGGCCGGGCACAGTGGCTCACGCCTGTAATCCCAGCACTTTGGGAGGCCGAGGCAGGCGGATCACAAGGTCATGAGATCGAGACCATCCTGGCTAACACAGTGAAACCCTATCTCTACTAAAAATACAAAAAAAATTAGCCGGGCATAGTGGCGGGCGCCTGTAATCCCAGCTACTCGGGAGGCTGAGGCAGGAGAATGGCGTGAACCCGGGAGGCGGAGCTTGCAGTGAGCCAAGATCAAGACTCCATCTCAAAAAAAAAAAAAAAAGAAAAAAGAAAAATGGATTATAACTGAGAGTCCAAATTAAACCCATCTATATTTGGTCAAAAGATTTTCTACAATGGTATCAAGCCCATACAATGGGTAAAGAACAGTCTCTTCAACAAATGGTGCTGAGAGAACTGGATAACCACATACAAAAGAATGAAGGTAGACCTAGCTCATACCAGATACAAAAATTAACTCAAAATAAATGAACGACCTAAATATAAGAGCTAAAATCATAAAACTCTCTGAAGAAAAGAGGATTAAATCTTCATGCCCTTGAATGTGGCAGTAGATTCCTAGATATAACACCAGGAGCACAGGCAATAAAAAGAAAAGAGAAAGGAAAAGAAAAGGAAGAACAAAAAAGAAACTGAACTTCATTAAAATAAAAAAAATTTGGCCGGGCACAGTGGCTCATGCCAGTAAAGCCAGCACATTGGGAGGCCGAGGTGGGCGGATCACGAGGTGGGAGATCCAAACCATCCTGGCTAATACTGTGAAACCCCGTCTCTACTGGAAAAAAAAAAAAAAATGAGCCAGGTGTGGTGGCAGGCGCCTGTAGTCCCAGCTACTCGGGAGGCTGACGCAGGAAAATGGCGTGAACCTGGGATGCGCAGCTTGCAGTGAGCCCAGATGGTGTCACTGCACTCCAGCCTGGGCGACAGAGCGAGACTCCATCTCAAAATAAATAAATAAATTAATTAATAAACAGATAAATAAATAAATAAATATATATTTGTCATTCAAAGTACACTACACCAAGAGAGTGAAAAGAAAATCCAGAGAATGGGAGAAGATATTTGCAAATCACATATCTGATAAAAGTTTAATATCTAGAATATATATAGTTTCTACAACACAATGACAAAAAGACAATTCAATTAAAAATTAGGCAAAGGACTTGATATAGTTTAGATACTTGTGCCTTCCAAACCTCGTGGAGATTTGATCCTTAATGTTGGCAGTGGGGCCCTGATCTCTCATGACTGGCTTGATGCTATTCTCCTAGTAATGAAGTTCTCCCTCTATTAGTTACTGAGAGATCTGATTGTTAAAAAGAGCCTGGTACTTCGTCCTCACTCTCTTGCCATGAGACGCCTGCTCCCCCTTCACCTTCTGCCATGATCATATGATGCCGTGATTGGAAGCTTCCTGAAGCGCTCACCAGAAGCAGATGCTGGAGCCATGTTTCTTGTACTGCAGAACCATAAGCCATGATTCTGCATGAGAATTTTTTTTTTTTTTTTTGAGACAGAGTCTTGTTCTGTCACCCAGGCTGAAGTGCAGGGGCGCGATCTTGGCTCACTGCAAACTCTGCCTCCTGGGTTCAAGCGATTCTCCTGCCTTAGCCTTCCGAGTAGCTGGGACTACAGGCATGTGCCACCACGCCCAGCTAATTTTTGTATTCTTAGTAGAGACAGGGTTTCACCATGTTGGCCAGGCTGGTCTCGAACTCCTGACCTCGTGATCTGCCTGCCTCGGCCTCCCAAAGTGCTGGGATTACAGGTGTGAGCCACCGCACCCAGCCAAGAATTTCTTTATAAATTACCCAGCCTCAGGTACTCCCCTATGGCAATACAGACTAAGACAGGACTTAAATAGACATTTCTCCAAAGAAGGTATACACATGGTCAAAAAGTACACAAAAAGATTCCCAATGTCATTAGGAAAATGCAAATTAAAAACACAATGAGATATCATTTCATACCCACCAGGATGGTTGTTTAAAAAAAAAAAAGACAGAAATTAACAAATGTTAGCAAGAATGTGGAGATACTGGAATCTTCATACACTGCTGTTGGAAATGTAAAATGGTGCTGCCACTTTGGAAAACAGTTCAGTAGTTCCTCAACAACTCAGTCATAGTTACAAGACTCAGCAATTCCACTCCTAAGCATATATGGCAAAAGAATTGAAAATAGGTGTTCAAACAAAAACCTGTACATGAATGTTCACAGCAGCGTATTCACAATCACCAAAAGGCAGAACCTCAAATGTCCATCAGTGGATGAATGGATAAACAACATGTGGTATATCCATATGATAGAATATTATTCAGCCATAAAAAGGAATGCTATATTGATTCATGCTAAAACATGGATAAACCTTGAAAACATAATGCTAAGGGAAAGAAACCAGACACAAAAGGCCACATAGTGTGTGAATCCACTGATACAAAATATCCAGAATAGGCAAGTCCAGAGAGACAGAAAGCAGATTTATGGTTGCCAGGGATGGGTGGAGGGAGTAATGGGGAGTGACTACTAACTGGGTTTGAGGTTTCCCTTTGGAGTCATAAAGCTACAGAATAGACAGTGGTGATGACTGCACATTAAGAATGTACTTATTAGTCCTACTGAATTGCAAACTTTAAAATGGTAAATTTTATGTTATGCATATTTTCCCATAACAATCACACTATATATATAATTCTGCAAGTTACTTTTTTTTTGTTTTTCCTCAGACAGGTTCTCACTCTGCCACCTAGGCTGGAGCTCCAATGGCTTACTGCAGCCTTAAACTCCTGGGCTGAGGTGATCCTCCTGCCTCCGTCTCCTGAGTAGCTGGGAGTGGAGGCATACACCACCATACCTGGCTAATTTTTTATTTTTTGTAGAGATAGTGTCTCCCTATGTTGCCCAGGCTGGTCTTGCATCACTGGCCTCAAGTGATACTCCCATCTCAGCCTCCCAAAGTGCTAGGAATACAGGTGTGAGCCACCACACCTGGCCCTGCAGGTTACTTTTTAAAATATATGCCTCTAAGAATTTCCTAGGTCAATAAATACAGAAGCAAGCCATTCCTTTGTAAATATTTTACAGTATTCCACAGTATGGACATATTATAGTTGACTGATCCACAAAGCTTGATTAACACTTGAGCGGTTTCCAATTTGTTGTTAAAAACAATGTTCCAATGAAAATACCAGTATATATCTGGGTGTGTACATGTGCATGTAATTTCTGTGGGGACATATTCTGGTCAATGGATTTGCTAGGTTGAAGAATCCATATGTTTAACTTGATACCTGTTGAATTCCAAGGCACAAGTATAAGATACTGTCTGGATCATATTTTTCACCATTTGGTCTCCGCACCTCTTGGATAAACTGGCATAAGCCCAAACTCAACTCAGCAAAAGTGCAGGACAGAATGTCTTCCTTCAGCTTGATAGAGCGGACTGTGGAAAGGTAGAAAACATCTGAAACATTAACTTTTAACAAACATAGTAGCATTGATTAACTGAATAAACATTGAACACTACTGTGCTCCAGGCACTGCGGTGCAGACTAGTGGGTATATGGATTAAAGACAGATTCTGATCTCAAGTCTACTTCAGTTAGGGAAATAAAGACCAGTGCATATGGTGCAATACGTGCTATGATAGAGGCTTTCTTTAAATGGCATTCTGTGAAAGCAAATGAGGGCTATCCAACAGGGAAGAGTCAGGTTAGATTCTGGGAAACGTGATACTGGAGCTAGACCTTAAAAGGTGAGGAAGAGTTAAACAGGTAGATAGGTAAAGAATTCCAATCTGAGGATACACAAAAAGGCTTCCCAAAGTAGAGTCCACAAAATACTAGTCTTATGTGAGAGCTGGAGAACACTGGGTTTCTAAGATTTGATATTCAGAAAACACAAGATACTATATTTGTCTCTGAAGAATTCACAGTGCTTAATGGTACATTAAAGGCTCTGAGCATATTTGCAAAAAAGAAAGCTATTCAACTTTTTCTTTTCTTTCTTTTTTTTTTTTTTTGAGATGGAATTTCGCTTTTATTGCCCAGGCTGGGGTGCAATGGCACAATCTCGGCTCACTGCAACCTCCGCCGGGTTCAAGTGATTCTCCTATCTCAGCCTCCTGAGTAGCTGGGAGTCAGCCGTGCACCACCATGCCCAGATAATTTTGTATTTTTAGTAGAGACGGGGTTTCTCCATGTTGGTCAGGCTGGTCTCAAACTCCCAACCTCTGGTGATCCGCCCGCCTCGGCCTCCCAAAGTGCTGGGATTACAAGTATAAGCCACTACACCCGACCAGCTGTTTAACTTTCTTCAGCTGATATTTATTTGAATACAGAACACCTCAAATAATGAATAACACCCTCTTGCCTTTGGAAATGCTAGAATACAGTATTCCCTTTGCTAGGTCACAGGCTGCAAAGGTTCAGGGGACTTGGGTGTATAGGACAAGGCAAGAAGGGCAGGTGGGAGCAGATCATGATCAGCCTCATTTCTCATATTAAGATTTTGCAGACAATGAGCTGAATTAATTTTGAGCAGGGGAGTTATCCAATTTGATTTGTAGAGGTCCTACTACAACATGTTGATCCACATTGTGGGGCCAAGATTAAAACACCCTTTCTAGTCATTGCTCTTCTGCACTGAGATAAGATTACATACACATGGGCTCCTGTGAGTTGGGTTTTAGTTAAAGCAAGCCGTATCTCATGAGAGCACCGACCATGTTTGACTTTTTCACCCTAGTACCTAGCTTCATACCTGGTATATAAGAGAGATATTCAGTAAGTATTTCTCAATGAAAGAGTGGTAGAAATGGGTTGCCATCCCTGTAACAGCTGCATTTAGGCTTAGTAGTCTAAAGCAGTATTACCTCTCCATTTGCACTATTACCCTTCCCCGGCTTTTTGTTTTATTTTTATTTTTTTAGAGACAGGGTCTCACTCTGATGCTCAGGCTGGAGTGCAGTGGTGCAATCATAGCTCACTGCAGCCTCAGAACTCTTGGGCTTAGGAGATCCTCCTGATTCAGCCTTCTACAGTGCTGGGATTACAAGTATGAGCCACTGCACCCAGCAGGTTGCTCTTTTAACTTAAAACATGCTACTAGGCAGTTAATGGCCTAGTAAATCTCCACAACAGGAGTGTATTTACATAGCTTTGGAGCAGACAGATTACATTTCATCTATAGGAACTCAATGAGTTAGTCACTGCCCACAGCAGCAACTAAGTGCTCCAATAAGGACAGTTACATGTGCCCCAAAACCAACAGGGTAGACTGGAGTGAAGCCAAGAGTGCATACAATCACCTAGGTTTAAGACAGAAAGAAGATATAGTTGGAAAGTGGAATAAAATCAAGTTACATGGATATACTCCTCCATTCTGCCCCATCTCATTCCATAAAGATTGTATAAGTATTTTACATAAAACACAAATTAAAAGCAAAAGATAAAGTGAAACAAAAATTTAGAATAGGGTGTCAAAAGTAGTGAAAAATGAAAACTAATGTGGGCCTTAAAATTATACACTGTTGCTTTATTTGAAATGCTCATGTAATACCAAATTTCCTGGCAGCTGAAGTGAAACCCACAAACATTGTCAGTTACATAGATCTCACTGTAAGGAAAAATTCCTACATTAGAAGCAAGGCTTTTCCAGGTATTTTTCTTAAAAAAAAAAACAAAAAAAAAACTGGGCTCCACATGGATTACTATACAGACGCAGGGCTCAAGAAGACATATTTTGAGGCACTTGCACAGTGTCAAAAATAAAACAAAATTCTGTATATTTGCATAATAAACTCAAGAGCAGAAGACATAACCTTACCCTTATAACAACCTCCTTAAAACGGGATAAGATTAATTTCTCTTTCTAACCTTAATACTCTAAATTTTAAATAATTTTAAATATTCAATTTACAAATTTAAATCCGCAATAATAATATAAATAATTCATACCAAATGGAGAGAAACAAATTTTACCTCTACAGCCTGGCTCTGAGGATTCTTGAGAGAGTGCATGGTCTTGAGTACTTCCTAAGGGGTCAGAACGTGGGCTAGATGAGGCCTGTTCAACCCCTGACAAGGAGAGAAACATAAAAGAAAAGTTTAAATAAAATAAAAGTGCGGAAAAAATTAAGTAAAGCCCAAACCAAAGTTTTATGGGGTTTTTGACCTAAAATGTATCCCTTTTCAGTAGATTATCTGTATATTTCCCCCTACCTAAATCAAGATACAATTCATGCTGTGCACTTACCTCCACATTTTAGATCCCCCTGCTCTTCCTTGGCATTTTTCCACTGAACCCAGTTCTTCCAAGCATTTACCCCATACATGTATTTCAGTGTCATCCCGGACACTGAGCAGCCTTGAAAGGCTCCTTGAATAAGACTCCTGGGCTCCACAGCCACTATAGACTTCTTCCGTCCCTGTAAGAATTCCAAAAATTTACAGAACATAAAATTTAGTTTTGGATTTTTAAGAGTCAGGGTTCTCAAAGCTGGAAAGGGTATACATTTGTAGAATAAAGAATTTAGTTTTATATCCTAAAGATTCAGAGTTCTTAGAGCAAGAAAGGGCTTTAGAGATTATTTAATCCAATCCATATGAGGAAGGAAGAAAGAAAAAGTTTAAATGCAGAAGAGCACACTGTAATAATCACTAACATTTGGGTATTTACTATGTTCCAGATATAGACTCACCTGATGAGGTATGAATAACTACTATTACCACTCAGGTCTATTTAATGAAACATGTAAACAGATCATATTCTGTGCTATAAAACAAGCCTCAACAAATTATCTAACTACAATGAAATTAAAATAGAAACCAATGATGCATAGATGTCCAAAAAAATCCTCCAAAATCATAAATTAAACAGCTCTATGGGTCAAAGAAGAAAGGACACATGCAATCACAAAACATTTTGAACTTAAAGGAAAATGAAAATAAAATTTACCAAAATTTCTGTGATGGAACTAAAGCAGTACTTAAAGGGACATTTGTAGTATTAAAATGTTTCAATAAGAAAATTTTTAAAAAGTCTATAATCTATAACCTAAGCTTCTATATTAAGAAACTAGAAAAGGAAGGCCAAGTGCAATGGCCCATACCTGTAATGCCAGCACTCTGGGAGGCCTAAGTGGGCAGACTGAGCCCAGGAGTTCGAAATAAGCCTGGGCAACATGGCAAGACCCCGTCTCTACAAAAAATTAAAAAATTAGCCAGGCATGGTGGCATACATCTGTAGTCCCAGCTACTTGGGAGACTGAGGTTTAAGGATCACCTGAGCCCAGGAGGTTGAGGTTGCAGCGAGCCATGATTACGCCACTGCACTCCAGCCTGGGTGACTGAGTGGAGACCCTGTCTAAAAACAAACAAGCAAAAAACCAGAAAAGGAAATCCAAATTAAAACCCAGGCTGGGTGCAGTGGCTCATGCCTGTAATCCCAACACTTTGGGAGGCTGAGGCAGGTGGATCACTTGTGACTCTCATGCCAATAAATTAAACAACTTAGATGAAATGGACAAACTTCTTGAAAGATTAATTAAGCTTACTCTAGAAGAAACAGATAACCTAAATAGCCATAGAAACAGCATTTATAGCTTAAAACCCTCCCACAAAAACTCTATTCCCAGATGGATTAAATTCCATCATAGTTAAATTCTATCATAGTTAAAGAAATTATACAAATTCTATCATAGTTAAAGAAATTATACAAATTCTATCATAGTTAAAGAAATTATACAAATAGAAGAAAAAGAAATATTAACTAATTTTATAATGTCACCATTACCCTGATACCAAAACCAGTCACAAAGTACAGATAAATATGTCTTGAACAGGGACACTCAAAACCTTCATAGGGCCAGCCATGGCAGCTCACACCTGTAATCCCAGCACTTTGGGAGGGCGAGGTGGGTGGATCACTTGAGGCCAGGAGTTCAAGACCAGCCTGGCCAACATGGTGACACCCCATCTCTACTAAAAATACAAAAATTACCCAGGCATGGTGGTGGGCACCTGTAATCCCAGCTACTTGGAAGGCTGAGGCAGGAGAACTGCTTGAACCTGGAAGGTGGAGGTTACAGTGAGCCGAGATCGCGCCATTGCACTCGAGCCTGGGCAACAGAGTGAGACTCTGTCTCAAAACAGAACAACAACAAAAAACCTTCGCAGAATATTAGCAAACCAAATCCAGCAACACAAAAAAATAATAAATACAGAAAAAAGTAGGGTTTATCCCAGGAATGGAAGGTTAATCATTTGAAAAAATTAATGTATTTCACCATTTTAACAGACTTAAAAAAAGGAAAACCAGATAATCACCTCAAAAGATGCAAGAAATCCACCTGAGGAAGTTCAATACCCAATCATGATTTAAAAAACTTTCAGCAAATTAAAAGGAGAAGGGGAACTTCTTCAACCTGATAGAAACCACCTATGAGAAACCTACAGGTAACATCATACTTTCTGTTGCAAGACTTTTTTCACCGTAAGGTTAGGAATAAGGCAAAAAGGTCTGCTCTCACTACTAATATTCAACATTGTACTGAAGATACTAGCTAGTTCAATAAAACAAGAAAAAGAAGGAAAGAAAATGCATTCAGATTACAAAGTAAAACTGTCTTTATTCACAGATAATATGATTGTCTAGGTAGAAAATCCTAAGGATTTTAGTTGAGCAAAGTCACAGGACACAAAGTAAATACATGAAAATTACCTATATTTCTTTTTTTTATTTCTAAGATAAATATCATAGAAGAAAAAATTATCTATATTTCTATATACTAGTAAGGAACACGAAAAATGAAATTGTTTTTCTTTTTTTTTGAGACAGGGTCTCGCTCTGTCGCCCAGACTAGAGTGCAGTGGCATGATCAGGGCTTACTGCAGCCTCGACCCCCCCTAGGCTCAAGCAATTCTCCCAGCTCAGCCCTCCAAGTAGCTGGGACCACCAGCATGCGTCACCATGCCCAGCTAATTTTTAAAATTTTTAGTAGAGATGGGGTCTCACTACATTGCCCAGGCTGGTCTCAAACTCCTGGGCTCAAACAATCCTTCTGCCTTAGCCTCCCAAAGTACTAGGATTATAGGTGTGAGTCATTGTGCTCAGTGAAAAATGAAATTTAAAAATAATACAATTTACAACAGCATCAAAATATCTTAAATACTTATGAAATAAACTTAACAGAATATAATGAGACTTGTAATGCAGACTATTCCATGTTTCCAAATTAGAAGACTCAACATTCCTAAAATGTCAATTCTCTCCCTCTGGATTCAGGACAGCCCCAACTGAAATTCTAGCAGCCTTTTTTTTTTTTTTTTTTTTAAAGAAATTGACAAGTTGATTCCAAAATGTATATAGACATGCAAATGACAAGTTTAAGAAGAACAAAGCTGGAAGATTTACACTCTTAATTTCCAGGCTCACTGTAAAATCACAGTAATCAGGACAGTTGGTACTGGTATAAAAATAGACATATAAGTCAATAGAACAGAATAGAAAGTTTCAGAAACAGACTGATAGATACATATATGATTGACTTTTAACAGAGTTGCCAATGTAATTCAATGGGGAATGAATAGTCTTTTTCAAGGGCAGTGCTGGAACAACTGGATGTCCATATTCAAAAAATGAACCTTGACCCTTGTCTCAACTCATATATAAAAATTACCTCAAAATAGATCACAAACATAAAAGTTAAAACTATAAAACTTCTAGAAGAAAATGTAAGAGAATGTCTTAGTTACTATGAGTTAGGCAAAAATTTTTAGATGAGGTATTAAAAAGCACAATCCATAAAATAACAAATTGATAAAAGGGACTTCCTCAAAATCAAAATCTGCTACTCATCATTAAGAAAATAAAAAGGAAGTAACAAAATAGGACCAAACGTTGATTTGATAAAGAAATTATGTCCACAGTAAAGAATACTTACAACTCAGCAAGATAACAACCAACCCAACAAAAAAATGAAAAAAATGTGCGAAAACTGTGAATAAACACTTTACCAAAGAAGACACATGAATGGCAAATACATATATGAAAAGATGCTTAACATCATTAATCATTAGGGAAAAACAAATTAAAACCATAATGAGGTACCACTATACATTGACTAGAATGGCTAAAATTAAAAATCAACAATACCAAGTGTTAGCAAAGTCATGGAGCAGATGGAACTCTCTCATACATTGCTGGTGGGACTGCAAAATGGTACATCTCCTTTGGAAAACAGTCTGGCAGCTTTCTTACAAAGTTAAAAATACACATAAGCATAAAACCTAGCAATCTCATTCCTAGATCTTTTTCCTCAAGAGAAATGAAAACATATGTTCACACAAAGATTGATACTAAGATGTTCATAACATTTTGAGTAAGTTTTATTCAAAATAGCCCCAATCTGGAAACAACCCAAATTTTTATCACCTGTTAAACAGCTGAACAAATTGTAGTTTGTCCATGTAATGAAATACTACTCAGAAATAAAAAGGAATCAACTACTGGGACATGAAATAACATGGATGAATCTCAAAAACATTATGCCAAGTAAAAGAACTTAAACACAGAAGACTACATATTATAGGATTCCATTCATGTGAAATTTCAGAAAAGGCAAAGCAGTGGCATTCTGCATCAATCGGTACAGTAGATCAGTGGTTGTCAGCAGCCAGAGGGGCTGACTGCAAAAGGTCATAGTGGAACTTCTTGCTAAGTGGAATTGTTCATGATTGTGGTGGGAATTACATAACATATACATTAGTTGAAGGCCATCAAAATGTACACTCAGAACTTAAAAATGTTTTAATATAATTATACAATAGGGCTAATTTTAAAAATAAAGCTATTATTCTTTCAACTTTGTATAGGAAAGCCCTGTCAATGTGAAAAACAGCCATGTGAACTTCACTATTTTACTATACTATAAAAATAGGGAACTGGCCGGGCGCGGTGGCTCACGCCTGTAATCCCAGCACTTTGGGAGGCCAAGGCGGGTGGATCACGAGGTCAGGAGATCGAGACCATCCTGGCTAACATGGTGAAACCCTGTCTCTACTAAAAAATACCAATAAAAATTAGCCAGGCGTGGTGGCGGGCACCTGTAGTCCCAGCTACTTGGGAGGCTGAGGCAGGAGAATGGCCTGAACCCAGGAGGTGGAGCTTGCAGTGAGCCGAGATCACGCCACTGCACTCCAGCCTGGGTGACAGAGCGAAACTCCGTCTCAAAAAAAAAAAAAAAAAAAATAGTGAACTACTCAGTATTTTTTATTTTTATTTATTATTACTTTTTTTTTTTTTTTTTTGAGACAGTCTTGCTCTGTAACCCAGGCTGGAGTGTAGTGGCCTGATCTCAGCTCACTGCAAGCTCCACCTCCTGGGTTCAGGCCATTCTCCTGCCTCAGCCTCCCGAGTAGCTGGGACTACAGGCGCCCACCACCACACCTGGCTAATTTTGTTGTATTTTTAGTAGAGACGGGGTTTCACCATGTTAGCCAGGATGGTCTCGATCTCCTGACCTTGTGATCCGCCTGCCTTGGCCTCCCAAAGTACTCAGTATTATAACATGTAAAAAGAGCTAAATTTAGAGGCTGTTCAAACAGATAAAGCATAAAAAATAACTATAAAAAGTTTTTTAAAGTAAACAAAGCAATATAAAAGAAAACCCTTAACTATAGAAACAAAAAAAGTTCCTACTGAAAGAAATGTAAATAAAATATATGGTTCTTGAATTCAAAAAACAAAAGTTGCAAAACAACATGTGGAACTACCTGACTCTGGCTGTTACAGAGTTTTGAAAGCAGCAGGAACTAAATAATGCTTGTAGAATGAAGGAAAGAAAAGTCTAGAAAAGTTAAGCTGCAGCTTACTCTTCGTCTGGGTTGGGGGAAGCCATCTCTGTGTCGTCGTCTTGTTCGGGAACGTGCCTGGATTCCCTGTCCTTTATTAAGTGGGTCAAAGGAGTCTATAATAATCAGCAGAAAGGACAACATGAGGTAAATAACTCACAAATTTAAATAAAGACTTAGACTAGTAAAGAAATATCAGGTAATCATCACTATATTCATTAGTTTGTTTGTGATAAAATAAGGATTCCACTTATAGACTTAAACCAAGGATATAGTGCATAAATGAAAACTTCATTAACAATCAGGAAAACCTCTTATATAGCTACTACGGGAAAGGTTAAAAAAAATTTTAACCACATTAACCACTTATAAGAACAATATGGTACGAATTAACACCTACAAAGCCAGGGTCTATTTGTGCTCTAGATTATGACCTCTAACACATTACACTGTTATTATCAATAACAATTGGCACTGCTTAATAGTGTCAATTCAGAGTTGTACCGATCTTTTAAAATAAAAAGCTTTCAGTGGACAGGTTACTGTACACAAACCTGATGGAAAATCTGCTTCCAGGTCCTGTTCAGTTTCCCCTTTTGAGAACTGCTTCAATTCTGAATCAGCCTCTTGCACAGCATTTGACTTTAAGGCATAGTGATTCAGCTCTTCCTCCCAGCTATGTGGAGTAGATACTGCCTCTGATTCAAGATCACCACTGTATGTACTTCCTTGGTCTGAAATATATAGATAACAATTAAGCCCTCAAAATAAAATAGCCTCATCTTGACATGCTCGGAAAACTTCCTGAACCCCTAAATACCAAAAAATGAGATACGGTTGATGGACAATTACCTAGGTACACTCAAGAATGAGGTAACTTGTTCATCAGTCTCAAAGAACTGGATTCATATTTTTGGTAGGCAATTGAAAGCATTATCTCAATTAATTTTTAAAACAAACATTTGAGTGGCTTTTATTATTCTCACTACAAATTAGTACACTTCATATACATCTGATACCCCTTACAAATAGTTAAAATTACAAATATGAAATCCAAGGGTACTAATATTTTATAGGTTTCTAACAGAGGGTAGTATTTCTAAAAATCAAAACATATTTTCAACTACAAACCTTTTTCAAATATCTTGGTGTCTAGAAAGAGTTCGTGTTCAGAAGTTTGGGACTCTAAAGAAAAAGAAAAGCACATAAATAATTTATGTTTAGACAACAAATTATATCTCAAATGAAATGACTGCACTATATACATCAATCATACTACAAAGTTCTAAGTAAATAGATTTCATATGCAGAAAGAATAATTCATTAACAAAATTAGACATTAGGGATAAATGCAGTTAAACAGATTACCACTGTTAATGGGGATTCTGGTTAGTATCATGTGCTTTGGAGTCAGATGTATCTGGATTCAAGTTCTGGTTCCGCCACTTCTGGACTGCATAACCAAGGCAAGTCTAACATCCTACTTTCCAGATCAGAAATTTGAGATACATAGTACCCCCTCCCCACCCCATAAGGCTGTCATGAAGATTGAATCAGGCAAGGCACACAATGCACTGAGCACAATGCCTAGAGTATGGCAAGCACACAAAACGTTAACTATTGTTTTTATCATGATTCCACACTAGTAGTATGAGATCTATCTATCAGTTATTTTGAGCCAAATGGTTTTCCATCCTAAGGTTCTATTTACCCTCTACCAGCATGCTGGTTATTATATAACAGGAATTCTTATGTGGGGACCATGGCTTTGATTACAGAGATGGAATTGGAAAATGATCATGAAATCTTGATTTCTAAGTTATTTTTCTGGAATCATAACTAAAAACTATTGAATACCAATACTTGGTTTTCCTTCATAAAAACAATAAGAGCTTTCAGAAGCACTAAAAAGTGTAATCAACCCCACAGGCTTGGTATTCACAGACAATAAAGGTTTTAGAAACACCCTGTCTTATACTTAAAATTACTTGAGTCACCTGAAAATGTGTAAAACGTGTTTTTTCTTTCTTTACTTTTAAAGAGTATACCAACCTCCCTGAGATAGAGTCTTCTTCTCTTCATCTTCTGCAATCATTTCTGCCATCTCAAGGAGATCAGCTTCAAATGGATGTGTGGGAAGCTTTTCTTTAATGTCTTCAATACTCTCTGTGACTTTATCTTCACTATCCATTGAAGATGGAATAAGCATAGGGACAGGCATCTGAAAGACCAAGGATAGACTGAAGGCTTTCTTTGGCAACAGGTTTGTAGCCAAAAGTATGATTTGTGAGATGATTTAGGTATTAAAATAGTAAACAAATTTAAGGTATATTCATTGCTGATGATTAAAATAGTCTTGCTAGTTTGTTTTTATAAGACTAGAGCCATTTAAATAAAATTTCAATAAGTGCTTTGGACACTCAACCAATTATGTCTCTGAATCCTCTAAAAGAATAATTCTATAATACACTTGCATTTTGTTTTTGTTGTTTTTGCTTGTATTTCTCACAATTTTCTCATAACTGTTTCCTTTAAGGACTCAGTACCTGGGAAAAATAAATTTGTAATTAAAAAATACATTTTTCTTTAATCAAAAATGAGAATTATATAAATCACAGTACTCTTTTCACCCTTGCTAGAATCCAGGATTTCAACATACACCATTTCTGATCTTTTTCTATTTGAGTGGTCTTATTGTGCATGTAAGTTTTTTAAAAAGCTACATCATAACCTTTTCTGAGAAGGAAGGGTACAAATAAAAGCAGTCATTTATATAATCCATGTTAAGTAATAATGGGAATATGATAACAGCCAATCAGAAGCAGGTATATTTTACTAACAAATGAAAACTTTCTTCACAGAACTATACAGTTTTAATTGAGGAAAATGCATGCTATATTAGCTTTAATCTCTAAATGATTACTCACTGGAACTGGAATTCCAAATGGGACTGGAGCATATTGAGTATAAAGGTGAAGAGGTATGGGAACAAACACTGGTACGGGAACTGGCACCACAATAATCTGGGGCTGACTTGGAGTGTCTTCTAACAGTAACAACAACAAAATCACAAAAAGCAAAGAGGGTTAGAAATGCTTTCATAAGATTTCAAAATAAAAAAGCTTATGGAGGTTTATAGTTCAAAATAAGAGTAACCTATGACACTACAGGACTTCTTACAAAGGAGAAATAACTAAAGTAGCCAAAAAAATAAATCTTGAGTATAGCACTGACAAAAAGTGGGTAACAAATATCAGTGATGTGAGGAGAAAATGAATGCAGGATATAATTTAGATGGATAAATTGAAAGGATTGAAACAGGGAACCTAGAAGACAGGCATGGAAAACCACTTGCTAAAGAGGAGGCTGAATAGGGAGGGGCCATTTCCATCATGCTATAATGCACATTTCAAAATCATTTGTAGCTACTGAAGATTTTTTTAACACAAAGTAGTGATGAAAATGACATCAAAAAAGATTAATTTGGCAACAATTTCAGCACTGAATAAAAAATATATCAACTGTTAAAATAGGAGGCAATTATAATATGTAGAGCTAAGATGATGGGAGACTACTCTAGGTTATGATACCTACAAAAAAGAATAAATATATATAGCAGATGTTCTAAGTATTAAAAGGATGAAACAGAACTTGGAAAAAAACTTGGAGAAAGTAGCAAGATGGATGATTTATTCCATTATTTAACCAGACGGTCCCCAACTTAACGATGGTTCAATACAGGATTTTCCAACTTTATGATGGTGCAAAAACAAGTATATACCATACTTCTGTATAGCACTGAATGAATTACATGGTATTCAAAACTTTATTATAAAATAAACTTTGTGTTAGATGACTTTGCCCAACTGTAGGCTAATGTAAATGTTCTGGGCATGTTTAAAATAGCCTAGGCCCAGTTATGATGATGTTCTGGAGGTTGGGCATATTAAATGCATTTCTGACTCATGATTTTTTTAACATATGATGGGTACAACATTATAAGTCAAGGAGCATATAGAGTCCTTTCTATGTGTCAGAGAATATGCTAGATAAGTGTAAAATCATTAATCTAGGAGAAAGGTAATACTAGGGACAGAAAGAGAAGAGCTAACAATTTGACTAGAGTTAGAAGTGGGAAAATAATATGGCATAAATTTTTTTTTTTAACAGATGGGGGTCCCACCATGTTGCCCAGGCTGGTCTTGAACTCCTGGGCTCAAGTGATCCTCCCGCCTCAGCTGTCCAAAGTGCTGGGAGTATAGGCATGAGGCACCACATTTGGCCAACAAACTTTACATAATACAGCGGACATTAAAAAATTGTTACTTGATTTAGAAACATCTGATAACCAAACTACATAATACTAAATAAACTGCTATTGATTAAAAAAAAAAAAAAAGAACTAAATCATTTAGAGCCTTGCTATTTTGGTGTGGTCCATGAACCAGAAGCACTGACTTTACCTGGGAGCTTATAAGAAATGCAAAATCTCAGGCCTCACTGAATAAGAATCTACTTAGTAAAATTCCTGGATAATTCATGTGCATATTAATCTTTGAGAAGCAATGGCTGACAGGATAGCCTTGCAGCTCTAGAAATCAAGAATTTCCTTCTAGTTTAAAAATTCTGGGACTTTTAAAAATTTTTTAGTAGAGATGGTCTCGCTATGTTGCCCGTGCTGGTCTTGAACTCTTGGGCTCAAGTGATCCTCCTGCCTCAGCCTCCCAAACTGCTGGGATTACAGGTGTGAGCCACTGCAATCGGCCAAAATTCTAGGACTTTTGGATGGCAGCATGAGGAGCTACAAAGATCTATTCCTTAGTGAAACAAGCAAAGAAAGTGAAACTATTTAAAAACAGCCATTTAAATTCTTGGGAAATTGTCCTAAAGGCATATACCAAATGAAGAAACATTTATTCAAGACAATCTGTTCAAATTTGGTAAGAACAGTGAAAGTCTGTGACATTTCAGCCATCACAGGCTTTATCCCCCCAGCTCAATTCAGCTCAGCTTGACAGAAACTCCACTATGGGTAGCTGTGGCCAATAAAAATGGGCTTCTCTCCACTCAGCTCCCAATCAAGTGTTACTGTATCTCATCAAGAAAGGGAGGCCACAAGCATTTCTCATCCGCTCCAACTGAAAGCTGAAGAGGCTAAATTCCTGGTGAGTACGGGCAAGAGGTCAGGGGCTTCCCTTCACCCAGTTTCCATCCACTGGATGGAGGCTCTACCCTAGGAAAAGCAGGCCAAGAACACTGGGATCCTGATCACCCTCACCCCAGCTCACTTGTAGGGCAGAAGTTCCATGCCAGGGGAGGCAAGCCAAGAAGGCCAGAGACTACTACCCTGCCCAGCATCCATAGAGGTGGCTCAGAGATTCTGCCTAGGGGGAGAGGCAGTTCATAAAAAAAAAAAAAAAAAAAAAAAAAAAAAAGAAAGCTCTGAAGCTCTCCTCAAAGGAACTGACTTCATTTGAAACAGTGTGGAGTAGCCAAGAGACTGTGGAGTAGTTCAAACCTAAGGTCACACTGGAAAACAATAGCACCTCCTTAGAAGCCTGTCCATGTAATTCCAAACCTTATGCTTATTCTATAATATTACATTGTCATTAATAAGAGAATTAAATGACTTGCTCACAGTATGGTATCACTGATTAACTTCCTTCTCTTTGACCCAACTTGTTAAGCCTCAGATGCGGAAAATACCTAACTCACGGGGATGCTGTGAGAACTAAATTGGGCAATGTATACAAACAACCAAACACATCACCTAGGAAATAGCAGGTACTCAATGTAAGTAGATCCTACATTTCTTTCCCTTAAAAAATTAATAAAGAAAGAAAGACCAAGGAACATACCTGTCTGGCATTCTTTGTTTTGGGTATGTGGTTTGCAAGAGGTGGCTTTAGTCTGTGTGATGGGTTTGCATAATAAAGCTTTGTTCTTCAAAAGCCTTGGAGGTTGGGAAGGTGGCAGTTTCAGGGCATCTGTTTGAGTACTTGCCTAGTAAAAAAACAAATTAGAAACCAAAAACATTTTTAAAAATCTCATTGTAATTATAAGAAATATTATAATATTAAAGGAAATGTCATATTGGAATTACATGGAGGACATAGCAAGTAAATATTCAACCAAATGTATAAGAAATACAATACTCCTAAAATATTAATAGTAATCAAGGAATGTTTTAATAACTATATATTACTCTGCATGTCTCTAATCACAATTTCTATTTACCAAGAAAAATGCTATTTCTATTGTAACACACTGCTGATCAATAACAATGCTGGCTAAGTTTAAAATGAGAATTCTTACTTCCTGATTAAGACACAGAGGACTTGAGAGATTCAAGATAACTAGGAATAACAGAATCACTTATGATCATTTAAGTAACTTGAATAAAGACAACGTGAAAGTTATCCCAGAAACCTGGAGAAACACCTTAGAAATGCCACTGTTCCAGTCAGAAGTTTTTCTCATTATTTATTTTCTTCTTTTAAGAGACAAAGCAGAAAATATTAATGGGTTAAAAAAAGAATTTTTTTTTACAGTATAATCTGTAATGGGTCAGAGGGAGGATAAGCTACATTGTATAAACATTTTATTTATAATCTGAGTACATCACAAAACATCCAAAAGTCTTTCAGGCCTAAATCCTGTACAATTTACTTCAATTTTGTGTAATTAAAGAAAAACTTTCAGTAACTACATAGCCAGCATTCAAAGATATTAAAGTACATAAAAGACCTATTTAAATAGCCAGAAAATCCTATTCCTGAACAAAGATTAAATGAGCTAATGAAATCTATTTCATATAATAAAGAAGGAGGGCAAATTAGTTCACACATATTTATACTGTATGAAAATGAAAAATAAATACAGTGACAATACCAATAAAAGTAATAAAACTTACATCACCGATGATTTTCGCTGTTACTGTTGGAACTGCACCTTGATATAAATTAAAACATAAATTTAGGATCTTTACAATTATTTTAACATTAGCATTAAAAGCTGATTATCAGTACATAAACACAAACCCTCATACTAAGAACATGTGTTTTTTTAATTCAACGGAAGAAACTAGCAATTCTAAAGTATGAGATATGAAACTTGTGCAGCAAGCCACTATTCCTAATATTGAATGTGTCAAATGTATGAAAATAATCCCTGATGAAAGGAAGTTAGGGGACCACTGCATTCAACCTAAATAGGCTAGATAAATGCTTTCCAATCAAGCCATACCTTGTAAGACACTGTTAGAATTCACTGTAGGCTGAGCAGCAGGGGCACTTGCCAATGATACTACATTGGCTATAACTGGAGTCGAATCTTTTCTCAGAGATGGGGGTCCTGCTGAAGCAGCTTGAACCATGGAAATATTTGCTGATTAAAATAAACAAAAATAAGGAAACCTCACGTGATTTATATGTACTTACACAGAAACCATTTCAAGGAAGTTAAACAATGTTTTCAGGTTTGAGTAATTTCTGTTGGAGCAAAAAGTCACTTTAGGATTAACTGGGTTTTGGTTTTCTTCTTTTTTTTTTTCTTTTTGAGACAGAGTCTCACTCTGCTGCCCAGGCTGGAGTGCAGTGGCACGATATCAGCTCACAGCGACCTCCACCTCCCGGGTTCAAGCGATTCCCCTGCCTCAGCCTCCCAAGTAGCTGGGACTACAGGTGCGCAGCACCACACCCAGCTAATTTTTTGTATTTTAGTAGAGACGGGGTTTCACCATGTTGGCCAGGATGGTCTCAAACTCCTGACCTCGTGATCCGCCTGCCTCAGCCTCCCAAAGTGCTGAGATTACAGGCATGAGCCACCATACCCTGGTTTTCTACTTTTTAATTAGTAAAACTTGAAAGTTTTCTATTAACTTTATCTTTACATAAAAAAGGCAACAAATAGTCTAACTTAAAAACCAACTTAAAAACCAACAATGCAAATCCTCAAACACACAATACCAATGAAGATCACAGGTTAGATTTAATGGACAATTCAGCCTAATGTTTTTCTTAAATCTTGCCTTTATATAGAAATAATTTTTTTTTAAGTTTTGGAGTAGGCTCTTGTAGATTTTGCTTTTATTTGTAAGGAGACTACACTTAAATTCTTCTAGCTTTCAGGATGATACTAGTGTTGTTTTTAAATAATAAATTTTCTGAGATAAAGTGGCCTAGCACATAGTGTGTAGTCCTGATAAGATAAGTAAGTCCTGACAAGGTAAGTAAGCAACAAAGAGGAAGGGGCCCAGGTGGGGGAGAACAATGAGTAATTACTCTGAGAGATGACCTCCTACAGGTAGCCCCAGGAGCACGGCTACATTCTGCAAGCAGTCCCCTCCAGCAGGACCATGTAAAACGTCCCTCAAGCCGCTGCGTCTTTGCAGACTTCCCCTTCTCTGCTGTGCTGCTCACTGCAACCTTGCAACATATTTTCACACTTTCTCCAATAAATCTGCCTTTACCTATGACTGTCTTGGTAAATTCCTTTACAGCCCGTGACACTGGCCCCAACTAGTCACGCCCACGACATATAGTTTTATTTTATTTTAATTTTTTAGAGGCAGGGTCTCACTATATCATCCAGCTGGGATTGCTGTGCTGTGGTCACCGCTCACTCCACCCCTGAACTCCTGGCCTCAAGCCGTCCTCCCACCTCAGCATTCCAAAGGCGGTGGGATTACAGGCATGAACCATCACATCTGGCCTGCACATGGTATATTTAAAAGGCCATGTGATTTTGACTTTATGTCTTTTGTTATAAGTAGTCTCAAAGGATTTTTTAAGGAAGCCAATTATACTCAATTACAAACCATTAACTGTTATCCTTTCCCATAAATTTAAGTTCTTACAGAGTTTATTTGATTCAATATTCTCAAAGAAATCTATTTAATCAAAAACTCATTTTTACTCAGCTTTAATCTAAGGTGTCAGGCCTCTGAGCCCAAGCTAAGCCATCATATCCCCTCTGACCTGCAGGTACACATCCAGATGGCCGGTTCCTGCCTTAACTGATGACATTCCAACACAAAAGAAGTGAAAATGGCCTGTTCCTGCCTTAACTGATGACATTACCTTGTGAAATTCCTTTTCCTGGCTCATCCTGGCTCAAAAAGCTCCCCCACTGAGCACTTTGTGACCCCCACTCCTGCTCGCCAGAGAACAACCCCCCTTTTTCCTTTACCTACCCAAATCTTATAAAACGGCCCCACCCCATCTCCCTTCACTGACTCTTTTCAGACTCAGACCGCCTGCACCCAGGTGAAATAAACAGCCTTGTTGCTCACACAAAGCCTGTTTGGTGGTCTCTTCACACGGACGACAGTGAAATAAGGTGTTCAACAAAAAAAGCTAAATGTTATTGATACAGAATACAAGGAAACTGAGGTTTCATGAAATTAATGACAACTGTTTACACAGTTCCTGATCTGTAAAAGAACAGTAGTTCCTAGTATTGACCAAAGACTCCATTCAGTACCTAAGGTTAATTTTACCTGCATTATTTTGTGAAGGCGGGTCACATACACTTTGCTGATTACAGAACATCAAGATACAAAGCAGGTTACAGAAATGTTTCATTTCCCCTCGCCATTTCAAGGACTCACTGAGTTTACCCTGTCGCTTACAAGCATCACATTTGGCCATCTAAAAAGAAGAAGGTAGTCAAGGAGTAAGAAACAAATTATCTGTGGTCTGACAAAATAAAAATAAGACACACATAACAAGTGACGAAATTAACTTAGAATTTAGATCAAAAAATTAGTTTGTCTTTATCAATGATTATACACACACACACACACACACACACACATATATATATATATTTTTTTTTTTTTTTGAGACAGAGCCTTGCTCTATCGCCCAGGCTGGAGTGCAGTGGCGTGATCTCAGCTCACTGCAAGCTCCACCTCCTGGGTTCATGCAATTCTCCTGCCTCAGCCTCCCAGGTAGCTGGGACTACAGGCGCCCGCCACCACACCCAGCTAATTTTTTTGTATTTTTAGTAGAGACGGGGTTTCACCATGTTAGCCAGGATGGTCTCGATCTCCTAACCTCATGATCCACCCGCCTCGGCCTCCCAAAGTGCTGGGATTACAGGCGTGAGCCACCGCGCCCAGCTGATTTTATACTAATTTTTTTTAAAAAACACATGTAACATACAGACTTCACTCTATAGCAATTAAAAAACAAAGTGAAATAAAAATAAGGTCTATCTTCCTCAGACTTCAGAAGACAAATTCACTTTATTTAAATAATAAGTGAATAAAATTATAAGTTTAAATATTTTAATGTCTTAAGACTGATATGTCTCCTACAGGAAATTAAAAACAAAAGAAAACTTCAATAACATTAAAGTCTTTCTAAATCTTATATTAATTGCTAGAAGGCATAAAACATTTAATACTTAAAAGTTTTAAATAATTAAATTGTCCTTTATGTGACATGAAATTTTAAAAGGGAATAATTTATGCCCTAGAATGAAAAACCCAGGAATGTGAATTCTATTTACCTGATAGAACAAAACTGTATATTTGGACATGCATTCTTCACAACAGAACTCTTCCACTTTCCCTCCTAAATTATTCTGTACCAATTTGGGAGATGTCTGTAAACAATAACTGCACATTTTACAGTGATTTCCCCAGCGTTTTGCCAAGTCATGTTTATAAAGCAATTTGCAACCTAAAAATCAGGAAAGATAAAATTAACATTAGGTAGAAGTATTAGTTTTCTGCAACTTTAAATGGCCTAGGACAGGCCCGGTGCAGTGGCTCACACCTGTAATCCCAACACTTTGGGAGGCTGGCGGGAGGAGTGCTTGAGCCCAGGAGTTTGAGACCAGCCTGGGCAACATGGCAAGACCCCATGTCAAATAAAAACAAAAACAAAAAAAAGAAAAATAAGTGGTCTAGGACAAAGTTTTCACACTTGGGTCCTGACCAGTTCACAGAGTATCTTGATTTTTTAGAGTATCTATACTAGTTTTTGTTTTGCTTTGTTTTTGTTTTTGTTTTAAATGATATAAGACAGGATAGCACAGAAGAGAAAATATTAAACTGCATCGATTTTATTTCATGAAACTTTTGGGGCTGGGCGTAGTGGCTCACACCTGTAATCCCAGCACTCTGGGAGGCCAAAGTGGGTGGATCACCTGAGGTCAGGAGTTGGAGACCAGCCTGGCCAACATGGTGAAGCCCTGTCTCTACTAAAAATACAAAAATTAGCCAGGTGTGGTGGCGGGTGCCTGTAGTCCCAGCTACTCGGGAGGTTGAGGCAGGAGAATCGCTTGAACCCAGGAGGCAGAGGTTGCAGTGAGCCAAGATCGCTCCATGGCATTCCAGCCTGGGTGACAAAGCAAGACTCTGTCTCAAAAAACAAAAACAAAAACAAAAAAAACTTTTATTTAGGTATGTGAAAATATACTGGGTCACAGTGTAAATGTATTTCTTCTTTGGTGTTATCAAAAGGTTTGAAAGCCCTTGCTCTAGAAGGCTAATACAGCTTTAGAGTAAAATAAAACATTATAAACATATAGAAGAGTTATCTAAGGAAAACAATCTTCCACATATTAATTTGCATATTCAAGCCATTTATATTCAGAAATATAATGGCTGTTTAAGACAATAAAAGTATAAACTTAGAATGTTACCATAATTTAAGGCATCCCATTTAGAAATAAGTACACGAACTAGAAGCTCTTTGAGGTCCCGATCAACCTAATAATGGGGAACCTAAGGATGTTAAATGTTTTTCACATCATCTTCTTCTGCATTATACTTTGCAAATCTTTCACTTCATTTTAACAGCTACATAATATAAGAAAACTAGATCAAAAAAGAATGAACTAAGTGTAAATGAATCGAAAAGGCATTTACGTTATACATAAACAATAAAACAGATTAACTTAGACAGTGAAAGCTTAAATCATCATCAACTGCTTTAAAACAACCAACATGCTCAGTAGGTAAGATAATCTTCTGTCTTTACCTTCACTACAGAATGACTTGTCAGCACCTGAGAACCGAACAGTCTCCTTTACAATTTTCTCAATTTTACAATATTCACACATTGCCATTACATTATTTATTTTCTTATATTCATCAGAACAATTCTTGCCACAGAACTGAAACATTTTGCCCTGCAAAGAAATAATCATTAAGTACTAATTAAACATTTGGTTTGTCTTATGGAACTCCTTATCTCCCTTACTTTCAAAACAAATGGTATGATTTTGAGAGATGCAAAGTTAAAAATAATTTTACAAATAGACCCACGTATACTCAAAATCTTATCATGAACATGCTATACTTTACCTTATAGTCAAGAAGTTCTGGTTTTGTGGCAAAAAGACGGTTACAGTGTTGACATTTGAGTTTCACAACACTTCGTGCAAACCCAACATGCTGGGACTGGGCAGCGAGACGCTGGAGACCAGCTGCAGCAGAGCTACTGATGGAGGTGGGAGAAACAGCAGATGTGCTACCTCCTCCGGCTGACACTGTGGAACCTGTGGGGATGCTTACAATTACTTGGCCCTGAGACAAGGGCACTACTGAAGAATTCATTCCAGTTGGTTTGTTGAATAAATTCTGGAAAAACAAAACAACAAAAAGTATCAATTTAATCTTTGTTAAAACAAAGAAGTATTGTGTGCCTACATATGCCAAGCACCGTTCTAGGCATGTAAGGTACATCTGTTAACAGGCAATGTTCCTGCCTCTGAGCAGCTTATTACGGAATGGGGGGAGTCTCATTTATGATGAAAAAATAAAATAACTTAACTAATAATCTTCCTCAAAAATAATATCCTCCCAATAGATAATATGGGTGATAAAAGTACCATTCAATTTTATAGAAGGCAGTTAAATTAAATTCCAAATACAGAATGAACTACAAATCCAAGTTTAATAGGAATGATATAGAAACTTATACAACCCAGGCCCTAGCAAACACCTAATAAATGTGCATTACTATAGTAGGTGATAGGTTTGAATTCGTGTCCCTGCCCAAATCTCATGTCCAGTCGGTAATCCCCAATGTTGGGGGAGGAGCCTGGCAGGAAGTGACTGGATCATGGGGGTGGATTTCTCCCCTGCTGTTCTGGTGATAGTGAGTTCTCACTATCTGGTTGTTTAAAAGTGTAGCACCTCCCGCTTCTCTCTCTTCCTCTTGAGCCCATCATGTAAGACGTGCCGGCTTCCCCTTCGCCTTCCGCCATAATTGAAAGTTTCCTGAGGCCTCTCCAGCCATGCTACCTGTACAGCCTGTGGAACTGTGAGCCAATTAAACCTCTTTCTTTATAAATTACCCAGTCTAGGGTATTTCTTTAGAGGAGTGCAAGAACAGACTCATACAGTAGGTGACTCACTGACTGAAGAAGAGGAAGGTTCCTGAAGCCATACCTGGAAAGCTACCACACAGCTGTAGCTGCAGAAGTTGCGTATACTTCCATCTGACATGGCTAGGTGATACTGAGGAATTGCTGAGGTTTTACAACTGTTACACTGAACTTGTACACCTTAGCAAATCAAAATAAAAACCAATGAGTAATATGTACAAATGTACACAAAAGTATGAGAAATTAAATAATACTATACAATATAAGAAAATTTAAGAGCCAGGGTAAGTTGTAGGAACTGAAACTAAATCATGTCACATATAGACAAAAACTAACATAATACTGAAAATGTTTCTTTCCAATTTAAATTGGTCAAAGTCTACCCTGAAACTACCAGATAAATGAAACTTCAAAGAAATTAGGTAGGGAAAAAGAAAATATATTAAAGAAGCCATATGAAATTCTTTTGGTAAGGGGGAAATGCATAAATAGGTATGCAAGTAAATAAATAAGCAATCAAGGTAACAGGTGATATTTTACAACAAATATCTGAAATATGTTAAATGTGCCTTAAAAATCAACCAAAAAAAACCGTTAAAAACAAAGCAATAACCATTATTTTTCAACCATTGCATTTCATAGTTTGTGAAACCAATATTACCTGCAGAAGTAACCATTTTAACTCTGTAAGCAGATAAGCAATTAACAGAACAGAAAAGCTCTGTCTTCCCCAAGCTATTGGTATTTTCAATCATTTCTGCTGAGGATCTCAATGATTTGCAAAGCGCACACGGTGTAATTTTGGCTGATTTCTATTAAGAGAATAAAACAACATTCATTTTTAACAAATTCCTAGTAAAAGCATAATTCTTCGAAATGTTTATACTCAACACTTTTGAAATATTTGAAATCAGTGATTTTCAAACTTTTATGATTGTAATCCTCAATAGGAAGTTTCATGGTACACATGTACTTCTGAGATTTTGCATTTGTGTATGATGCATGTATGTAATAAAACTAAAAAGTTTTATAGAGGAATAAATATCATGATAACATGTAATGCACTTTGATATTTTCCAATCTATTCTATTTCATTGAAAAAGTAATGCGGCCAGGCGTAGTGGCTCACCCCTATAATCCCAGCACATCGGGAGGCCGAGGTGGGTGGATCACCTGAGGTCAGGAGTTCAAGACCAGCAAGGTCAACATGGTGAAACCCTGCCTCTACAAAAATACAAAAAAAATTAGCCAGGCATAGTGGCAGGCGCCTGTAGTCCCAGCTATTCAGGAGGCTGAGGCAGGAGAATGGCGTGAACCAGGAGGCAGAGCTTGCAGCGAGCTGAGATCGTGCCACTGCACTCCAGCCTGGCGACAGAATGAGAAGATTCCACCTCAAAAAAAAAAAAAAAAAAGAAAAAGAAAAAAATAATAATGCTGGTTATAACCTAGTAATTAATTTCAGGGTCTATTAATAGGTCATAACCACAGTTTTAAAAACATTAAATAACAGCAAGTTCATGCTTTTATACTATATCATCCTATAAATTGAAATAACCCCCTCCAAAGGTGCTTGTAAATATGAATTTAAGGAAATTAGTAACCTTATTAGGCAACTTATTGGCAAATATTCTACCACTAATAATAAAAAAAATACTCCATAAGCGTAAAGTAAGAGCAAACCTGGGATATCATCACAGGTGTCCAAATACAAACAACCAGAGTCCGTTATCTTAAGTCTTCACCCAATTAGGGATTCAGCAGCAAATAATGCTAAGTATTATTAACATGTCACACATTCAGGATAATTTTTAAAGTACGTCCAGCACCAATTAGGAGATTTTAAGAGCAATCTTCCTTCTTAAAGAATCAATTTGTAAAACTTGATATTAAAATAAATACACAGTAAAGTGAATATATGCCTGAATTCTGGAATGTCTTCTAAATCTCTAACCCCATTTCCCTCTCCTCCCTAATGAGGACTGTAAAAGCAAACCTCATTTGTAAGACCCAGATCAAGAGTTACCTCTGTGAAGCTTCTGCTGATAGTCTCATCTTTCCCTATCAAGTAGAGCTCACTATGCTACCTCTGTGGCCCACTGTACCCATAATACTTCCATCATAGCATCTCTATTTACTCATTTATACGTCTTATCTTTCTCAGGAGACAGGCAGCCCCTCAAAACAGAAATTATATCTAATGTTTGTTGAATGAATTATATATAAGGAAGAAAGGAAGGTAGCAGAAATGACCATCTACAATGCCTCAGTTACATACTAGGCATTCTTTCATTCTTACTTTCTATAATCCTAAAAACATCCCAGTGACATAGGTGGTATCATAGTTATTTACAGACAGAAAAACTGGGACTCAGGGAGCTTAACTGCTTTCCCCAAGGTAAAACTGTATTTGAACATAAGGTCTAGAATTAAATGTAGATCTGCCTTACTTCTAAATTCCAGTTCTTTCTCTACCACAGCAGATATAATACATGAAAAATTTAATAGGTTTTGACTAAATTAAAAGTAAAGAATAAATTTAAAATTAAGATGTTTCATCCTATTTCTCCCTCTCTTGTGGACTATCACTCATCTTTCAATGGACTGAATCCAGGTAACTTTTAGTACCTGATACAGTATCAGGAAAAGAACAGTCTTTTGGAAAATGACAAAACAATGAAGATGTGGGGATTTTTTTTTTCTTTGAGAACAAAAATAAGGAATGAATAGTAAAACTTAGCCATTATAGTGTGTTTTCACATTAACAGGAAATAAATTGAAACACGCTTAAATTCCAAAATTACTACAAGGTTTTAAGAACAATTAACAAGAATGTTCCTAATCAACGCTATTAAATTCACCAATTTTGGTAAACTGTACAAAAACTTACTATTCTAAGGAAAAGAATGATTAGCAAATGCACTTACATAAAAGACATTATAAAATTAAAAATATTAAAAGTACTTACCCCATAAATATATACACCTACTATGGACCCACAAAAATTAAAAATTAGAAATATATATAGCATTTACTATTCCTTTAGGTTTATCAATTTTAAAACTAATATTTGATCAAAATTCACTAATAAAATACAAATCTAATACACACAAAACTACATAAAAGACATTTGTTATAGAGTTCATCCAGTTCATCCCGTGCACACCTCATCAATTCACAAATATATAATCCACATCTATTTCTTCCTATTTCATAAAGATAAGAAAAATCCCTTACTGTAACAATTAATGATATAATTTTGATTATCTGGTTTGCAATTTTAATTCTGTGAATCAGATTTCAACACTACATATGCAACTTGAACCTTTCCTTGTCAAATAAGAAGTATATATGCAAATCTCACATGCTGGAAAGATTAGAAGGCTATACACCAAAATGACAGGATTTGTTATCTGTGAGAGATACACTGCATTTCTTCATGTTTTTTTTTAACTTTCAAAATATTGTTAAAGAATACAAATCACTTTTGAAATAAAAAAGCCATACTGGCCGGGCGTGGTGGCTCGCACCTGTAATCCCAGCACAGGGATTGGGAGGCCGAGGCAGGTGGATCACTTGAGGTCAGGAGTTTGATACCAGCCTGGCCAGTATAGTGAAATCCCATCTCTAATAAAAATACAAAAAAATTAGCCAGGCCTGGTGGTGGGCGCCTGTAATCCTAGCTACTTGGGAGGCTGAGGCAGGAGAATCGCTTGAACCAGGGAGGTGGAGGTTGCAGTGAGCCGGGATCACACTCCAGCCTGGGAGACAGTGCAAGGCTCCATCTCAAAAAAAAAAAAAGCCACACTCTAAAAACTTGTATTTCAAATGCATAAACGTGTATAAACAAATGCATGAATAAAACTGCTACTTATAGAACTCTGTATGAATATTTAATGCACATTTATTCAACAAATACTACTTATGTATAAAGAATACCAGTTAAAACAAATAGTAAACTCTCTCTATATGTATATATACATATATATACACATACATATTTACATATATATACATATACATACATATATACGTATATATACGTGTGTGTGTGTGTGTGTGTGTGTGTGTGTGTATGTGTGTATATATACATTTTTGTTTTTTTTTTTTTGAGACGGAGTTTCACTCTTGTTGCCCAGGCTGGAGTGCAATGGTACGATCTTGGCTCACTGCAACCTCCACCTCCCGAGTTCAAGCAATTCTCCTGCCTCAGCCTCCCGAGTAGCTGGGATTACAGGGATGTGCCACCACACCTGGCTAATTTTTGTATTTTTAGTAGAGATGGGGTTTCTCCATGTTGGTCAGGCTGGTCTCGAATTCCCAACCTCAGGTGATCTGCCCGCCTCAGCCTCCCAAAGTGCTGGGATTACAGGTGTGAGCCATGGCACTTGGCCAGTAAACCCAATATTGCAAAACAACATTTTCATAAATAATTCTGACTAAAAATACAGATTACCTGAACTGAACAAAGACATCAAGATTAAATATGGTCATGTACCTGCTTGTATGCCGTGATACACGATGAACTACAAAACTTCTTAGACTGTCCCTCTATCTGAAGCATGTGGCATTGTCCCGACCCACTGTAACAGTAACCCCCACAGTTCTCACAACAGTTCATGGTGAGGTTGTTAGCAGAACGAAACTTAGAGAAGCAGGCATCACTGCAAAGTTTATGGACCACATTCTGGTAATTAACTTCATGTCGAATCTAGAAATTAAATAACAGCAACACAAAAACAAGGAGCAGAGAGCATCAAAAGCTGTTCTTTAAGCACAAACGTATTAGACTCCTGCCCCAATAAAGGAAAATGGTAACTTACAACAGCATTCTTCTGACACATGCTGCATTTGGTTGAAATACTATTTGTATTTATGGTAACAATAGGTTTTTTTTTCAGTTCATATGTTGACAAACATGACTGACTGCAAAAATCTTTACTAGTGGTGGTGTTTTCAAACTGGGCACTGATCACATCCTTTGGATTTAAAATGTCTCTAAAAATAAGAAAAAAATAACATAAGCCATGGTATAATTCATTTCTTTTTCCTTTCTGTGAGCTAAAATAACTAAATAAAACAGAGGCAATTATACTGTAGGGAAATAACACTGGAATTTAAGTTTAAAAACTTTAATTTTCTGGGAGACACTTAAAAATTGCTTTGATCCTTAAATTATTTTCTATGAAGTGGAATTAACAGCACCTACTTCATAGAACTGTTATGAGAATTAGTATGTTTCAAAGACTAAAAGGAAAACATCAAATGATTAGCATTCATTATCTCTACAGGAGGGATTATACGAGATTTTTCTTTTCTAGAATTATCTGTATTTTCAAAATATTCTTTAAAAAATACTGTATTACATTTAACATTGTCAAAAATTAGTATCTTTTAAAAGTAAACATACATTTTACACTACACAGTGCATATTCTAGCACAGTTATATAAAATATAACATTACCATATCTAAATAATTTAATTTCTAAGCACTAGTAACAAAGGCATTGAAGATTAAAACCCTAATGATTAAGGCTCCTTACCACTCCAACCCTAATCCCACCAAACCACTCACTCTATAGTAGTTTACCAGACAGTTCAAGTGGAAACCATATTAAAAACCAATTTTTCGGCCGGGCGCAGTGGCTCACGCCTGTAATCCCAACGCTTTGGGAGGCTGAGGCTGGCGGATCACAAGGTCAGGAGATCGAGAGCATCCTGGCTAACACGGTGAAACCCCGTCTCTCTAAAAATACAAAAAATTAGCCAGGCGTGGCGGCATGTGCCTGTAGTCCCAGCTACTCAGGAGGTTGAGGCAGGAGGATGGCATGAACCCGGGAAGCGGAGCTTGCAGTAAGCCAAGATTGTGCCACTGCACTCCAGCATGGGCGACAGAGCGAGACTCTGTCTCAAAAAAATAAATAAATAAATAAATAAATAAAATAAATAAATAAATAATAAAAACCAATTTTTCAAACTGGTGAAATTTTCTAATCAATGTCTCTCTCCCATGAGTATACATCCACATAATAGTTAATAAACTGCTTTATACTCATGTTTGTATCTTAAAGAGATTACACTAGCAGGATACTTTTAAAGAAAAGATTATAGGCATACCTTGTTTTATTGTGCTTCACAGATACTGCACTTTTTAACAAATAGAAGGCTTGTAGCAACCCTGCCTCACACAAGTCTATCAGTGCCATTTCTTAACAGCATTTGCCCACGCATGTCTCTGTATTATATTTTGGTAGTTCTCCCAATATTTCAAACGTTTTTGCTACTATAATATCTGTTTTTCTATGATTAGTGAACACTGATGTTACTATTGTAATTGTTTTGGGAAGTAACCACAAACCACGTCAATGTAAGATAGCAAACTTAATTGAAAATTGTGTGTGTTCTGACTGCTCCATTGACCAGCCACTTCTGTATCTCTCCCACTCCTCAGGCTTTCCTATTCCCTGAGGCATAATAATATCGAAAGCAGGCCAATGAATAACCTCACAATGGCCTCTAAGTGCTCAACAAAAGTAAGAGTCCCACATTTCTCACTATAAATCAAAAGCTAGAAATGATTACTCTTAGTGAGGAAGGCATGTGGAAAGCTAGGCCTCTTGCGCCAAACATTTCACCACATAGTAAATGCAAAGGAAAAGTTCTTGAAAGACTAAGAGGGCTACTCCAGTGAAGACAGGAATGATAAGAAAGCGCAACAGTTGGCCGGGCGTGGCGGCTCACGCCTGTAATGCCAGCACTTTGGAAGGCCGAGGCGGGCGGATCAACTGGGGTCAGGAGTTGGAGACGAGTCTAGCCAACATGGTGAAACCACGACTCTACTAAAAAATGCAAAACTTAGGCAGGGAGCAGTGGCTCACGCTTGTAATCCCAGCACTTTGGGAGGTCGAGGTGGGTGGGTCACAAGGTCAAGAGATCCAGACCATTCTGGCCAACATGGTGAAATCCCATCTCTATTAAAAATAGAAAAATTAGCTGGGCGTGGTGGCGCGTGACTGTAGTCTGAGCTACTTGGGAGGCTGAGGCAGGAGAATTGCTTGAACCCGGGAGGCGGAGGCTGCAGTGACCTGAGATTGCGCCACTGCACTCAAGCCTGGGTGATAGAGAGACACTCCGTCTCAAAACAACAACAACAGAAAAGAAAGCGCAAGTCTTACTGCTGATGTGGAGAGAAGTTATAGTGGTCTAGATAGAAGATCAAACCAGCCACAGCATTCCCTTAAGCCAAAGCCTAATCCAGAGCAAGGCCCTAATTCTCTTGAATTCTAGGAAGACTCAGGTAAAGAAGCTGCAGAAGTTTAGAGCTAGCAGAGGTTAGCTCATACGGTTTAACGAAAGAAGCTATCTCTGGAACATCAAAGTACAAGGTGAAGCAGCAAGTGCTGATGGAGAAGCAGTAGCAAGTTATCAAGAACATCTAGCTAAGACAATTTATGATGGCGGCTACACTAAATAAGATTCTCAATGTAGAAGAAACAGTCTTCTATTGAAAAACGATGCCATCTAGGACTTTCACAGCCAGAGAGAAATCAATGCTTGGCTTCAAAGCTTCAAAGGACAGGCTGACTGACTTGTTAGGGGCTAACATAGCTGGTGACTTCAAGTAGAAGCCACCAGCTTCTACTTTTAACTTTCAAAAATCCCAGGACACTTAAAAGATTCCTTTCAAAATATTACTGCTCACTGACATCTAGTCACTGAAGAGTTCTGATGGAGATGTACAAGAGGTTAATGTTACTTTCATACCTGCTTACCCAGTATCTATTCTGCAGCCTGTGGATCAAGGAGTAATTTCAACTTTTGCAACTCATTATTTAAGAAATACATTTCCTAAGGCTACAGCTGCCATAGATAGTGATTCCTATAACGGATCCGGCCAAAGGAAATTAAAAAGCTTCTGGAAAGGATTCACCATTCCAGATGACATTAAGAACATTCATGATTAATGAGAGGAAATCCAAATATCATCATTAATAGGAGCTTGGAAGTAGGTAACTTCAATCCTCACAGATGACTCTGAGGAGTTTGAGACTTCTGTGGAGGAAATAACTACAAATGTGGGAGAAATAGTAAGAGAACTAGAAGTGGAGCCTGAAGATGCGACAGAATTGCTGCAATCTCATGATAAAACTTGAACAGATAAGGAGTTGCTTCCAATGGATGAGCAAGGAAAGTAATTTCTTGTCATGGAATTTACTCCTGGTGCAGATGCTGTGAACTTTGGTGAAATGACACCAAAGGATTTAAAGTATTACATAAACTTAGTTGATAAAGCAATGGTGGAGTCTGAGAGTACTGATTCCAATTTGGAAAGTTCTTCTCTGGGTAAAATGCTATCAAATATTATTGCATGCCACAAAGAAATATTTTGTGAAAGGAAGAGTCAACTGATGTGACAAACTTCATTGTTATCTTAAGAAATTGCCACAGCCACCAAAACCTTCAGCAACCATCACCCTGAATCAGCAGCCATCAACATTGAAACAAGACTGTCTATTAGTAATAAGATTATGACTCACTGAAGGCTCACATGATTGTTAGCATTTGTTAGCAATGCAGTATTTTTAATTTAAAAATGTACATTGGTTTTTAAAGATTTAATGCTATTGCACACAGACTACAGTATAAACACAACTTTGATATGAACTGGGAAGCCAAAAAATTAATATCACTCACTTTATTGAGATAATTGCTTTATTGAGCTAATTGCTTTATTGAGGTGGTCTGGAACCAAATCCTGAATATCTCTGAAGTATGGCTATACAAATCTCTCTGCTTCAGTAAAATAGTAGATATAATGGGAAATCATCGTTAGGAGCACCTAATATTTTACTATAATACATAACTCCATACCTTGCCATCTTCCATACTTAGCAGCTCTAGACTGCTTTGCTTTTTGCATTTCCTGTTATTTTTAAAATTAGGTTTTAATGTATTTCATAGAGGGATATTTAGTGAGAAGGATATTTAGTGAGTAGTTACATTGAGCCAGACATTAACGAAACCCTTAGTCAAAATATGGTCCACATATGGGCCAGGCGCAGTGGCTCACACCTGTAATCCCAGCACTTTGGGAGGCTGAGGTGGGCAGATCACTTGAGGTCAGGAGTTTGAGACCAGCCTGGCCAACATGGCGAAACCCCGTCTCTACTATAAATACAAAAATTAGCCGGGCATGGTGGCATGCGCCTGTAGTCCCAGCTACTCGGGAAGCTGAGGCAAGAGAATCGCTTGAACCTGGGAGGCGGAAGTTGCAGTGAGCCCAGATCGCACCACTGTACTTCAGCCTGGGCAACAGGGCAAGACTCCATCTCAAAAAAGAGACGTATGTACTTAAGGAGCTCAGAGTTATTGTGACAAATAGACAAATATTTTATAAAATACTGTAACAGAAGCATTCTTAAAATACTATAGGCCGGGTGTGATGGCTCACGCCTGTAATCCCAGCACTTTGGGAGGCCGAGGTGGGCAGATCACCTGAGGTCAAGAGATCAAGACCATCCTGGCCAATACGGTGAAACCCCATCTCTACTAAAAATACAAAAAAATTAGCTGGGCATGGTGGCGTGTGCCTGTAGTCCCAGCTACTCGAGAGGCTGAGGCAGGAGAATCACTTCAACCTGGGAGGCAGAGGTTGCAGTGAGCCAAGATCACGCCACTGCATTCCAGCCTGGCAACAAAGTGAGACTCCGTCTCAAAAAAAAAAGAAGTATAAATAATTTTTGGAGAAGACACGAATAACGTGCCATAAAAATATAAATGAAGAAACAATTATTTCAGACTACATGTAACATGAAATGCAACCCAAAGGGTGATATTTTAGCTGGACCTTAAATAGGAGTTTTCCAGAAAGTTAAGGAGATAAGAATTGGGAGCAGCATGGATCAAGGAAATGGAAGTATAAAATTAGGTATTTTTTCACTGCTCTCACTATGCTTAGAGTCCAATTAGATTACATCTTATTGTGGTAGTGGATTATATCTTATGACAGAATGAGAAGAAACAATCTCATTCAAGTTAGTGAAAATTCAGAAATGGTACAGACAATCTGGGTGTTACTTCTTTGAATATCATTATAACAAGAATCTGATCTAACAGTATTAACAAAATTATCCTCCAAATTACCTCTTCTCTGCAAAATATGAGATTTTTTTTTTTTTTCAAAGATAGTGTCCTGCTGTGTCACCTAGGCTGAAGAGCAGGAGTGTGATCATAGCTCACTGCAGCCTCAAACTCCTGGACTCAAGAAATCCTCTCACCTCATCCTCCCAAGCAGCTGGGATTACAGGCATGTGGCACCACAGTTGGTTAATTTTTTAACTTTTTGTAGAGATGAGGTTTCACTGTGTTGCCCAGGCTGGTCTCGAAATCCTGGGCTCATGCAATCCTCCAATGTTGGCTTCCTAAAGTGCTGGGATTACAGGCATGAGCCACTGCTCCCAGCCAAGACAAATTTTTTAAAACAAATTATTAGGTCCCTATCATTAAGGAAACCTAAAAATTAAATGGCAACCAAAATTCTTTCAGAGTTTAAGTTAAATTCAACAGGCTGAGATATGATTACCAAAAATTAAGAAAAATGAAATTTATTCTGAATAGCTAATGAGCTTCTTCTAACCTAAGTGCTGCTGTTATATTTCTACTGGTATACAACAGTAGCAGTAGTTATCAGAGAGGAAATTTTTTCCATCTCTGCCTGTTCAAATCAAATTGAAACCCTTCTTATGGGGAATGATTTCTAAATGAAACCTGTTTGACTACATAGACTATGTAGAGAAACAATGCATATGCCAAAATTAACCAGCTAGGTGACACAAGCAAATCTTTTACCTTCTTTGAATTTAGCTTCCTTATATTTTTGGTACATCCAACTCATCAATTTTACAATCAGATAAATCAGACTATACCAAACTGTTGTAATCACCGTGTAAATAAGAGGGGATAAAAAAGAAGGAAAGGTAGTGTTGAACAGGAGATTAAAGAGTAGTTCAGAAAGTAAAATGGAATATAAGGAAAAACAAGATTGACAATGGTTGAAGACTGAAGCAAAAAGTAAGTATTATGTAAAATGAGAAGTAGGAGAAAAGTAAGAAAGAAGATGAAGAAGAAAAGGCTAAGGAGATAAGTAAGGAGTACCTGAAACAACAAAAAGGGGTGAACGAATAAAAAAAGGGTAAAAGACTAAGTGAATAAAAAGGTAGAACTGTAAAGAGTCAAGGGATAACAGGTTAAAGAAATGGAAAATTTGGATAATGGATAAACCAAACATGAGAAGAGAACATAATCTTAAAGAGCAATTGAATTACATAAGATCAAGACATAGATAAAATGACACATAGGTAGAAATGACCTGTCTCTAATAAAGCTTAGGCAAACACCAGAGACTGGAGGCCAAAGAAACATGATAAATCTAGATGAAAAGAGTAACATGTATGGACAATAGTAATAATTTTTTAAAACGAGAAAGAGGGCATATTTTAAAACTTACGTGTTTTCCATAGCCATTTTGAAAATAACTGATAAATCTTTAAAAAAAAAAATCTATGACTGACTTTTTTTTTTTTTTGAGACGGAGATGTGGCTGACTTTTTTTAGGAGCTGGGGGGGACCAGGTCTCACTATGTTGCCCAGGCTGAGTCTCAGACTCCTGAGCTCAAGCAATCCTCCCACCTCAGCCTCCTGAGTAGGTGGGACTACAAGTGCATGCCACCATGCCCAGCCTATAGCTATGATTATAAAAGGATAAATATCACTGAAATTTTAAAGACTGTTGATCCCTAGAGTAAGAATTAAATAAAGAAACATGAAGTTATTATGTGAATGATTTCATGGCAAAATAAACAGAAAAAAAACTATAAAAATTAAAATCTTCAAACTGATTTAAGTCTTACAATCCCATGATGAGTGCCGGGCACGGTGGCTCATGCCTGTAATCCCAGCACTTTGGGAGGCCAAGGCGGGTGGGTCATCTGAGGTCGGGAGTTTGAGACCAGCCTGACCAACATGGAGAAACCCCATCTCTACTAAAAATACAAAAAAATTAGCTGGGCATAGTGGTGCATGCCTGTAATCCCAGCTACTCGGGAGGCTGAGGCAAGAGAATCACTTGAACCCCGGAGGTGGAGGTTGCAGTGAGCCAAGATCGTGCCATTGCACTCCAGCCTGGGCAACAAGAGCAAAACTCTTGTCTCAAAAAAAAAAAAAAAAAAAAAAAAAAAAGAATCCCATGATGAACATACTGGAATACAGAAATTAGAGACAGGATATATACCTAAGTACTCATTTTTAAAAGTACATTTTACAATTCAAGCAGTATAAAGTCTCTTTTTACTAAATAATTTTACTACATAAGTTATAACTATAAAGTAGTAAGTATAGCTTTTTTAGAAGTTAGGATCATTGGGCTGGGCGCGGTGGCTCACACCTGTAATCCTAGCACTTTGGGAGATTGAGGCGGGTGGATCACAAGGTCAGGAGATCGAGACCAACCTGGCTAACACAGTGAAACTCTGCCTCTACTAAACATATAAAAAATTAGCCGTGCAGGGCCGGGCGCGGTGGCTCACGCCTGTAATCCCAGCACTTTGGGAGGCTGAGGTGGGTGGATCAGGAGGTCAGGAGTTTGAGACCAGCCTGACCAACATGGTGAAACGCCATCTCTACTGAAAATACAAAAAAAAAAAAAAAAAAAAAATTAGCTGTGCATGGTGGCGGATGCCTGTAGTCCCAGCTACTCAGGAGGCTGAGGCAGGAGAATGGCGTTAACCTGGGAGGCGGAGCTTGCAGTGAGCCGAGACTGCGCCACTGCACTCCAGCCTGGGCGACAGAGCGGCGAGACTCGGTCTCAAAAAAAAAAAAGAAAAAAAAAAAGTTAAGATCATTAATTCTCCCATTCAACAAATACTTATTAAGCATTTACTGTGCTGGGTATATTGAAGTAGATACACAAAGTTCCTACCCTTGTGGGGGGTGTGGGTGTGTGTGTATATATATATATATGCATATATATATATTTATTTATACTGACATAAATTATATGTATTTACTATGTGTACAACATAATTTTCTTTCTTTTTTTTTGAGATAGAGTCTCACTCTGTCATCCAGGCTGGAGTGCATTGGTGCAATCTTGGCTCACTGCAACCTCTACCTCCCAGGGTCAAGTGTTTCTTGTGCCTCAGCCATCTGAGTAGCTGGGATTATGGGCATGTGCCACCAGGCCCAGCTAATTTTTGTATTTTTACCAGAGATGGAGGTTTCACCATGTTGGCCAGGCTGGTCTTGAACTCCTGGCCTCTAGTGATCCACCTGCCTTAGCCTCCCAAAGTGCTGGGATTACCGGCGCAAGCCACCACGCCCAGCCACAACATCATATTTTAAAGAACAGGCTGAGTATCCCTAATCCAGAAATCCAAAATGCTCCCAGTATCTGAAACTTTTTGAGCGCCAACATGATGTTTAAAGGAAATGCTCATTGGAGCATTAAATTTCAGATTTTCAGATTAGAAATGCTCAATCAGTTAGTAGATATAATGCAAATATCCCAAAACCTTTTTAAAAATCCAAAATCTGAAACACCTCTGGTCCCAAGCATTGAAGGTAAGAGACACTCAACCTGTGTGTGTGTGTCTGTGTGTGTATACACATACACACTGTGCGATGCCTAAATCTAGCTAATTAATATATGCTTTCCTTGGTTACCATTTTTGTGGTGAGAACATTTTATATCTATTCTCACCATTTTTCAAGAATACAATGTATCATTAACTACAGTCACCATATTGTACAATACATCTTCAATTCTTTCTAACTAAAAAATTTTGTATCCTTTAACCAACATTCCCTGACACCTTTCCCAACTACTTCCTCATGGTTTATGTTCTAATGAAATAAATTTTTAAAGAAATAAGCCAAAATCTATCACTCAAAATAGCCCTGGTATAATTATTATTCTAACAATGACAACATAACTCAAAGATATATTTTTTAAATTCCCTTTTATAAATTCCTTCACAAAAGGCATTGAAAGTCACAAAAGCACCAATCTTATATAATCAAATTTCATTTTTGAACAAAAATTGATATAAAATATCTTAATCTGCACTTTAATCAATATACATGGTTCTAAATGGCTTTTAGCCACATGTGAACAGTAAATAAGCACTCAGGAGATAAAAATTTGATAGCACAGAAGCTATTCAAAAGAATGTGTAATTAGCTTGAAAGATAGTCCCAAAACAAAAAGTTGCAGAAGTTTCTATTGTTCTTTTAAATAGCGGCAATTTTACAATAAAAATAGAGATTCCAAAGAAAACTGAAGTCTAATCTACATTTGTATATATAAATTACAGTATATATTTAAGCTGCCTCAAATATAACCAAAATTTACCCTGTCGGTCATTTCAAAAAAATGAAGCATAAACGATGTGCATATCAGTAACTTCCAGAAAAACTTCTAACCATATTTAAATTTCTTTTAAACATCTCTTATCTAACTGAACTAGGAGGAGGAGTATCTTTTTCTCCTCTCCGGGCAGACAAAGTGCAGCATCTGTGTGAGGAACTATAAACATTACCGCCTAAAGTAATAAATGAATCATGGTTTGAGTAGCCTGATAGAGTGTTTCAGAACAAGAGCATTATTCCTCTTTTTCTGACTTAAACTGTTTCTAACAATCATAAAATTAGTCAAAGTTATTGTGTATTCCTCAAATATATCAGGATGACCTTATTACAGTCATAAGATCATACCCCTTTTTTGTTATTAAACATTCCAATGGACACAATGTGGTAGTTCAGAGACATTGAGAAAATAAAAATATAGGCCAAGCGCGGTAGCTCACACCTGTAATCCCAGCACTTTGGGAGGCTGAGGCAGGCAGATCACGAGGTCAGGAGATCGAGACCATCCTGGCTAACACAGAGAAAGCCCGTCTCTACTAAAACATAGAAAAAATTAGCTGGGCATGGTGGCGGGCACCTGTAGTCCCAGCTACTCAGGAGGCCGAGGCAGGAGAATGGCATGAACCCGGGAGGCGGAGCTTGCAGTGAGCCGAGATCACACCACTGCACTCCAGCCTGGGCAACAGAGCGAGACTCCGTCTCAAAATAAATAAATAAATAAATGTGCGCACACACACACACACACACACACACACACACACACACACACACACTGGAAGCCATTTAAGGTTAAGAAGAAAAGTATTAAAGAAATTCAAATTACATAACAGGAAATATAACTTAAAATATTTGTTGGATTTAAATATCTATTGCCTATAGTTATAAAATACTGCTGTAATACAATATCCCTAAATGTGCACTTTTTGTTATATCAGGCACTTCAACTAACAAGGATGGGAGAGCTGGTTTCAAAAACAATACATAAAAGTAACATTATTGAAAGCTAAAAAACAAGCTGAGCACCTAGCACCTGGAAGACTGAAAAGCAACAACTGAAAGCAGACAGAAAATAATGTGGTATTTCTCAAAAAAAAAAAAAAAAAAAAAAGGAATAAATGTAGAATATCAAATGTAATACATGACCTAAGAACAAAGTATGTTAAGAGAAAGGAAAGAAACAAAAAAGATAATTTAGAATTCTGCTATACTTTGAGCAACTTGAACAAGTTTTCTTGGTGAGAGGAGGCGGTGGGCGGGCAGGTGGAACTGTATATCCAGTGAGGCACAGTGTGGAGCAGAATAGCTGAGTAGACCCTTTCCTCTGATAAGCAGTTTGCCCCTTCTGGAGGATTTTTTTACAACCAGAACAGGAAACTCGAACAGCTGTGGCTGGAACTGAAGGAAGCATTTTATTCATGCCAGATGACGCCAGTGAGGGCTGAAAGCCAGTAGTCAACTGTGGAGCTTTAAAAAAAAAAAAAAAAAAAAAAAAAAAAATTGAAAGAAAAAAATGTTTTACTTTTTACCATGAATTTTAAGTAGACATTCTTTCTTTCTCTTCTAGAACTAGTCTTGAAACCCAACAGTAATTATGCAATATACAATTTAAAGGCATCCTAAGTGGGTAGAGAGAGCTGCCTGGTTTATTAATACAAGCAGAATTTCTTCTCATTCATATTGGTCAGAACATACACAATCCATTTATTCAGGTCTGTTTCTTACCAAGAGGGCTGCCACTGACTGAAAACACAGCACTAATTTTCAGTTCCCCCTCTTGAGTTTTTTGCTGTTGGCCATGACTATACTCCTTTAAAGAAGAAAAAAATAAATAAATACATAGAGAAAAGAATAAATACCTAAAGACATCCAGACATTCAAGACATTTTACTACCACTATATAGAGGTGGAAAATGTTTAAAACATTAGTAAGAAATAATAAAGTACAAAACAGCAAGCAAACTATAATTAAATATAGGTAAAATATGTATATGCTAGGAGTGTAAGACAGAAAAAAATGAAAGTATCTACTTAGTCTGTGACACTAAGTATTTATTATTTTTGAAAAATCTTTAATTTTATTTTTATTAAAGTATTATAAGTTACTGTTTATTATAAAAGTAATACACAATCACTATAGAAAATTTAGATAAATAAAAATAAGAAAAAATTTAATCATATTTTAATCACCCCAAAACAATCACTGTTATTCTTTGGGTATATTTCTTTCCAGTCTTTTCCCCTCCTCAATGCAGAGGTTTTATTTCTTAATAAGTTGTAATTATATTAAATATACCATTCTTATAAACTGATTTTTTGCTCATTTGAATCATTTGAACGTTTGTATATTAGTATATATTACTCCAAAATTACTTCTAATGGCTAAATATACCAGTGTTTCTAAAACTGAAGTCCAAGAATCCCTGAGGTCTACATAGTCTGAAAATTCTAAAAGAATGCTGTTTAAATTTTGTTTTTATTTCAATGATTTCTATGTGCATATACACGTATTTTAAGTCATGAGTAACCACCATATAACTGAGTTCTACTACAACCTTTCAGTGCTGTTTGCTTTTTACAATTATACAATTGCATTCTAAAATCATTACATAATAGATTTAACTTTTATTTTAATATATTGTTTATCATATTGAAACATGCAAAAACTCTGCAAGATCACTTATTCTTGGAATTCTGGAGTATCTCAGATATATCTCCTTTTTTTGTGATGGGGAGTTGTCGGCACATTACTCAAGTTTGAAAATACAAATATGTATTATTTAAGAAACATAACACATTACACAGAGATGTGACTGGGATGAGGTGAGTGAGGCACATGCCTCAGGTACAAAATTAAGGGGGCACCAAAAACCTCAGTAATGAAGATAATATTTTAACACAGTATTTTTAAAAATCAAATTTATGCAAGGTCCATGAAGAGCAAAATATCAAATTTTTAAATAAATACCAAATCAGTATTACTGATTTTTTCCTTCTGCCTCCGGCTCCAATGGCACCAAGATTTTATAACCACAACACAATGTTGGTCCATTTAATGTTTCCGCATATTCAGTACAATCAGTAATGCCACGATGAATATCTCTGTGAATATTCATACTCCCATATTTAGGATTATCTCCTAAGAAAAGAATTCCTGAAGTGGAACTACTAGGTAAAAAGGTACATAGTAAAGGTTCTTGATACATAATGACAGGTTGTTTTCCTCCCCAAAAAATGTTCTTAATTATATTTACTCCAGTAATTTATGAAAAAAACACCATTTAAAAGTATTTTCCCACTTTGTTTCAATTTGCAGCTATTTTTAATGTTCATTTACAAAAAGTACATTATAATGGAACACTATTAACTCTCAGTAGCATTTGTTATCAACATTTCCTCAATATGTACGTTAAGTTAAAATTTTATATATTTGTTTCCATTTTTGTGCCAAAAAAATCTGACAGTCTTTACCTTTGTGATTTCTTCTATCTCTTACAAAGTTTTATTTCCACATTAAAAGAATAAGAAAATAGTTTCATTTTTATAATAATACATTCATTTACTCCAGGGATCAGCAAACTTTATCTGTAAGGGACCAGATAGCAAATATTTTTGACTTTGCAGGCCATATGGTCTCTGTCCCAACTACTCAACTCTGCTCTGGTGGAGCAAAAGCACCCACATAATATGTAAATGAATGAATGTGGCAATGTTCAAATAAAACTTTATTTATGAAAGCAGTGGGTGGAAAAACAAAAAAAATGGGTGGGGGGGGGGCGCTGGATTTGGCCCACCACTGATAATTTGCCAACCCCTGCCTTAGTCCATTTGGAATTTACTCATTTTGATGTATAATGAACATTTTTCTTTTTTGAGACAGAGTTTCACTCTGTCACCCAGGCTAGCTCAACCTCGGCTCACTGCAACCTCTGCCTCCTGCGTTCAAGTGATTCTCCTGCCTCAGCCTCCCCAGTAGCTGAGATTACAGGTGCCTGCCACCACACCCGGCTAATTTTTGTATTTTTAGTAGAGATGGGGTTTCAACATGTTGGCCAGGCTGGTCTTGAACTCCTGACCTCAAGTATCTACCCGCCTCAACCTCCCAAAGTGCTGGGATTACAGGCATAAGCCACCATGCCCACCTCTTTATCTTTCTCTAAATAGTGAATTCCTTTCATTTGCCATTGATAAATATATCAAATTCTTAAAAAATAATGTCTGTTTTTGGGCTATCTCTTCTATATCATTTTCAGTCTGACTAATCTTATGATATCATGCTATCCTAACGAAACTAATTGTAGGATACTTATGGCCAGACGTGGTGGCTCACACCTGTAATCCAATCACCTTGGGAGGCCGAGGTGGGTGGATCACCTGAGGTTAGGAGTCTGAGACCAGCCTGGCCAACATGGTGAAACCCTGTCTCTACTAAAATTACAGAAATCAGCGGGGTGTGGTGGTGCACGCCTGTAATCCCAGCTACTCAGGAGGCTGAGGCAGGAGAATCGCTTGAACCCAGGGTGGTGGGAGGGCAGAGGTTGCAGCGAGCCAATATTGCACCATTGCACTCCAGCCTGAGCAACAAGAGTGAAACTCTGTCTTTTAAAAAAAAAAAAAATTAATTAATTGTATGATGTTCAACCATTTAACAGCATTTGCCACATTCAACCTCTCCATCCATTTTTTAGAATATATGTGTAATAAGTGTGTGTATGTGCATGCCTATTATTCTTCTACAAAACTTCATAACCTAACCATTGATATTTTCATCAGAATTGCATCAAATCTAAATCTCAATTTTTTTTTTTTTTTTTGAGATGGAGTTTCACTCTTATCCCACAAGCTGGGGCACGATGGTGCGATCTTGGCTCACTGCAACCTCCACCTCCCAGGCTCGAGTGATCCTCCTGTCTCAGTCTCCCGAGTAGCTGTGATTACAGGCATGCACCACCACGCCCGGCTAATTTCTGTAATTTTTGTATTTTTTAGTAGAGACAGGGTTTCACCATGTTGGCCAGGCTGGTCTTGAACTCCTGACCTCAAGTGATTCGCCCCCCGCTTGGCCTCCCAAAGTGTTAGGATTACAGGCGTGAGCCACCGCACCTGGCCTTAAATCTTAATTTAAAAATAACTGACATCTACATATTTCTTACATTTAAAAAGATGGTCTCTTCATTATTTCAAGTTGTATTTGATATAAGTACTTTTTAGTTGCTGCTGGGAATAGTGTATCTTTTTCATTATATCATCTAACTGGGAAGTTTATTTATAGAAGTATTGGTATAATTCAACTAGGTACTCCACTAAATTTTCATGAATTCTATTAATTCTTTCATAAATATTCTTAATAGCAAGTGATAATTTTATTTCCCTTTTTCCATTATTTTTTCTTCTAATTTCTTTAACATGGATTGAAGTAAAAATCCAACAAGAGTTAAATAATAACGATGACATCCGCAACTTGTATTCTTTTAGTAATATTAACAGAAGATTTCCATCATTTTACTTCAACTTCAATAACTGTTACTGATCTGAAGTAGTAGTTCCTTACTATGATCAAGAAAAAATCTATTCTAAGAAATGTCTGAATTACATGAGATGTCTTTTGGCATCTAATAAAGTGACTATTACAGATACCCTTATTTGACCTGCTGATGAAATATATGTATTAAAAGATTTTCTAACATCGACTAATCATGACATTCCTTCATTATATAGTGTATTAAAGAAAATTTCCTTAAATATTTTTATTTTAATCTCAGAAAACTCCAGAAACAACCAATACTCATTGGCATACATTAACGGTCTGCAGTCAGCTCTCTTAGTCTCTGTGATGGCTATTGCAAACTTCTGCTGGATTCCTTTAGCCTTGAGTACGTATTATTTATGTAATATAGTAAAATAGTATACATCTTAAGTACTGTTTGTATGGTCCACAATGCCTTCAAGGCACAATCATGTTTGGTTTATGTTTGGATCCTCCCATGATCACTAATTTTACAAGTATTTGATAAACAAATCAATGAGTAGCCAAATACTAATAAATATTTTCTGAGAAGTAAATATCTAATTGGTAACCCAAAAGCTTTCAGAAGCAGAAAAACACATGCCAAAACACAAAAAAATTCCTTTACCAATACCTTTACCTTCTTAGTTTACTACAAATGAAGATCAATATTAATATCCCATGAAAGTATTTTAGAAATGAATAACACAGTTTCTATTGCCAAATTAACTCAATATGGCTAAAAGAGCCCCAACATTTGAATTACTACATTTTCTTTCCAAAACTGTGTGAATGACTATTATGACAATTAGTTCATTTGCTTTCCCATTTTAATTGAGTTCTTTCAATGAGAGACTACACATTAGCTCGTCCTCTATTATTATGAACAAGAAGAAAAAGAAATCATGACTTTAATGTAGTATTTACTGAATGTACAGTTTTTAGACCCTATGGAAAAGGCAAAAGAGGAAAATGAGGTCTCTGGCTCTCTTTAAAGTATCTATTTTGAAACCTTCCCTTGGTATTTTTAAAATTAAACAACTTTTATTTACAGAAAGATTGGTAGACTAAAAAAAAAAAAAAAAAAAAAAAAGACTTTGATTATGACCCCAGATTGGCTCCTTCCTGGCCATGAGGGCTTGAGTAACTAAATCTCTATATCTCTCAGCTCTCTCACCTATAAATGTTAACATCCTCTACTCTGGCCATCTTATACAGGGTTGTTAGGCGAATTAAGCAACACAGTACGTGTAAAAGCATCTGTAACTGTAAAAATACTACAGAAAACATTATAGAAACATGCAATAGAATTAGAATGAAGAAATGAAACTGTGAGACCCAATGACATTATGCCAGTAATAGAGGCAGGAGGACGGACAATGACTGGCAAATCCAGAATATCATAACTGAAGAAATAACCAAGAGCAAATGGGTAGAGGAAGTTAAATACATACACACACATTTCAGCACCTTGTTTATATAGTAAAGTAAAGAAATTAGGACCAAAATGAATTGTGTAAAAAAGAGAATTAGGAAGTGAGCTAAAAGCAAAACTACCTAAATTAAGCACAAAGAAAAGCCAAAGGAAGTTTTGAAAAGGTGCCATAAACTAAAGCTATGATTTTATTGAACCATGAAAGAAGTTACTGGTAACTGATGGTCAAAAGTAAACACTGACCACAACTGTAAAATCTATCAGTATTTTATGAGAGGCTAATAGTACTTTTTTGAGACTAATAATATAATACACTAGAGTTCTCTTTTCCAGTCCATGGGAAATGAATAAAAGTAATAAATTATGCAATTTTGAAAGGCAATACTCTTCTAAAAGAAGGAGGGAAGGTGGAGACGGGTGTGGAAAAGACAAGAAAAAGAAAAGAAGGAAAGAATCACATATCTAGTTTATAACATGAGAGCTGCTCTGGGGGATTTCTAGAAGAATTATCAAAGGTCTGATCCTATAGGACTGGTATTGCTGACAACAAAAAGGACTCCTCAGGGAAAACCTAGCTCTATCCACTCACATACTACAAGTCCCTTATTGTGGGGTCAGGGTAAAGAATGCTTTTGGATCTTATGCCCAGGACCTACTCACATTACTGCTTAATTCTCAAGTCCAATCAATCAGGGAGTAAGCCTTTGGGGAAGTTCTTCCCATAATCATGATGAAACTTCATATTCATATTCAGTATTTGATAACACATTTTATAATTCTGAATAAGTATATAAAAATTTAAGTGTTTCTATCTGTTCCATCCTATTTATATTCTCCAGCCACTGGAACCTCTGATTGTTCTGAAAACAACAATACTAATAACCTTCTCAGTGTTCTCTACCCCTATTGTATTTGGTTTATGCTCTAAGTGCCTTTTTGTCCCAAGGAAGTGTCACATGGTTCAAGTACAAAAGAAAGAGATGATTTTGGTACCCTGCCAGCATGCCCACATTGGGGCAGGAGAAGAGATACAAGATCTGCCCTTCATATAGACATGGCTGTAGTCTTCTGAAGCATATACTGCCACATGAACTTTCCCCAGGTGTTGGGACATCTATTTATCCCTAATTCAGATATCTAAGATCTCCATTACCTGCTTCTATAAACATGCTTTTATTTACCTTCTATTTAAATAGAACAGAAAAATCTATTTATATTCCTTCTACTTTCTTCTTTGTAGCAAGTATACTCATATCCATCCAACTCCTATAGCTTTATCACTACCCTAACACATCCAACTTCCACTGAACGTCATGGAATTCATGCTAACTGAGCATCAATTTGACTCAGTGACTCACATGAATCACCAACCTCTGCAATCTCCTATTCTTCCATCTGCTTACTCTAATACAATGGTTCTCAATAGATCATTTTTTGTTAAAATTGGCAAGGGAGGAGGCTGCTACTGGCATGTAGTAGGTAGAGGCCACAAATGCTTACTAAATGTCCTGCAATGCACAGGACATTTCTTCACAACAAAGAATTATCTGGTCCAAAATGTCAATGCTGTGGAGTTTGAGAAATCCTGTCCAAAAACATCTAAATGAAAAATGCACTTGACCAGGCACGGTGGCTCACGTCTGTAAACCCAACACTTTGGAAGGCCATAGCAGGAGGATCGCTTGAGCACAGAAGTTAGAGACAAGCTTGTGCAACTTACTTTACCAAAAAAAAAGTCTCACTCTGTCATCCAAGCCGGAGGGCAGTGGCACAATCTCAGTTCACTGCAACCTCCACCTCCTGGTTCAAGTGATTCTCCTCCCTCAGCCTCCGAAGTAGCTGGAATTACAGGCACCCGCCACCATGCCTGGCTAATTTTTTGTATTTTTAGTAGAGATGGGATTTCACCAGGTTGGCCAGGGTGGTCTGGAACTCCTGACCTCAAGTGATCTGCTGGCTTCAGCCTGCCAAGTGCTGGGATGACAGGCGTGAGCCATCACGTCTGGCCCCTCTACAAATCTTTTTTTAATTCGCCAGTGTGGTGGTACACGCCTGTGGTCCCAGCTACTCAAGAGGCTGAGCTGGGAGGTTCACTTGAGCCTGGGAGGTTGAGGCTGCAGTGAGCAGTGATTGCACCACTGCATTCCAGCCTGGGCAAGAGAGCAAGACCTTGTCTCAAAAAAAAAAGAGAAAAAACAAAAAGAAAGAAAAGAAAAAGAAAGCACTTCCACAGAAGTCTGACAGTCTCAAACCTTCTAATATAAACAGAAAGATAGGAAAATATAAGCTTCCCCCAGATTAAATGTCATTTCAGAAAAAGAGCCAATTCATACCATCTTTACAAAACACAGATACCCTCAAATAATTGCTGCTATTGCATATTCGTCCCTTGGACCCCTTCTTGCACTTCAAAATGATTGCAGCATCTGATATAACTTTTTTCTTCTATTCCAACAACAGCAACATCATTAACTGCATGGATAGCTTAGCTGACTTCAGGACCTCACAGTTTTAAGATCTCTATGATTTTATCTCCAGAGCAACCTTGAAATAGCAGAGCTCTACCTTCACTCTTATTACTCACAGATCTCAAACTTGGAATCATGTATCATTCATCAAAGCCTCCTTTACCTTCTATCCACTAATCCAATGAACTGGTTCTTCAATCAATTAACCCTTCCAAAGATGATCTGTCCATTAACCCCTCCTGAAAAATATTTAAATCCATATATAGCCTGTACTTCATTAGCATTAACTGCAAAAGGCTTACTATCCTACATAAACTTGATTGCACCACAAACTTATAAACTACCATAAATCTTCAACCATATCTGCTGTATAGTTCTCAAAGCCTTGCGCTAAAATGCATTGCAAAAATCACAGTGGTATTAAGAAACAAAGATGATTAAAAGCCTTAATTACTACTCAGGAAAAGTTTCATATAGCTCGTTAATGCCTTATATGGTAATTCAAATCGCCTCAACCTTCTTTAAGAGTTTCCTTTCACCCTGTCAACAAACTATTTCACTTCTTAAGCACTTCCTCTCTCAAATGAATAATTCAATGTGTGGAACAAAAAGAAGGGGGGAAAAAAGGTGAAATGTTTACTTGAGCATTGTCAGGTTCATCTTTTATTTTGTCTAGTAGTCCCTGCTGTGGTGCCATTGCTTTGTCATACTCATCATCCAAAGGTTCTTCTTTAATTCTAATATTTGATGCAAAGGAATTCCCCAGTTCCGAACCAATGGATTCTTTATTGGCAAATGGGTAGCTGGAATCCTAAAACACAATATAAAGGATTAATAAATATTCAGATTTTAAAATGATTCCTCTTCAGGTTTAACACCCAAAGAAAAGCTCATTGGAAATGAAGAACTCTATGGACATTCATTAGCTTTTGGATCTTATGCCTACGCCTAAAAGTAATTGTGTTATATGTCCAAATACCAAATACAAATAAAGACCCTAAGATTTGAGGCTTTTTAGAATGTCTCCGATGATGACCTTAAACAAATATTAAGCAAATTAAAAAAAAAAAATCAGTGCTCTACCTAATACATTGTTAGAATTTAGAAACTGACATAAAGAAAACTTTGACACTTGTCACAGTTACAGCAATCTACATACACACTGAAAACTTACCCTAAAGTTTGTTTCTGGGGTTTGTGGTAAATGGGTATGTAATGTTTCTTCAACTTGATTAGCTATTGAAAGGAAAAAAAAAACAAACAAACACATGTATATGAATAACAAATCTTACAAAGAGTGACCTAAAAAGCTATCATTTGATAATCACCTCTCTTTTCCAACAAAGATGCTCGTTAGAGTGAACTGGGTCCCAAAAACACCCAAAAGGTATTTTCACTCAAAGTTCTGCACAATCTGGCCCCACCTAGCTTTTAGCCTTACCCTACATTTTTTCCTTGCTCAAACCTAAAAAAAAAAAAAAAAAAATTATTTTTGCTCTGAAAATTGCTTGCATTTGTTCTCCCCCATTTCTACTTATTCTATTCCAAGTCCCCTCTGTCTATCCTAATCTTTATACAGTTTTCCAGACTCAGCTCAGTTAAAAATTCACCTCTCCTCTATAAAACCTTCCCTGTTCACTAAGTTAAAAATCATCTCTCTTCTAAGAATCCCTAAAACACAGTTTCAGTTATTTGAAAGACATCTTTTTGAACTGCCTTATGACAAACTCTTCTACCACTGTCTTTAACTGTAAATTAAATCTTACGCTATTCAGCTGGACATTGGCACTTCTACGGCCTGACTTGTCTTGTCCATTCTACTACTAGACATTATGTTCCTTGAGAAACATGACTCTCATACCCCAAGAAGGGATATTGGAAATATATACTGAATTATAGAGAAAAATATAGTATATCCTTGCACAGACTTGTACATACTCAAAAGCTGTCTTTTTAACAATACTGGTTTGTTCTTTCTACCATACATTTCCTAGCATTGTTAGAAGAAATACAAGGACTGGTATAGAATACTTGCTTTCCTTCACAGCTATTGAACATTTATTGAAGAATTACTATTTTACTACACCAGGTTAGGCCCCAAGAATACAAAGATGAGTAAGATACAATCTGGCCCTCAACTCCTACACTAGTAGGTAAGGTAAAACAAATATAGAACTATAATACTGTGTGATAAGTACTATAAATAATGAGGCATGAAAATGCTGTGGAAATATAGATAAGGAAACCATTCTTGATGTAGAGCAGTTAGAATGATGACAGAGTAGAAGAGGTTTATGAGTTAGGCATTGTTGGATAAGAAGTACTTTCACAAGCAAATATACAGAGAGAAAATGACATGCAGGCAAATGGAATAGCAGGAGGAAAGGAAGGCATAGAAGGAAATATGTGATATATTCAAGAATGTTAACTAAAGCTAAAGTATAGGGTACACTGGGCAAAGAGGCTCAGGAGGAACCTCAAGAAACTTCTAAAACATAAATTAGAAATGTTTGGGTTTTTTTTATTAAAAAAAAACTCCCTTTCAGATAGAGGTGAGAGTTAATAAACAAAAAATTAAATTAAAATTAAAAAAATAAAATAACTCCCTAATTTGGACTAAGTGGTGAGACAGCAGTTTGAATTAGTGCTTACAGCACAAAGAAGTTAAATCCAACTTCAGGTTCCAATGTTCAACCAAAGAAAATGAACAGGTGATTCAAGTATCTTGCCTTTCTCATCAAAACATTGCAACCAGGGGAGGGAGAAATGAGGTTTAGAGCTATTTTCAACCATTTATACCATTACCAAAAGTTACTGGGAGAAATTCAGTCACTCTGCAAAGAACAAGGACAAAAGAAAAATGACAAGCTTACAATGAATTTAACCGTTCATACTTCACTTAACATCAAAAGTAATAAAAGCTATATATTATGATCGGTAATTTTTAATTGTGTTTTATGGTTCTAAGTCCAACAATTATTACCTGCTTTATCAAAAAAACTGCTTTTCAACCTTGAATCCAAATCTTTATGGGGTTTATCCAACCGTTTTTCACGTTCATAAGTTAGGTCTCTATTTTTCTCCTTTCCAGAAAATGTCTCTTTGCTGTTTTCTCTTACTAGACTAAAATCTTTCCGTATTGATTTAAAGACAGAAACCTGATCAAATTGTTTAGGAAAGTCTTTTTTTAACTTATTTTGAATTTGTATTTCATTTTCATTGTCTGATTCATGCTGTGTGACTCTTCTCTCTACTTCCAAGCTATCATCAGTATGAATTGAAGAAACAAGATTGTCCTTTGAACTAAAATCCTGTTCATCCTCATTGTCACTACCAACGACTGGAATTCCTGCAAGATCCCCAGAGTTCAAAAAATAATCATCTTCATCCAGCAATGAATTTTCAGATCCTGTTTGATTCGGCATTCCATAAGACATGCTGTCAAGGGTAGGAGTTAAGTTGTGGTCTATATCTTCAGACATTTCTGTATCCATGATACCACCACCTTAAAAAGTAAAATACTGTTTAGACAAATGATAGTGCTAAAGATGACCACAATGATAAGGTCAGTCTGGTATTTAACCAAATAAATATTTTTTCAAACAAAATACAGATATTACCATAGTATTCATTTAACACTTTGATATAGGTGTGACAGATATAACTATTCCTATCTGACAGTTAAGGAAACAAGGAGCCAAAACTTGAGAAACTACTTTAGGTTAGAAAAGAAAGCTACGTGATATAGAGAAAAGAGCACCAACTTCAGAATCAGACATATCTGTGTTGAAATCAAAGCATGATCCTGAAAATCTATGTAATCCTAAAAAGTAAACTCTCAGAGTCTATCTATACAACAGCATAATACTCACCTTGGAGATAAATTTGTGGTGAGGATTAGTGATAGTATGTACAAAAGACCTACTAACACAATGACTGACAAATAGAAGGGAATATAAAATGGTAATTATAATTATTATGGCGATTATTCAGGGAAAACTGAGATTAGCACTCAGGTCTTTGGTCTGAGTCCCATTTTCTCTGCACTAACACTAATAAACACTGACGGCAGTTAATACTTACACATAAAAATAAATTTTATCCAACCTAGAATAAAAGACTATTTACTGTTTAAAACTACTAATATATACTAATCTCTCCCATTCCAAAACAAAACAAAGCAATGCCCTCATTCATGCCCTAACCCTACAATGCCCTCATTCATCTTCCCTTCACAAACTTGTAGGAAAAAAATTCTACCTAGTTTGCTTCTACTTCATCTCTATCATTAACCCTTTGAGCTTAATACAATCAGCTCCCAACTTTCCACTGGAACTTTTCTCATTAACATCATCAATGATCTCCTAATGGTCAAAGCAAATTGACTTTTTTCAATTCCTAAATGGCATATCCCTCATGGATAAAATTCCTTTGGATTCTTTGGTACTCTTATTTCTTACTTTCCTTAATTGCCTTATAATTTATTTTATACTCTTCTTCTGTTCACATGGCTTCAATGTTAGCTTTTCTGCAAGATTCCTGTTCTCTTTACTTTTACACTCAGACTGAGCTATTTTGTTCACCTCCATAACACTTACCTTTGCTACTGACTTCCTAAGCACTTAAGCTTAGACCTTTCTTATAAGATTTCGGATGTCTATATTCAACTAGCTCCTACACGTTCTCCAACTTAGCATCTCTAAAATCAAAACTCATCATGTTCCCTCCCATTCCAAGCATATGCTTCTTATATTTCCCTCAGATGGTTAACAGATTCACCAAACCAGCAGTTGCTCAAGATTTCCCCCTGGACAAATTCTGTCAACTTTATTACTTATCTCTCTCAAATCCATCTTTTCCACTTAGCACCTAGTTCTAATACTCCACGTCTCCTCCTGGATTCTACAATACCTTCAAAGGTATACTAATTCAGTCCACATGGATACTCAGGAAGCAACCATACCCTTATAAACTCTATGCCTAAACCACATTTAATTGATACATCAGCAAACAAACTGGAACTGATAAAAATAGAGTGAGGCGAAGACTAAAAATATTAGTGGCACTGGCATCCTTGCTCTTATTTGTTCCTGAAGCCCAGTTACATCCTTCATGTGGCTGGTTCTTCAACCCTTCTCTGGATTATGGAATCCAATAAATTCCTTTTGTTAAGTTGATTTGAGTTGGATTATCTGTAATCAGGTCCCAACTGATACAGAACCCAAAGGAAAGCTTTCCTGGACCAGGCACAGTGGCTCACACCTATAATCTTAGCACTTTGGGAGGCTGAGGCCAGAGGATTGTTTGAGGCCAGGAGTTCAAGACCAGCCTGGGCAACATAGCAAAAGCCCATCTCTACAAAAAAAAATTTTGTTTTAATCAGCCAGGTGTAGTGGTACACACATGCAGTCCTAGCTACTCAGGAGGCTGAGGAAGGAGGATCACTTGAACCCAAGAGTTTGAGGCTGCAGCAAGCTATAATTGTGCCACTGCACTCCAGCCTGGGTGATGTGACAGGGCAACCCCCTGTTTCTTTCTTTTTTTTTTCTGAGCTTTGCTCAAGTTGCTCTCTTCCATAATGACATCAGAATTACCTTTCCAAAATATAAATCATTTCACATTACATCCTCCCTTGAGATTCTTCAATAGCTCCCCACTGCTTGAAGTATTCATTCATTCAGTACATATTTATTAGGAAACCACTCTGTGGTAGGTATTGCACTAGGTTCTAGGGATAAAATGATGAAAGAGATAGCTATGACTCTTCCTCCTCACAGAGCTAGAAAAAATAAACAGAAAATTAGAAACAGTATGAGGGTAAATAATGATTTGAGTCCATAATGTCAAAGGGAAGGAGATAAAAGCTTGTTTCTATCATAAGAACGTTTGCTAATAAACGTAGAGGCAATAATATAATTGGAAAAATTGTCTATACTTTCTAAAATAATCAATTGAGACAACAGATAGTAAAACAGATGCTAAAATCTTAGGAGATGTATGCTGAAGAACTTACAGGTGAGCCATCTCAACGTTTCATCATTAGTAGCTGACCACATAGCATGTGCTCTGTAATTTTTCATAAATGAAAAATTAGGTGTTTTATGTAGTCAGAACAATGAGTTCTATAGTGCATGAGAAGTCAATACTAAGAAGTAATATTGTAAGCAACTTTCCATATCACTACATTTACTTATTTATTTAGTTAGTTGGTTCATTTTTTGAGACAGGATCTGGCTCTGTCACCCAGGCTGGCGTGCAGTGGCATGATCTCAGCTTATTACAACCTCCGCCTCCAGGACTCAAGCAATCCTCCTACCTCAGCCTCTCAAGTGGCTGAGATAACAGGCGCATGCCGCCACATCTGGCTAATCTTTGTATTTTTTGTAGAGACCCAGTTTGGTCTTGAACTCCTGAGCTCAAGCAATCCGCCCACCTCAGCCTGCCAAACTGCTGGGATTACAGACATGAGCCACTGCACCCAGCCCCTTATCATTACATTTAAATTCAGGATATAGTATTTGAAGAAAAGGGTAGTCATATGGAAAAATGAGATCCCTAACTCACATCAAAAAATTTTACAGATGTATCTAAGTTTTAGGCATAAAGAAATAAAACAGTAATATTAAATAAACTACGGAAGAATTATTTTAGTAATATTAAAGAAACTATGGAAGAATTATTTTTGAGTCGCAGAGACAAGCCTTTCTAATAATGACCAAAAAAATCCAGAATAAAAGATCAAGTTATAAATAAAAATATAAAAGATCAAATGTGACTTTAAAAATGGCTAGAGATGAGAAAACACAAACCAAATCAAAAAGATAAAAAGATAAACTGATTTAAAAGGTTTTATTTCATATCACAAAGGGTAATTTCCTTAAAAGATAAAGATAGGACCTATAGTTCAGTAAAGATACAGACAAATAACCAAATACACATATAAAAGCAAAGGGCTCAAACAAATATTTCAGAGAGAGCAAAATACTAAGGTTCAACAAGAGAAATGCAAACTAATAAAACGAGATATCACGTTCACACAGCAGGTTGGTAATGACAAAAAGTTTTGATAAAAGTCTTGCAGATGGCTGGGTGCGGTGGCTCACGCCTGTAATCCCAGCACTTTGGGAGGCCAAGGTGGGCGGATCATGAGGTCAGGAGATTGAGACCATCCTGGCTAACACAGTGAAACCCTGTCTCTACTTAAAAAAAAAAAAAAAAAAAAAAAAAAAGAAGCCAGGCGTGGTGACGGGCACCTGTAGTCCCAGCTACTCGGGAGGCTGACGCAGGAGAATGGCGTGAACCTGGAAGGCGAAGCTTGCAGTGAGCCGAGATTGCGCCACTGCACTCCAGCCTGGGCGACAGTTAGACTCTGTCTCAAAAATAAAAAATAAATAAAAATAAAAAATAAAGTCTTGCAGCTATATTATAGGCCAAAATTAGGAAACTATGGCCCAAGACTAAAATATATACAAAGAAAAGTTTTTGAAAGAGACCATATGTAGGCTGCAAAGTCCAAAATATTTACCATCTGGCCCTTAACAGAAAAACATTTGCCAACCCCTGCAGTCAAATACTGCTGGTAGGAATGCAAACTGGTACAAAACTAATAAAGAGCAATTAGGCAATGTTTTTGATACTTTGAATACACAGAACTCTTGACCCAACAATTCAACTTTTTTTTTTTTTTTTTTTTTTTTTTTTTAAAGACAAAGTTTCACTCTGTCGCCCAGGCTCGAATGCAGTGGTGCCATCCTGGCTCACTGCAACCTCTGCCTCCCAGGTTCAAGCGATTCTCCTGCCTCAGCCTCCTGAGTAGCTGGGATTACAGGCACCTGCCACCACACCCGGCTAATTTTTGTATTTTTAGTAGAGACAAGGTTTCACCATGTTGGCCAGGCTGGTCTCAAAACTCCTGACCTCAGGTGATCCACCCGCCTTGGCCTCCCAAAGTGCTGGGATTACAGGCGTTTGACACCACGCCCAGCCCAACAATTCAACTTTTACAAATTCATCCTGCAGATATAATCTCACAAGAGAGTGATGAAAAAGAATATTTATAGCAGAAAAAGACTGAAAACAGCGTATGTGTTCATCAGTGAGGCTAACTTAATTATAGTACATACCTCTAATGGAATATTATATAGCTGTTAAAGAGAATGAGGCAGCTTTATGAATTCCCAAGATCTGTTAAGTGAAAAAAAATTTTTAAATCTTTGAAATGCACTGGAGATTTACAGTTTTCTCAGAGATGTCAATTTCTTTTTTTTCTTTCTTTCTTTTTTTGAGACAGAATCTTGCTGTCACCCAGGCTGGAGTGCAGTGGCATGACCACGGCTCATTGCAGTCTCAGCCTCCTGGGCTCAGGTGATCCTCCCATCTCAGCCTCCCAAATAGCTGAGACCACAGATGTATGTCACCACATCCAGCTAATTTTTTTTTAATTTTTTGTGGAGATGGGAGTTTCACCACATTGCCCAGGCTGGTCTCAAACTCCTGGGCTCAAGCACTCTTCCTGTCTTGGCCTCCCAAAGTTCTGGGACTGCATGAGCCACTGCACCTGGCCTCAGAGATGTCAATTTCTAACAAAGCAACTGATGTGAATTAGCAATTTTGGTACTTACACAATAAATCTGTAGGCTGCATAAAATCTTATGCAATTAAAATGTAAGTACTAGTTACATTACTTAACTGAATCAGAATTCTTCTCATCCTTGTGATCCATATAACCAAATAAAAGAAACAGTTTCTGTTTCTCAGAGCTTATATCAAGAGAACAAAACAGAACACTACGATCTCAGCAGCTGAAACACCTGAAAGCACAAATTTCTCATGGAAGATTTCTGGCTTTTAGACACTGTGAGTATGCTTGGCGTATGTGAGGAAAAGCAAGGATGGTATGGCTGGAATTGCATGTATGAGAGGAAGAGTGATTAAAAAATGAGAAAAGAGAAATAAACAGAATGGATCTATTAGGAAATTGCAAGCAACAGGAAAAAACTGCAATGTATGTAAGTGTAAAAGGAAGTCGTTAGAAGACTCTACAGACAAATTAACATAATTTATGTTTTACAAGGATCATACATTCTACATATAGCTTCTGTGTACTATGAAGTGTTCAATGTTATACGGAGCAGAAGAAGAATGGAAGCAGGAAGATCACTTAGGACCACTTAGGAAGCTACAATAACCCAAGGAAAAACTGGTAGTTAAACCCAAGGTAATAATAATGGTGGATGTGAAGAACAGTAGTCAGATGTGGATATATTTTGAAGGTAGAGGCATTGCCTGATACGTATATGAGATGCGGGGTATGAAAGGAGTCAAGAATAACACAACAGGGTGTCATTTCCTGAGATAGGAACACTAAGGGAGGACCACACTGAAAGAGGGAGAATGAATAATTTGGTTTTGGGATGGTAGATTTTGAAATCCTTCTTAAATCTTCAAATGGAAATATCAAGAAGACAGTTGGATATATTAGCCTGTAGTTAAGAGAAGACTGGCCAAGAAATGAGACATAAATTTGGGACTCATCAATGAAGAGATGGTACTTAAAATTCATGAAACTAGGTAAGATCACCCAGTGAGTTTATTTACTACAGATGGAAGACAGCTGAGAGTCCTGACATACTTCAGTATTTAGAAATCTGGTCAAAATGAAGGAGTCAGAAAAAGACACTAAGAAGGAACAGCTAATAGAGTAGGAGAAAAATGAGGAGACTGGTGTCATAGAAGCTAACGAAGAAAATAGGAGGGAGTGCCTGAACCATAATGAATGCTGCTGAGATGACTGATAAAATGAAGACTGAGAACTTAACTTCTAACTTGAGAACAGCTACATCAGTGGGAAAATGAGTGTACAAGTCAGAGTGGAGTGATCCCAATAGAGATTGAGAGGAGATAACCTGAGAATCCTAGTATAAAATAATTCTTCAGAGGAACTGAAGGAACAGAGATAACTATTCAGAGGCCCTTAATAGAGGTTTTTGTTTTTAGGACTTTGGCTGTGTGTGTGTGTGTGTGTGTGTGTGTGTGTGTGTGTGCGCTAATTTTTAAATTATTAGTAGAGACAAGGTCTTGCTCTGTTGCCCAGTCTGGTTTTTGTTTTTTGGACTTTGGCTGTGTGTGTGTGTGTGTGTGTGTGTGTGTGTGTGTGTGTGCGCGCGCGCGTGCGCGCTAATTTTTAAATTATTAGTAGAGACAAGGTCTTGCTCTGTTGCCCAGTCTGGTCTTGAACTCCTGGACTCAAGCGATCCTCCCACCTCAGCCTCCCAAAATGCTGGAATTATAGGTGCAAGTCACTGTACCCAGCCTATTTACTTGTGGTTTTTTATAAGAATTTTTTTTAAGATTGAGAATATTACAGCTTTGTAGTATGCTTACAAGAAAGCTCTAATAAAGAGCAGTGAGTTCAGGAGGAAAATCTTTGTGTAATAGAGACTGTGATCAGTAAAATGCAAATAGACTTAGATTTTGCACAAGGAGAATAAAGTTATTTTAAGTAATTTAAGAACAATATTTGTTTTATAATGAAAGCAAATTTCATACTTCGAGGTAAAGTCAACCGCCATTCTTTGTCCCTCTTAGTCATTGCTTTAGCAGTATACTGATAATTCTATGCTATATCCAAGAATCATTTCAAGGTATAACCACCAACTAAGGAATTCAACTATCATATAAATAAATATTGTGAAATATTCTAACATATTCCTCCTGCACATTTTTGTTTTTTGTTTTTTTGATTTCTGTTTTTTGTTGTTGTTGTTGCTATCCATCAGTTTATTGTCTTTATCTGAAAAATCCTCATAGAAAATTGTTTGGTTTAGCTCTCAGCAGCCTGCTCCTGAGCTCTGAGGGAGTTTGCCTTCTTTTGAGTTACCTGATCTTTCTTCTGAGCAAGGGATATTTTGGGATGGTTCCACCTCTTCTTTTTTGTTTCTTGGGCTTCTTTTCATAGACTGGATTCTCTCGTATAGCAGCATGAGCTTTCTTATACATCTCCTCCATCATGTCTGGAGTTACGCTGTTCTTTATGTATTGAGAGAACTGTTTCTTGTAAGCATCTTCATCTTCTTTCATTAAGTAGTGCATGTAATCTGCAACTTTCTGGCCCATGATGTGCTTCCGGTGTACTTCTGCATTAAATTCCTTGCTTTCAGAATCATAACCAGGGAATCGTTTGGTACTGTGAGGGACAGACAAGCCTCCATCCACAGCGCCCTTCAGGGTACCCAAAACTTTATTGCCAGTGGTAGTTCTGGCAAGGTCTGCATCCAAATAGCAGGTAAAGGCACGTGGCTGACCAAGATTGCCTTCCACATTGTATTTACCACCAGTCACCTCCACTTGGCATTCACAGATCTTGTCCATGCCAAACCTATTGAGAAGGCTGCGGGCCAGCAGCAGGCCAGTACAATGCGCTGCAGCATAATTTGTCAGGCCAACCTTCAAACCATATTTTGGCAGTTCATATGCATATGCCGCACAGACTATCATATCCCCCTCTATAAGGGCATAAGCAATCTGACAAATGATATCTCTGTTACACAAATTATCATCCTGTATTTGTGTGTTTTGTATTTATTTTTATCCTGTATCACTAAGCGTTTCCAAGCATAGTAATCAGTTTTACCCTCTCGTCATCTTCTAAATTTCACTTGGTATCTCTTAAAGCAGGCCTTATTCTTAACAACTTTAACAAACCCCATCCTGCAGAAGAGAGATCTTTGTCTGCAGCTGGACAGAGACCTGCAGGCCCAGCAGTGCTGGGAGTGGGAAGGGCACATTTTTGTTTTTAATCAAAGCATAATTTTCAGAAATAAACTAGTATTAATAGTAATTTCAGCCGGGTGTGGTGGCTCACGCCTGTAATCCCAGCATCTTGGGAGGGTGGGGTGGGCGGATTACCTGAGGTCAGGAGTTCGAGACCAGCCTAGCCAACATGGCAAAACCCCACTTACTAAAAATAGAAAAATTAGCTGGGCGTGGTGGCACATGCCTTTAATCCCAGCTACTAGGGAGGCTGAGGTAGGAGAATCACTTGAACCTGGGAGGTAGAGGTTGCAGTGAGCCAAGATTGTGCCATTGCACTCCAGCCTGGGCAACAGAGCAAGACTCTGTCTCAAAAAAAAAAAGTAATTTCAACTTTAGAAATCATGGTTCTCTAACAATTCCCTGAGATTGCTACTTTTTTTTTTTTTTTTTTTCAAGATGGAGTCAGGAAGATCACTTGAGCCCAGGAGTTTCAGATCAGCTTGGGCAACACAGCAAGACCTCGTCTCTACAAATAAAATTAAAAAACAAGCCAGGCATGGTGGCACACACCTGTAGTCCCAGCTACTCAAGAGGCTGAGGCAGGAGGATCACTTGAGCCTAGGAGTTGAAGGCTGCAGTGAGTTATGACTGCGCCACTGAACCCAGCCTGGGTGACAGAGAGAGACTCTGTCTTTAAAATATATATATATAAAAAATGAAAAACAAAAATTAAATTATATAAATTAAAAAATGAAAAACAAAAACAAGGTGATTGTGATTTGCTTTAAATAAAAGCTTAAGTTAGCACTTTGTTTAGTCACAGAAACTTTTTTTTTTTTTTTTTTAAAGACAGAGTCTGGCTCTGTCTCCCAGGCTGGAGTGCAGTGGTATGATCTCAGCTCACTGCAACTTCCACTGCCCGGGTTCAAGCAATTCTCCTGCCTCAGCCTCCCAAGCAGCTGGGATTACAGGTGCCCACCACCACGCCTGGCTGGTTTTTTTGTATTTTTAGTAGAGACGAGGTTTCACCATGTTGGCCAGGCTGGTTTCGAACTCCTGACCTTAAGTGACCCACCTGCCTCAGCCTCCCAAAGTGCTAGGATTACAGGCATGAGCCACCGCGCTCGGCCGCTGTCACATAAACATTTCTAAGGGATGATCTGACTATCTGCTATTCAATAAAATATAATTTCCTAAATAATAAAAACCCCTTTATAAGATCACAATGTAATTCAACAGTCAAAGCCAAAAATCATTAAAAATGAAACACAATTGCCTTAAACATTTATTTTTACTTGAGACATACAAAAGCACATTTACCAATCATTTAATATCAGCCAAGATTTTGATAATGGCTATACTAATATGTCTTTCTTAACTAAACCACAGGCCGGACACCATAGCTCACGCCTGTAATCCCAGCACTTAGGGAGGCTGAAGCAGGCAGATCACTTGAGGTCAGGAGTTCGAGATGAGCCTGGCCAACAGGGCAAAACCCCGTCTCTACTAAAAATACAAAAATTTGCCAGGTGCATGCCTGTAATCCCAGCCACTCAGGAAGCTGAGGCACGAGAATCGCTTGAACCCAGGAGGTGGAGGTTGCAGTGAGCTAAGATCACACCACTGAACTCCAGCCCGGGTGACAGAGGGAGACTCCATCTCAAAAAAAATGAAATAAAAATAAATAAATCACAACCATATAGGCCATCTTCATGATTGCAATCTGAGTTTCTTTAAAATGGAGGGAGAAAGTAAAGACACTTGCACATCCATGTTTTTACTGACTTGCTTAGTTTTTCTAAAGCACTCAAATTTTCACAGAAACAACAGTTTACTTTTCAAAGTAACATTTCACTAGTGTAAAAAAATGTACATGTTAACTTATATAATTACAATGGCAAGTATTAATAAAGTTTGGGAACAAACACAATAAATCTTGGTAAGCATGCTGAACTGTGTGGCTGTGTCTGAAACTACTAGATGCTCCTCAACAGCCACTCTAGTTTTCTCCTTTAGTGACAGACCGTGATTCTTATCAGAGCACATTTACAATAGAAAAATGGTTAATTCTTATGTATGATCCTAAACTGAAAAAGAATCATAGTTATTAATATGGCAATAGCCAAAAGAAAACTCTGCATGAGAACGAGATAATAACTACAATGTAATAATTTAGTCTTCTTTCAAGTTGCAGGGATGGGCACATTAAGGAACCAGTATTTTTTTAATGGGCTAGAACAGAAAGCGAAGTGTATCATATAGAATGACAATAAGTAATGCTACAAGAAATGTTTGTGTACACACAGAAATACACATGTATATGTCTCAATGTAAAATATATTTCTAACAGTGTTTCAAAAATTTTTTTAAAGTTTGAAACCAGTGGAATATTTAGATCAATCTGATTTTATAGCTTACCAAAAGGTGATAAATATTTACACTTGATACATTTCTGATAGAAATGAGTTTGATTTTTACCAATTTTAATAGTCAACTTACGCACTAAGGCTTTAAAAATTATGACTTTGAAGTACAGTATAAACCATTTTATAAAACAAATTGTTGTTTTTCAATATGAGAACAAGTACAACAGACTTTACTTTTTAGAATGATCCCTGTTATTTCTAGTGTTCTGGCAACAATGATCAAGAAGATTAGAGGTATCTATATAAACTGATAAAACATTCAGCAATTACCTAAAAACTGTCAAAAGTCTATTAAAACTGAAGCACATCACTGTAATAAACTATCATCTTACTGAGTAAAATTTTCATATCTTATTACATGTCAGTATTTCAAAGAGCATATTACTTTTGTAAGCAGAATAACATAATAAGCAAAATAATAAATACAAAAGTCATTTTTGCCAATAATTGCAGAAGCACAATACCACAGAGATATGGGGAGACGGTACCAATGACCCAACTATACCCCAATCTTTAGGCCCATAAGCATTCCTACTATTCTTCCTTCTAATTCCAAAATTTCTGTAACATAGTTCTGTTACTTATAAAACAAAAATCTGTATTTTCATCTTCTCTCTTCACTTGTCACAGCAGATTTAGCTGATATCCCTTTCTATTCAGATAAACAAGAATCTGTTCAAGCCCTAAACCTAATTTTTAACGCTACCCCTTATAATCCAGGAAAAAAAAAAGAAAGCAATGTTAAAATAATCCTTTATTAAGGGCTTTATAACTGTAGAGACAGAGTAACTTGTACTTTTTTTCCCTCAATGGCATCAGTAAATTTATAACAACTTCATTTTTTTACTCTCATAAGTTCATTAACAGAATAAACCACTTCTACTAGAGCTCATACTATCTGCAAAAATGGTCAATGGAGATTTTTTTGAAAATAAAAATAGAAGGCTGGGTGCGGTGGCTCACGCCTGTAATCCCAGCACTTTGGGAGGCCGAGGCCGGTGGATCACCTGAGGTCAGGAGTTCGAGACCAGCTTGGCCAACATGGTGAAACCCTGTCTCTACTAAAAATACAAGTAATTAGCCAGGTGTGGTGGCGTGCGCCTGTAATCCCAGCTACTCAGGAGGCTGAGGCAGGAGAACTGCTTGAACCCGGGAGGTAGAGGATGCAGTGAGCCAAGACAGTGCCATTGCACTCCAGCCTGGGTGACAAGAGCCAAAACTCCATCTCAAAATAAATACATATATATAGAAGAAGTCCTAATTAAACAATTTTATCCAGGGCCTATTTCTGGATGGCTCTAAGCTAAGAATGATTTTACATTTTTAAAAGGTTGTAAAAAGAAGAATAAGGAGAATGCAAAAAGTCATATTTGTTGACCACAGCCAAGAAAGCTTAAATATTTACTATTTGGCCCTTTAGGAAAAAGGTTTGCTAACACTACATCTATAGAAATGTTGCTATGTGTAGTTCACACAGTACAACTGGCATTATGGTAGAGAAATAATACTGAGTTAAATAGGCTTAGAAAGCTACTTAGGGAAATTATCTATAGAACTATTTCTTTCTCTTTTTTTTTTCTTTTTTTTTTTTTTTTTTTTGAGATGGAGTCTCACTTTGTGACCCAGGCTGGAGTACAGTGGCATGATCTTGGCTCACTACAACCTCCACCTCCTAGGTTCAAGTGATTCTCCTGCCTCAGCTCCCTCAGTAGCTGGGATTACAGGCGTACGCCATCACTCCCAGCTAATTTTTGTGTTTGTAGTACAGGCAGGGTTTCACCACATTGGCCAAGCTGGTCTCGAACTCCTGACCTCAGGTGATCTACCTGCCTCAGCCTCCCAAAGTGCTGGGATTACAGGTGTGAGCCACAACGTCTCACCTCTATAGAACTATTTCTGAGTTAAGTTCAAAATCATACAGAAATTGTAAGTTAGGCACTAGTTAAAATATTGATCATAAAACATTCCACTTCCAGCCACCATGGTGCAGTACTGGTTCCAAAATAACCCTCCTGCATAGCAGCCTCATCCACAATAGCTAAAAGGTAGAAGAAACCCAAGTGTCCAACTATAGATAAACAGATAAAATGTGGTATATACATACAATGGAATAGTATTCAGCCTTAAAAAGAAAGGAATTCTGACACATACTACAAAATGGATGAACTTTGCAGACATTATGCTAAGTAAAATCAGTCCAAATAAAGATAAACACTGCATGATTCCACTTACATAACATACAGAATAACTGAATTCATAAAGACAAAGTAGAAGGGTGATTGCCACAGGCTGAAAGAAGAGAGAAATTTCGAGTTGGGAAATTGGGTGTACAGTTTCAGTTTCGCAAAATGAAAAGCATTCTACAGACTGATTGCACAACAATGTAAACAGTTAATGCTACTGAACTGTACACTTAAAAATGGTGAAGACGGTAAATTTCATTTTACGTATATTTTACTACAATTAAAGTTTTTAAAGATGTTTTTTAAGAAGTAATGTGGGAGGCTGGGTACAGTGGCTCACGGTTGTAATCCCAGCACTTTGGGAGGCCAAGGCAGGCGGACTGATTGAGCCCAGGAATTCAAGGCCAGCCTGGGCAGCATGGTGAAACCCCATCTCTACAAAACATACAAAAATTAGCCGGTGAAGTGGCATGCACCAGTAATCCTCAGGAAGCTGAGGCCGGAGAATTGCTTGAGCCCGGGAGACGGAGATGGCAGTGAGTCGAGATCGCACCACTGCCCTCTAGAGCCTGGGCAACAGGAGTAAAAACCTGTCTTTAAAAAAAAAAAAGTAATACGGGGAGTGGTGGAGGATACACATTACCAATATCAGGAATGAAATAAGGGACTACAGATTTCATAGAAATTAAAAATAAACTAAGAAAATATTATAAACAACTGGAGGTCCATACAGTTTAAAATATTATTAACTTGATGGCAATACATAAGAATGATTAACAACTTTACAAAAATAAATGACAGTTTAGCTTTGTGATATGCAATACAGTAGCCACGTGACACTTGACTATTTAAACTTAATTCTAATTAAATTACACTTGATCTTAGCCAAGAGGCCCAGAAGCAATAAATTTAGTCAAACTAAAACTTCAGTTCTGCACCCATCACATTTCAAGTGCTCAACAGTCACAGGTGCCAGTGGCTACCATACTTTAACTGTGTACAAGAACATTTCCATGATGATGCAGACTCTGACTGTGCAGATAGAGAAATGGCTCAAAAGGTGAAAATTACCAAAACTGACATGGAAGAAATAGAAAATCTGAATGGCCCCAGGCCCGGATGTCTCCACTAGTGAATTGAGTAAATAAAACACTTAGGAAATAATAACCCATCTTATATGAACTCTTTAAGCAAATATGAGAAAGGAATATTTCCTAATTTTATATGGCCAATATTGCCCTGGGACCAAAACCAGGAAAACACATTACATGAAAAATACATGCCAGTATCTTTCACAAACATAGCTGCTTAAAATATTAGCATAAATACTTAAAATATTGGCAAATTGAATATAGAAACATATAAAACAAATAATATATCATAAGTAAGATTTATCCCATAAATGCAAAGTGAGTTTAATATTTAAAAATTCATCTTCATATTAACACATTAAAGGAAAAAATAACATGATCATCTAAGTAGAGAAAAAGCAACTGACAAAATTTAATACTCATTCATGAAAATATCTTTCAGTAAACTAAAAAGAGAAAAGAAGGTCTTTGATCTGAGAGAGGGCATCTATAAAAAAAAAAATCAACATCTCATGACCTACTTAACAGTTTAAGACTGAATACTTTCCCCCTAAGTTGAAAAAAACAGTTAAAAATCTCTCCTCTCACCACTTCTACTCAATACTGTAATAAACATCCTAGCGGCTGGGCACAGGGGCTTACACCTGTAATCCCAGCACTTAGGGAGGTCGAGGCAGGTGGATCACTTGAGGCCAGGAGTTCAAGATCAGCCTGGCCAACATGGAGAAACCCCATCTCTACTAAAAATATAAAAATCAGTCAGGCATGGTGGCACACGCCTGTAATTCCAGCTACTCAGGAGGCTGAGGCACGAGAATCGCTTGAACCCAGGAGGTAGAGGTTGCAGTGAGCCCAGATAGCGCCACTGCACTCCAGCCTGGGCAACAGAGCAAGAATGTCTCAAAAAAAAAAAAGGAAAAAAGAAATATTCCATGCTTATGAAAAGACTATATATACTTAAGGTGTTAATTTTCCCCCAAATTAATCTAGAGATTTAATGTAACTCCAAAGTCTCTGTGGATTATTCTAGAAATTTACACATTGACTCTAAAATGTATGTGTAACTACAAGAGACATGAAAAGCCAAAACAATTTTTCTGTTTTTTTTTTTTGAGACAGAGTCTCGCTCTGTCGCCCAGGCTGGAGTGCAGTGGCGTGATCTCAGCTCACTGCAACCTCCGCCTCCCGGGTGCAAGCAATTGTCTGCCTCAGCCTCCCGAGTAGCTGGGATTACAGGTGCCCGTCACTGCGCAAAGCTAATTTTTGTATTTTTAGTAGAGATGGGGTTTCACCATGTTGGCCAGGCTGGTCTCGAACTCCTGACCTCAGGCAATCCGCCCGCCTTGGCCTCCCAAAGTGCTGGGATTACAGGTGTCAGCCACTGTGCCCAGCCAAACTTCTGATTTAATATAAAGCTAAATTAACCAAGACAGTGTGATATTGGCCTAAGGATAAACATACGGATTTGTGGAATAGAAAAGTCCAAAAATAGACTCAAAAACATTGGTCAAATGACTTCCCACAAAAGTGCCAAGGTAAATCAATCCAAAAAAAAAATCTTCAATAAATGTTACTGATACAACTGGACATCCATATACAAAAAGATTTATTTTACACTACATACAGAAACTTGAAATGGATCATCAACTTAAGCATAAAAGCTAAGCCTAAACTATAAGGTTTCTAGAAAAAAAGCAAGTACAAATTTTCATGATCTTATGATAGATTTCTTAGAACACAGCATAGACCATAAAAATATAATAATAAAATTGGGCTTCATCAATATTAAAAATTTGTGCTTTTCAAAGAACACCAACAATACAACAAAAGGCAATCCAAAGAACAGATGAATGCATAGATGGATGGATGGATGGATACGGAGAGAGAAATACAGATGTAGACTGATGGAGACAGACACAGAGATAGCCCCATCTGTTTCTATCAGTCTATCTATTGAGACTTGTATCCAAACTAGTATACATGAAGAATCCTGGGCCAGGCTCAGGATTCTCTTGCCTGTAGTCCCAGTAATTTGGGAGGCTGAGGCGGGCAGGTCGCTTGAGGCCTGGAGTTCGCTACCAGCCTGGGCAACATGGTGAAACCCCATCTCTACAAAAAAGTACAAAAAGAAAAAAAAAGTAGCTGGGCGTGGTGGCATGTGCCTATGGTCCCAGCTACTTAGGAGGCTGAGGTGGGAGGATCACCTGAGCCCAGAAAATTGAGGTTGCAGTGAGCCATGATCACACCACTGCACTCCATCCTGGGCAACTGACTGAGACCCTGTCTCAACAACAACAACAACAACAAAAAGGATCCTTACAACTTCATAAAAAGAAGACAAACAAATTTTAAGATGGACAAAAATTCAAACATACACTTCACAAAACAACATTTAGGAAAGGCCAATAAGTACTCTGAAAAATGCTCAACACCATTGGTTACCAGGGAAATGCATTGAGATGCTACTTTCCATCCCCCACAAAACGCTTACAGTTCAAAAGACAGGGACGACTTAAATGAAATGGAGGCCAAGAGCAGTGTAATCCCAGAACTTTGGGAGGCCAAGGCAGGAGGATTGCTTGAACCCAGGAGTTCGAGACCAGCCTAGGCAACAGAGAAAGACCTTCTCTCTACAAAAAATAAAAATAAAAAAAATTGCCAGGAATGGTGGCACATGCCTGTGGTCCCAGCTACGGGGGAGGGTGAGGTGGGAGGCTCACTTAAGCATGAGAGGTGGGGGCTGCAGTGAGCTGAGGTCGCGCCACTGCACTCCTGAAACAGAGCGAGACCCTGTCTAAAAATAACAACAAAAATGAAATGAACAAATGCCTTGAAAAATACAACCTACCAAAAACAGACACAAGATGAAATATAAAATTCTTTAAATGCTGTATCTATTAAAGAAAGTGAATTCAGAATTTTAAACCATCACACCAAGAAATATCTAGGTCCAGATGATTTCAGTGATTAATTGTATAAAAATTTAATGAAGCTATAACTCCAATCTTAACACAAACTCTGTCAGGAAAATATTAGCAAACTGAATCTAGCAATATATAAATATGAATATTATTCAGCCATTCCTCAAGGTAGAATGGGAACATATATTTTTTAATGTAATAAAGCCTAAGCCTATTTGACAGAAACCAACTACAATCAGCCCCCAATGACAAAATACTACAAATTAACTACTTTACTTAGAATCAAGAATTAGTCAAAAGTCACTACTACTTTAATATTTAATGAAGTCCTACAAATTTTAGCAAAACACTAAAATTATATAATGTGAAGAAGCTGGAAAAAAGAAATAAAATAGTTTTAGATGATATGGCTTTATAATGCATAACTACAGATTCAAATTTATTTTAAAAGCCTACTAGATTTAATAAGGGAATTAAGTAACACCCTGACTATTCTTGCAATAAGAATCTAGAAATGAAAAAAGTTTTTCAATATAAAAAATAAAAATTTTTACATTTGTCAAAGTACTAAAGAACAACTGATACAAGAAAAAGCACAATAAATATTACTTGAAAATAAAATGTTAGTGAATGGCATAAAATAAGATCTGTATGCTAAGATTTGGGCTTATTGTTCTTATTGTATGTAAGAACAAATACATAATAAAAATATTGATTCTGCCCAAAAGTAATATATGTACATGTATCATTTTCAATTAGAAGTCCAACAAAATATTTTTGGAAAGTATATAAAATCATGTTAAAATTTAGTGGCTTAATGGAAAGCAAAAATTACAAAAAATAAAACTGAGACAGTGGCTTGACCCAGCAGATAAATGTCTATACCACAAAGCCAATAAATACACAGTAATTTAAAAATACTCCTTCAAATAAATATACAAATAATAAAAATCAATATGGCATCAATATAAAAATAAATATATTAATAGAATGTAATAGAAATTCCAAAATAGATCCCAATATACATAGAACTTTAAATATATCTCAGTGGTGCTAATTCAGTTCAGTGATAAAAAGATTATGGTGGCACAATAGGCTACTCATCTAAGGAATAAAAGTGGACCCCAACCTTGCCCTACATCCAATTAAATAAAACTTAAATGCTAAAATATAAAATAAAGAGCTTGCATGATAATCCTTTATAGCAGGGGTACCCAAACTCCAGGCCACAGACCAGTACCAGTCCATGGCCTGTTAGAAACTGGGCCTCACAGCAGGAGGTCAGCATCCCACAAGCAAGCAAAGCTTCATCTGTATTTACAGCCACTCCCCATTGCTTGAATTACCGCCTGAGCTGTGCCTCCTGTCAGATCAGCAGCAGCATTAAATTCTCATAGGAGAGCAGCATTAAATTCTCATAGGAGCGCAAACCCTATTGTGAACTATGCATGTGAGGGATCTAGGTTGCCTGCCCATTATGAGAATCTAATGTCTGATGATCTGTCACTTATCTCCCATCACTCCCAGATAGGACCATCTAGTTGCAGGAAAACAAGACCAGGGTTCCCACTGATTCTACATTATAATGTGCTGTATAATTATTTTCATTATATATCACAATCTAATAATAACAGAAATAAAGTGCACAATAAATGTAATGTGCTTGAATCATCCCAAAACCATCCTGCCTCTCCCTCTGACGCCTGGGTCCATGGAAAAGCTATCTTCCACAAAACTGGTCCCTGGTGCCAAAACAGGTTGGGGACTGCTACTTTACAGAGTAAATTATAAAATTGTATTCAAAGACATTGAAGATTTAAATAAATACAAAGACATACCAAGTTCATGGATAGAAAGACACAATGCCACTTCTCTCTCAGTTGATCTACACATTCATGATAATTAAATAAAATTCCCAAAAAATTTTTGTTATTTGATTTTGTTCTGTCAGAAACTTCCCAAGATATTTCTAATGTAAACAGGGGCAAGAATAGGCAAAACATTCCTGAAGAAAAATTTTCAGGGATGTGTCCCATCAGATTATTAAGAATTATTACACAGCTCATTCATTAGAACACCTTGGTACTGTCACAGGAATAAACAAACAAACAGTCCAAGAAAACATTAACTGAGAATGTGGGGAAATGCCTACAGATGTAGTTATAGAGAAACTTTGCAGCTTACTGGAGAAAGGAGGTAGTATTTGATAGATGCTGGTGAGTAAGGTAATTTATTAGCCTTATAATAGTAAATAAAATTAGTTCCCTACTCCACACCATATAAAAAATTAGTGTAGGGTAATTCAAAAGCTACACGTGAAAGGCAAAATCAATAAAGATTTTAGGAAATAATATACAGTCATCCCTCCATATCCATGGGGCACTAGTTCCAAGACACCCCTCCCAACCATGCTCAAAACCCACAGATGCTCAAGTCTCTTATATAAAATGGAATAGTATTTGCACATAATCTATACACATCTTCCCATATACTTTAATTCATCTCTAGGTTACTTATAGAACTTAATATTATGGGCTCATGCCTGTAATCCCAGCACTTTGGGAGGCCAAGGCAGGCGGATCACCTGAGGTCAGGAGTTTGAGACCATCCTGGCCAGTGTGGTGAAACCCCATCTCTACTAAAAATACAAAAATCAACTGGGTGTGGTGGCAGGTGCCTATAATCCCAGCTACTCAGGAGGCTGAGGCAGGAGAACTGCTTGAACCCAGGAGGCGGAGGAAGCAGTGAGCAAAGATCGCGCCACTGCACTCCAGCTTGGGTGACAAGAGTGAAACGCCATCTTAAAAAAAAAAAGAATATAATGTTAATGCTATGTAAATAGTTGTTATATTGTATTGTTTAGGGAATAATGACAAGAAAAAGAAGTCTTTATATGTTCAGAACAAATGCAATCATCAATATTTTTTTCCAAATATTTTTGATCCACGATTGGTTGAATCTGCAGATGCAGAACCCATGGATACAGAGGGCAAACTGTAATTGCTCTTCCTGATCTCAGCCCAGGAAATTTTTCCTAAATAAAATGGGGGTTAAAATATAAACCATAAAGGAAAAGACTGATAAATTTATTATCGTTCAACTACATTAAAATCAATTAACTTCTGCATATGCAAAGATTTTATGAAGACATAAGAGATGAATGAGAAGTTTATTCGCACCATCTATAACTGGTAAGTTTATTGTTCAGAACATTTAGAGAATGCCTACAATTCAATAAGAAAAAAACTAATAGCAAGTGGGTAATAGATTTAACGTAACAGGCATTTCACAAAAAAAATTAAAAATACCCAATAAATGTGAAAAATGTTCAACTACTCATTAACAAGGAAATGCAAATTAAAGACAAAATGAAGTTCATGTTATATCCTCCATACTGACAAAGATTAAAAGTCTAATAAATCAAGTGTTGGCCAGATGTGAGGTGACCACAACTTTAATTAACCAGTAACAGAAATGTAAATGGATAAAACTAGTCTTTCCTTGGTATTACTGGGGCTTTGGTTCCAGGACATTCCCCTACCCCACAGATACCAAAACCCGAGCATATTCAAGGCCTACAGTTGGCATGAGACTGCTGATATGAAAAAAAAGTCAGCCCTCTGTATAAGCAGGTTTCACATCCCTCACATACTGCATTTTCTATCCACGCTTGGTTGCAGGATCCACTGATACAGAGGGCCAACTGTATTTACTAAATAAAATCCAAAATCCATGCATAAGTGGACCCGTACAGTTCAAGCCCATGTTGTTCAAGGATCAACTGCACAAAAGAAACTAAGTTTTGCGTTTCTAGCAAAGTTGAGAATGTACACCTGCCTAGGCCTGAGCAATCACCTCCTCAAATATACCCTACAGCAGGGGTAGGTAAACTATGCCTGCATGTCAAATCCAAGAGACCTCCCTTCTGTTTCTGTATAGCCCAAGAGCTAAGAATGATTTTCACATGTTTTAATAGTTTAAAAAACAATCAAAAGAACATTCCCTGACACATGAAAAATTACATTAAATTCAAATTTCAGAGTCCCTAAAGTTTTGTCAGAAACACAATAATCCATTTATGTACTATCTATATTGTTTTTATTTTATTTTATTTTTGAGATGGAGTCTCGCTCTGTCACCCAGGCTGGAGTGCAGTTGTGCAATCCTGGCTCACTGCAACCTCCACCTCCTGAGTTCAAAGGATATTCCTGCCTCAGCCTCCCAAGTAGCTGGAATTGCAGGTGCCTGCCACCACGCCCAGCTGATTTCTGTATTTTTAGTAGAGATGGGGTTTCGCCATGTTAGCCAGGCTGGTCTCCTGACCTCAGGTGATCCACCCGCCTCAGCCTCCCAAAGTGCTGGGATTACAGGTGTGAGCCACCACACCCGGCCTTATCTGTATTGTTTTTATGCTACAAAGGCAGAGCTGAACTGCTGCAACAGAGACAGTATGACCTACAAAGTCTAAAATGTTTACTATCTGGCCCTTTAGAGAAAAAGTTTGCCAACCTCTGCCCTAGAGACCTACCATAAGAAACACATCTTATACTGAATTGCATACATATTAATTTCTTATATGTTATAAAGAAACATATGCAAGAATAATCATAAAGGATAAATTTGCAATAGAAAAACTGGAAACATCAAGAAATCTATAGAGAACACGATGGATTTACTATATACATATATATATGAGTTGGAGTCTTGCTCTGTTGCTCAGGCTAGAATGCAGTGGTGCAATCTTGGCTCACTGTAACCTCCATCTCCCAGGTTCAAGCGATTCCCCTGCCTCAGTTTCCCAAGTAGCTGGGACTACAGGCGTGCAACATCACATCCAGCTAATTTCGTATTTTTTTTTAGCGGAGATGGGGTTTCACCATGTTGGCCAGGCTGGTCTCGAACTCCTGACCTCAAGTGATCTGCCCATCTCAGCTTCCCGAAGTGCTGGGATTACAGGTGTGAGCCACCGTGCCCGGCCCAGAAAGAGGTTTAATTGACTCAAAGTTCAGCATGGCTGGAGAGGCCTCAGTAAACTTACAATTATGACAGAAGGGGAAGCTGGCATGTCTTACATGGTAGCAGGCAAGAGCACGAAGAGCACATGAAAACTACCATTTATAAAACCATGATACCTCATGAGAATTCACTCGCTGTCACAAGAACAACATGGGGGGAACTGCCCCTATAATCCAATCACTTCCCTTTTGTAGAGACATGAGGACTACAGGTCACTCCCTTGAATGTGGGGATTACAATTCAAGATGAGATTTGGGTGGGGACACAGAGCCAAACCATATCATGTATTACATAAACAACTGAATATGATTCAGCCTTAAAAATGAAGGTAATTGGCTGGGTGTGGTGGCTCATGCCTGTAATCCCAGCATTTTGGAGGGCTGGGGTGGGCAGATCACCTGAGGTCAGGAGTTTGAGACCAGCCTGACCAATGTGGTACAGTCCTGTCTCTACTAAAAATACAAAATTATACCCAAAATACAAAATTAGCCAGGGATGGTGGCACACGCCTGTAATCCTAGATACTCGGGAGGCTGAGGCAGGAGAATCGCTTGAACCTGGGAGGTGGAGGTTGCAGTGAGCCAAGATCCCACCACTGCACTGGAGCCTGGGCAACAAGAGTGAAACTCTGTATCAAAAAAAAAAAAAAGGTAATTGTGACTCATGTTACAACATGTGTCAGAATGTTCAACATGGTACCACAAGGTTCAACATGATGAACCTTGAGGATACACTAAAGTATCATTTTTACCTTAAAAATGAAGGCAATTCTAACACATGCTACATGTATCAGAATGTTCAACATGGTACAAGAAGGTTCAACATGGTTCCACAAGGTACAACATGATGAACCTTGAGGATATGCTAACGTACACACAGTTACTACCATAGTCAAACTCTTAGAAGATAAAACTTCTAAGGTTGCCAGGGGATGAAGAGGGGGTGATGAGGACTTATTGATCAATGGGTACAGAGTTTCACTTTTGCAGGATGAAAAAGTTCCAGAGATCTGTTGCACAACAATGTGAATATACTTAACACTACTGAACTGCACACTTAAAAATGGCTTAGGTGGTAAATTTTATGGTTTTTTGTTTTGTTTTGTTTTTTTGAGACGGAGTCTCGCTCTCTCGCCCAGGCTCACTGCAAGCTCCGCCTCCCAGGTTCACGCCATTCTCCTGCCTCAGCCTCCCGAGTAGCTGGGACTACATGCGCCTGCCATCACGTCCGGCTAATTTTTTATATTTTTAGTAGAGACAAAGTTTCACCGTGTTAGCTAGGATGGTCTCGAGCTCCTGACCTCGTGATCCACCCACCTTGACCTCCCAAAGTGCTGGGATTACAGGTGTTGAGCCACTGCGCCTGGCCCAGAATTTTATGTTTTTTCCACAATTTAAAATAGTTATATATTTATATAATGAATTATCATGCATTGGTGACAAACAAATAAACAAGAACCGCATACAACAATGCAGTAAAATCTCAGAAATACGCAATGAGGGCCAGGCATGGTGGCTCACACCCGTGATCCCAGCATTTGCGAGGCAGAGGCGGACGGATCAAGAGTCCTGGTCAGGAGTTTGAGATCAGCCTTGCCAGCATGGTGAAACCTCGTCTCTACTAAAAATATAAAAATTAGCCAAGTATGGTGGTGGGTGCCTATAGTCCCAGCTACTCGGGATGCTGAGGCAGGAGAATCACTTGAACCCGGGAAGCAGAGATCGCAGTGAGCCGAGATCGCGTCACTGCACTCCAGCCTGGGTGACACAGCGAGACTCTGTCTGGGAAAAAAAAAAAAATGCAATAGGGAATAAAAGCAAGTGGTAACACACAGCATGATTCAAAAACAATACAAAGCTCAAAACCAAGCAAAACTACAAATATTCAATAATTGTGGTAAAGGAAAAGCAAGAAAATAAACACAAAATTCAGGATGATGGCTACCTTTTTGGAGAGGTGGCTACTTGTATGAGACTGGGAAATTGGCATCAAGAGCATGAAAATATACATTTTAAAAAGCTAAGTGGTTAAGCGTTTTCATAAAATATATCTTACATTGTAAGTTTATTTTGTGTTTAATAATTTATAAAAAGTTTTCGAAGTATTCCGAGAAATAACTAAGGAGTGAGAAAAACTTTCTTAAACAAGACTGAAAACCCAGATGTCATAAACGATACCAAAATGTTTAAGTGTCAAAAACATTTATTTAGCTCAAGATGACACAAAAAGGGAGTCAAATGAGGGAAATCAGAACTCCTGCCCCCATCAAAAGAACTTTACATTATGCATTCTCAAAGTTAAAAATCCTGAATGAATAGTGATTGTCTATTATGTATATCTGAATCTTCTTTCAGATGTATGCTTTACTGTGCTTACTGTGACTCACCATAACAGCTATTATTAAAATATAAAACAAGCTTACAACTTGCTATGAAGAAAAAGTAAACTTTTTTTAAAGGGCAAAAGATATTCATTCTTCAACAAATATTTATTACTAGACAATACAGAGAAAGCCAGTCTAAATGTTAAACTTATTAAAAGCTGCTCAAATTCTACAGGAGTTGAGAACATACAAATTAAAGTTAAGGCTGTGATATTTTACATCCATCAGACTGGGAAATATTAAGAAGAGCTATAATATATACTAATGGATGGGGGAAGGTGTTCTTACTACACTGCTGGTGGAAATGTGAGGTATTAAAGTGCTTTTTTATTTTTTAGAAAGAAGGTCTCTTTCTGTCACCCAGGCTGGCGTGCAGTGGCATAATCATAGTTCACTATAGCCTCGAACTCCCGGGCTCAAGCAATTTTCCCACCTCAGCCTCTCAAGTAGCTGGGACTACAGGCATGTGCCCCCAAGCCCAACTAATTTTTTCTGTATTTTCTGTAGAGATGGAGTTTCGCCATGTTGCCCAGGCTGGTCTCGAACTCCTGGGCTCAAGCGATCCGCCCACCTCAGTCTCCCGAAGTGGTGGGATTACAGCATGCTTTTTTTTTTTTTTAAGTCACAGAATCCTTACTCTTTGGAATCTAACCACATATATAAAATGACCAACTTACAAAAACATACATTAAAGGACTTTTAATGTATCATTGTTCATTGTGGCAGAAAAAACCTTAAACGACATAAATGCCTAAAAACAAAGCAGAAGATGACTTATTGTGCATTAAAATCACAGAATAGAGAGCTATTCCAGTTGAGGTGAAGGGGTTTTATGAAGTACTCAAGACAGAGAGAAGTGAGGAGGAGAAAAGTATGTATATGATCCCATTTTTGTTAAATAAGAAAAACTCAAAATCCTGACATACATATATTTGTGTATGTTTATGTATATAATGATGTTATGAGCACTGAAAAACATGGAAGGCTACCTACAAAGCTGTTGACACAAGTTATGAGAGGGGATAGGAACAATGATATGGGAAGGTGAGGCCAAGCCAACAGAAAAGCCAAAATGTTACTCTTAAAAAATCATATATGGGCCAGGCGCAGTAGCTGACACTTGTAATCCCAGACCTTTGGGAGGCCGAGATAGGCAGATCAACTTGAGACCGGGAGCTTGAGACCACCTTGGCCAACATGGTGAAACCCCGTCTCTATTAAAAATACAAAAAATTAGCCGGGTGTGGTGGCGCACCTGTAGTCCCAGCTACCTGGGAGGCTGAGGAACAGGAATTGCTTGAGCCCAGGAGGCGGAAGCTACAGTGAGCTTAGATTGCACCACTGCACTCCAACCTGGGCAACAGAGCAAGACTCTGTCTCAAAAAAAAAAAAAAAAAAATCATGTATGATCAGATTCATGCAATTTACATATATGTATTACTGGAAATAGTTAATGCCATGAAGATCCAAACACAAACCTCTAGGATAAAATTTTTAAAGCTATTTTATGGCTTAGAATATTTTTTAACAGGGTATTTTATATGCTGTGACAGCAGATTTTATTTTACAAAAATGGCTGCAACAGTATCTTCCATCCATGTGCTTTTCTATAACGTGACCTTCACCCTCCCTCCTCCTATTAAGATGTGGGGTCTATAGCTTCTGAATCTGGGCAAGCTTGTGAACTGCCTGGTGGAAGGGATGCCAAATAACTTTTGAAGCTAGGTCAGAAAAGATGATGCACCAGCATGGGCAACATAGCCAAGACCCATTTCTACAAAAAAAATATACAAATCAGGCAAGTGCAGAGGTGCAGGCCTATAGTTCTAGCTACCTGGGAGGTTGAGGCAGGAGGATCACTTGAGCCCAGGAGTTCGAGGTCAGAGTGAATTATGATAGTCACTACACTACAGCCTGGGTGACAGGATGAGAGCCTGTCTGGAGAAAAATAATAATAATAATATAACTTATGCCTTATTCACTGAATTAGTATTTTGCTTGGATCCCTGAGCCACCATAAAAGAAGTGAGAAGACCTTAAGGCTGCCACACTATGAGGAAGGCAAGGTAACAGACTACGTACAGGTGCTCAAGTCAGCAGTCACAGTCTTTGAGTCCTGTTAGGCAAGGCACCAAACATGAGTGAACAAACTTTCAGATTATTCCAACATCAAGCCATTCAGTCAACTTCAGCCTCCAAATCTTCTCAGTCAAGACCAAAGACATTGTGGAGAGAAAAAAAAAAAAAAAAAACATCCCCAGTATACCCTTTCTGAACACCGGAGCCATTGAATCCTTGAGCTTAATAAAAGTGTTTTACACCATTAGTTATGGGGTGATTTGTTAAGTAGCACATACCAGTAATCAGAATGCAAATTCAGAATATAACTTACATAATTTAGAAGGCTCTGGAAAACTACATTAACTGACTTAAAAAGTGACACTAGTGATTAACAATGTCAAATTTCTAGAGTCTGCATAAAATTCACAAAACAACTATAAGAAAACCAGTATTTTCTAAATCAATACTATTTAACATAAGGAGATTTTAAATATGTATATAATTTAATAAATGATTAATAGACATCTATTTCACCCACATGGCTATTAGTAAATGTATTCTAGATAACAAAATTCTATTTTTTTCTCTTATCTTTTCACTGGGAAATGGGTCAGAACCCTGTATTTGGAATCATCTTATATTCAAACATTTACAACATACTTTTACCACCCTCTTATCCTACTGATCAACCTAAACTAAAATTCACATAGAACTTATATCTCCTTTTTAGTGTCAGAGTTTCCTTGATACCACAATTTTATTTATTTATTTATTTATTTATTTATTTATTTATTTATGTATTTTTGAGATGGAGTCTTTTTCTGTTTCTCAGGATGCCAGAGTATGGTGGCACGATCTTGGCTCACTGCAACCTCCACTTCCAGGGTTCAAGTGATTCTCCTGCCTCAGCCTCCCAGATAGCTGGGATTACAGGTGCCCGCCACCACACCCAGTGAATTTTTTGTATTTTTAGTAGCAACAGGGTTTCACCATGTTGGCTAGGATGGTCTCGAACTCCTGACCTCAAGCAATCCACCCACCTCGGCCTCCCAAAGTGCTGGGATTACAGGCGTGAGCCACTGCGCCTGACTGACACCACAATTTTATTGATAACAATGCTGAAATTGCTGTAAGTTACTGGCAAAAACATAAACCTTTTACCAATACAGAGATAAAACAAAAATCAGTTTAGTTCAGTTTATTCATTTGAAAATTGTATACTAATCACTGATCAGTTTGTTTAATTCAAGAAGAACCTATACCTTTATTTAAGGAGAACTAAAAAATTATTGAGAACTGTGAGGTGTTTTTCAATTAACACCATCTCAATTCTCTACCCATGTTTATATCCCTAAAGAAGACTTTTAGGCTTTGATTTCAACATTTTCATAAAGAAAGTATTCCTTTACAATGTTTGAAGGATCCAAATAATACTTAGCAAAAGACCATGTAAACAAAAATTTTTAAGTAGTTTTTTTTAAAAAAGACTCAAATTATCAGTTTTATTTTTTGTTTGTTCCATTTAGAAAAATTTTAATTATATCAGTTCTTTTAAAAATTGAACTGCATTGATAAGGCAGATACATTATAATTCAGACACAAACTGATGCTGATGCTCCACAAGCAGCCACAAAAACTTCAGTCATGGTTAATATACCTAAAACTATTTCTGAATTACTTTATAAATTACTCCACTATTTCATCGAATAATAATTATTCTTCAAAACCTGTGATACAAGTGAACTAGGGTGAGGTACAGAAACAGGTAATGAAAGATTTGGAAGGAGGGTCTTAGTAGCTAGGTAAATCAGCATTCAAATCCTGATTCCATCACTTAAAAGTGAAATGATGTCTCTAAGCCTTAGTTTGCTCCTTAGTGAAATAGAAACAGTTGTAGCACCTTTGAAAAAAGGTTGTTGCAGCAGACACTATGTACACAATAACAATTCTCTCCCTTTTCCTTACTAAGAGAGCCTCAATTTTATTCTTGATAACAATGGGCTCAGGTAAAGGATTACTATTCCCAGCTTTCTTTGAAGGTAGGATGGCCAATGAGATATAAACCTAAGTACACAGGTAGATTTTCCAGGAAAGTTCTTCAAGAAGCTGATTCTGTTCAGAAGTGTGCCTTTTGCTCTCCTTCCTCCCTACTCCAGGCTCAAGATACAGCAGCCATCCTAGAACACCACGCTACCTTGAAAATGGAAGTCACACACTAGGGATAAAATCCAGATAGCTGGAAGAGCTTTCTTGATAACCACAGAGCCATATTATCATCTGGGCTTCTTTTATATGAGAAATAAACTCCTTTTCTTTCCTCATTCCTTCCTTATCCTTCCTCCCTCCCTCCCTCCCTTCTTCCCTTCCTTCCTTTTATATTTTGAGACAGGGTCTTTCTCTGCAGCTCAGGCTGGAGTGCAATGGCACCATCAGCTCACCGTAACCTCAAATTCTTGGACTCAATCAATCCTCCTGACTCAATCTCCCAAGCAGCTGGGACTACAGGCATGCACCACCACATTCAACTATTTTATGTATTTTTTGCAGAGACAGGGTCTTGCTATGTGCCCAGGCTGGTTTTGAACTCCTGGGTTCATGCAATCCTCTTGCTTCAGCCTCCCAAAGTACTGGAATTACAGGTGTGAGCCACCATGCCCAGCCAAGAAATAAAGTTCTATTGTGCTTCTATTATATATAGTTAAACCTAATATTCTAATTAATTATTATTAGAATTTTTAAAGGGTAGGGCGTGGTGACTCATGCTGGTAATCCTAGCAGTTTGGGAGGCAGTGGAAGGAGGACTGCTTGACCCCAGGAGTTTGAAGCCAGTCTCAGCAACATAGCAAGACCCTGCCTCAGTTAAACCAGAAAAAGGGAGAATTTTTAAAAGATAATACATGCAAACTTTTTCACAAGTAAACTAGTACACTGAAAGTAGTCAAAATAATAAGAATAATTTTTAGAATCCAAATAACTGTACTTCATGAACAAATCGGCAATGCTCTTACTTTTCCCCTAAAACTGTCAAGTCTGTTATGTTCAATAAACTTATTCTATCAATAAGAAAAGTAACCATTGCTGAGTGACCAGTTGGCTATCTTAGAGCCATTTAATGAATAAAAATCCTTGACTTAAGGAAGCAACTATCTGAATATATTAAATAAAAGCAATCTCCCTATTTTATTTCAACTTCTTTAAAACTTCACATAAACTAGTAATGGTTGAGGGAACATGAATTAAGATCATCTACAGAATCAGTCATTTCCTCTAACACACCATGTATCTTTAAAAATCCACATCACAAATTGTCCTGACACAGGAGAACAAACTTGAAGAAACGCACCTTCTCTTCTCACCTGCATAAAATGTTGAAGTCTTCTTTTAAATCCCTTTCACTGAAGATATTGTATCTTTGGAAAGTCAATTCAGATTTTTCATGTTTAAACTAGATTTCTCAATGTCTTCACAAACGGGGTTAGCCTCTGCTAATTTATGTGTGCCAATAATTAGTAAATACTATATTTTGCTGACAGTGATAGGATTATACCACAGTAGGGCAGAATTTGATCTACAAAACAAATATTTGAGGTCCCATATCCCGGTGGTCTTGGGCAATGAGTAGATGGTAGGTCTAGCAGGGTAGGTCTGGTAGGTCTAGTGCTACACCAGACATTTTGAGACAGTTCCCTGAGATACAGTTAATCTTTTTTTCTAGACATGAATCCCAAGACAAAATGGGAGGGCTAGGATGATCATCTTTGGTATCGGAGCTTTCCAGAATATCATCTATGTAGCTGTCTGCCCTTATCTCTCCTGGATAGGGGTCTATGTTCCTGAATTCCCCTCACAGAGAGAGGCCAGTATTCCTTCCAAGCTAGTCACTTCTCTGCCTCCAGGGCTTTCAACATCCTTTTAATTTAAACTACCAGAAAAGGGGAGATAAAGGGTAACCTTTATTGCACCATTTGCAACTAACATTTGGTATAAAACTTTCTGGTTGGCTGGGTGTGGTGGCTCACTCCTGTAATCCCAGCACTTTGGGAGGCCAAGGCAGGAGGATTGTTTGAGGCCAGGTGTTTAAGACCTGATTGGAAAACATAATAAGACCTAATCTCTACAAAAAAAAAAAAAAAAAAAAAATTAAAAAATTAGCCAGGCATGGTGATCACATCTATAGTCCCAGCTACTTGGATGCTGAGATGGGAGGATCACTTGACCCCAGGAGTTCAAGGTTGTAGTGAGCTATGATCATGCCACTGCATTCCAGCCTAGGCAACTGCAAGACCCTGTCTCTAAAATAAAAACTAAAATAAAGAATAAAACATTCTGCTTGTAAATCGAGAGCCTAATAATGTTTAAGGAAGGAGAGCAGAGAAACACCACGTACCAGAAACACAAACCCCAAATGTTGGGTGTAGAACTCCAAGTACAGTAGCCCGGCTACAGGTTTAATACAGATTCCTATTGCCTCTTTAAGAATGTTTTTACTGCAACAACTTTAACAATCCATCAGATTAAAACCTTCATTAGAAAGCTATATGATTCATTTCTAATACCAATATACACACTTGAGCAAAGGCATATCATCCAAAATAGGTATTCAAACATTATTTGGCGAAAGTGAGTAGTGACAGAGGCATGCCTTCCAAGAGGTATGTTTTACTATCTGGCCTGGTTTCCCTGACCACAGATAATTGGTTCAAAGATGAACATGAGATTCAAGCTGGCCCAATCATAATCTTTCTCCAAACAACTTGAAATTTAGAATGGATATACAGAAAGATTAAAAATCGTGGGAATATAACTGCTTTCTGGCAGCACTTGTAGAGAACAGACATGATCTCCTTTTGCTGAGTACCCTGCAGGAAATTCATTTTATCTTATATTTTATGAAATATCCTAGTATATATCTAAAATGATTCTTCTGGATAAGCTAGCTAAATTCTATTTTTGATTGCCTAAAACAAAAAAGACACACAATAACTAAATCCACTGAAGATCAGGAGATATAGTTACCTCTCAATATCAAATAACATAGTCAGACGGTAGTCTAAAAATATTATCATTCTAAAATATTAAACTAATTACAAAGAGAAAGAAAGTACAGATCCTACTGGTAGAAGTAAATTTTTTTTAAAAAAGTACATTCCCTTAATTCAAGAACTCTAGTTGACAAAATTTGTCTTTCATAAAAAAGCACAAAAATATCCTTTGATAATTAATCAATTCTATTCTTGGAATTTATTCTACAGAATGCTTCAACAAGTATACAAAGATGTGTATGGGAATACATATTCAATGTTCTTAATAATAATGCAAAATTGAAAATAAATTACACATGTATAAAAGAAGCTAGTTAAATTATAGTACAGCAGGTCCTCTAATAACATTTCATTCAATGTTATTTTGCTGTAGCACTGAAGAGAGAAACAAAGCCCGGGCGCTGTGGCTCACGCCTGTAATCCCAGGACTTTGGGAGGCCAAGGCAGGTGGATCACTTGAGGTCAGGAGTTCGAGAACAGCCTGGCCAACATGGTAAAACCCCATCTCTACCAAAAATATAAAAAATTAGCTAGGAGTGGTGACGTGTGCCTGTAGTCCCAGTGACTCAGGAGGCTGACACAGGAGAATCACTTGAACCTGTGAGGCAGAGGTTGCAGTGAGCCTAGATCACGCCACTTCACTCAAGCCTGGGTGACAAAGCAAGGCTCCATCTCAAAAAAAGAGAGAAAAAAAATGACTCCAAGCCAGGGCTATTATTTATGTGGAGTTTGTATATTCTTTCCATGTCTGCATGAGTTTGCTCCAGATGTTCTAGATTCCTCCCACATCCCAAAGATGTGCACATTAGGTTAATTAGCGTGTCTAAATTGTCCCAGTCTGAGTGAGCATGGGTGTGTGTGTGTGAAGCACACTGTGATGGGATGGCATCCTGTCCAGGACTGGTTCCTGCCTTGTGCCCTGAGGCTGCCAGGATAGGCTTCGGCCACCCATGACCCTGAATTGGAATAAGGGGATTGGAAAATGAATGAATGAATATAAATTATTGTAATAAAATTCATAAAATATATAATCAGCACAGAAAAGTACATAAATGATGCACTCAGTGAGCCCATCATGTTTATTATTGTTTGTTTCTGAACTGCATGGTGGTAGGAGGTGCTCTTGACAATGTTTGCTTTGCAAACATTTATTCCTTAAGTTAACCAACCACCACTACAAGCACCATCACTCGCTGATTCACCAAAAACTGGGTAAATAATTATCTTACTTGTTTTTATTAATCTTTCTTGTATGCATGTATAGCTCACATTTATTTCAATGTTTAATATTAGAAGTGTTTCAGATCTTTATTTAGAAGTTTGATGGTGTTTTTGTGACTAAAAATATGCCACAGGAACTTAACTCTTACTTCTATCAATTTAAACTTATGGTAAAATTGGTTTCATTATATGTCATTTCACCTAAAGTCACAATTTCCAAGAACATATCAACAACATTTAGTGAGGACTTATTATACAGCCATACAATAAAATACTGAGTAGCCATTAAAAAGGGTGCAACAGGTCTATATCCATTGACACAGAAAGATGTCTACGCAGTTGAATGAAAAAAAGCAAGAACAGTATCTATGATTCCTACACACATATATAAATCTCCATACACCATGTATAGCTATATACACTCATAGAAAAAAGTCTGGAAAGATATATATGTTAAACTTTTAAAACTGGTTATCTTTGGAGAATGGTAATGACAAAGACTTTTACTTTCTATTTTATTCATTTCTGTATTGTAAAATTGAATGTATTACTTTTATAATCATAAAAAACAAATTATTTCTAAAAATACGATAACACAAAAAGAATTTTAAAAGAAAATAAAAGACCTTAACCCAAGTAGAAACCCTTAATAGTGGTAAGTATAATCTTCCATATAGACACGAAGTATGGCTATATTTTAATATGATAACTATGAGAATAAAATATTTATTGAAAAAAAGAATAAGATTCTTACAATTCAGATTAACCTGCTGAAAGAACAGTACGTGATGAGATCTAGACTAAATCAGATTGAACCATCACATAAATCAGCCCTAACTAAACACTGTAATAGTTAAATACCACATCTAGATTAACATTCATTTTCTATCTAAAGACATGATTGTTTTTTCTCAAATGGTACTTACAGTTCTCTACAATTTCATCAAAAACTGCACCACTTTTTTGTTCAAACTGGAAAAGCAAAAAAGGAAAAAGTAACATTACCATCATATCTTCTATCATACATTCTTTTGGTATCCCTCCCTATTCCCCAAGGAGCTGTAATTTTCAACCCAAATGACAAGTGCACAATATAAACAAAAACATTGCCAAATAGAGTAAAATAAAATTTAGGATGAACCAAAGTAGTTCTCAGACCAAAGCCCCAAACCAAAAACTAAGAGATAAATCACATCCTCTCACTATAAACAACTACTTATTTTTTTAATCATTCATGTCACAAAAGAGATGATCATATATATTTTAATAACAGTAAACACAGCTAACGCTTCATAAGAACTTACTAACACCGAGAACTATGTAAAACTTCCCATCAAAACTGAACAGAAAAATTAACAGCTTTTGCTCTTAAGCTAAAGCCAAAAACATGCTGCTCTTAAATTGAAAGTGAGGCCTGTTATAGGGATGGTTCCTACTGAGTACGTTAGTGCCTAAGACAGAAGTAGAGCCATGTCAGAGGTAATTTCAGATCTTTAAACACAGAGGGAAAAGAAAGCAAAGCACCGGTAACTCCACCAAAGAACTAAAGAAAATGGCACACTTCACTCTGAGTCTCTGAAGGCCTCCTTACTTTGGAGGTTCCTGCTTCCCTGCCTGTTACTCATCAGTGAGGCAAGAACACAAGAAATGCTGCTTCTTGATAAACCTTGCCTACTGTAAGAAGCCAGAATCAGCCACCCCATTCAAGGGAGAGACTTTTAAGGAAAAAAGAACTACCTAGCTACCTACATAACTGTAGAGGAAACACAACAGCTAGCTATAGTAATCAGTAGTATCTGATATTCATAAATATGAAGAGAAAATAAAAGATCCCAGGTTTCCAAAAGAAACCTATGTGAAAGAGAAAGTTCAAGGTAAACAAACAGAACCACCACTCCAGAAGGAAACAAGTAACTTATAAAAAAGCAACTTCTTGGCTGGGCCCAGTGGCTCACACCTGTAATCCCAGCACTTTGGGAGGCTGAGGTGGGCGGATCACAAGGTCAGGAGATCAAGACCATCCTGGCCAACATGGTGAAACCTCATCTCTAGACAAAAAGTTGGAAAAGATAATTTATGTGACATGGAGGATTGAAGCACTAAGTCTAACAGCAATATCAAAGGTACCCCCAAAGAAGAAAATAATGGTGAAAGGGATAACAGAAAAAAATTTCCCTGAACTGAAGATATAAATACCATATCTGAGATTGAATGGGCCCACTAAATACCAAAGAAATAACAAAAAAAAAGGATACATCCTGGTAAAATATATCAGAATTCCAAAAGAAAACAAAAGGAGCAATTTTTTAAATGATAGTGCAGGTAATTTATAAACACATTTAACTTGAAATTCAACTATGTAAACATTGGAAAGTAAAGGAAAGCAAACTAATAGTGAAGGTCACTCCACCTACCATTCCAGTCAATGAGCTAGGCTCTAGAATGAAAGGGAAATGGGAAATGAAAAATGTCACTCTGGGCCAGGTGTGGTGACTCACGCCTGTAATCCCAGCACTTTGGGAGGCCGAGACGGGTGGATCATGAGGTCAGGAAATCGAGACCATCCTGGCTAATTATGGTGAAACCCCGTCTCTACTAAAAATACAAAAAAATTAGCCGGACATGGTGGTGGGCGCCTGTAGTCCCCGCTACTCAGGAGGCTGAGGCAGGAGAATGAGGAGAATGGCATGAACCTGGGAGACAGAGCTTGCAGTGAGCTGAGATCGTGCCACTGCACTCCAGCCTGGGCGACAGAGCGAGACTCTGTCTCAAAAAAAAAACACCAAAAAAACAAAAAACAAAAAACGAAGAAAAATGTCACTCTGTAAGCCAAAGAATGAAAGCATCTGCCTACACTGAGAAGAATCCCATTGTTTAATAACAGTTTGTTTTTGAACAATACTGTCCCAAGGCCCGATGCTATTATTCCTTCTCATCTTATACAATATTTCTCATGACTCTCTATCCCCCTAGAGCTACTGCTCATTTTTCTCTTCCCCTTGACAGCAGAACTCTTCAAAGGAGTTGTCCAGCCGGGTGCAGTGGCTCACGCCTGTAATCCCAGCACTCTGGGAGGCCAAGGTGGGCAGATCACCTGAAGTCAGGAGTTCAAGACCAGCCTGGCCAACATGGCAAAAACCCATCCCTACTGAAAATACAAAAATTAGCTGGGCGTGGTGGCGGGCACCTGTAATCCCAGCTACTTGGGAGGCTGCGAGGCAGGAGAATCACTTGAACTCAGGAGGTGGAGGTTGCAGTGAGCCGAGATTGTGCCACTGCACTCCAGCCTAGGGGACAAAGCATGATTCCGTCTCAAAAACAAAAACAAAAACAAAACAAAAAAGCCAGGCGTGGTGACTCACGCCTGTAATCCTAGCACTTTGGGAGGCCGAGGCAGGTGGATCACAAGGTCAGGAGTTCAAGACCAGCCTGGCCAACATGGTGAAACCCCATCTCTATTAAAGATACAAAAAAATTAGCCGGGCATGGTGGCACACACCTGTAATCCCAGCTACTTGGGAGGCTGAGGCAGGAGAATCGCTTGAACCTGGGAAGCGGAGGTTACAGTGAGCCGAGATCACGCCATTGCACTCCAGCCTGGGCAACAGGGCAAGACTACATCTAAAAACCAAAACCAAAACAAAAAAAAAGTTGTCTATACATGCTGCCTACGACACCTGTCTCTTGAACCCACTTCAGTAAGGCTTCTGCCTGCACTATTTCTACTGAAACTTTTCTCGTCAAGGTCATAAGCGACCTCCACACTGCTAAACCCAATGATCTATTCTCACTCCTAAAGGAAAAAAGAGAACTAGAAGATGACAACCATTTAAGGTGAAAAAATTTGGATCACAATCACTACTTCACATCAACATTAATCCCAGATAAGTTAAAAATAAACTGAAAAAAAAATAAAAGCCCTAGAAGATAGAAAAGTCTTTTAACCAGAAAAAGAGATCTTCATGAAAAAGATTTTAAAGTTTGACTATATTTCTAAAAAATTGTTTGGAAAAGCTTAAAGGTAATATGAATGAAAAAGTTGTAGTAGTAGTATAATAATGGTTAATATTCTATGTATAAAGCAATCTTGGACTCAATTAAAGAGTACTATCCCAATAGAAAGTGATCAAAGAACATAAACAAGCACTAAACATTCAATCTTACCCAAAATCAAAATTGAGATACCATTTTCTCTCAGACTGGTAAAGATACAAAATGAAGAGAGACATAGAAATGTCCCTGTTTTTAAAAAACCCAATAGTATATCTTGGAAAATTATACAGAGATCTACTTCATTCTTTCCAGTGGCTGCACAGTCTCTTATTATATTATACTGATGAACATTTTAAGGTTGCCTCCTGCTTTTTTTTTTTTAAATGCAATATTGCAGTTGTCATCTGTATACATATGATATGGCTTAGGTATGTGAGTATATCTGTAGGATCAATTTCTAGAAGTGGGATCACTAGGTTAAAAAAGATCACTAGGTTAAAAAAATTAAATATTTAATTTTTTAAAATTTAATTCCTTCCAACTAAGCTTCATGAGTTACTGGGATTATAGGAACACACCACCATGCCCAGTTTATGACACTTTTTTTCCAAGTACTTTATATGATTTAATCCAATTTAATCTCCCAAAAATCTCATAAGGTAGGTACTGTTAACACCTCTATTTTATAGGTGAAGAAATGGAGGTACTGAGAGGTTAAGGGGAAGGACACACACACACACACACACACAGCTCTGAAAGTCTCCCAAGAAAAATGTCCAAACTTCTGTGGATATATAAGACTCTCCAAAATCTAGCCCTAATTTCCTCTACAGCTTTATCTTTTCCTGCCTTCACATTCCCATTACATCCCCATCCTGTAAGCAAATGCTCCAGCCATGATAAATAACCTATAGCTGCTCACCCAACCTTTCAGGTAGTTTCAAGCATCTGGGTCACTGTGCACAGTGCTTAAGCTTTTCCAGTCTTAATTCAATAGTAAACATATACTCAGCTTCAAGCTAAAGCTGCTACTCCTCTATGGTACCATAATCTCACACACAACCCACACACACCCAACTTCCCGAACAAAGTAGAATTCACAGCTCTTTCCTAGTGATACTACGACCAATGTGACTGTGTAACAACTATAATAACTTTACTCCCAAGTTGGGAATGCTATAAAGAATCAAGTACCCATACAGGTTTCTGAAGCTGTATGAGGTCATATCCCATTCTTTTTGTAGACCAACCTGCTGACAGATAACAGGGGTTATACAAACCTTGAGTTTTAATCCAACTTTGGAGACTAAACACAAAATCAATAAAAAGGAGCGCTTTATATAAAGACCTTTAGAATAATGTTAAAAATTAAAAACAAAAAACAATCTAGTTAGTTTCTTTCAATAGAACCTAAATGAAATCAAGATTCTATAAAGGATTAGAAATCCTACACTTCTCAAAGCCAGGGCAGGCAAAAGTGCACCCTGAAGAAAAAAACAAACAAAAGATTATTTTTCTGCTATAACAGTCTCGCAACACAGAACATTTCAGTGACCAGATATGTGGGACTTTTTCATCACACACCAAATATCTAGCAGACACCAACTGTGTGTCCTATAATTCACTTCAATTCTGACACTATCTACCTAGAATTAAGAGTAAGATCCCACAGGTTGAAGGCTCAGTCCAACAAGGCTGCCTCCCACTTCAGATACCAATCACAAGCCCCAGGCTGTGACTTGACCTTGTAACTGGCCAGCTATATAACTTGGGGTGTGCGCAACCCCCACCTCAGGTTCAATTAATTTGCTAAAGCAGCTCATGGATCTCAGGGGAACACATTTACTGGTTTATTATAAAGGATACTACAAAGGATACAGGTGAACAACCTGATGAAAGAGATGCATAGGATGATACATGCTGGGGAGAGGCATGGAGTTCCCACGTCTTCTCTGGGCATGCCACCTTTCCAGCACCTCTGTGTGGTTCAGCAATCCGGAAGTTTTCTGAACCTTGCCTTTGGGGTTTTTATGGAGGCTTCATTATGCAGCCATGATTGAGTAAATCATTGGCACTGCTGCTCAACTCGATGTTTAGCCCTCTAGTCATGTCTTGGTATTTTTGGTGACCAGCCCCATGCTGAAGCTATGGAAAGGCCTGGCCCTAAGCCCAAGTCACTCATTAGTACACAATCCACACTTATCACTTCAGAGATTCCAACAGTTTTAGGAGCTGTGTGCCAGGAACCTGGGGCAGAAACCAAATATGTATTTCCTATTATATCACAGTATCACACTAGCCCAAAGATATTTTTATTTGTTCTGTATTTAGTAGCCTAGCACCTACAACACTGCGTAAAATATAACAAAAACTCAGTCTTTGCTAAATAAAAGAATCATTTCTATTAGTTAATAAGCAGTTTGAAACTTGTTTATTTAAAAAACTTAACCATAGAGTGTACTTTAAATTTTCCAAAACTCCCAAAGTTTCCACTGAAGTTTCAAATAATTTGTATACTTTCAACAGACCACTCCAAATCAAATGTCCAATCCTATTCCTATTCCTTCAACCGCCACAATGAGTAATGTTAGTCTTTCCCTGTTGCTACTCTGATTTGGATGTCCCTTAGTTTTTCAAATGTATTAATCCTGATGATTTTTACAATCATTTTTTTCAAGTTTCTCAATGTGAGAAATTTGTTTTGGAAAAATTTTTTTGAGACGGGTCTTGCTCTGTTGCCCAGGCTGGAATGCAGTAACATGATCATGGCTCACTGCAGCCTCAAACTCCTGAGCTCAAGGGATCCTCCCACCTCAACTCCCAAGTAGCTGGAACTAGAGGTGTGCACAACCACGCCCAGCTAATTTTTTAAAATTTTCTGTAGAGACTGGGTATTGCTATATTGCCCAGGCTGGTCTTGAACTCCTGGCCTCGTGATCTTCCCACCTCAGCCTCCCAAAGTGCTGGGAATGCAAGCATGAGCCACCACACCCAGCGATATTATATTTTTTATACAGGCAGCTACCACGCAGAAATATAAAAACGACTATGCAAGCTGAAACCATGCAAAGCAATCTTAATGATCAAAGAGAAAAATTAAAATTGTTCCATGATCTTTTTTTGTCAAAACACTTGAAACGTTAAAAACTCTGTCAGTTTGGCCAGGCACGGTGGCTCACACCTGTAATCCCAGCATTTTGGGAGGCCGAGGCGGGCTGATCACCTGAGGTCGGGAGTTCGAGACCAGCCTGACCAACATAGAGAAACCCTGTCTCTACTGAAAATACAAAATTAGCTGGCCATCATGGCCCATGCCTGTAATCCCAGCTACTCACGAGGCAGGAGAATCACTTGAACCCGGGAGGCGGAGGTTGTGGTGAGCCAACATCATGCCACTGCACTCCACCCTGGGCAACAAGAGCGAAACTCCGTCTCAAAAACAAAAACAAAAACACTGTGTCAGTTTAAATGTGTAGGGAAATGAAAAAATATTGTATAACTAATATTTGCTTACTACGTTATAATTTAAAATGTGAGAATCAAAGGGTTTTATTTATTTGTAAAAAATCTACCAGGAGTATGGCTGGGCACAGTGGTACATGCCTGTAATCCCAGCACTTTGGTATGCCAAGGCAGGCGGATGACTTGAGGTCAGGAGTTCAAGACCAGCCAGGCCAAGATGGTAAAACCCTGTCTCTACTAAAAATACAAAAATTAGCCAGGTGTGGTGGCACATGCCTGTAATCCCAGCTATTTGGGAGGCTGAGGCAGAAGAATCACTTGAACCTGGGAGACGGAGGTTGCAGTGAGCCGAGATTATGCCACTGTACTCCAGCCTGGGTGACAGAGCGAGACTTCGCCTCAAATTAAAAAACAAAAAAACAAAAAACCCTACCAGGAGTAGACAGTGCCTGCCTTTGTCTTTTCCTATGTAACTTGTGATACAGAATAAGCAACTTTTCCATGCCTTAACAAACTGTCAGCCGGGCACAGTGGCTCACCCCTATAATCCCAGCATTTTGGGAGGCCAAGGTGGGTGGATCACCTGAGGTCAAGAGTTCAAGACTAGCCTGGCCAACATGGTGAAACCCTGTCTCTACTAAAAATACAAAAATTGCCAGGCATGGTGGCACGTGCCTGTAGTCACAGCTACTCGGGAGGGTGAGGCAGGAGAATCACTTGAACCCGGGAGGCAGAGGTTGCAGTGAGCCAAGGTTGCGCAACTGTACTCCAGTCTGGGTGATAGAGTGAGACTCTGTCTCAAAAAAAAAAAAAAAAAAAAAACTGCCATAATCCCTTCTAAATTTGAATTGGCTTCCAAAATTATACCCTTTGCTCTTTGAATCTTTTGAGTATCTCAACGAGTTGTGTTACTGTGAAATTTGTACCAGTATTACTTCCACTATGACATTCGTCTCTTTGTTACAACATTTTCCTCATTTATGTTTGTAAGTTTGTCTTCACTGAATTCTTCAGGTGACATATCTACACACTCCCCTTTATGGCCACTTGAAGATCCTATGTCTTTCATTGCATAAGTTAATGATGGGCTGCATTCCAAAAAAGACCTATCCCATCAACATGTTAAATAGCTGATGATCACAATTACCTGCCTTAAGTAATCTCTGGAATCTGGGCACAAATTTCACAGCAGCATCCCGATCTGTTCTAGCATCTTTACCAGAAAACTTATCAACAATCTATGACCATTCTGAAATGATCAAACCAGCCTTTACTGGCAACAAGAAGTCCTTCGGTTGGCTTGTAATTAGTTTTCTTTCAGTGCAACAACTAACTTCAATGATTCAGCCTGAATGCTAGCCAAATTGACTACATTTTATACAATTTATTTAAATTACGTGATAAAGCTATCTATCTATCTATCTATTTATTTATTTATTTTTTGAGACAGAGTTTCACTCTTGTTGCCCAGGCTGGAGGGCAATGGCGCAATCTCAGCTTACTGCAGCCTCCACCTCCCGGGTTCAAGGGATTCTCTTGGCTCAGCCTCCTGAGTAGTTGGGATTACAGGTGCCGCCTTCACACCTGGCTAATTTTTTGTGTTTTTAGCAGAGACAGGGTTTCACCATGTTGGCCAAGCTGGTCTCGAACTCCAGACCTCAGGCGATCCACCTGCCTCGGCCTCCCAAAGTGCTGGGATTACAGGCGTGAGCCACCACGCCTGGCTGAAGCACTTTAACTTTTTTTTTTTTTTTGAGATGAAGTCTCGCTCTTGTCCCCCAGGCTGGAGTGCAATGGCATGATCTCGGCTCACTGCAACCTCCACCTCCCAGATTCAAGTGATTCTCCTGCCTCAGCCTCCCAAGTAGCTGGGGTTAGAGACGCCTGCCACCATGCCCAGCTAATTTTTGTATTTTCAGTAGAGACAGGGTTTCACCATGTTGGCCAGGCTGGTCACAAACTCCTGACCTCAGGTGATCCGCCCGCCTCAGCCTCCCAAAGTGCTGGGATTACAGGCGTGAGCCACCAATTGAATTTTTTCAATATAGTTCATACTGTAACTACATGCAGGCCTAGCTCTTGTCCTATCTTCACTTGCCTGTCACCATTTTTGGATCATCTAATCACATCTAATTTTTCAGTTCCTGTGTTATCACTTTTGATTCCTTTTCTGAACTTTCATCTTTTTTTGCAAATTCTCTCCTCTTGAGTATCCATTTTCATAAAATGTCACATAAGTTTATAATTGGGAGACAAGGATGCAACACAACTACACACTTTGCTGTCTGTGTATGAACTAAATAATAGATGCAGAGTGAAAAACTGCAACACAGACTCTGAAAGAAGTGATGTGATTAGTCACTGCTCGTGAGACATCTGCTAATTACATAGTGATTTGTTAACACAAGAGCTAGCACTGAAGTTTATACTTTATGCAATTGCTCACAGTTAACACACTATGGTAAATGAAATATGAACTGTGTTGTTAGAGAACTGGCATTTAAACCTTGGCAACTGAAATTCAAGCATATCAGAACAAAATAAAAGTGAGGACTAACTTACTATTACACATTTGCTACCAAATACACAGTAGGTCTTGAGAAGGACTACTAATTTCAATACTGTAATAGTCTAGTCACTGTTCTGCTACTAACAAACAAAGCTTAAGGGAGAAACTTCACTCCTCTGGGACTCGATTTCTTCAACCCATATAATTAATATATAATAAAGTTGGGCTACATAATCCTAAAAACTCTTTCCAAACGTTCAAATTTAATGCTCACAATTCACTCTCAAGCTAGGCATAAACTAAAAACTTGAATTAGTATTATATAATGGACACTGAATACTTGTTAAGAAAACTATAAAAAGTAGGTCTAATTCTCTATACATAAAGTATTTCTTTTTAATTAAATGACTTTTAAAAAATAATAATAATTTTTTTTTTCCCCCAGACAGGGACTCACTCTGTCACCCAGGCCAGGGTGCAGTGTCATGATCTTTGCTCACCACAGCCTTGAACTCCTGGGCGCCAGCAATCCTTCCGTCTCAGCCTCCTGAGTAGTTGGGACTACAGGTACATCCAGTGAATTTTTTTCTTTATTTTTTTGTAGAGACAGGGTCTCACTGTTGCCAATTCTGGTCCCAAACCCCCAGGCTAAAGCGATCCTCCCAACTCAGCCTCCCAAAGTGCTAGGGTTACAGGGGTGAGCCTGACTTTTTAAGACATTAACAATTCTTCCTTTAAAAAAGAAGCAAATACATCTTCTTTTCGCATTTTTATTCATTTCAAAATTTATGTAAAGTTACTTAAACAAAATGATTAGTTCACAGAAATTACACTGACATAAACTAAAAACAGGCTTGGTTTCTCCATCAAAAAAAGACTGGCTAACTGTCAACTTGCTGTAGGTACACTTATTGTCTGTAATACACATTTCATGTGCTGGTAGTAATTTTTTTTAGTAGAACTTTTTTTAAAGGTTATATAAAATAAAAACCAAAGTTCTACGTAGAAGCAATGGAGTTAAGTTGCATTTTACAACTCAAATTGTATAAAATAAAGCAACTGAATTACTTTCAAGTTCAGAAAAAAACTTAACAAGCCAGCTACTAAAAATGTTCTATTGAAGTTTTGCAAAACGTATCTTTTGAGTGTTAAATTTACATTATATATTTTAATGAAAAAACTTGTTTGAATAGCTACAATAACCTGATAAACATAAAATAGTCGAAATGTATCACTGAATATAGAGAATAGAGCCCATTACTGAGAAAATAGCTTTAAAAAAAAAAAAAAGGCCATCACCTTAAAATTACTTTTGTTTTTTTTGTTTTTGTTTTTTTGTTTTTTTGAGATGGAGTCTTGCTCTTGTCACCCATGGAGTACAATGGCGTGATCTCGGCTCACTGCAAACTCTGCCTCCTGGGTTAAAGCAATTCTCCTGCCTCAGCCTCCCAAGTAGCTGGGATTATAGATGCGCACCACCACACCTGGCTAATTTTTGTATTTTTAATAGAGACAGGGTTTCACCATGTTGGCCAGGCTGGTCTTGAACTCCTGACCTCAGGTGATACGCCCGCCTCAGCCTCCCAAAGTGCTAGGATTAGGCATGAGCCACTGCGCCCAGCCAAAATTATTTTTTTAATGACTTCTTTTCACAAAAGTTAAGGATAGAAATCAAACTACCCCAGCAAAAAAAAAAAAAAAAATCATTTTTGAATAGTTAAATAATGTCTCCCTTTCAATCTGCAAGTATAAAATACTATATTTACCCTTAAAAGTAAACTGGGGCCAGGCGCAGTGGCTCACACCTGTAATCCCAGCACTTTGGGAGGCTGAGGCAGGTGGATCACTTGAGGTCAGGAGTTCAAGACCAGCCTGGCCAACATGGTGAAACCCCGTCTCTACTAAAAATACAAAAATTAGCCGGGTGTGGTGGCAGGTGCCTGTAACCCCAGCTACTCAGGAGGCTGAGGCAGGAGAATCGCTGGAACCCGGGAGGCGGAGGTTGCAGTGAGCTGAGATTGTGCCACTGCACTCCAGCCTGGGAGACAGAGCAAGACTCCGTCTCAAAAAAAAAAGAGTAAACTATTTTTTTTTTGAGGGAAAAGAAAAATAAACTATAGTTTTTGTCATTAAGTTTACTAGTCCAAAATAATGTATAGAATTGGTTACCAAGTTGGAAGAATCAGGAATATTTATGATAAAATCATGGCATTCCTCAAAGAAACTATTTTCAGTGCTTCCTAAAGTCTATAGCAAACATGATGTAAATTATAAAACTTATAACTAAAACAACAAATAAAAGTTTTCTCAATTATTTAAGGTAAAAATAAAAACCTTGGACTGCTTCTCTTCAATTAGTGATACCTAAAGTTAAGCAGAGGTGTGAGTTTTCAGGAACTAAGAGTATGTGAATGACCTCTAGTCAGCAAATGGTTGCTAGGCTCTATTTTAAATTTAGGCCCAGTTAGCCACTTGGGATCCAACTTGAAAGACCGGCCCTTTCAGGCTCACATTTTTTCACATAGATCATATTATATACACCTTTAAAATATAATATACATTTTTAACATAAATTTTTAAAATAAAAATTCCAATAATAAAGGCTTCATTTTAGCCAATACACACAACCTTTACAATCTCCCAACCTCTAAGACTGTCACTGCAAATAAAAGTGACAGAGGCCAGGTGAGGTGGCTCACACCTGTAATCTCAACACTTTGGGAGGCCAACCTGGGTGGATCACCTGAGCTCAGGAGTTCGAGACCAACCTGGGCAACCTGGTGAAAACCCACCTTTACTAAAATACAAAAAATTAGCCGGGTGTGGTGACGCCCGCCTGTAGTCCCAGCTACTCGGGAGGCTGAGGCACAAGAATCATTTGAGCCCAGGAGGTGGACGTTGCAGTGGGCTGAGATCGTGCTACTACACTGCAGCTTGGGCTACAGAGTGAGACTCTGTCTCAAAAAAAAAAAAAAAAGAAAAAGAAAAAGAAAAAGTGACAGATAAAAGTTTACCTTTAAAATACTTAAGATAGGCTGGGTGCAATGGCTCACGCCTGTAATCCCAACACTTTGGGAGGCCAAGGCAGGGAGATCACTTAAGGTCAGGAGTTTGAGACCTGCCTGGCCAACATGGTGAAACCCCGTACCTAATAATAATAAAAATGTTAGCTGGGGCCGGTCACGGTGGCTCATGCCTGTAATCCCAGCACTTTGGGAGGCTGAGGCGGGTGGATCACCTGAGGTCAGGAGTTCCAGACCAGCCTGGGCAACATGGTGATACCCTGTCTCTACTAAAAACACAAAAATTAGCCAGCTGTGGTGGCACTCGCCTCTAGTCCCAGCTACTCGGGAGGCTGGGGCAGGAGAATCACTTGAACTCAGGAGGCAGACGTTACAGTGAGCTAAGATCGTGCCACTGCACTCCAATCCGGGTGACAGAGCGAGACTCCGTCTCCAAAAACAATAATAATAATAAAAGAAATTAGCCAGGTATGGTGGCAAACACCTGTCCCAGCTACTTGGAAAGCTGAGGCACAAGAATCACTTGAACCTGGGAGGCGGAGGTTGCAGTCAGCCAAGATTGTGCCACTGCACTCCAGCCTGGGCAACAGAGTGAGACTCTGTCTCAAAAAAGGAAGGAAGGGAGGGAGGGAGGGAAAGAAGGGAAAGAAAGAAAGAAAAGAAAGAAGGGAAAGAAGAGAAAGAAAGAAGGAAAGAAAAAGAAAAGAAAGAAAAAAAGACATTTGCTGCCACATAATTTAAACAATAAAAAAAGTACTAGTACCACTGCAGGGAAATGGTTAATTTATTAAGACAGATTAAACACGAAATTCTACGCAGACTTTAAAAAGAATATGGTAGAGGGTTCTGGATATGGATGGTGTTAATAGTAGCACAACAATGCGAATGTACTTAATGCCACTGAATTATACACCTAAAAATGGTTAAATGGAAGATTTTATGTTATGTATATTTTATCAAAATAAAGGTATAAAAAGGTATATTATTTATGGCATCAGAGTTCCAGAAGCAGAGGAGAAAGACTGCAGAGCAGAAAAAAATATCTGAAGAAATAATGGCTGAAAACTTCCCAAATTTGATGAAAGACAGATAGATATCTGCAGATTCAAGAAGCTAAGCAAACGTCAAACAGGAAAACCCAAAGATATATACACCAAGACACTCATAATCAAACTGCCAAAACCTAAACAACAACAACAACAAAAATCTTTGAACAGTCAGAAACAAACAACACATTACTTATAACTACAGACTTTCCATCAGAAACCATGGATGCCAAAAGAAAGAAAAACAGGCAGGGTATGGTGGCTCATGACTGTAATGCCAGCACTTTGGGAGGCCAAGATGGGAGGATCGCTTGAGCCCAAAGTTTGAGGCTGCAGTGAGCTAGGATCACCACTGCACTCCAGCCTGGGTGACAGAGTGAGACCTCGTCTCGAAAAAAAAGGAAAAAGAAAAAGAAAGGCTCTTCATACAAAAGTGAAATAATATCAGAAGAAAATGTAGAAAATTGAGAATGAAGAGCAACAGAAATAATAAATATCTGAATAAATATAACTATTTCTATATATAGACTATTGCTTTATTTTTCACTTCTTTAACCTATGTTTAACAGTGGAGTGTAAAAAATATTACACGGTTTTCAATATATACATATATGGAAACTACAACATAAAAGGGAGAGTAAAACAGCCCTCCAAATTCATTGTCTAGATCTCACTTGAAGTGACTTTTTTTTTTGAGACACAGTCTCCCTCTGTCACCCAGACTAGGGTACAGTGGTACGCTCATGGCTCAGTGCTGGGATTACAGAATGAGCCACCACGCCAGGTCTGAAGTGATAAAATACTGATTCTATGAAGCCAGTCCCAAAACATTATATACTACAGTAGTTCATTTATGACTTTTTTTTTTTTTTTTTTGAGACAGAGTTTTGCTCTTGTTGCCGAGGCTGGAGTGCAATGGCATGATATCGGCTCACTGAAACCTCCGCCTCCTGAGTTCAAGCGATTCTCATGCCTCAGCCTCTTGAGTAGCTGGGATTACAGGTGCATGCCACCATGCCTAGCTAATTTTTTTGTGTTTTTAGTAGAGACGGGGTTTCACCATGTTGTCCAGGCTGGTTTCAAACTCCTGACCTCAGGTGATCCACCTGCCTCAGTCTCCCAAAGTGCTGGGATTACAGACGTGAGCCACAATGCCTGGCCTTCTCACTTACGACATTCTCAAAAACACAAAACTATAGCGACAGATAACACTACAGTGGCAGCCAGTGGCTAAAGGTGAATAGAGGCTATGACTACAAAAGAAAGCACCCCAAAAATGGGGTGATAGAAGCGTATACTGTTTGCGGTGGTGTTTATAAGAATCTATGTGTGTGTTTAAAATTCAATCCAGTATGCACCAAATGTCAAAAAAGGAATTTTATAGATTTTCATACTCGTGTGAATTAGAAAAAGAAAAAAGAGGCCGAATGCGGTGGCTCACACCTGTAATCCTAGCACTTTGGGAGGCCGAGGCAGACAGATCACCTGAGGTCAGGAGCTCGAGACCAACCTGGCCAACATGGTAAAACCTTGTCTCTACTAAAAATATAAAATTAGCTGCGTGTGATGGTGCATGCCTGTAATCCCAGCTACTCGGGAGGCTGAAGCAGGAGAACCACTTGAATCTGGGAGGTAGAGGTTGCAGTGAGCTGAGATTGTGACATTGCACTCCAGCCTGGGCAACAAGAGCAAAACTCCATCTCAAAAAAAAGAAAAGAAAAAAGGAATTTTAGCATACATTCATTTAAAAAATAAAATACATACGTATGCAACATAAATTTATGTATAATTGTAAATAAATACAGTGAGTAGTAAAATTACAAGAGATTTTTATCTTTTCTGTATACCTTTTTATTTTTATTTATTTATTTTCACTTGTATCAAAAATTACTATCAAACTCCACTCACTGGATCAGAGACCCTTGTAATATTAGTGAAAAACTTGCCCCTCATGTAGCACACTACCTACACTTGTGAGCTTATACCTTTTAAAATCTTTCAAATCATCTACAACAATGCTGCCTTCATAATAAAAGTAAGACATTCAAAGATAACCATAAAATGCTTGGACGAGGTGGCTCACGCCTGTAATCCCAACACTTTGGGAGGCCGAGGCAGGTAGATCACTTGAAGTCAGGAATTCGAGACCAGCCTGGCCAACATGGTGAAACCCCATCTCTACTAAAAAAAAATATACAAACATTAGCCGGGCATGGTGGTGGGTGCCTTAATCTCAGCTACTGAGGAGGCCTGAGGCAGGAGAATCGCTTGAACCTGGGAGGCGGAGGTAGCAGTGAGCCGAGATCGCGCCATTGCACTCTAGACCTTGGGCGACAAGAGTGAAACTCCATCTCAAAAAAAAAAAAACAAAAAAAAACACACAACACAAAAAAACCCCACAAAATACTTAAGTTTTTTTAAGAAGATGTCCCTTAAATATAGTTCTGTTATAGAATTACTTGAAAAATAAATAAATCAGAATATTCTAAAGTAGTTTTTTTGTGGGTTTTTTTTTAAGACAGAGTCTTACTCTGTCGGCCAGGCTGGACTACAGTGGTGCGATCATAGCTCACTGTAGCCTCAAGCTCCTGGGCTCAAGCAATCACCATAAAGTATTTTGAGATCGCAAATATAAAGTGTAATTACAAAGGCAGACAACTGCTTTCCCCAACCTATCCCTAAAAATCTACTAACAAAACAATTACAAGGTTTTTAAAGAGATAGATGAGACAGGATAACCTAGTTTCTTATGTGTAATCTCCCCTTTCAGAATATATAATCATTATACACATATAAATGATCAGTACAAAGCCAAATATTAGACAAATTATTCTGACTAAATTCTTTATTGCTCAATTACCTAAAACTATTTTATCCTTTCCTTACAAGTCTAAGGAACAAATCTAAGGCAATGCCCAGCACAATTTAAAGGACAAATATGTGTTTGTTGAATACATAATGCAATCATAAAGCTATTCTTAAAATTTAAGAAAAACATTTCGGTCTATGTCAAAGAAATAAGCTAAATTTACAAAAATGCATTCAAAGAATAAAGTTTATTTAAATAACTCATTTTCATAAAGATCCCCAAACTTGTACCATGTATAACCAAAATTATAAAATTAATATTATAAAATGTCAACAGTTAAGTCATCTTGTTTCATTTCTCAGATTCAATGAGGTTGGCATCCATATTTAGTCAGGAAGGCAACTGTGCTATAGAACCTCTCTCAAACCCACCCACCATTTCTCCCCAAATTCACATACCATTCTAACATGTCTTCCATTTTCTGTCATTCACACCACTTTTCCTCTTTCAAACAAGGCTGTCTGCTCTAATCTTTCAACTTGCTATGTCAATTATTTGGTATTATTGTTTTGCATGAATCTTCCAAAAGCAAAAAATTTCCTTTTATCATCCACTTTCTTTTGTTTTCTGAGACAGGGTCTCACTCTGTCACCCAGGCTGGAGTGCAGTGGCATGATCTCGGCTCACTGCAACCTCCACCCCCCACGTTCAAGCAAACCTCCCACCTCAGCCTCCTGAGTAGCTGGGACTACAGGCATGCGCCACCATGCCCAGCTAATTTTTGTATTTTTGGTAGAGACAGGGTTTCGCCATGTTGCCCAGGATGGTCTCGAACTGCTGAGCTCAAGTGATTTCATCCCTCTTGGCCTCCGAAAGAGCTGGGATTACAGCCGTGAACCACCACACCCGTCTTATCATCCACTCTTAACTACGAAAACTCACTTTGATTCTAGTACTTCAAGCGGAACACTAAAGTAGACTAGTTCAGGCGACTAGGGTTCTAGACCAGCTCAACCACCAAATTATGAGAGATTGGGCCTAAAAGTCTGAAATTTCTCAATGAATGAACTCCTATTTCTCAAGCACCTGGCACGGGAGACAGTTTGTATATACCATTGCATTTCATTTGTGTGGGACACAGTAGGTGTACTCTGTACATATTATTAAGTGAATAAACTACCTTAAAATTAAGTACTATGGTCAGGTGCAGTGGCTCATGCCTGTAATCCCAGCACTTTGGGAGGCTGAGGCAGGTGGATCACTTGAGGTCAGGAGTACAAGACCAGCCTGGCCAACGTGGCAAAACCCCATTTCTACTAAAAATACAAAAATTAGCCAGGTGTGATGACACATGCCTGTAATCCCAGCTACGCAGGAGGCTGAGGCAGGATAATTGCTTGAACCCAGGAGGTGGAGGTTGCAGTGAGCCAAGATTGAGCCACTGCACTCCAGCCTGGGTGATATCGAGATTCCATCTCAAAAAAATTAAAAAATTAGCCGGGTGCGGTGGCAGGCGCCTGTAATCCCAGCTACTTGGGAGGCTGAGGCAGGTGAATCACTTGAACCCGGGAGGCGGAGGTTGCAGTGAGCCGAGATTGCACCATTGCACTCCAGCCTGGGGGACAGAAGTAAGACTTCGTCTCAAAAAATAGTAATAGCCAGGCGCGGTGGCTCACGCCTGTAATCCCAGCACTTTGGGAGGCCGAGGCGGGCAGATCACAAGGTCAGGAGATCGAGACCATCCTAGCTAACACGGTGAAACCCTGTCTCTACTAAAAACATAAAAAATTAGCCGGGCGTGGTGGCGGGCACCTGTAGTCCCAACTACTTGGGAGGCTGAGGCAGGAGAATGGCGTGAACCCGGGAGGCAGAGCTTGCAGTGAGCCGAGATCGTGCCACTGCACTCCAGCCTGGGCGACAGAGCAAGACTCTGTCTCAAAAAAAAAATAATAATAATAATAATAATAATAAAAATAATTAAAAATTTTTTTTAAACAATTAAAATTTTTTTTTAAAGTACTGCATGTGTTTGCAGATACACAGAAAAACATCATTTACCTTCTAAGGGAATTCTGTTTGTCCAAGGGTACCCATGTGATGTCACAGCCAGACACTGTACCAAGGTACAGGGGTTTTTGCACTGCATTCATACCCTGAAAGCTTTCTAAACTGCACAGCACTAAAACCTAAACCTACCAAATTTTCACTACCAATGCAGTGTTTTCTCCCCTTACTCTAATGTGGACTTTTATGTTCAAATTCAGTTAGTCTCTCTATCATGCCTACTAAATGATACTACTAAGAATTCAAAAGATGAAAGTAATTTTAAAGATAATTTAGTATTAACAGAGATCTCTCATTTTAGAGATGAGGAAAAAGAAATCACCCAAGGACATTCAGAAAGTTAACATGCCCAGTTCAGTCAGTTAGCCAACGGTAATTTATTGCATATTTGCCTACTACAAATCAGGCACAAACAGTGCTGGTCTGCATTAAAACTATGTTAAAACAGATCTGAAAATGAAGCATTTCTGTACTTTTCAGTTTATCAGGAAATGTAGATATTACACAAACAATTACATAGTTAGATGAATGGTATCAAGGGGAAGAAGAAAATGCTATGAAATGTATTTAGCAGTGACTTAACCTAGTCTACAAATTTAAAAGGCATCCATGAGATCAGAAGGATGAAAAAGCATTTGCTATAGGGAAAGGTAAGAAAGTTTTAGTAGAGGAGGTCCACAACAGAAGAAATGGAGTATAGGTGTAAAAGAAACAAGACATAAAACTAAATATATAATCAGGACCATATATGCCCAACCTTGAATGATTTTGAACTTTATCATATGGTTACTGGAAAGCCACTGAAAAATTTTAAGTAGAGCCATAATGTGATTAAAGAATTTAAAAGATCACTCTGGAACATCTTATTGTGTTAAAAAGTAAGTAAAGACCAAAAAACTAATGGATATTTTAAAAAATAAAATGAAACAAAAAGAAGGTAGGTTAGAGGGGCTCCCACAGGCTGAATATGGGATAATTTGAGTATCAAAATGAATACTGGTAACAATGGATCATGACACACTGATTAAAGAATTCGTGAGACCTTACTGATACATAAAAATAAACAAGCATTCATAGAAGGAAAATATAAGACAAGGCCCTAAAATATGGTGGAGAAAAAGGAAGGGAGAGAGATAAATGAAATATACTATTCTACAGGTTCTATAAATGATATAATTTTTAAAGATAATAACTTAAAAGATGCATGCTGTAATCTTTACAATAACCTCTAAATACAAAGGAATACATCTAAATACTCAAAATAGAACAGTGAAAAAATGCAATCTACCTACAATAAGGCGAGAATAAAGAACAAATGGCATCAATAAGACACAAATAAGAAGACAGAAGACTTAAATCCAACTATGTAATTACTACATTAAGTCTAAAAGGAATAAACACAACAATTACAAACTGTCAGACTGCAGAAAAAGGCAAAACCCACATAGAGACACAGACTGAAAGTCAAAGGGTGGGGAGGGTAACACATGTCAATCCAAACACTAAGCATAAAAAAACCCTGATATTATATATAACCACATTAATCTCAGATATAGGAGGCCTAAAGAGAAAGTATGCACCCAGCACAGTGGCTCACACCTGTAATCCCAACACTTTGGGAGGCAAAGGAAGGAGGATCACTTGAGGCCTGGAGTTGGAGACCAGCCTGGGCAACAAAGCAAGAAAAATCCCATCTCCACAAAAAATAAGAAAACTCAGCTAGGCACAGTGGTGTGTACCTGTAGTTCCAGCTACTTGGGAGGCTGAGATGGGAGGACTGCTGGAGCCCAGGAGTTCGAGGCGGCAGTAAGTTATGATTACGCCACTGCACTCCAGCCTGGGTGATGAGCAAGACACTGTCTCTAAAAAAAAAGAAGAGAAAACATGACAAGAATAGAGTCACTCAGCCAAGCATGGTGGCCCAAGTCTGTAATCCCAACACTTTGGGAGGCTGAGAGATCACCTGAGAAAAAAAATCTTAAAAAAAACAGAAAGAAAAAAGAATAGAGTCACTAAATATGATCATCAACAAGACATAACTCTATATGTGAAGCAACTAACAATACAACTTCAAAATACATGAAGCAAAAAACAGAACTAAAGAGATAAGTAAAATCTCCAACTGTGGCTGCAGATTTATAGTTCTGTCAGTTAGAACAAGACAAAAAAACAAGTAAGACACAGAAGATTTTTACAGCCCTACCAACCAACTTGACCCAAGTGGTATTTATAGAAACACTACACCTAATAACTTGGTATGCACTTTTTAAAGTTTACTTGTGGGCTGGGCGCAGTCGCTCACGCCTGTAATCCCAGCACTTTGGGAGGCCAAGGCGGATGGATCACGAGGTCAGGAAATCAACACCATCCTGGCCAACATGGTGAAACCCCATCTCTACTAAAAATACAAAAATTAGCTGGTCGTAGTAGCGCATGCCTGTAATACCACCTACTTAGGAGGCTGAGGCAGGAGAATCGCTTGAACCAGGCAGTCAGAAGTTGCAGTGAGCTGAGATTGCGCCACAGCACTCCAGCCTGGGGACAGAGCAAGACTCTGTCTAAAAAATAATAAAAAATAAAGTTTACTTGTGGAGGCACCAAGATACACTATATGCTGGACCATAAAAAAAGAGCATCGATAGAAATCAAATAATTGAGGCTGGGAGTGGTGGCTCACACGTGTAATCCTATCACTTTGGAAGGCCAAGGTGGGAAGATTGCTTGAGGCCAGAAGCTGGAGACCAGCCTGGGAAACATGGTGAAACCCCATATCTAAAAAAAAAAAAATACAAAAAAAAAATTAGCCAGGCATTGTGGCACACGCTATAGTCACAGGTACTCTTAAGAGGCTGAGGTGGGAGGATGATTTGAGCCCAGGAGGCAGAGGTTGCAGTAAGCTAAGATCGAGCCATTGCACCCCAGCCTGGATGACAGAGCCAGATCCCGTCTCAAAGAAAAAAAAAAAGAAAAAAAAATCAAATAACTGAAATAATAGAAAATACATTCTCTGACCTCAGTGGTATTAAATTTGAAATCACTATAAAACAAGATAATTACAATATCAAAAATTAGAAATTAAGCATACTTCTAAAGAAACTGTATGGCCGGGCGCGGTGGCTCACGCCTGTACTCCCAGCACTTTGGGAGACCAAGGCGGGCAGATCACTAGGTCAGGAGTTCGAGACCAGCCTGGCCAACATAGTGAAACCCCATCTCTACTAAAAATACAAAAAATTAGCCGAGTGTGCTGGTATGCACCGGTAATCCCAGCTACTCAGGAAGCTGAGGCAGGAGAATCGCATGAATGTGGGAGGCGGAGGTTGCAGTGAGCCAAGATCATGGCATTGCACTCCAGCCCAGGCGACAGCGCGAAACTCCGTTTCAAAAAAAAAAAAGAAACTGTATGGTAATGTAAGTAGAAAAATAAATCAGAGAAAACTCAGTAAATATTTTGAACTGAATGATATATAAACACAACTTACTAAGAGTTTGGGGATGCACTTAAAGCAGGGCTTAGAAATGTCTATAGCTTTAAACCATAAGTTATTGATATAACTTAAAGAAGGATGCCAAATCAAGAAGCTAGGAAAAGAAAGCAAAGTAAACCCAAAATAAGTGGAAAGAAGGAAATAATAAAGATAAAAGCAAACATCAATCAAATAATGATAAAAGCAAAAATAAATTAAATAGAAAATAAAGAACAGCATAAAAATCAGTGAAACCAAAAATGAGTTCTATCAAAAGATCAATATAGGCTGGGCGCTGTGGCTCATGCATGTATCACTTGAGGTCAGGAGTTTGAGACCAGCCTGGCCAACATGGCAAAGCCCTGTCTCTACTAAAAATCCAAACATTAGATCGGTGTGATGGTGCGTGCCTATAGTCGCAGCCACTTGGGAGGGTGAGGCAGGAGAATCGCTTGAACCCAGACGGCGGAGGTTGCAGTGAGCCGATATTGTGCCACTGTACTCCAGCCTGGGTGACTCCGTCTCAAAAACAAACAAACAAACAAACAAAAAACACAAATTGCCAATATCAGGAATGAAAGAGAGATCACCACTACAAATCTACAGACATTACAAGGAATATAAAGAAATACTATAAGCAATTTTTTTTCTTTTCTTTTTTTTTTTTTTTTGAGACAAGGTATCCCTCTGTCACCAGGCTGGAGTGCAGTGGTACCATGACAGCTCATTGCAGCCTCGACCTCCCAAGTTCAACTGATCCTCCCACCTCAGCCTCCAGAGTAGCTGGCACTACAGGCAATCACCACACCTAACTAATTTCTGGATTTTTTGCAAAGACAAGGTTTTTTTGTTTTTTTTTTTTTGCCAGGTTTCCCAGGTTGGACTCGAACTCCTAGACTCAAGTGATCCTCCCACCTCAACCTCTGGTGGAGCTAGGAATATAGGCGTGGTCACTATGCCCTGGATAATTTTTTTTTTTTTTTGGAGACAGTGTTTCCCTGTATTGCTCAGGCTGGTCTCAAACTCCTGGCCTCAAGCAATCCTCCCACCTCCAGCCTCCAGAGTAGCTGAGATTGCAGGCATGAGCCACCACATCAGGCTCTCTTTTTAAAAACAGCTCTTTAAAATGCAAAAGCCAGACTGGGTGCAGTAGCTCACACCTGTAATCCCAGCACTTTAGGAGGTCAAGGCTGGAGGATCACATAAGCCCAGAAGTTTGAGACCAACTTAGCAACATAGTAAGATCCCATCTCTACAAAAAAATAGTCAAATTAGGCTGGGCGCTGTGGCTCACACCTGTAATCCCAGCATTTTGGAAGGCCGAGGAGGGCGGATCATGAGGTCAGGAGATCGAGACCATCCTGGCTAACATGGTGAAACCCTGTCTCTACTAAAAATACAAAAAATTAGTGGGGCATTGTGGCAGGCACCCATAGTTCCAGCTACTCGGGAGGCTGAGGCAGGAGAATGGCATGAAACCGGGAGGCGGAGCTTGCAGTGAGCTGAGATCGCACCACTGCACTCCAGCCTGCACAACAGAGCAAGACTCCATCTCAAAAAAAAAAAAAAAAAAAAAAAAAGTCAAATTAGCCAGTCCGCTGGCACAGGCCTGTAGTCCCAGCTTCTCCAGAGGCTGAGGCAGGAGGATCTATTGAGCCCAGGGGTCAAGGCAGCAGTGAGCTGTGATGGTGCCACTGCACCCCAGCCTGAGTAACATAGCAAGGCCCTGTCACAAAAAAAAAAAAAAAAAAAAAAAAAGCAAGAGCCGTTTTTAGCTTGTGGATAATACAAAAATAGGCTACCGACTAGAATTTGGCCTGTGAGCTACAGCTTGTTGACCCTTGTTCTAGAGACTGCGCTCAGACAACAAAAATGAATGGAACAGGATTTCAACTTTTCGGCTATTATGAAGTAACAGAGAGTGGATTTACCTTCCTGCCTTAAACAACTAAAAGGTCAGACAAAATTATGAAGTAAATTTTTCAGGCATTGGAGAACAGGCAGAATAGAACAGTAAGCTCTGAGAGAAGAGAAACAAACGAGGTGAGTCCTATCATTGCCCCAGCTTACCATCTGAGAGTTTCCAGGCCACATAGCATACAGAGTGAACCTAAATGGAGCCTGGCAATCTCCCGAAGTTGAGGAAACAGGGTTCAGAGTTAGCAGACATCAAAGAGGCCAGAATACTAAAAAGGAGAGAGATACACTGAGAAGTTCAGAGATCTGCAGAGTACTCTCCTCTAGTCTTCAGCTAAGTATCAAGCTGCACAAGTAAGAGAAGAAACCATGGAGGCCAGTGAAACAGTCACCAGAAAAAAGCGGGCAGAACAATTCCTAGAGTTTATACAGGGCCTGAAATAGTTCATGTTCCATCAACCAGAAGGAAAAGACAAGACTTTTTTTTTTTTTTTTTGAGACACCCTCTCACTCTGTCACCCAGGCTGGAGTACAGTGGCATGACCTTGGCTCACTGCAGCCTCCACCTCCTAGGTTCAAGCGATCCTCCTGTCTCAGTCTCCTGACTAGCTGGGACTACAGGCACCTGCCACCATGCCAGACTAATTTTGTACTTTTAGTAGAGACGAGGTTTCACCATGTTGGCCAGGCTGGTCTTGAACTCCTGACCTTAAGTGATCCGCCCGCCTTGGCCTCCCAAAGTGCTGGGATTACAGGTGTAAGCCACCACACTCAGCCCAGAAGGAAAAGACCTTCTAACACATGGGGTATCACATGGGGCATCAAATATTCAATAGTATAGTAAAAAGTCAGCAGTAGGATAAAATTAGCTTTTGCCAAGAAGCTATTCTGGTGCCACCACGTAACAAAGATTAAAAGTAAGCCTCAAAAAGACTTGTTTATCTTATTATTTTTTAAGGCAGGGATACAGGGTACCAAAAATATCTGTTTCTAGTAACTTTACTGTATCCCAGAACAAAGCTTGAGAATAGTTAAGGGAATTTTTTTTTAAGTCCTGCACCCAACTAGGTAGAGGCCACAATGTCTAGCATTCAATCAAAAGCTACCAAGCATGCAAAGAAGCAAGAACAGCCAATTTATAATGAGAAAGGTTAATCAACAGAAACAGATCCAGAAATTATACAAATGATAAAACTAGTAGACCATTAAAAGAACTATTATAAATATATTCCATGTATTCAAGAAGGTAAAGGTGAAAGCATGAATATACTAAGGAGACACAAAGATATACATAAAAAGTACCCAAACTGAACTTAGAGATGAAAAACCCAATGTCTAAGATGAAAATTACACAGAATGGAACTAACAGAAAATTATACACTGCGGAAGATTGGTGAATTAGAACATACAGCAAAAGAAACAGTCCAAAATAAAAAGAGAAAAAAGGCTAAAGAAAATTAGTGAGCTATGGAACAACATCTAGTGATATAATATACATATAACTGGAGTCAATAAATATGCTAGGGAGAAGACAAAAAGATTTTGAAAATATAATGGCCAAAACTTCCCAATTTTATGAAAACTGTATACTCACAGAATCAGAATGCTCAATGAACCCTGTGCAGAAGTTTGAAATAAACCATACCAAGGCATAATCAAATTCCTGATAAAAAGTGATAGAGAATTCTTAAATGCAGCTGGGGGAAAATGGTATTACATCCAAAGGAACAAAAATAATAAGAGTAGACTCATAGAAGCAATGCTGAGGCAGGAAAATAGAATCTGGAGGCAGGGAACCTAAGGCCAATTCACACTGACTTCCCAGAGCTAAATCAAAAGGAAAACCCCAAATTTCCACACCTAAGTAACAGAAGGGCTGGAGGCTACTCCCTTTGCAAACCCCACTCTTTTTCTATGTGGCAGATGGAAAATTGAAAGAATCTCTGTTGCCGGGCATAGTGGCTCATGCCTGTAATCCCAGCACTTTGGGAGGCCAAGGTGGGCGGATCACGAGGTCAGGAGATCGAGACCATCCTGGCGAACACTGTGAAAACCCGTCTCTACTAAAAATACAAGAAAAATAGCCAGGCGTGGTGGCAGGCGCCTGTAGTCCCAGCTACTCTGTAGGCTGCGGCAGGAGAATGGCATGAACCCAGGGCACGGAGCTTGCAGTGAGCCGAGATGGCACCATTGCACTCCAGCCTGGGCAACAGAGCAAGACTCTGTCTCATAAAAAAAAAAAAAGAAAAGAAAGAAAGAAAGAATCTCTGTTGGTTGCTTTCTGCAACCAATCAGATGTTTGCATAAGAGTGTAACTTTGTAACTTCACTTTAGCCTTTGATTGGTTGCTTTCTGCAACTTACCAGGCAACTATTCAGACTGATTCCTGGCTAAGTCTTTGTTTGCACAGAAGTATAACTTTGTAACTTCACTTTAGCCTTTGATTGGTTGCTTTCCACAACCAGAGGTTTGCATAGGGTATAACTTTTGTAACTTAACTTCAGCCTCTCATTGGGGGCCACTACTTCATTTACAAAGGGTGTACACCAAGTAACCAATGGGAAACCTCTAAAGAGGATTTAAACCCCAGAAAATTCTGTAATGGCACCCTTGAGCCCCTATGCTCCAACCAGCTCCCACACTGTGAAGTTTACTTTCATTGTCAATAATCTCTGCTTTTTTTTTGCTTCATTCTTTTCCCGCTTTGTTTGTGTGTTTTGTCCAATTCTTTGTTCAAGACGCCAAGAACCTGAACACCTTCCATTGGTAACAATGCAATCCAGAAGGTATAGGAGCAACATCTTTAAAGTACTGAAAGTAAAGGAAAATGTCAATCTAGAATTCAAAATCCTGCAAAAATATCTCTCAAAACTACACCAGGTGTGGTGGTGCATACCTGTAATCCCAGCTACTCAAGAGACTGGGGCAGGAGGATCACCTGAGCTCAAGAATTTGAGTTCAGCCTGGGCCACATGGCAAGACTCTGTTTCTTAAAAAAAAAAAAAAAAAACTTTCAAAACTGAAGGCAAAATAAATACTTGTTCAGAAACAGAGAATTCATCACTACCAGACCAGTCTACAAGAGGTATTAAAGGAAAGTCCCTCAGCAGAAGGAAAATGACACCATATGAAAACAAGCATCTACCCTAAGTAAAGAGTATGGCAATGTAACTATGTGGGTTCTCACCAGTTACAAATGGATTGCCTCTCAACTCCAAACCCACTCTTCTCTGCCCTGCTTTACATAATGGAGATGGACCCTGCAAAACTTTCTCCTTTGCCAGCTGGCACAATGTTAACCTTTGTCAGTAGATGGCACTGGAGGAATACTCTAGAAGGAAGGGGCTTCTCTTCCTGTTAACACTGTTCTCTAGCCGGCTTGCTCCAGTGGAGGTGTTGTGCAGGACTCCAAATGGCCCTCCCAGAGACCAACTCCCCAGCAAGTCTCAGTGACACAGGCACACACGCATGAGTAGTTTCCTGACAAGTTTTGTCAGCACTCCAGAAAGCACCTACCCTGCAAGTTTCAGCAGCACCCCTATGGGAGACAGACTTCCCAGAGAATTTTGCCAGTGTCCCAGCCTATCTTCTTAGCCAGATTCAGCAAGGGGCTTCCTAGTGACTTTTTTTTGAGACACAGTATCCTCTGTTGCCCAGGCTGGAGTGCAGTGGTACAAACACAGTGAGTGCACTGCAGCCTTGATCTCCTGGCCTCAAGCAATCCTTCCACCTCAGCCTCTCAAGTAGCTGGGACCATAGGTGCACACCAGTATGTCCAGCTAATATTTTTATTTTTCGTAGAGATGAGGGACTCACCATCCTACTGACTTTTATTGGCACCCCAGGGGGGCATTTTTTAATTGCCAGCAAAAGCCTGCCCCACCTCAGATGTTTCCAGCATCCAGTGGACCACACCTTCTCCAACAAGATCTGAATCTCAGCCTTGAAGCTGGTGGGCTGGCCATCATCCAGATTTATTCCATCCTTGTTAACTTTGCCTCAGACCTAGAGGCAGTGGCCGCTCCCTCTACTGTTATTCTGTATCTTTAGCATTCTCTTTAAGCCTTAGAGTTAATTCCCCATTAATGGTAAATAATTCTTTATGTTAAACTTTCCATATTCAAATTACTGTGTGGTTTCTGTCCTCTGATACAGGACTGGTAGTGGCAGTGGTCATAGGAGACAGGCACACAAAAATGGGATTCAGAATTGCTTTTCGTTGTGTCCTTAGGCTTGAGTATAGGGCTCAAGCAGGAACTAGTTTGGTAATAATCCCACATATGCAGGGGCATCACAGTTAATCAGGCTATCACCTGTGGTTGGTGATGATGAAATGCCAACTAAAGCAAGTACCTTGGGAACCCAAATGGCTGTTGCACTTAACTAGTAAAGCAGTAATGATGGCTACAAAGTCTGTTATGTGAGATGAATTCTCTAAGTGCTCTTCTGCATTTCTGATGAAAATAACAAGTTCAGGTCCGTTAAGTCAGCTCAAGTCACAGTCAGAGAAAGAGAGACCTTTCAAGATAACCTTAAAAATATATATACATTTTTTTTTTTTTTGTGACAAGCACCCAGGCTGGAGTGCAGTGGCGTGACCTCGGCTCACTGCAACCTCAGCTCACAGCAACCTCTGCCTCCCAGGCTCAAACCATCCTCCCATCTCACCCTCAGGTGTAAGCCAAAATGCCTGGCTCATTTTTGTATTAATAATCTTAATTCTTATATAACCACAGGTTGATATTGCTGAAAATCAAATGCAAAATTTAATTGTGCAAACTGAATTACAAAATTAGTTGAATTCAGTCTCGCCAAGTTTATTGTGTGAAAGTGAGGGCAGACAGAACGAGACTCCATCTCAAAAAAAAAGAAAGAAAGAAAAAGTAAGAGCAGGCTGGGCGCGGTGCCTCACGCTTGTAATCCCAGCACTTTGGAAGGCCAGGGCAGGTGGATCACCTGAGGTCAGGAGTTCAAGACCAGCCTGACCAACATGGTGAAACTCCGTCTCTACTAAAAATGCAAACGTTAGCAGGGTGTGGTGGCGCACGCCTGTAATCCTAGCTACTCAGGAGGCTGAGGCAGGAGAATCGCCTAAACCCGGGAGATGGAGGTTGCAGTGAGCCAAGATGGCGTCACTGCACTCCAGCCTGGGCAATAAGAGCGAAACTCCCATCTCAAAAAAAAAAAAAAAAAAAAAAGAAAGAAAGAAAGAAAAAGAAAAGGTAAGAACAGTTACTGGGAAATAATGGGACCTTGAAACTTCAAATGGGAATATCTGGTTGGATCAGAATGAAACTGACTATTTCAAACTTCCACCTGCCCTCTGTATCTAAAAAGAATAGCCTTCTTTTGCTGGAAAATCATGTGATATCCTCATGTGCAATAGATGCCCTACAGGAGGACGTTCATTCTCATCAAAACCAACCACAGCTAACCCCGTCATCACTAGAGCCATAACTAGGGTCAAATCTCAGCATGTTGTAGGGGGACAGGTACACACAATGGAAACAGTTTTACAGGCCAAAAAATTCCAAGATTTTGCTAATATATAAAAGCAGAAATCTGAGGGACATGTGAAAACAGAGTCTCAGGATATTACACTAAGGTGGTTAGAATTTACTGATACGAGGTGCATGTAATACAGATTCTGAATTGAATATGTTAGCTTGTGTAGATGGAGGTATCGCTAGTGGCTTCTCTGGTTGTTGACTGAAACTTAGATTCAACAATAGTCTATATTTAATAAGACTGAGACAGTAGATTTCCCTGGCATTATCTGGAAGAGGGAATCCTGAAGTGGACTCATCCTCTGCAACCTGCACACCTACCACCCAACTACATTTCCTGAGAAGGCCCAGGGGTCATTCTGTTAGTAAGGGGAACACTCATCTTTGAAAAGTCCTGTGGCTGTTCTCCTTTGTAGGTCAGGGATAACCGCAGAAAATGCCACACTGAGATGGGCTCCTTGACTTCACCAAGGATAATGGGATACCAAAGTAGCAGAGGCCAAATGGCACTATTTAACCCCAAAGATAAGGACAGCAGGGACATACCGGTAATCAGAATGTTTTGGCCAGCAGGGATCTTTGGCAGTGGCTAATTGATCACGATGTTCCTAGGAATGAAATAGATGGGCAGTTTAATCTATATAACAGAAAAATGGCTAAATCTGGTGGCCAAAACCCAACTTGACTTATCACAGTGCAAGTCATGGGCATTTTCCCAGTTTCCAAAGTTAGTCAATTCACAGGCCCAGCCAGACTCTTGACTGAGGACAGACTGGGTCCTCTTGAGGAAGGACTCTGCACCATTACTGCAAGTATATACCATAAATCTTCCTCCAAGTCTTCCCCAAAGGAATTTATGTACCCATTTAGCAGAGCTGTGGTTCTTAACCAGAGCAATTTTGCTCCCCAAATCTAGAAAATCTGACAATGTCTGGAGGCAGTTTTGGTTGTCAGAGCTTGGGTGTGCTGTTGAAATCTAGTAGATAGAAACCAGGGATGCTGAAACGTCCTACAATGTACAGAACAGCCCCCACAACAAATTATCTGACCTTAAAAGGCCCTACATTATCTATAACCTGTTATTCCCCTGATCTCATCTACTGTTATTCACCACCTTGCTCACTCATGTTCAGCTACTGCCTCTATGCTGCCTCTTTGATGTTCACAAAACATATACAACACTCTCCTGCCTCATAATCTTTGCCCTTGCTGTTCCTTCTACCTGGAATGTTCCTCCTATCAGATACCCATATGACTTCTCATTTCTTTCAGATCTTTGCTTAACTGCCACTGTTCAGAATTGCAATACCCTCTCCACCGAAGTACACTGTATCTCTATTGTCTGCTTTATCTTCCTCTATAGAAATGTTTTATTTAAAATGTTGTACATTAATTATTTGTTTAGCAGTTATTCCCACCCCATCCCTGGAATGTAAACTCCATAGAGCAGAGATTTTCTCCATTTTATTCATTACTGTATCCTCCGTACCTACAATGGTTCCTCATGCATAACAGGCACTCAAACACTTGTTGAATGAAAGCATGAATGGTGACTGGAATAGAAATTAGGGATGTGAAGCACAGTGGAATCTAAAATGACTCAAGTGGTTATCTATTGTTTTTATCTGTTCAATACCTTGTTCTGAAAAGTCCGTTCTCTGATATTTCAAAGACATTTACCTTTTTCAAAATGTGACAATGTTTTCAATGTAGTCAAATCTCATTCTTTTGAATTAATTTTTTTTGTTTACGCTTGGAAAGCGTACCATCCCAAGATATTTACCTACATTTTCTTTCAGTACTTTAATAGTTTCATTTTCTTATATTCATATATTGAATTCAAATAGGATATGTATTGGCATTTGGAATAAGAAAAAGATCTAACTTTTTCCCCAAAATGGCCAGTAGACCATCCAAACACGAATGATCTATATACTCTACTGTTATATAGACATGAATCTGTTTATTTGTAACAATTCAGCATTCCCATACCAGTATCATATTTAAGACCCTACTATAGAACAAGGTTCTATATTCCCCTACTGCCCCCTGCCTTCATAATTCTTCTAATTCAAGATTGTCTTGCCTTTCACATATTATCCTGCCCTATCTATCATCAAATAGAATAATTTTTAAAACCCCTACTGGGATACTTAATGTAATAATATTAATTTTAATTAATTTTATGGAACACATACTTTTATAATATTGAGTTTTTCCATCCAGGAACATGATATACCACTCTATTTTTTTCCAAGTCCCAGAGTTTTCACACATTCTATGAAAAGATCATATAAAGCAGCAAGAAAGTTATTAAGATATGCCACAGTCAATTTCAAGAGAAAAGACTGAATGAAAGAATAATTGGAACAAACATTTTGATTCCTTTTTTTTTTTTTTGAGACAGTGTCTCACTCTGTCACCCAGGCTGGAGTGCAGTGGCGCAATCTTGGCTCACTGCAACCTCTGCCTCCTGGGTTCAAGCGATTCTCCTGCCTCAGCCTCCCAAGTAGCTGGGACTGCAGGCGCGTGCCACCACGCCCAGCTAATTTTTTGTGTTTTTAGTAGAGATGGGGTTTCACTGTATTAGCCAGGATGGTCTCGATCTCCTGACCTCGTGCTCCCAAAGTGCTGGGATTACAGGTGTGAGCCACCGTGCCTGGCCTGATTCTTAAATAATTCAAGTATTCCACAGAATGGAAGGCTAAAAAAGAGTATGTTTATTCCCACTTCCTAGCATCGACCTCCAGGGCTCCCATGACACTACCCTTGACTTCTACTCTTTCTCCTTGGCTTCGAGAAATTACCACCTAGTATATGCTAGGTATTTCATGTGCGCTAAACCTATCGAAACCTACTGAAACAGAATTAGACACTATCTGTATTTCCATTTAATCCATTAAAAAAGAAAAACCCACAGCCGGGCGCAGGAGCTCACGCCTGTAATCTTAGTACTTTGGGAGGCCGAGGCAGGTGGATCACCTGAGGTCAGGAGTTCAACATCAGCCTGACCAACATGGCGAAACCCCTCATCTCTACTAACAATACAAATATTAGCCAGGTGTGGTGGCGCATTGCCTGTAATCTCAGCTACTCAGGAGGCAGAGGCAGTAGAATCACTTGAACCCGGGAGGCACAGGTTGCAGTGAGCCAAGATCCTGCCACTACACTCCAGCCTCGGTGACAGAGTGAGACTCTGTCTCAAAAACAAAAACAAAAACCATGTTAATGGCATGGTATGGTGGTTCACACCTGTAGTCCTAGCACTTCGGGAGGCTGAGGCAGGAGGATCATTTGAGCCCAGGACTTTGAGACCAGCCTAAGTAACATAGGAAGACCCTGTCTCTACAACAAATAGAAAAAAAAATTAGCCGAGCATGGTGGCAGGTACCTATAGTCCCAGCTACTCAGGAGGCTGAGGTGGGAGGGTTGCTTGAGCCTAGGGGTTAGAGGCTGTAGAAAGTCATGATCATGCCACCATACTCCAGCCTGGGTGACAGAGCAGGAACCTGTCTCAAAAAAAAAAAAAATGTTAATGGTATCACAGACACAATTCTATTATGGTAGCAGTACCTACTCTACAATACTTCACCTTCTCCCTCATGTTCTACTTCAGAAGGTCTAGAATAGATAGGGCCTGGGCATTTTCATACTGTAAAGGCGGGAAGGCGGTGGGGAAATGGGGGAACTCCCCTGGGGGTTCTGAAGCACATTATTAATTAAAAACAACTAAATCGCAGGGCGCGGTGGCTCACGCCTGTAATCCCAGCACTTTGGGAGGCCGAGGCGAGTGGATCACCTGATGTTAGGAGTTAGAGGTCAGCCTGGCTAACGTGGTGAAACCCGGTCTCTACTAAAAATACAAAAAAATTAGCCAGGCATGGTGGCAGGTGCCTGTAATCCCAGCTATTCAGGAGGGTGAGGCAGGAGAATTGCTTGAATCCAGGAGGCAGAGGTTGTAGCGGCCTGAGATCATGCCATTGCACTCCAGGCTGGGCAACAGAGTGAGACTCTGTCTCAAAAAAAACAACTAACCGCTGCACGACGTGGCATATGCCCATAGCCCCAGCTACTCAGGAGGCTGAGGCAGGAGGATCACTTGAGCCCAGGAGTTCTGGGCTATAGTGTGCTAGCTATGCCAATTGGGTATCTGCACAATGGTAGACATCAATATGGTAACCTCCCAAGTGCAGGAGACCACCAGGTTACCTAAGGAGGAGTGAACTGGCTCAGGTCAGAAACGGAGCAGTTCAAAACTCCCATACTGATCAGTAGTGGGGTCGCGCCTGAGATTAGCTACTGCGTTCCAGCCTGGGCAACATACCAACACCCTGTGTCTAAAACTAAAACAAAAACACAAGACTAAACCAAGATATGCTTTCTCTTAGGTCTTCTGATGCTATCTATCTGCTGATTTCTAGAAAATTAAATTTGTGTGTCTGAATGTCTGTGTGTATATTCACTTGCCTCAATCTCTATCTTGGGCTTCAGTTCCCAACTAACTTTAGAATAGTCTTTACTTGCAAGACTCAAATAAAAACACTATGGTATCAAAGCGGGAATGTGGTGCAAAAAGGGCCTGCTAAATAGTAACAATCATGGCTGGGCACGGTGGCTCATGCCTGTAATCCCAGCACTTTGGGAGGTCAAGTAGATCACCTGAGGTCAGGAGTTCAAGACCAGCCTGGCCAACACATGGTGAAACCCTGTATCTACTAAAAATACAAAAAGTAGACAGGCGCGGTGGCAGGCACCTGTAATCCCAGTTACTTGGGAGACTGAGGCAGGAGAATCGCTTGAACTCAGGAGGCATAGGTTGCAGTGAGCTGAGATTGCACCATTGCACTCCAGCCGGGGTGACAAGAGTGAAACTCTGTCTCAAAAAAAAAAAAAAAAAAAAGTAACAATCACTACCACTACTATTATTGCTAATAACTGTAGCTATGTCTGGAGACAAAAGGGAAAAGAAAGAAAAAGCTGGTTCTTGAAGGAAGAGCAGGTAGAAAGACATCTGGAGACAGAAAAAAATAAAATGCTAAAAGGCACAGAAGTTAGATATGACACAAAAAGCATAATCCATAAAAGAAAAAAATTGATAAAGTAGACTTCATCAAAATAAAAAATTTCTGCTCTTTGAAAAACACTTAAGAAAATGAAGCTGATGTGGGAGGGTCACTTCAGGCCAGAAATATGAGACCAGCCTAGGCAACAAAGCAAGACCCGGCACCCTATTTCTGCAAAAAAAAAGAAAGTGAAAACAAGCCACAAACTGGGGGGAATATTTTCAAAACATTAATAAAGGATGTGTATCCAAAATATATAAAGAACTCTCAAAACACAATATAAGAAGACATACAGTATTTATATGATCCAGTAATCCTACTCCTTTTACCCAAGAAAAATGAAAACATGTTTATATAAAAACCCATGAACAAGAAATGAAAATGTACTGCATCTTGATTATAGTGCTAATTTTACCACTATATGCATATGTCAAACCTTACAGAACTGTACAATGAAAGGATGAATTTTACTCTATATAAATTATACTGTAATAAACCTTATTTCAAAAATATTTATCACATGCCTGAACCAGTAATTTAATTTCTAGAGAACTAGAGCTACAGACAGAAACTACATATAATGCTATTTGGTTTAGCTTCTTTTTTAAAAATAACAGCTTTATTGAGATATAATTCAAATGCCACATAACTCATCAATTTAAATTGCACAATTCAATTGTGCTTAGTATATTCAGAGCAGTACAATCATTACCACAATCAATTCTAGAATATTTTCATCCAGCCAGGCATGGTGGCTCATTCCTATAATCCCAACACACTTTGGAAGGCCAAGGCAGGAAGATTGTTTGAGGCCAGGAGTTCAAGACCAGCCTGGGCAACATAGCAAGACCCCAATCTCTACAAAAAATGAAAAATGAGCCAGGCATGGTGGCATGCACCTCTAGTCCTAGCTATTGGAGAGGCAGGAGGATCCCTTGAGCTCAGGAGTTCAAAGCTGCAGTGAGCTATGATTGCACCACTGCACCCCAGCCTGGGTGACAGAGCCGGATCCCGTCTCTAAAAAAATAAAAACTAAGTAAGTAAATAAGATCAGGAAACAGAACTGTACATGTGATGTTAACCATGTAAAAACACATACCTGCAAAGAAATATCCTAGAAAGAAATATGCTAAGCATAAGTACAATTAGTAGTTATGGCTGAATAAAATATGATTTTTAAAAAGACAAGAAAACTGGAAAGTCAGTCCAGGAGAGATGGCTCACGCCTGTAATCCCAGCATTTTGGGAGGCCAAGGCGGGTGGATCACTTGAGGTCAGGAGTTCAAGGCCAGCCTGGCCAACATGGAGAAACCCTGTCTCTACTAAAAATACAAAAATTAGCTGGGCGTGGTAGTGCGCATCTGTAATCTCAGCTACTTCAGAGGCTGAGGTGGGAGAATCACTTGAGCCCGGAAGCCAGGGGCTGCAGTGAGTTGAGATCGCACCACCGCACTCCAGCCTAGGTGACAGAGTGAGACTCCATCTGAAAGAAAAGAAAAGAAAAGAAAAAAAAGAAAAGAAAGAAAACTGGCAAGTCAATCACTATGATATATTGTCATAATTTATATAAGTGAATGGTATGAAAAGCAGCTATTATACATAGAATACAACAATCTAAAAAGGTCTTTAGGATATATGGTAAAAGTATCTGGACCAGTGGTATTCAACCAGGGGCAATTTTGTTCCCCAGAAGATACTGGTAATGTCTGGAGATATTTTTAGTTACCACAACTAGTGGGGCAGTGCTATTGACATCTTAGTTGATAGTGGGTTAAGTATGCAGCTGAATATCCCACAATGCACAAGACAATACCCCACAACAAAGAATTACCTGGTCCATAATGCCAACAGTGCCAACGTTGAGAACCCCTGATTCAGACTACACTGTAGGTGTTAAGTAATCACCAATTTTTAAATCAGTGGAGTGATCTAAAGTAAGGAAATAATAGCTTCCTCCTTCATCCCGACCACTGTGTATTCTTTCCCCAGTTTTCCTATCTCAATTAATGGTGCCACCAACTATCTAGCACTAACCCTGCTACCTAGGGGTTAGTGGTCTTCTTTATTTCACTACATTTATCAACAAGTCCTATTGACTGTACCTCCAAAATATATCCCAACCAATTCTCATCATCTACACTCTACTCCAATGATTACTTTCATACCTGAATTATACCAATAGCTTCCTAACTGACCCTCTGTTTCCCATCTTGCTCCCTGAAGTTCATCTCATATACAGGAGCCAAAAGAATCTTTTTAAGAGATCATACTCTTTAGATCATACACAAAAACCAACATGCTCAGAGAATTATCTATTCTTCCTACTGCAATCACTATCATATTATCTTATGCTGTCCTGTTTTCTTCACTACCTAAAATTATTTTCTCTATTTCTTTTTTATTTTCTATCTTACCCCCACCACTAGCACAAAGCTTAACTTCCTTATTATTCTTTGTCCAGCACTTGGAACCACATCTGACACATGTCCTAAATATTTGTTCAATGAATGAATCTCTTCTGTACTAATGGTCTATTTGTTCTACTGGAGACAGAGTAACAATAAATCTGAGCAGGAAGGAGACTGAATCTCCTAAAGTGAACTGATATTCCCAATGTTAGTCAGCCAGGACACAAATTATAGGTCATGAAATAAGGTCTTTGGAAGAAAGGAAAAAAATAAGTTAATTCCCCCAGATTTCAACCTGCTTCTGAGTTTCAAAGAAAAGATGCCCTCTGCTCACCATGAGACAACTGAAAGCTCAGCAAGTAGATGCTGCCTATTTCTCCTAGATCAGCCACACATAATACATATATAAATACATACATATTTGTTCTGCAATTCCCTATTATACTAAGTTTTTAATAAAGTCTGTTTTGAAATAATCACAGCCTGGTCTCAGCTGTGCTGGGTGGAATTAGGCAAAGATTCTGTCACCACAGAGGGTGGGGTCACGAGCAGGGCCTCTACCAAAGCTAGCGTGATAGTAGCAAAGACATTCAGAAAGAAACTCTCCCACAAAGAAAAAGTAAATTTCTGATAGGAGTCAGAGCTGTAAGGCAAGCTGCCTTTCGCCACAGGAAAAAACTCTGACCAATAACCACCTTAGAGAACTGGAATAATAAGGGAGCCAACTTGTTACCTCAAAGATAAACATGTTTTCATTTTAGAAGAAAAATCTGTCTCCAATGTGTAAAAATGAATGGGGTAGAGGAAACAGTAAAGAAGGGAGTGCGAAAAGAAGAGTTGTAAAAGCAAGGAAAGTCAAAAGACAAAACATGCAAAATGAGTACCAGAACTAAGGTGGTGGCAGTAGAACATCAAAAATGTTTTTAAAATCATACCTGATGTAGTATTAACAAGACTTAGCAATTAAAACTAAACAGTAAGGGAAAGGGAAGAAACAAAAGATGACTCACAGATTTCTAACTTGGGTGACTAGAAGCCAGTAACTAATAGAGATAATATGTGAAGAATAACAGACTGGGGCTGCAGAGGGCTATGATCTTGCCACTGCATTCCATCCAGGGCAACATAGCAAGACTGTCTCTAAAATAAAAATAAAAATAGGCCGGGAGTGGGGGCTCACGTCTGTAATCCTAGCATTTTGGGAGGCCAAGGCTGGTAGACCGCGAGGTCAGGAGTTCGAGACCAGCCTGACCAACATGGTGAAACCCCATCTCTACTAAAAATACAAAAATTAGCCAGGCATGGTGGCGCATGCCTGTAATCCCAGCTACATGGGAGGCTAAGGCAGGAGAATCGCTTGAACCCGGGAGATGGAGGTTGCAGTGAGCCGAGATTGCGTCACTGCATTCCAGCCTGGGTGACAGAGCAAGACTCCGTCCCCCAAAAAATAAAATAAAATAAAAATAAAAATAAAATAAATAGGAAAAATAACAAGTTGAGAAGGGGAGGGCACTAGGTGTGTGAGCAAGTAATTGGCAGGGAAGAAGGAAGTAGGAGTTCAGTTGTAGACATAGTGAATTTGCAGTATTTGTATGACAGCAAAAACACAAGATTTTTAGTTTTAAAGACAAAAACAGAAGCGAAGAAGTAAAATGGAAATCACATAATGTACTTAATGGGTAGATCCTAAAACTACTACTATAAGCCAGTGGCTGATGCCTGTAATCCCAGCACTTTGGGAGGCCAAGGAAGGAGGATCACTTGAGGCCAGGAGTTCAAGGCCAGCCTGGGTAATATAGCAAGACCCCATCTCTTAAAAAATACTAAGTAAAAAAAAAAAAAAAATTAAGTAAAACCACTATTGTAGAAGAGATTGCTCAAGAAAATACAAGCTGAGGGAATAACACTTATTGAGCACGCAAAAAGAGCAATTCAAGAGGAGAACCATGAGAATGCCATCTCATAAAACAAGGAAAAAGTCGAGGAAGGAAGGGCAACAGAAATAAGAAAGGTCAAATAAAGATCTAAGAAAAGTCAAATAAAATAATCTCTGAAAAGCATCCATTAGATTTGGTGATTATTAGATCATTTCAGTGTTCCTAAAGAGAAGAATTTCAGTGCCAAAACAGAAAGATAAGCTAGGGCCAGGCAGGGTGGTTCACACCTATAATCTTTGGGAGGCAGAGGTGGAGGACTGCTTGAGCCCAGGAGTTCAAGACCAGCCTGGACAACATATGGAGACCCTGTCTCTACAAAAAAAAAAAAAAAAAAAAAAAAAAAAAAAAAAAAAATTATTTAAATAGCCAGGCACAAGGGTATTGTCTGTGGTCCTAGCTGCTCAGGTGGGTGAGGTGGGAGGATTGCTTGAGCCCAGGAGGTCAAGCCTTCAGTGAGCCGTGATCATGCCACTGCATTCCAACCTGGGCAACAGAGTACGATCCTGTCTCTTAAAAAAAAAAAAAAAAAAAATAGGCAGACAGAGGCAGGCAGGCTCAGGAGTGAATGGGAAATAAGCAACTTACACCATCTCATAAAGATTCTAACTTCAAAAAGCTTGTCTGAGTTCAGGCTGTGGTCTCCAGATAACATCTTCCACTGAAAGGTACTGAGGCGTCTTGCAAAACAAGTTAATTCCAGGTCTGAAGTAGCGTATGTATAGATGAGCCTGGTTCTATTTTTTTGGCGGACGGGGAGGAATCTTTCAAGGACTATTGGAGTTAAGTCAAAGGGATACAGGTGTTTCAGTATTTTTTTTTTCTTCTTGACTCTAATGTAAATGAAATTGTTTTCTTAAAATTTCCTTTTGGGATTGTTCTAGTGTACATAAATACAACTGATTTTTGTGTGTTGATGCCATATCCTGCAACTTTGCTGAATTTCTTACTAACTTGCACAGTTTTGTTTTTGGCATAACTTTAAGGGTATTCTACGTATAAGATCATGTCACCTTTAAATAGAGATAGTTTTACTTCTTCCTGTCCAATTTGAATGCTTTTTATTTCCTTTTTCTTGCTTAACTTCTGGCTAGAACTTCTAATACTACACTGAATAGACATGGTGAAAGAAGGCATCCTCATCTTGTTCCTCATCTGAGGATAAAATCTCTCAGTCTTTCACCACTGAATATGATGTAAGCAATGATTTTTCATGGGTAGCCTTTATCATGTTGAGGAAATTCCCCTCTTTTCCTAGTTTATTAAAGTGCTTTTACAAAGGAAAGGATGTTAGCTTTTCTTTAATACTTTCTCTGCATCAACTGAGATGATTTAGTCATTCCTCAGTATCTGTGGGGGACTGGACCCTGGACCCCCCAAAGATACCAAAATCCTTGAATGCTCAAGTCCCTTATATATAGTATTTGCATATAACCTACACACATCCTCCTATACAATTTAAATCATCTCTAGATTACTTATAACACCTAATACAATGCAAATACTATGCAAACAGTTGTTATACTCTATTTTTAAATGTTGTATTTTTTTTCCTCTGGTCCTTGATTAAGGAATAAATTTGTATTACCTTTTATTTTTTTTTCCAAATATTTTTGATCTGCAGATGTGGAACTCATAGATACAAAGGACAGACTGTAGTGAGTTCTTTTTTTTCTTCATTCTACTAATGTGGTAGATTATACTGATTGATACTTGAGAAAAATTTAACCAAGGAAGCACAAGACTTGTACACTAAAAGACCTGTACAAAACATTGCTGAAAGAAATAAAAGAAGACCAAAATAAATGGAAAGACATTCCATGTTCACAGACTGGAAGACTTAACATTGTTAAGATGACAGTAACTACCCTTGATTTACAAATTCAATTTTGATCCCTGTCAAAATCCTAATAACTCTTTTTTCAGAAATAGGAAAAAACCATCCTAAATTTCACGTGAAATTTCAACACACCCCAAATAGCCAAAACAATCTTGAAAAAAAAAACTTGAGGACTCCTACTTCCTAATTTCAAACCTACTACAAAGCTACAGTAATCAAAACAGTGTAGTACTGACACAAGAACAGGCATATAGACAAATAGAACAGAACTGAAAGTCTAGAAATAAACTCTCGCATTTGTCGTTGTTATGGTCTGAATGTTTGTATCCCTCCTCCCCAGATTCATATGTTGAAGCCTTAACCCCCCATGTAATAATACTTGGAGAGGGGGACTTTAAAAGGTAATCAGCTAGATGAGGTAGTGAGAGTGGAGCTCTCATGATGTGATTAATGCCCTTCTAAGAAGAAACACCAGAAAGCTTACACTCTCTCTCACCTCACAAACACTAAGAAATCACATGAGCACAGAGCAAGGTAGTGGCTACCTACAAGCCAAGAGAAAAGGCCTGAAAATAAAACCTACCTGTGGGCACTTTGATCTTGGACTTCCCAGCCTCCTGAAATGTAAGAAATAAATTTGTTGTTTAAGCCACCCAGACTATGATACTGTGTTACGACAGCCCAAACTGATACGATGGTCAACTGACTTTCAACAAGGTTTCCAGGACCACTCAATGGGGAAAGAACAGGCTCTTCAACAAAAGGTGCTATGAAACCTGGATATTCATACACAAAAGATTGAAACTGGACACTTACTTTGTACCATAAACAAAAATTAACTCAAGATGGATTAAAGACCTAAATTAAAGACCTAAACACTAAAACTCTTAGAAGAAAACATAGGGAAAAATCTACATGAACTTAGATCTAGCAATAGCATCTTAAATATGATACCAAAAGCATAAGCTACAAAAGAAAAACACAAATTGGATTTCATTAAAATTTAAAACTTTTGGCCGGGCGCGGTGGCTCACGCCTGTAATCCCAGCACTTTGGGAGGCCGAGGCAGGTGGATCATGAGGTCAGGAGATCGAGACCATCCTGGCTAACAAGGTGAAACCCCGTCTCTACTAAAAATACAAAAAATTAGCAGGGCGCGGTGGCGGGCACCTGTAGTCCCAGCTACTCGGGAGGCTGAGGCAGGAGAATGGCGTGAACCCGGGAAGCGGAGCTTGCAGTGAGCCGAGATTGCGCCACTGCAGTCCGCAGTCCAGCCTGGGCGACAGAGCGAGACTCCGTCTCAAAAAAAAAAACAAAAAAACAAAAAAACTTTTGTGCATCAAGGCCACTATCGTGAGGGTGAAAAGACAATCTACAGAATGGGAAAAAAATATTTGTAAATTATTTTTGTGATAAGAGTTTAATATTTAGAATATAAAAACAATTCCTAAAACTCAACAACAAAAAAGACAAGCAATTAAAAAACATGCACAAAGGACTTAAATTTGTGCAATTAAAAAACATGCACAAAGGACTTAAATAACATTTCTCCAGAGAACATATACAAAAGGCCAATAAACACATGAAAAAATGTTCAGCATCATTAGTCACTGGAAAAATTCAAATCCAAGCCACAGTAAGATACCACTTCAAGGCCGGGTGCAGTGCCTCACACCTGTAATCCCAGCACTTTGGGAGGCCGAGGCGGGTGGCTCACGAGGTCAGGAGATCAAGACTATCCTGGCTAACATGGTGAAACCTGTCTCTACTAAAAATACAAAAAAATTGGCCGGGTGTGGTGGTGGGCGCCTGTAGTCCCAGGTATTCGGGAGGCTGAGGCAGGAGAATGGCGTGAACCCAGGAGGTGGAGCTTGCAGTGAGCTGAGATTGCGCCACTGCACTCCAGCCTGGGCGACTGAGCAAGACTCCGTCTCAAAAAAAAAAAAAAAAAAAAAAAAAAAAAGATACCACTTCACACCCACTAGGACAGTTATTAACCAAAAATAAAAGACTTTGAAAGGCCGAGGTAGGTAGATCGCTTGAGGTCAGGAGTTCAAGACTAGTCTGGCCAACACAGTGAAACCCCATCTCTACTAAAAGTACAAAAAAAAAAAAAATTAGCCAGGCATGATGGCACACACCTGTAATCCCAGCTACTTGGGAGGCTGAGGCAGAAGAATCACCTGAACCCAGAAGGTGAAGGGTGGAGGTTACAGTGTGGTGAGATGGCACCACTGCACTCCGGCCTGGGCAACAGAGTAACACTCTGTCTCAAAAAAAAAAAAAAAAAAAAAAAAAAAAAAAAAAAACCACACACACAGAAAACAACAAGTATTGGTGAGGATGCAGAAAAGCTGGAATCCTCATGCATTGCTGGTGCAAATGGAAAATGTTATAGCCCCTGTGCAAAAGGTTCCTCAAAAAGATAAACACAGGCTGGGCATGGTGGCTCACACCTGTAATCCCAGCACTTTGAGATGCCAAGGCAGGTGCATCGCTTGAGCTCAGGAGTTCAAGACCAGCCTTGGTAACATGGCCAAACCCCATCTCTATAAGAAAAACTAAAATTAGCTGGGCATAGTGTTGCACATCTGCAGTCCCAGCTACTTGTGGGGCTGAGGTGGGAGGACAGCTTAAACCAGGGAGGTAGAGGCTGCACTGACCCATGATCACACCACTGTACTCCAGCCTGGACAACAAAGTGAGACCCTGTCTCAAAAAATGAATAAATAAATAAATAAGGATAAACAGAATTCCTATATAACCCAGCAAATCCATTTCTAGGTACATACCTGTACTAGTCTGTTTAGTCTTGCTGTAACAGAATACCTGAGGTTGAGTAACTTATAAAGAAAAGAGGTTTATGTAGCTCACAATTCTGGTGGCTGGGAAGTCCAAAAGCATGGCACTGGTGTCTGCTTAGCTTTTGGTGAGGGCTATGTGCTGCACCACAGCATGGAAAAGCAAAAAGGCAAGGGGGCAAAGAGACTTACAAAAGGTAGAACCTTGCTTGTAACAACTCATTAGGGCAGTGTCCCCACTATCCAAACACCTCCCACTAGGGCCCACCTCCTAATACTGCCATATTGGGAATCAAATTTCAACATGAATTTTAAAAGACACTCATTAAAACCATCACAATACCAGAAGGAAGTGAAAGCAAGGACTCAAACAAATACTTACATACCAATGTTTATAGCAACATTACTTACAATAGCCAAAAGGTGTCTATTGATGGATGAATGGATAAACAAAATGTATATGCACACAATGGAATATTTTGCAGCCATAAAAAGGAATGAGAAGTTCTGATACATACTATAACTGGATGAACCTTGAAAATATGCTAAGTGAAATGTCAGACACCAAAGGATAAATATTGTATGAGTCCACTTACATGAAATATCTAGAATAGGCAACTTCATAGACACAGAAAGTAATTTAAAGTTTACCAGAGGCTGGCGCAAGGGACCATGCAGGGTTACTGCATAACATGTAGAGTTTCTATTGTGGGTGAAATGAATAATGGTAATGATTGCACAATATTGTTTATGTACTTAATGCCACTGAATTATACACTTAAAGTTGTTAAAATGGTAAATGTTATATTATATATATATATATATATTTATTATATGATTTGCTTTTTGAGAAGTTATAATTGCACAAAATTAAGGGGGTACACAGTGGTGTTTTGATACACACGTATGTATACGGTGTGGAATGACTGAATCAAGCAAATTAGCATATCCATCACCTTAAATACTTATTCACACCACCTAACTACAACTTTCTACTCTTGGACCAATATCTTCCTGTCCCTCCCTTCCATCCCCCATGCTCTGGTAACTATAATTCTACTCTCTGCTTCTATGAGTTCTATTGTTTTAGATTCCACATTAAGTGACAAGATGCAGTTTTTGTCTTCCTGTGCCTGGCTTACTGCACTTTGTTATGTACATTTTAACACATTTTTTTAAACTTAAGGTAATTTTTTTTTTTTTTTGAGATGGAGTCTCGCTCTGTCACCCAGGCTGGAGTGCAGTGGCACAATCTTGGCTCACTGCAACCTCCGCCTCCTGGGTTCAAGTGATTCTCCTGCCTCAGCCTCCCGAGTAGCTGGGATTACAGGCACGTGCCACCACGCCTGGCTAATTTTTTGTATTTTTAGTAGAGACAGGGTTTCACTGTGTTAGCCAGGATGGTCTCGATCTCCTGACCTCGTGTTCCGCCCGCAGTGGCCTCTCAATGTGCTGGGATTACGTGCGTGAGCCATCGCACCCGACCTGTGATTTTTTAAATATAAAAAAATCAATTTTTAAAAAGGATCGAGGTGCCGACCTTGAAGACCATGTTGTGGGTTAAATTGTGGTCCCCAAGAGATATGTCCACCCAGATCCTCAGAATATGACTTCATTTGGAATAAAGTTCTTTGCTGGTGTAGTTAATGTAAGGGTCTTGAAATGAGATCATCCTGAATTAGAGTAGGCCCTAAATCCAATGAAGAGTGTCCTTAGAAGAGACAGAAATGAAGACAAGAGAGACAAAGAGATAATGCCATGTAAAGACAGAGGCAAAAACTGGAGTAATCTACCACAAATCAAGGAACACGTGGGACCACCAGAGGCTCAAAGAGAGGAGGAAGAATTCTTCCCTAAAGGCTTCAGAGAAAGCATGGCCTTGCCAACATCCTGATTTCAAACTTTTAGCCTCCAGAACTGTGAGATGATAAATTTCTTTAATTTTAAACCACCAAGTTTGTGGTAATTTCTTATGGCAAACCCAGGAAACTAATTCAGATTTTAGTACATGGAAGTGGAGTGCTGCTTTAATATCTAAAAATGTGAAGGTGGGCCAGGCATGATGGCTTATGCCTGTAGTCCCAACACTTTGGGAGGCCAAGGTGTGAGGACTGCTTGAGCTCATGAGTTCGAGATCAGCCTGTGCAACATGGTAAAACACCATCTCTATTAAAAAACTTTTAAACAAAGAAAGAAGAGAGAGAGAGGGAGAGAGAGAGAGAGAGAGAAAGAGAGAAAGAAAGAGAGAAAGAAAGAGAAAGGGAAAGGAAGAGAAAGGAAGGGAAGAAAGGAAGGGAAGGGAAGGGAAGGGGGGAAGGGAGGAAGGGAGGAAGGAAGAAAGAAAGAGAGAGAGAGAGACAAAGAAAGAAAAGAAAGTAACAAAAAGAAAGAGAAAGAGAGAAAAAAAAATGTAAAGGTGGCTTTGAAATTGGGTAATGGGCTGAAAGAGTTTTGAGATGCATGATTTTAGAAAAGTACAGACTGCCTTAAAGACATGGTGGTAGAAATACTGATGTCAAAGGCAATTCTGGTTAGGGTTTAGAAGGATGTGATGAGCAACTAAGAGAAAGCTTCTGTAGTCTTAGAGAATACATACACAGAATTGTGAACATTTTGGTTCATATCAATATTTTGGTTAAGGATGCTTCTGTTGCTGTCTCAGAAGTAAATAAAGAATATGTGACTGGGAACTGGAAGAAAGGTGAGCTATGTTATAAAGTGGCTGAACTATGTTCTACTGTGGGATAGAAAGGAGAATCTGGAAGCCATGAACTTGAATATTTAGCCTAGGAGATTTCCAAGCAAAGTGCTGAAGGTACAGCTTGGTTCCTCCTTGATATTTATAGTAAAATACAAGAAGAAAGAGATAAATTGAAGAAGGAACTTTAAGCAAAAGGAAACAACGATTAACTGGGAGGTTCTCAGATTATTCAGAATACAAAGGATGCGGAAATTAGGAAATTCACTGTTAGAAAAGTGTGTTCTAGAGAGCAGGCCACGTGGCTGGACAACCATATGCTGAAGATACTAGCAGTGTGACTCATGGATCCCATCAATCATCTCAACAGAAACGAGGAATGGAGATGGGGTTATCAGTAAGGAACTGTGAAGAATCCTCTCGTCTAATGATATGGACCCCCTTGATATGTAAGGAGACTGACAAGGTTTTAAAGAATATCATACCAACAAAAATGCTGTCAGCCTGTACTGAAAGGAACAGAGATGGGACAAAATTTTTTAAAGTGTCTTACTTCTGGGATTTTATAGGCAAGAAATGGGCTAATACAGTTACTCAACTACAAACATGTGCAACCCTTCAGGGAAAAGTAAAAATGACTGAAGGCGAGCAGCATAGTGGGGGTTGGGGGTAGGGGAGAAACAGGCCCACACCAGCTGCAGACAGAGCCTCCATGGGCCCAGAGGGCAGAGGATCAAGCCACAGAGGATTATTCTCAGGCCCTGAAACCTAGAGAAATTTGTCCTGCTGAGTTTTGAACTTGCTTGAAACCGGAGATCCTTTATTCTTTCCATTTTCTTCCTTTTGAATGGGAATGTCTATCTTAACAGCTGTCTCATCCTCTCATCATTGTATTTTGGAAGCAGATAAGTTGTTTTCCAGTTTCACAGGTCCACAGATGGAGAATTTTATCCCAAATGAATCATGCCGAGTCCATACTCTTACCTAATTTAGATGATTTAAGACAATGAGATTTCAAACTTTTTGAGGTTATAATATTTGGAGATTTTGGACTTAAGAGTTCATGCTGTAGCTGGGCATGGTGGCTCATGCCTGTAATCCCAGCACTTTGGGAGGCCGAGGCGGGCAGATCACGAGGTCAGGAGATGGAGCCCATCCTAACATAGTGAAACCCCGTCTCCACTAAAAATACAAAAAATTAGCCAGGCATGGCGGCACGCTCCTGTAGTCCCAGCTACTTGGGAGACTGAGGCAGGAAAATGGCTTGAACCCAGGAGGCAGAGGTTGCAGTGAGCCAAGATTCTGCCACTACACTCCAGCCTGGGCGAGAGAGTGAAATTCCATCTAAAAAAAAAAAAAAAAAACAGAGTTCATGCTGTAATAGGTCGAGACTTTTGAGGATGTTGGGATGAGGTGAATTTATTTTGCATATGGGATGTAAATGAAGTTTTAGGGGTCAAAAAAAGAACTGTAGTGTATTAAACTGTGGCTCCCAAAAGTTATGTCCACCCAGAACCACAGTATGTGAGCAGACTAGATCTTTGGAGAGGTAATTATGGTAAGGATCTTGAGCTGAGAACATCCAGGAATAAGGTAGACCCTAAGAGACAGAAAAGAAGATGCAGAAAGAAGACCAAGGGAAGATGAAGGCAAAGACAGGAGTTTTGCCGCCACAAGTCAAGGAATACCAACCAAGCCACAAGAAGATAGAAGAGACAAGCAAAGATTCTTCCCTAGAGCCTTGATTTTGGACTTCTAGCCTCCAAAACTGTGAGATAATTTCTGATGTTTTAAGCTACCAAGTATGTAGCAGTTTTTTGGCAGCCTTAGGAAACTAATTTAAGAGACCGCCAATCATCAAAGATACAACAAATTGAACACCAAAAATAATGACTATGATAAATTAGAATGTATCACATATGGTAAAACTCATGAGTTCCTAATGATACTCCCTCCCAAACCTCACCTTTGGGAGTTGTGAGGGCGGGCATCAATTCATTTTTCTGAAAATTACTGATAAAGGGGAAAAAAATAAGCATTTATCCTGCTTTTTCTTTACAAACCGTATTACAAGGTAACCAAATAATTGATGAGGGAATTCTTTATGAAAGAATTCCAGTTAATAAATACAAAAGAAATGACCAAAAAAAATCACTCTTCTAATGAAATAATGGATATAGGCAAGAATTATCATTAAGTGAAAAGTTAAAAATAAATTACATTTGGATCCCACTGACAGAACCTAAACCAAATGATCCATTTAGTATCACTAAAAGTAGAACCACCACTTAAGTTACCTCCTAGAACGATCCAACAAGAATTCACAGCCCCATCTAATGGAATGACTATAAATCCTAATTTGTCTAGAACAATTCCAGTTTAAACTATTCCTTCTGTGTAATCATTATAGCACCCCCTTTCATTCTCAAAATTGTCTGATTGCAAATAAATTATATAACCACTCTTTATAAATATTTCTTGCCAAAGAAACTGAACCTAAACTCATCAAGCTCTACCAACTAGGGCTCTCAATCTTGGCTACAGACTGAAATCACTTGGTAAATTTTTTAAAATATTGATGATGACATTTTACCTCATGGGCTCTGATTAATTTATCGGAGATGTGGCCTAGGGATCAGGATAACTAAAAGCTCTCCAGATAATTCTAAAGTTTTAGCCAAAGTTCAGAACCACTGCTCTGTATTTAACTACTAATTTGTGGGAAATATGAGGGGTAAAGGAACATGTTAAATACCATAACAAGGATTCAATCAGCCAAATCCAAAATGTGGAAAATTATCCTGGAACAATAACCTATTTTTTTCAACAAATAAATAGCATGGGAAAGGAGCACAGGGGGTATGAGTTAAGAAAGGGGATTATTGGCTGGGTGCAGTGGCTCATGCCTATAATCCCAGCACTTTGGGAGGCGGAGGCGGGTGGATCACTTGAAATCAGGAGCTTGAGACCAGCTTGGCCAACATGGCAAAACCCTGTCGCTACTAAAAACACAAAATAAGCCAAGGCTGGTGGTGCATGCCTATAATCCCAGCTACTCGGGAGGCTGAAGCAGGAAAATCGCTTGAACCCAGGAGACGGACGATGCAGTGAGCCAAGATCACGCCACTGCACTCCAGCCTGGGCAACAAGGGCAAAACTCCATTTCAAAAAGAAAAAAAAAGGTGGGGGGAGGTGATTAAGGTTAAGAAAAACTTAAGAAACATATAAACTAAATGAAATGTGTAACTCTTAGTTGGATGATTTAAACAAATCAGTGTAAAAAGACACTTAAAGAATAAGAGAAGTCTGAACACAGACTGGATTAAGGAACTCTTTTGTTAGGTCGTAACAGTATTGTGGTTGTGCTTGTTAAAAATTCTTATCTGTTAGAAATACACACGGAAGTATTTATAGATTAAATGATGTGATGTGTGTTATTTCTTTGAAATTATTTCAACTATGGAAAAAAAGGAAGGAAGGAGGAAGGAAAGGAAAGGAGGGAAGAAAGAAGGGAGGGAGGGAGGGAAGGAGGGAGGGAGGGAGGGACAGAAATGAGTAGTTAGATGAGACAGGAATAGTAGATTAATTTTTGGCTTATAAATGTATAATATGCATGTCAGTATTAAAATACATTTGTAAGACATATTGGGAAGTGTAAAGAAAGAAAAACACATATGATTCTTGATATGTGCTGGGTTCTCAAAGAACTGACAGTGCTGGGTTCTATACGCTGGATAGACCAAAACAAAACAAAAAAAAGGACTATCTTTGGTCAAAGGCAGCTAATTAAAGCTTCTAGGAGGCCAGAAAGATGATATGAATGAAATTAAAATAACAATATAAATATTTCCTAAGTACAAGAAAGTGGGTATAGGTATGAGAAGGTTGGATAAGAACTATTACTACCCCAAAATTGCTAAATTCCAGAGATTATACCATAAACTGACTTTGAAAAACCCATGCTCCTGCTAATGGCTAAGCCACATAAAAGTGTCATTTTTTTTTAAGTCAAATGGTCAAGTATTAGCAATTTTGTTGGGTTGAATACAGTACATTTATACAATACTTGCCTTTCTCCTTTGCTAAAGTAAGTACATACAGTTAGCTCATAGTAAAATAATCAGAATTTTTAAGGGAAATATCACTTTTCTTTAAATAGTGGCTGTTCTCCTAATACAGAATTCAAAAATACCTCTTAAGTATCCATAGAAACTGAAATTTTATATTTATCTACTTACATATTCTTTAGTAAGAAAACCTTTCTGGCAAGGCACAGTGGCTCACGCCTGTAATCCCAGCACTTTGGGAGGCTGAGGCGGGCAGATCATGAGGTCAGGAGTTCAAGACCAGCCTGGCCAACATGGTGAAACCCTGTCTAAAAATTAGCTGGGCATTGTGGTGCACGCCTGTAATCCTAGCTACTCGGGGGACTGAGGCAGGAGAATTGCTTGAACCCAGGAGGTGGAGGTTGTAGTGAGCTGAGATGGCACCACTGTACTCCAGCCTAGGCGACAGAGCAAGACTCTGTCTCAAAAAAAAAGAAAAGAAAAAAGAAAATCTTTCCATTGTCAAAAAAAGTACAAACATAATCTTTAAAGTAAATCACAGCTTCAAAATATTTAGTGTATATTTTCTAAAAAATAAATGTGAGCTGTGAATACATATTTTAAGATGATCTCAAACAAAAATGTATTTCTTAGGGAACAAGTTAACTTAATGATTCCTAAGAAGTAACTTACATCAACTTTGTTTGAATGTAATTCAAATTATTCTAACATCCATACATTCCAGATAAAGAATTATGTGCTTTATTTTACAAATGAGAATATAAACACTAACCATAATATTTCTGGATAAACAAAAGTTCTAACCTATATGATCGAACAGGACCAGTTCAAGTAATAATTGATCCTGATTTAGCCATCATATCTCCAGCAAATCTCTCTGTGCCTTAATTTCCTAATTTATAAAATGGGACAATAATTGTGGTTGAAAAATACATCACATGTAAAATACTTAGAAAAATGACTGGCACTTAAGGGTTTATAATACCAAGTATTATCATTATTTATAGATGTCTCTGCTTATTACAAGATGGGAAGAACCAGCGTGTGAAAACAACTCAGAATCATTCTCAGTATTAGAATGGCCTCTCCTTTTTTTTTTTTTTTTTTAAAAAAAAAAACAGTGTCTCTCTTGCTCTGTCACCCAGGCTAAAGTGCAGTGGCACAATCATAGTTCAATGCAATCTCGAAATCCTAGGCTCAAGCAATCCTCCAAGCAATCCTCCCACCTCAGCCTCATGAGTAGACGAGGCTACTAAACCTCGGGTAATTTTTTTAATTTATTGTAGAGATGGGGTCTTGCTATGTTGTCCAGGATGGTCTCAAACTCCTGGCCTCATGCCATCCTCCTGCCTCGGCCTCCCAAAGTGCTAGGATTACAAGCATGAACCACTGTACCCAGCCACAAGTATTATTATTTACAGATCCCTCTGTGTGTTACAAGATGGGAAGCAGTGTGAAAACAATGCAGAATCACTGTATTTGAATGGCCTCTTCAAATGGTCTCTAAACAAAGAGTCAATACTTTCTAAAAGCAAATTATTCACATTGCATACATATAAACCGCAAATATTGTAATGATATGTACCGCCATGTTTTTAAGTAATACATTTAGCAAAAAGACAGAAAAGAGAAAAAGTTAATTAAGGAATTAAGAGGGATCAATCTTTTGCAATTATTTTATTATAAAATATTAAAATAACAGAAATTCAAAATAAAACTTCTCCATATCCCATCACATCATGAAGTCAATGCTTTCATTTGTTCGTATTTTCTACTGTCTATATGTGTGTTCAATTTTCACAGATTTATATATTAATAGATAACATTTTATAGTCTACATTTTCACTTAGCATTATACCATGAATACTTTTTCCACTTTGTGAAATTTGCACCCTTATACTCTCTTTCGTTTCTCCTCCCTACCCACTGAAGGTAATCAGTGGTAATATCCCAAACTGTGTCCTCCACAATTTTCTCTAAGTTCATACATGTACAAGCATATACAGACACAAATGTGGGGAGGCAAGAAAGGTCGTTTTGTTTTGTTTTTCACAAAAAATGGAAGCATACTACTTATACATATGCTTTCTCTCTTTTTTAAGCATACCAGGTATATACATCTCAAATTTAATACACACAGAATTTTAAGTATGAAAATGAATACAATTTACTAGACCGGGTAATATTTACATTTACAAAAGTTATTATTTTGTATGTAAACTTTGAAAAGACAAGGATTTTACAACAAAATATGGCCGCCCGATTTAGTTAGACCTCATACTTCATAACATACTGGTTATTATAATAGCCATGCATAAATAATTCAATCATTTATAATAAGCCTACCTAATGAGTCTTAAAAGCTATTTGAGAAAACAAAAATTTTATCATCTAAAAAAATTAAATAATATGCCAACTTTAAAGTGTGTGTGTGTGTATGTATTTGTGTGGGTGTGATGCTTGCTGTAACGCCTTCATGTATAGGCACTAGGATATGAACTTAATTCTCTCTATACTAGAGATGATAGATGAATATAGCGCTGATCCACCCACATACTCAGCTCCCCCGTGTTCACAAATTGAGAGACTAGCATTCCAGCATATTCTGAATACAAGTGTTCCGACTGCCCACAAATATAAAAACAAGACATCAGGCAGGCCTACCTAGAATTTAAGGTTGTTAACCCAATGGTCTTAAAATGCAGTCACCGGCTGGGCGTGGTGGCTCACGCCTGTAATCCTAGCACTTTGGGAGGCCGAGGCGGGTGGATCACGAGGTCAGGAGATCGAGACCATCCTGGCTAACATGGTGAAACCCCGTCTCTACTAAAAATACAGAAACAAAAAATTAGCCGGGCATGGTGGTGGGAGCCTGTAGTCCCAGCTACTCGGGAGGCTGAGGCGAAGGAATGGCGTGAACCCGGGAGGCGGAGCTTGCAGTGAGCTGAGATAGCGCCACTGCACTCCAGCATGGGCGACAGAGCAAGACTCCATCTCAAAAACAACAACAAAAAATGCAGTCACCTGCCCATCTAACCATAATCCAGAACAATCAGAAGATCCCTAAATCTGGATCCATAGGAGAGAACTCTGGGGAGTAAAGGACGCTATGAAAGATTTACAGAGCCCCTCAAAATTACAAAGCAGAGAACTTGGTACTCAACCCATAGAGCCTCTGCTGTACTAGGTAAGCTATTCTTACAAAAATAAGTCAGCAAGTCTTTTGAGTTCCTACTGTGTAGAGGTCACAAGATGTCCAGACGCAAAAAGCAATGAAATAGATACTATGTTAAAGGAGTTCACAATTTATCAAGAGAGCCAGCATATATTATCCTAAATGACCCTAAGTAACAAAGCACAATGCCTAGCATGTAGCTTATGAAATAGCACAGGTGCTTAGCAACTTTTTTGTGACATGATTACAAAGGTCAAAAGCAGTAAGCATCATTAAGTACAATACCATGTCATCAATGCAATTTCAGATTGAATAGCCTAAAGTTACTATCTAAGTCTATGTGGATAGTTTGTTTCAACTCCCTCAAGGCAGTCAATTTCCAAAGACATGGTACTGCATAGTCCCCATTAATCGGCTTGGAGTATACATATGGAATCCACATGTAATTTGGCACACACCAAAAAAAAGTGGAAAAAAGTACTTATATCATTTAAGACAATCATACCGAACATTCTAATGAAATATCAAAAACAAAATGAATTATGGATCAAAAAATATTATTTATGTATTATTTTTACTTTTTCTAGAGAGGGGGTTTCCCTCTGTCACCCAGGCTGGAGAGCAGTGGCAATATCATAGCTCACTGCAACCTCCAACTCCTGGGCTCAAGCAATGCTCCCACCTCAACCTCTGAATAGCGAGGACTAGAAGCATGTGCCACCACACCATTAATTCCAAAAATCAATGAATGTAATTTTCCTCTGTGATGAAACTGGCAAAATAATGGGGGAAACCTATACAAGTCCTGCGTATGTTATAGGTTGTTAAAAATAAAATTAACTTTTGGGCCAGGCCCGGTAGCTCACACCTGTAATCCCAGCACTTTGGGAAGCCGAGGTGTGCTGATCACCAGAGGTCAGGAGTTCGAGATCAGCCTGGCCAACATGGCAAAATCCCATCTTTACTAAAAATACAAAAATTAGCCAGGCATGGTGGTGCTTGCCTGTAATCCCAGCTACTTGGGAGGCTGAAGCAGGAGAATTAATTGAACCCGGGAGGCGGAGGTTGCAACGAGCCGAGATTGCGCCACCGCACTCTAGCCTGGGCAACAGAGCAAGACTCTGTCTCAAAAATAATAATAATAATAAAGTTTTTACTGCTACCAGTATGGTATCTTTTTTTTTTTTTCCAGCATTCCTTTAGCAGAAGATTCACAAGACCAGTAACATCTTTTAAGTGTACGACAAGAGGCAGAATATATTTAAAATCTAGTTGAATTTGTTGTCAACACACATCAATGTTTTCTAGAATATCCTAGAACATCCTAGTACAGAAGGTGAATGACAACATTCACAGCAACTGGATGCAGAAATCTCCCTGAATTAACATTACATATCTTAAGTAATTTACCCTGTATATTTTCATTGGTGGACTATATGCCATATGCCTTCATCCAAGCACAGTAAGGATCTAGTTCAAAACTGAACACAACTTGAAAATTTTAAAATTTCAAAACACATGCATTCCATACACAACATTTATACTTACAAAACTATTTGGACATACCATCATACAGCTTAACTTGCTCTATGACTAATTATTGCATTAGGTGAATCCAACATTTCGTAAACTTATCAATGGTAAAAATTTATTGTTCAAAACACTACGATGAAATGCATTAAAATAACACGACTGATGAACAGAAAGAGGGATAGAGGGGTAAATATATGATAAAACAAGTGGAATGCAATTTTTTTTTTGGAGGGGGTTTTGAGACAGTGCCTCCCTCTGTCACCTAGGCTAGAGTGCAGTAGCACGATCTCGGCTCACTGCTACCACCGCCTCCCTGCTACCACCGCCTCCCAGGTTCAAGCGATTCCCCTGCCTCAGCCTCCCGAATAGCTGGGATTACAGGCACCCGCCACCACGCCGGGTTAATTTTTTGTATTTTTAGTAGAGACGGGGTTTCACCATGTTGGCCAGGCTGGTCTCGAACTCCTGGCCTCAAGTGATCCTGCCGCCTCGGCCTCCCAAAGTGCTGGGATTACAGGCGTGAGCCGCTGTGCATGTCCGGAATGCAATGTTAACAGTAGGATCTAGGCGGTTGGGTGTATGACTGCTCCCCGTAAGTTTTATAATATTGACGGATAGTTCAAAATATTTTCCTAATAAATTGTTGGAAAAAATAATACTTGACACTTCTTTGGTCATTTACAATTTAAGCTTTTAAGGAGAGAAACACAGATTAAAGAAACTCCTCTGTGGCATCCCACACAGGCACTATAGTTGGGACAAACCTGGATTCAAATCCTACCTCAACCTTGCAACTAGCTGTGTGATCTAAGTAAATTACTTAAGCCCTCAACACCTAAATTTCCTCATCTGCAAATAGGTTCTAGGAGGAGTTACTATGAAGTTAAATTCTTCACATAAAGGTCTTAGCTCAGTGCCAGGCACACAGTAAGCACTCAAAACATCAGCTGTAGCATCATTACGAGATTACTAATTTTACGCTAAGCTGAAAGGGCATTCTTCATAAAGTAGTAATTTTTTGCCCTTTTGCTAATTGATCGTTTCTGAAACCATTCCCAAAAGGAAGACTCCTAAAAGGAAACTTACTTCTTATCATGCTAAGCGGGGAGGAAGTAAAAGAAAAGTGAGGGATATTGCTCAATCGATAGTACAGTATTGTTCGCCATCTGAAAAAAACCACTCAGAATTAAATAAGGAAAGTTTCCAGACAAACTTTAAAAGGTATTCAAACAACTCCTATGTAGAATTGGCTTCACCTCTGCAGGTTGATTGGGTACATCCCTGTTATGAGAAAACTTGTCGTATTCTTCCAAGTCCCTAATTGCGAGTAAGAGGCTAGGCTAGAACATGACATTCATAGTAGCCAAAATCTTTCTCCTAAATCAGGACATGCCAACGATCCCACTTCTTCACAGGTAAGACCACCACCCCGACTTTGGTCTAGATAACGGCTATGGGGGGAGGGGAAAGGAGGCAGGAAAATGAATTCGCGATGGTGTTACTGAAGAACCCTCCGGTTATTTCTCCTGAGACCCCTCCACGACTTATTCCCGCCACCACCACCCCCACCTGACCTCTCCCCAGTTAACTTCCAGACTCTGATGTACTAAAGATGCACTAAAGATGCACTTAAGAATCTGACACCTCCCCTCCCTGGGCCTAGATATCCCACCCCAGTGCTGGGGAACGTCGGGGGGAGGAAGGCAAACAACGGCCCCCTCCCCTCCCCCCCACCCAGCACCAAATCTTTGTCCCACCTGCCGAGGGACCGCTCGCCAGCGCGCTCCGGACCCAAGGCTGCCTCAGACCTGCCCGCAACCTTGTCCTAACTGGGCCTCGGCGACCCCTCCACGAACCTGAGTATGGCCCATTCCCGGCCCCGGGCCGCGCCCCGCCCCCCGCCGCCCGAGTTCTGCCTCACCTCACCTACCCTCTTTCGGGGGCCGGACTCCACCTCTCTCTCCGCCATGTTGGGCCCCGCTCGGAACCGCTGCGGCTCCCCGCGCGGTGGCGGCGGTACCTCTCGGCCCCCCGGCCCCCGCCCACACTGCAGGCACGGCCGCCTCGCGGCAGCTTCCCCGGACCCGGCCGGGCCTTGCGCCGAGAGTGGGGAGGGGGCGGATGCCGCGCGCCGGGCCGCAGCTTCTGAGATCCCACGGGTCCGCGCGTGGGCGGGAGGGCCTGCCCGGGGACGGGGTGGGGGCCGGGACTCGGGGGGTTAATGGCCTCCAAGGGGCCCCGTGAGTAGGATTATTTTCTCTCAGAGAAATTCCTCCGCCTGCGGTTTCTTAAAGGGATCACCAAATCAGCCCCTTGCGCGCGCCCCTGATGCGCAGGCGCACCCTAAGTCCCTCCTTCCTTTCCCACCAAGCCCCCGGTCCTGAGCGTGCGCGGTAAGTGGCCATGGGTAGGCCAAATCCTGCAAGTCTCTTTGCTGCCAGCAGCTGCTCCCACCACTCAACTATGGCCGCTCCCTTAAAGGGACCATGACGCAGGGATGAAGGAGAAATGAAAGAAATTACTGGAAAGACAATCTGGAGAATTGGGTGCAATGTCAGTGAAGGGTTCCACATCACCATCTTACACCTGACTACAGTGGTACCATTGAAGAGGGAAAGTCATGGTAAGCTGAAGTTCTCAGTGGACCTCTGAACATGAAGAATCCCAAACCAATGAGGGAACAAGACAGTCATCTCAAGGAAAACCAACTTTCCTCCCTTTCGACTGCCTGTTCTGAAGCACAAGGCATAGAATATCAAGAGCCAACTCCTATAACCTCACCTTAAAATCAAAGCTTTTGGTGATTTTGAAGATTGAACCAACAACTGGAAATAATTTCTTCAATAGTAATTTATCCTTAGAACATCAAAATGGAGAAGGATCTTAGGGAACCATTTACTCCAGTGCTCCCAATGATAAAATTGCAGCCTGATCATGGGAAGGAATTTGTCCCAATGTAACTAATGGCTGGTGTGGAGTTGGAATCAAGATTACAGTCTCAGTCCTCCAGGCTGTCTTCAGGCGAGAGATAAATTTGGTTTAATTTGATATCCCTAGAAGATTAAAAATTGAAGTTTCATGGTATTTGGAGAATATCATAATTCTCTTGTGAAGATGTAATGATTTGCAGATGATGGGTGTCCTCATTCACCTCTATTGAAGGAGCTTGACAATCTGCCTTAAAGGATAAGCATCTTATTTCTAAGCAGGAAACCAGGAAGTAGATTTGGGTCTATCTTGTTCCAAAACTGGGTCCTAAGCTGAAAATCGCTGAAAAGAATGAGGGCTTCATTCATTCCTCTTCTGTTCATTCTAGTTCCCACAAGCTTTGGGTGCAGAAAAAATTAAGTTTATAATGATAGTTCAGGGACAGTGGGGAGACATATAGTAAGAAATACAAAGAAGATGCCTCCTGAAGGTCATTTCCCATGACAAGACATATTCAAGTGGGAATGATAACTCCTGAAGTCACAGGATAATGAGATGTAACTTCTGTTTTCTGTTTTATTTAGCACTTGGTAGCTATTCTGAAACAGATGTTTTCTAATCTGTAATATTTTGCTGAAAACTTTTGGTGAAATTGCTGGAAGTTTCCATACTGGCCTTGCTTATGCCTTTAGCACTGTCTTTAATTTCACTCCTCGGTAGGAGAGAAGAAAGAAGGACAAAGAAATATGTTCATTTCAGCCAGAATTTTAAAAACATGTTCCCTTTAGTTCCATGTCCAGGACAAGAAAGAAAAGAGGAGCCAAGAAAAGATAATTCCAGGGAATGTGGCTACATAAAACTTGTAGTGGTTTCCACCTGTTTTATTGGCAGTGGAATACTCCCTTCTAATAAAATCTGGTGGTTTAAAATGTGGAGCTGCTAAGTTGGGAGTGTAAGTGGGGAACCCACTAGTCTATTCACCCAGCTTCACCCTTGCACTCTCTCTCCTTTCATGCCCCCTCCCATCATTACAGAAATGTTGAGTTTCTCAGATCACAGTTTAAACTTATTAGTTTAGTCTAACTCCACATTTTCAAGATGAAGCCTCTGAGGCTTAGAGAAGATATGATTTGCTTGAGATCACACACAGGATTAGTAACAGTATCAAGACTGAAACAGACATCTTGATCCTCAGGGCTCTGTCCTACACAGACTGTTTCTGGAGGTATTAGCAATGTGTTAGGTCTCGAATAATAGGTGGGATTTGTGCATTTCAGATAATATACAAGCATAACATGAATGTTCAGGGCAGTCATCCATATGGAGGAATAAGACAAGAGAAAACCATTTAGTGAGCACTGAAAAGTTAATCATAATTTTATAGAAGGATTCACAGAGCTTAAGTGACTAGTCCAAGATCATTCAGCACAGAGGCCAAGTCAGAATTCAAAGCCTTGTTCTTTCTGACTTATTTGAAATATCGTAAAGTAGACATTGTAAATTGGTGGCCTTGTGACCAAATCTGTCCCACAGAAATGCATTTGATTTGTATTGTGTATAGCTATATGATCTTGGTCAAGGTAATTGTCCTGTGCCTCACTTTCCTTATCTGTAAAATGGGACACCAAGAGGATTAAATTAGTTAACATCTCTAAATCTCCTAGAACACTGTTGGTTCCTAATACCATATGAGTATCATTATTATTATTATTATTATTTTTTGAGACAGAGTCTCACTCTGTCATCGAGCTAGAGTGCAGTGGCGCGATCTGGGCTCACTGCAAGCTCCGCCTCCCGGGTTCACACCATTCTTCTGCCTCAGCCTCCCGAGTAGCTGGAACTACAGGCACCCGCCACCATGCCCGGCTAACTTTTTGTATTTTTAGTACAGACTGGGTTTCACTGTGTTAGCCAGGAGGGTCTTGATCCCCTGACCTTGTGATCCGCCTGCCTCGGCCTCCCAAAGTGCTGGGATTACAGGCGTGAGCCACCGCGCCCGGCCATTATCTTTTTTTTAAAAAAAAAAAGTTAAATCATATATCAACATTTTAAATGGGATATTTCACCTACAAGTTCAGTGCTCTGACTTGTTTCAAAAAAAAAAAAAAAAAAAAACTAGACTATAATGGGGCTAGTATCTTGCAAATATCAAACAGATTTCTTTTAACTTTCTTAAGTCATCTTCTGTCATAGACTCTTGCTTGAAATGTAGCCTTGAGACTTATTTTCCCAATCAGGAGAGAACAGAATGGAGAGAAAAAGAATTTGCTAAATTTTCTTAGTTCCATTTAATCTATGAAGCTCAGCACATAATAATTTCATAGAGTTTTTACATACTCCACAGGAAATGCCTTCCACCCAAATATCCTTCCATCCAGGACAGCTAAGCCATGAGGCTGCATATAGGGAAATAAAAGAAAAGTCTGACTCTTTTAATAAAAGGGTAGAGAGAAGAAGAACAAAGAGAAAAGTAAGAGAGGCATCATTGAGAGACATGTGCTCCTGTCTTCCCATTCCAGCTCTTCAAGGCAGAGAGGATTCTTACTCTGCTCCTGTTTAAGATTCCAAGTAGAGATGACTTGCAGACTATGCCCATACCAACAAGCAGACAGCCACATATGAGCAAAAGTCATGCCCTGATGTAGTTGGGAAAAAAGAGCAGGTCTGCATTTAGCTCCTCAGAGTGTCTCTCAGCCAGAGATGAATCCAGGTTTTACAGATCTTGAAGCTTACATGATGGGGGGAGAGGGAGGGTTTTTTTGTTTGTTTGTTTTGTTTTGTTTTTAAGAAAAAGAACACAGAATTACATACACAAAATTAGGTACAGGGTTTTGGGCGGAGCTCTGCAAGTGAGTGGTCCTTAGCTCCTGCGAGAGAAGATATCCAGAAGTTCCCACATACCCTGTAGAAGAATACGGAAAGTAGCCAAGAATGCTGGCTGGCAAGTATAGGAGGAAGTAGCTCTGTAAATTACACTGGGCCAGGAACAAAAAGTAGTAACAGCCAGACCTCAGGAAGAGCTGTGTGGTTTGCCTTCAGGCTCTGAGCAAACTTAGCGAGGCCAGGCTACAAAACATTCCACTCTCTTAACAACAGGCTGTAGAGCATCCTGAGAGGTCAGGGACTCCGAATAGATTCAAGGTCTCAGGCTTCCCCAAAGTCATAATGCCTCATAAATGCAGACGTTATTTTAGATACTCACTCAGAGGGAGAGGGCAGCCACAGGAAAGATACAGTGTTTCTTTCCAAAAGAAATTATTAACTAACAGAATTCTAACCATTAGATTCAAATATGTTTTAAACTACATTGGACATTTAGGTAGATCCATTCAGAAAATGTTAGGAAGAAAGTAAAACAAGTGGGATAAAAAATAACTGTAGTGGGGCTACTTTAGATATGTTAGTCAGTGAATATTTTCCGAGGAGGTGACTTTGTTTTTCTTTTTCTTTTCTTTTGGAGGCAGGGTTTTGGCTGGGCACGGTGGGTCATGCCTGTAATCCCCGCACTTTGGGAGCCGAGGCAGGTGGATCACTTGAAGTCGGGAGTTCCAGACCAGCCTGGCCAACATGGTGAAACCCTGTCTCTACTAAAAATACAAAAATTAGCTGGGCATGGTGGCACATGCCTGTAATCCCAGCTACTCGGGAGGCTGAGGCAGGAGAATTGCTTGAACCCAGGAGGCAGAGGTTGTAGTGAGCCAAGATCGTGCCACTGCACTCCAGTCTGGGCGACAAAGTGAGACGCTGTATCAAAAAAAAAAAAAAAAAAAGAGGCAGGATCTTGCTCTGTCATCCAGGCTGGAGTGCAGTGTCACCTTCATAGCTCACTGGAGCCTCAAACTCCTGGGCTCAAGTGATTCTTCTACCTCGGCCTCCCAAAGTGCTGAGATTACAGCTGTGAGCCATCGCACCTGGCTAGGAGGTGACATTTGAACTGAAACTTAAATCATGACCTCATGACTGAGAGCCATCTGTGCAAATGTCTGGGTCAGAGCATTCCAGTCAAAGGGAGCAGCAAGTGTAAAACCCCTTGGCAGGAACAAACTTGAAGTGTTCAAGAAAAGCAAGGTGCCGATGTTACTAGGACCAAGTGAGATGGGGCAGAAGATGAAGTCAGAGAAGCAGACAAAGACAAATTATGAAGATCCTTGGATGCCATGGTAAGGATTTGTAATTTTCTGTGTATGATGTAAAGCCATTGAAGTCTTTGAAAAAAAAAAAAATGATGTGAACCCTCTGGATACCATGTGCATTGCAGAATAAGCCATAAAGGAGCAAGGGTGGATGTAAGTTACGAGGCTTTGTGGCAGTCCAGGTAAGAGATAACAATGACTTAGCCTAGGGCATTGGCGTTGGAGATAGTAAAAATTAGATTCAGAATATATGTATTTTGAAGGCGTAGCCCATGGAATTGCTGCTAATGAATTGGGTGCTGGGAGTGAAAGAAAAAGTGATTTAGGGATGATTCTTAGCTTTTTAGCCTGAATAGATAGGTTAATGCTGTTGCCCATTATTTGAAATGCAAAAAAAGAGAGCAGATGTGAGAAAGTGGGCAGAGAAAGAAGGAAGATGTCTTGGACATGATAAATTTGAGATGCCTCTAGACATCCAAGTGGAAATGTCGAATAGCAGTTAGATATTCAAATCTGAAGCTTAGGAGAGATAACAGGGCTAGAGATAGAAATATGAGAGTCATTGATATAAGCCATAGACTTGATAGAGTTACCAAGAGCACGTATATTGAAATGAATCCGGAGGCACCCCGACATTTACAGCTCAGGAAGAGAAAGAGAATCAGCCAAGTAGCAGGAAAGTCAGGAGAATTTGTGGTCTCAGTAACCAAATAAAGACTGTTTTGGGAGAGGCTCAATTACTAATTTTTCAGATGTCACTGAGAGGACAAGTAAGATGAGGCCCAAGAATTGATGATACGATTGAAAGATCTTTAGTGATCTGGACTAGAATTATTTCAGTGGATTTGTTTAAACATAAGCATGATTGGAGTGGCTGGAAGAGAGAATAAGAGATGAAGACATAGAAACAGTGAATGTGAACAATTCTTTCAAGAAGTTTCACTTTGAAAAAGATTAGAGAGATAGAGTGCTATTGGAGAGGAATGTGGCCCAAGAAATCTTTTTTTAAAAGATGGGAATCACTAATGCACATTAAAAATAGTAAACCATGACCAAATACATTGGAAAGGTCAAATAAATGACATGGGCCAGGCGCGGTGGCTCATGCCTGTAATCCCAGCACTTTGGGAGGCTGAGGCAGGTGGATCACCTGAGGTCAGGAGTTTGAGACCAGCCTGGCCAACATGGTGAAACCCTGTCTCTACTAAAAATACAAAAATTAGCTGGGCATGGTGGCAGGCATCTGTAATCCCAGCTACTTGAACCCGGGAGGCTGAGGCAGGAGAATCGGTTGAACCTGGGAGACAGAGGTTGCAGTGAACTGAGATTGCACCATTGCACCCCAGCCTGGGCGACAAGAGCAAAACTCCATCTCAAAAATAAATAAATAAATAAATAAATAAATAAATAAAATAAAATAAAGGACATGGCTTCCAAAACCTCTCCCTCCAAGCTGAGACAAACCATGGAGATGAGGCTGAGACAGTAGAGAAGAGCCAGGAAGTAGATAACCAGGCAGGTCAAAAAGAAATCACGCATCCTGGGGTAAATCCAACTCTAGAAGTCAGTTCTCCATCTGGTATTTAGTCCCTCGGACATGCATTCTTTAGAATTATCATAATTATTGTTTTTTTCTGCAAAGGAAGCTAAATATCAGTTCATTGATTGATTATTTATTTATTTATATTAGAGACAGGGTCTTGTTCTGTTGCCCAGACTGGAGTATGGTGGTGTGATCATGGCTCACTATAACCTGAAACTCTTGGGCTAAAGGGATCCTCCCACCTCAGCATCCTAAGTAGCTAGGGCTACAGGCCTGTACCACCACTCCAGGCTAATTTTTAAAATATTTTTTAGAGATGGGGTCTCTCTATGTTGTCCAAGCTGGTCTTGAACTCCTGGCCTCAAGCAGTCCTCCCACCTTTACCTCCCAAAGTGCTGGGCATGAGCCACTGCGCCCAGCCAGTAAATTCAGTGTACTTCTTCTATAAACCTTGTTCTTCAAGTTCTACTGGATGAGATACAATTCAGTACTAACCAGGATATATTAAAGATGAGCACATTGAAGCTGGGCGTGGCAGCATGCGCTTGTAGTCCCAGCTTCTTGGGAGGCTGTAGTGAACTATGATTGTTCCTGTGGATAGCCAGTGCACTCCAGTCTCCTGGGCAAATAGTGAGATCCTGTCCAAAAAAAAGGAGAAGGAGAAAAAGGAGGAAGAAGGAGAAGAGGAAGAAGAGGAGGAAGGAGGAAGAAGGAGGAGGAGAAGAAGGAGGAGGAGGAGAAGAAGGAGAAGAAGGAGAAGGAAGAGAGGAGGAGGAAGAAGGAAAGAAAGAAAAAGAAAGAAAGAAAGAAAGAGAAAGAGAAAAGATGAAAGATGAGCACAGTTAATGCTGGTGAGTTAGATATTTTGCATGGCAGAAAGAAAAGGTAAAGAACGTAGCCTGGCAAGTAACAGTATTGTAACCCAGCTGAATAATCATGAGTGGTTTTCAGCTCCTAAAATAATGACAATAATAACAGCAACATTGCTTTCAGTAATGCAGAAATTATTTTCAAAAGTAAAGTTTTAAAAAGTTTTATATTAAAAATCATTCCCGCCGGCTGGGTGCAGTGGCTCATGCCTGTAATCCTAGCACTTTGGGAGGCCGAGGCAGGCGGATCGCCTGAGGCCAGGTGTTGGAGACCAGCCTGACCATATGATAAAACCCCATCTCTACTAAAAATACAAAAACTAACCGGGCATGGTGGCATGCGCCTATGGTCACAGTTACTCCGGAGGCTGAGACAGGAAAATCGCTTGATCCTGGGAGGTGGAGGTTTCAGTGAGCCGAGATCACACCATTGCACTCCAGCCTGGGCAACAAGAGCAAAACTCCATCTCAAAAAAAAAAAAAAAAAAAAAAAAATTCACCCCCCCCCCCACAAAGAAAGAAAAACAGAATATCCACTTTTTAAATTTTATTTATTTACTTTTTTTAGAGAGAGACCAAGTCTTGCTCTCTTGCCCGGCTGGAGTGCAGTGGCACAATCTTGGCTCACTGCAATCTCCACCTCCCGGGTTCAAGCGGTTCACCTGCCTCAGCTTCCCAAGGAGCTGGGACTACAGGTGCACACCACCACACCCAGCACATTTTGTGTTTTTTTAAGCAGAGATGGGATTTCACTATATGTTAGCTAGGCTGGTATTGAACTCCTGACCTCAGGTGATCCACCAGCCTCGGCCTCCCAAAGTGCTGGGATTACAGGTGTGAGCCACCGTGAGGGGCCCAGAATATGCACTTTAAAATTCTGGAAAGATACAAAAAAAACAGTAGTTACATATTTGTAACTTCTGCTACATAGGTAGTAGTACTTACATGTCATAGTAGTAGTTACATATGTAACTTCTACTACAGAAGTAGTAAGTTACATATGTAACTTACTACTACAGAAGTAGTAAGTTACATATGTAACTTTCTACTACAGAAGTAGTAAGTTACATATGTAACTTTCTACTACAGAAGTAGTAAGTTACATATGTAACTTTCTACTACAGAAGTAGTAAGTTACATATGTAACTTTCTACTACAGAAGTAGTAAGTTACATATGTAACTTTCTACTACAGAAGTAGTAAGTTACATATGTAACTTTCTACTACAGAAGTAGTAAGTTACATATGTAACTTTCTACTACAGAAGTAGTAAGTTACATATGTAACTTCTACTACAGAAGTAGAAGTTACATATGTAACTTCTACTACATATGTAGTAAGTTACAAATGTAACTACTACAATTTGTAACTTCCAAGATAAAGGAAGATTGAGGGAATAACCTTCCTTCTATACGTTTTTAGTTTTTGAACTATGCAAATATATTACTTATTTTTCAAATCAAATAACTTTTAAACTAGTTCCCTCAGAATTCTGATTAAAATAGTAAAGAGCTGAAATAAATGAAAAAATAATGTTATCATCAATAAAACATGCAGCACACATTAAATAACAGGATTGGAACAAGTGTTACTTATCATGCTTTCTGTATGAACAGCAATTTATTGCTTACAAGGTATTTTCACACACATTTTCATCTTGCCTGTTAGAGAACATTTTATCCACATTATTTTACAGGATTGGACACAGACTCTCATAGGTTAAGTGACCATAGGTTGTCACCAAGGCCACATAGCTAATAAAAGGAGGAACCTGATAGATGTTTAGGCTGTCTGACTCCAAGTTTAGACAATTTCAGGACAAAGGTTACAAATGCAAATACTTACCCCAGAACCAAGGTTGCAAATGTAAATGCTTACAGGAGTTAGCATGCAGCATAAATGAGTAAAAAACCCCAAGTGGAATAGCAGAAAGCTCATGCCCTCTCTGGCGGGGCAGCCACTACTCATTCCAGGATATTCTTCCCAAGAGGGAATGCCAGCCCAGCCTTGTCAGATCTTCACATTGCTAACTCAGAAATTGGACTGTATTTGAAATTTCCCAATGTATTTAATTTTTTTTTTTTTTTTTTTTTTTTTTTTTAAGACAGAGTCTTGTTCTGTTGCCTGGGCTGGAGTGCAGTGATATGATCTTGGCTCCTCCACCTCATGGGTTCAAGCGATTCTCCTGCCTCAGCCTCCCTAGTAGCTGGGATTATAGGCGCATGCCACCACGCCCGGCTAATTTTTTTTAATTTTTAGTAGAGATGGGGTTTCACCATGTTGGCCAGGCTGGTCTCGAACTCCTGAACTCAAGTGATCCACCTGCCTCAGCCTCCCAAAGTGCTGGATTACAGGCTTGAGCCACCAGCTGGCCTAAGCTTACATTTCAGTCATGTTAAGAATATTCGCCGGACGCGGTGGCTCACGCCTGTAATCCCAGCACTTTGGGAGGCCGAGGCGGGCGGATCACGAGGTCAGGAGATCGAGACCACGGTGAAACCCCGTCTCTACTAAAAAATACAAAAAATTAGCCGGGCGCAGTGGCGGGCGCCTGTAGTCCCAGCTACTCGGGAGGCTGAGGCAGGAGAATGGCGTGAACCCGGAAGGCGGAGCTTGCAGTGAGCGGAGATCGCGCCACAGCACTCCCGCCTGGGCGACAGAACGAGACTCCGTCTCAAAAAAAAAAAAAAAAAAAAAAAAAAAGAATATTCACTTTGTTGGGCAGTCACTCTCCAGAACTTTTTTATCTTGCAAAACTGAACCTCAATACCCAATAAACAATAATTCTATTTTCCCTCCCCCCAGCCCCTGGCCATCAACATTCTTTCTGTTTCTATGAATTTGACTAGTCTAAATACCTCATATAAATAAATCATACAATATTTTGTCCTTTTGTGACAGGTTTGTTTCACTTAGCATAAAGTCTTCAAGGTTCATCCAGTTGCAACATGTGTCAGAATTTCCTTCCTTTTTAAGGCTGAATGATATTACATTGCATGTATATACCACATTTGTTTATCCATTCATCCATCAATGGACACTTGAGTTGTCTGCCTATTGGTTATTGTGAATAATGCTGCTATGAACATGAGTGTGCAAACATCTCGTTGAGACCCTGCTTTCAATTATTTTGGATATGTACTCAGAACCCAATTTTTAAAAAATAGCTTTACTGAGCTATAACTTACATACCATACAAGTCACCCATTTAACATGTATGATTCAGTGGGTATTTGTTTGTTTGTTTGTTTTTCGAGATGGAGTCTCGCTCTGTTGCCCAGGCTGGAACGTAGTGGTGCAGTCTCGGCTCACTGCAACCTCCACCTCCTGGGTTCAAGTGATTCTTCTGCCTCAGCCTCCCAAGTAGCTGGGATTACAGGCGCACACCACCACGCTCAGCTAATTTGTATATTTTTAGTAGAGACAGGATTTCATTATGTTGGCCAGGCTGGCCTCGAACCCCTTCCTCAGGCGATCTGCCCGCCTCAGCCCCCTAAAGTGCTGGGATTACGGGTGTGAGCTACCACAGTCACCACAGTCACTTTTAGAATATTTTCATCACCTCAAAAAAATACACTTAAAGCTATTGCTCTCCTGTCTCCGTGGCCCCTACTCCCCCTGCATTCCTAAGCAACCTCTAATCTACTTCCTGTCTCTATAGATTTCCCTGTTCTAGACATTTCACACTAATGGATTCATACAATATGTGATTTTTCATGACTGACTTCTTTCACTTAGGATACTGTTTTCAAGGTTCAGCCATGTTGTAACATGTATCAGTACTTCATTTCCTTTTTCTTTTTTTGGTGAGGGGGACCTAGTCTCACTCTGTCACCAGGCTGGAGTGCAGTGGTGCCATCTCAGCTCACTGCAACCCGCCTCCCGGGTTCAAGTGATTCTCCTGCCTCAGCCTCCCAAGTAGCTGGGACTACAGGCACGTGCCACCATGCCCAGCTAATTTTTGTATTTTTTAGTAGAGACGGAGTTTCACCATGTTGGCCAGGGTGGTCTTGATCTCCTGACCTCATGATCTGCCCACCCTCGGCCTCCCAAAGTGCTGGGATTACAGGCGTGAGCCACCACACCTGACCTTCATTTCCTTTTATGGCTGAGTAATATTCCATTGTATGGATATAGCATGGAATTTCTCAGTTTTTGAGTGCTGTCAATTAAGTAAAATAGTTTTAAACTTTCCATATAAGCCAACAATAAATATCTGCAATGCCCCCAATTTGCAACCTTTACATAAACTTCAAATTAATATCTCCTAACAGCATTGTACAAAATAAAAAAACAGCAATAAGGGAAGGTATGCGGGCAAACATTGGAAGAAAAAAATATTTAAAACCAATAGCAGCACAGGTCAAGCCAGGTCAACACAATCGGTTCCCTTTGTGGCCTCACAGGAACAGCAGTGGTAGCCTAGAGACACAGCAAGCTCCAGCTCCTAGGATGAAAATGGGAAGTAACATGGAAAAGAGTGTTAATTTTCTCCCAGACACAGGGGTCTGTCCTATTCAGTTTCGATCACTCTATCTCGGGCATCTTCATGTATGAACAAACCTAAAGTGACCACTTCCTAGAGTGAGGCCAACGGCGTCATTTTATAGTTTGTGAAAACCTTAAAGCAGATTTAACAAGTTTGCAGCTGGACAATATATCTACAAAAAATATAAAAATTAGCTGGTGTGAGGGCACATGCCTGTAGTACCAGCTACTTGGAGGCTGAGGCAGAAGAATCGATTGATCCCGGAAGGTTGAGGCTGCAGTGAGCTGTCATCATGCCACTGTACTATGGCCTGGGAGACAGAGACTCTGTCTCAAATAATAATAATTAAATAAATAAAAAATAAAGAATTTGTGGGTATGCTGGTTTTCATGGTTAAGTTCATGTCTCTTGGAAACACTCAATTGGTCCAAGGAGCTAAGTCCTTTTTTCTTTTTCTGCTACCTCTCACCAGGTGCCCACAGGCAAACCTTATAGAAAGGGGAACGTGAGGGTTAATTTTATGTGTCAACCTGTCTGGGCCATAGTGCTCGGATATTTGGTCAAACATTATTCTGAATGTTTCTGTGAGAGTATTTTTTGGATGAGCTTAATTAACATTTAAGTAAGTGGACTTTGGGCCGGGGGTGGTGGCTCACACCTTTAATCCCAGCACTTTGAGAAGCTGAGGTGGGTGGATCACCTGAGGCCAGGAGTTCAAGACCAGCCTGGCCAACATGGTGAAACCCCATCTCTACTAAAAATACAAAAATTAGCCAGGTGTAATGGCACACACCTGTACATAATACCAGCTACTTGGGAGGCTGAGGCACGAGAATCGCTTGAAGCAGGGAGACAGAGGTTGCAGTGAGCCAAGATCACACAACTGCACTCTAGCTTGGGCAATAGAGTGAGACTCTGTCTCAATCAATCAATCAATGGACTTTGAATAAATTAGATTGCTCTCCATAATGTTTGTGGGCTGGCCTCATCCGATCAGTTGAAGGCCTTAATAGAACAAAGACTGACTGCCTCATCACCCCCCTATCCCTGAGCAAGAAGGAATTCTCCCAGAAGATGGCCTTTGGTCTTGAATTGCAACATTGGCTCTTCCCTGGGTCTCCATCCTGCCAACCCACTCTGAAGGTTTTGGACTTGCCAACCTCCATAATAGTATGAGCCAATTCCTTAAAATAAATCTCTCTATATGTTTGCACATTCTCTTGGTTCTGTTTCTCTGAAGAACCCTGACTAACACATATAATGAGCACCCAGCAATTACTTTTCCAAAGAAAGGAAGGGGCACTAACATTTTTGAGCACCTACTGTTTGCCAAGCATTTTATTTTCTTCTAATTACTGATAACTTATACATTTTATTATTACAAAGGGTATCACGTTTCTCAAAGAAAATATACAACACAACAAATAAAAGAGGAAGAAAATTAAAAGCCAATATATTTCCATTGCTCAAAGTACATGACTTCTTGTGGAAGCCAAAACAATTCCATCTTGGATGCTAATCCTTCATGTTGACTTCTGATTAACCCTTGTTCCTAGAAGGCCTCTAAGATTTCCAGTTTATCTATAGTTTCTTGGGTAACAGCACGTACTTACCATAAATCCTACCCCTTAGGTCAAAGCAATCTTGATTGTATCATACTTCAGTTGTCCTACATGTCCTTTCTGAATCACATATACCCCTTCCTTATGATATAAACGTATTACTTGATGGTCTACCCGTAGTAGTATTAATCATTTTATTCCCCACTATACTATTTCCAACTTCTAATCATCTAATCAGTAACCAATTGATTTCCATTCAACAATAATTAGTTCAACTTACACTAAAACAAGTAATAATTACCCATACCATGAGCCCTAGGTCTGAGGGGTAATGGTGAGGATCCACCATCTTGTCTTGTCAGTGCCTGAGACAGAGACGTGGCTTCTATTCCTAAGTATCTGAGAAATGTTTCTTTCCAGGCTGGGTGCAGTGCCTCACACCTATAATCCCAGCACTTGAGCAGCCAAAGAGGGAGGTTTGCTTGAGCCCAGGAATTTGAGGCTACAGTGAGCTATGATTGCACCACTGCACTCCAGCCTGGGCAACAGAGTGAGACCCTATTTCTTTTGAAAAAGAAATATATAAATAAAGAAATGTTTCTGTCTAAAAAAACTGGATTTGTCATCCTCTTTCTTTGGCCTCTTAGCTTCCTTGGACCTTGGGGGTAGGTTTGCATAGGCCTGCCCACTGCAAAACACTGCTGGTAAATTTTTTGTGCTTTTTATACATTTCATATTTAATCTCTCCCTTTTCTCCACTTAATGCAGCAAAACATATTGCCTGATGATAAAGATTAATGTGCAGCATTTTTGATAGCATTACATATTCCATTGTGTGGCTAAACTATATACATATATTTGTTTTGTTTTGTTTTGTTTTGTTTTTTGAGATGGAGTCTCCCTCTCTCACCCAGGCTGGAGTGCAATGGCACCGTCTTGGCTCACTGCAACCTCCGCCTCCCAGGTTCAAGCGATTCTCCTGCCTCAGCCTCCTGAGTAGCTGGGACTACAGGCGCCCACCACCACACTGGGCTAATTTTTGTATTTTTAGTAGAGACGGGGTTTCACTATGTTGCCCAGGCTGGTCTCAAACTCCTGACCTCGTGATCCACCTTCCTCGGCCTCCCAAAGCTCTGGGATTATAGGCATGAGCCACCATGTCTGGCATATATAGATATATATATTTAACCAGACTCTTTTTGTGGGATATTTAGGTGGTTTCCAGTTTCTTGCTGTGATAACGTTACAATAAATGTCCTTGTACCCTATATAAGCAATGTTACAGTAAATTTCCTTGTACACAGACTTCTGCAAATTTCTTAAATATTTCCTTAGGATAAATTTCTAGAAGTAGAATTGCTGAGTCAAAGATTGTAGCTTTTGATACATGTTGCCAGATTGCCTTCCAAAAAGATACCAATTTACACTTTCATTAGCGGTGTCTGCTTACTGCAGGCTTCCATTTCTGGGTACTGTAGTTTTAAAATATAATTAAAATATAATTTACACACAGAATAGGGCACAAATCACAAGTGTATGGCTTAATGGATTTTTTTTTTTTTTTTTTTTTTTTTTTTTTGAGACAGAGTCTCGCTCTGTCGCCCAGGCTGGAGTGCATGAAGAAACAGAAAATCTGAAGTGCAGTGGTGCTATCTCTGCTCACTGCAACCTCTGCCTCCCGGGTTCAAGCTATTCTCCTGCCTCAGCCTCCCGAGTAGCTGGGACTACAGGCACCCGCCACCATGCCCGGCTAATTTTTGTATTTTTAGTAGAGATGGGGTTTTACCATATTGGCCAGGCTGGTCTCAAACTCCTGACCTTGCTATCCACCCACCTCGGCCTCCCAAAGTGCTGGGATTACAGGTGTGAGCCACAGCAGCCAGATGCTTAATGGATTTTTTAAAACTGTGGTGAAATATACATAACATAAAACTTATCATTCAACTTTTTTTTTTTTTTGAGACGCAGTCTCGCTGTCGCCCAGGTTGGAGTGCAGTGGCGAGATCTCGGCTCACTGCAGGTTCCGCTCCTCGCGGGTTAACACCATTCTCCTGCCTCAGCCTCCCGAATAGCTGGGACTACAGGCGCCCGCCTCCTCGCCCGGCTAATTTTTTGTATTTTTAGTAGAGACGGGGTTTCACCGTGTTAGCCAGGATGGTCTCCATCTCCTGACCTCGTGATCCACCCGCCTCGGCCTCCCAAAGTGCTAGGATTACAGGCGTGAGCCACCGCGCCCGGCCGTTCAACTATTTTTAAGTATATAGTTCAGTGGCATTAAGTACATTCACATTGTTGTGCAACCGTCACCACCCATCTTCATAACTCTCTTCATCTTGCAAAACAGAACTTCTCTACCCAGTAAACAATAACTCCCCATTGGTCAATTAATTTTTAAAACACGAAACCCGTTCCCAGGTTAATAAATAAAATATTAGCAACATCCCAGAAGCCGCCTTCCAGTAACTATATGCACCCACAAGAGGGTGACTTCTTTTGGAGTCTCGCTCTGTCGCCCAGGCTGGAGTGCAATGGTGCTATCTCAGCTCGTTGCAACCTCTGCCTCCTGGGCTCAAGCGATTCTCCTGCCTCAGCCTCCCCAGTAGCTGGGATTACAGGCACGTGCCACCACTCCTGGCTAATTTTTGTATTTTAAGTAGAGATGGGGTTTCACCATGTTGGCCAGGCTGGTCTTGAACTCCTGACCTAGGTAATCTGCCCACCTTGGCCTCAAAACATGCTGGGATTACAGGCATGAGCCACTGCGCCCAGTCCTTAGAGGGTAATTTCTAACTGGGGCTTTTTCTAACTATGACAATTTGATAGAATAATAGTATCTTACTGTTCTGTTCATTTCTTTAAATTATTTTAGTTGAAGCTATGAACCTGGTAAATAAATAAATAATTTTTAAAATAAAGTTTAAAAAACTATTTTAATAGGAACAACTCTTTAAACTATGACCATGACCATTTGCATTCTTTGTTAGGAATTGTAGCTCATTATCTTATTTAATCTTCACACTAACCTAATGAGAGAATCAAAAAACCAAGAGTTACTTCTTCAAAAACATCAATGAAAGTGACAAACCTTTAGCTAAATTGACTAAGAAAAAAAAGGACAAGACTCAAATAACTAAAATCAATAATAAAAGCAGGGCACTACTAGCAATTTTGCAAAAGTAAAAAGAATTATGAGAGAATTATGAACAATTATATGCCAAAAACTTGCATAACCTAGAGGAAATGGACAAATTCCCAGAAATATACAACCTACCAAGAATGAATCATGAAGAAATAGAAAATCTGAACAGCCATATAACTAGTTAAAAAAAAAAAAAGAATCGATAATAAAAAACCTCCCAACAAAGGAAATCCCAGGACCAGTTAGATGCCTTCCCTGGTGAATTCCACCAAACATTTTTTTTTTCTGTTTATCACTACTTACTTGCTTTAGATTAATTCCATCAAGTGTTTACAGAAGAATTAACACCAGTCCTGCTCAAACTCTTCTAAAAAATTGGAGAGAAGGGTATACTTCCTAACTCATTCTATAAGCCAGTGTTACTCTGATACCAAAACTAGACAGAGGTACAAGAAAACCACAGCTATATATCCCTTATGAATATTGATGCCAACATCTCAACAAAATAATGGCAAGCCAAATTCAGCAGCATATTAAAAGGATTATACATCATGACTATATTAGTCAGAGTTCTCCAGATATATATGAGGAAGAGAGAAAATGGATTTATTAGAAGAATTGATTCATGTGATTATGAAAGCTTAGAAGTCCACAACAGGCTGTCTGCAAGCTGGAGACCCTGGGATGCCAGAGTGTGGTTCAGTCCAAGTTCTAAAGCCCCAAAATCAGGGAAGCCAGTGGTATTATTCTTATCCAAGGCCAAAGACCTGAGAACGCAGGGGGCCATTAGTGTAAGTTCTGGAATCCCAAGGCTGGACAGCCTGGAGTTCTGATATCCAAGGGCAGGAGAAGGAGAGTGTCCCAGCTCCAGAAAGTATATTTCTCGGCCGGGCGCGGTGACTCACTCCTGTAATCCCAGCACTTTGGGAGGCCGAGGCGGGCGGATCACGAGGTCAGGAGATCGAGACCATCCTGGCTAACACGGTGAAACCCCGTCTCTACTAAAAATACAAAAAAATTAGACGGGCGTGGTGGCGGGCGCCTATAGTCCCAGCTACTCGGGAGGCTGAGGCGGGAGAATGGCGTGAACCCGAGAGGCGGAGCTTGCAGTGAGCCGAGATCGCGCCACTGCACTTCAGTCTGGGCGACAGAGAGAGACTCCGTCTCAAAAAAAAAAATAAAATAAAATAAAATAAATTAAAAAATAAAAATAAAAAAATACAGTATATTTCTCTTCTTTTTTGTTGTATCTAGATCCCCATCTGATTAGATGGTACCTGTCTACATTGAGATTGCTTCTTTCCCACTCAGTCCACTGACTTACATGACAATCTCATTTGGAAACACCCTTACAGACACACCTAGAAATAATCTTTTACCAGCTCGCTTGCTTGCTTGCTTGCTTTTCTTTCTTTCTCTTTCTTCTCTTTCTTTCTTTTCCTTTTTTCTTCTTTTTCCTTCCTTCCTTCCTTCCTTCCTTTTTCTTTCTTTCTTTTTGAGACAGGGTCTCCCTATGTTCCACAGACTAGAGTCCAGTAGTTATTCATAGTCACAATCATAGCATACTATAGCCTTAAACTCTTGAACTCAAGCAATCCTCCTGCCTCAGCCTCCCAATTAGCTAGAATCACAGGTGCATGCCACAATGCCTTTTTTGCCAAAAGTTGATACCTAAAATAAGGCATTATAATGAGCAAGTGGGATTTATTCCTGGAATGCAAGAATAGCTCAACATATGAAAATAAATCAGGCCAGGTATAGTGGCTCATGCCTGTAATACCAACACTTTGGGAGGCTGAGGTGGAAGGATTGCTTGAGCCCAGAAGTATGAGGCTGCAGTGAGCCATGACTGTGCCACTGCACTCCAGCCTGGGAGACAGAGCGAGACCCTGTTTCAAAGAAACAAAACAAAACAGAACAAAACAAAAAAAAAAAGAAAAGAAAATCAATCAATGTAGTATACCACATCAACAGAATGAAGGAGGAAAAAAAAGCATAATTATTTCAACGACACACAAAAAAAAGAAAATCAAGAATCATTTTATAATTTTTTTTTTTTGAGACAGGGTCTCACTCTGTCACCCAGGCTGGAGTGCAGTGCAGTGACATGATCTTGCCTTACTGCAACCTCTGCCTCCCAGGCTAAAACAATCTCCCACATCAGCCTCCCAAGAGGCTGGGATTACAGGCATGTGCCACCATGCTGGCTAATTTTTGTATTTTTTGTAGAGGTGGGGTTTCACCATGTTGCCCAGGCTGGTCTTAAACTCTTGAGCTTAAGTGATCCACTCACCTTGGCCTCCCGAAGTGCTGGGATTACAAGCATGAGCCAATGAGCCTGGCCCATTTTATAAAATTTAACACTTTTTTGTGATAAAAACACTCAACAAGCCAGGAATAGAAGGAAATTACCTCAATACAATAAAGAGCATATATGAAAACCCACAGCCAACATAATACTCACTGGTGAAGGACTAAAATCTTTTCGTCTAAAATCAGGAACAAAACAAAGATGCCTGCTTTTACCACTTACATGTAGCAATGGAAGTCCTAGCTAGAGCAATTGAGCAAGAAAAATAAATAAAAGACTTCCAAATTGAAAACAAAGAAGTAAAATTAGCTTTGTTTGCAGATGACATGATCTCAGATATACAGAACCCTAAAGATTCCACAAAAAAAAGTTAAAACTCATAAGTGAATTCAGCAAAGTTGAAGGATACAAAATCAACACATAAAGATCAGTTTTGTTACTATACACTAAAAATGAATAATCCAAAAAATAAATTAAGAAAACAATTTCACTTAAAATAGTATCAAACTCCTGACCTTCTGATCTGCCCACCTGGCCAATGTGGTGAAACCCCATCTCTACTAAAAATGCAAAAATTAGCCGGATGTGGTGGCAGGTGCCTGTAGACCCAGCTATTCAGGAGGCTGAGGCAGGAGAATAGCTTGAACCCGGGAGGCAGAGGTTGCAGTGAGCCAAGATTGCGCCACTGCACTCCAGCCTGGGTGACAGAGACAGACTCTGTCTCAAATAAATAAATAAATAAATAAATAAATAAATAAATAAATAAATAAAAATAAAATAAAGTAGCATCAAAAATAATAAAATACTTAAATATAAACTTAACCAAGGAGGCAGGAGACTTGCACATTGAAAATTACAAAAGGTTGCTGAAAGAAATTAAAGAAAACACAAACAACATCCTGTACTCATGGATTGAAAGATTTAATTTTGTTAAGATGACAATACTACCCAAAGTCATATACAAATTCAGTGCACTCCCTATCAAAACCCCAATGACTGTTTTATAGAAATAAAAAAATTATCCTGAAATTCATATGGAATTTCAAGAGACCCTGAATAGCCAAAACGATCTTCAAAAGAAGAACAAAACTGCAGAATTGGAGTTTTCATACTTTCTGATTTCAAAACTTGTTACAAGCCATTGTAATCAAAAGAGTGTGGTATTGGCATAAAGACAGACAGGCAGACCAACGAAATGGAATAGAGAGGTCAGGCATAAACCCTTACGTATATGGTTAAATGATTTTCAACAAGAGCGTCAAGATCATTCAATATGGGAAAGGACAGTCTTTTCAACAAATGCTGTTGGAAAATCTGGATATCCGCAGGGCAAAAGAATGAAGCTGGGCTGGGCACAGTGGCTCACACCTGTAATTCCAGCACTTCGGAGGCACTTTGGGAGGCTGAGGCGTGCGGATCACGAGGTCAAGAGATGGAGACCATCCTGGTCAACATGGTGAAACCCCGTATCTACTAAAAATACAAAAATTAGCTGGGTGTGGTGGCGCGCGCCCGTAGTCCCAGCTAGGCAGGAGAATTGCTTGAACCCAGGAGGCAGAGGTTGCAGTGAGCCCAGATGGCGCCCCTGTACTCCAGCCTGGGCGACAGAGCGAGACTCCGTCTCAAAAAAAAAAAAAAAAAAAAAAAAAAAAGAATGAAGCTGGATCCTTATCTTACACTATACAGAAACATTAACTCAAAATGAATGAAAGACCTAAACATAAGAGCTAAAACGATAAAACTCTTTATATATATATATACTTTCTTTTCTTTTTTTTTTTTGAAACAGAGTCTCGCTCTGTCGCCCAGGCTGGAGTGCAGTGGCGCAATCTCTGCTCACTGCAAGCTCCGCCTCCCGGGTTCACGCCATTCTCCCGCCTCAGCCTCCCGAGTAGCTGGGACTACAGGCGCCCACCACCACGCCCGGCTAATTTTTTTTGTATTTTTAGTAGAGACGGGGTTTCACCGTGTTAGCCAGGATGGTCTTGATCTGACCTTGTGATCCGCCCGCCTCGGTCTCCCAAAGTGCTTGGATTACAGGCTTGAGCCACCGCACCCGGCCACGATAAAACTCTTAAAAGAAAAAATAAGGGCAACAGCTTCACAACATTGGTTTGCCAATGATTTCGTAGATATGACACCAAAGCACAGACAACAAAATCAAAAATAGTTAAGTTGAACTTCATCATAATTAAGTCTTTTGACCAGGCATGGTGGCCTGATGCCTGTAACCCCAGCACTTTCAGAAGCCAAGGTGGGAGGATCACTTGAGGCCATGAGTTTAAGACCAGCCTGGGCAACATAGTGAGACGGACCCCCAACCCATCTCTACAAAAAAAAAAAAAAAAAAAAAAAAAAAATTAAATAGGCAGGCATGGTGGTTCACACTATAATCCCAGCACTTCGGGAGGTCAAGGAAGGTATTTCACTTGAGCTCAGGAGTTTGAGACCAGCCTTTGCAACATGGTGGAACCTCATCTCTACAAAAAATACGAAAATTAGCTGGGTGTGATGACATGTGCCTGTAGTCCCAGCTACTGGGGAGGCTGAGGTAGGAGGATTGCTTGAGCTCAGGAGTCAGAGATTGTGGTGAGCAGAGATTGCATCACTGCGCTCCAGCCTGGGCGACAGAGCAAGGCCCTGTCTCTGAAAAACGTAATTAATTAATTACAACTTTTGTGCATCAAAGAATGTTATTAACAGAAAAAAAAAAAGGCAGCCCACAGGATAGGAGAAAATATTTGTAAATTGTATATTTTGGTAAATAATTACTATCCAAAATATATAAAGAATATATTAAAATATAGTAACAACTTTCTTTGTTGTTGTTCAACTACAAAAAATGAACAATTAAAAAATGAGCAAATGGGGCCGGGCACGGTGGCTCACGCCTGTAATCCCAGAGCTTTGGGAGGCCAAGACGGGTGGATCATGAGGTCAGGAGTTCAAGACCAGCCTGGCCAAGATGGTGAAACCCCGTCTCTACTAAAAATATGAAAAAATTAGCCGACCCTAGTGGCAGGTGCCTGTAATCCCAATTACTTGGGAGGCTGAGGCAGGAGAATAGCTTGAACTCGGGGGGTGGAGGTTGCAGTGAGCTGAGATCATGCCACTGCACTCCAGCCTGGGTAACAGAGTGAGACTCCATCTCAAAAAAAAAAAAAAAAAAAAAAAAAAAAAAAAAAAATGAGCAAATGAGGCCCAGCACAGTGGCTCACATCTATAATCCCAACATTTTGGGATGCCAAGGCAGGTGGATCACTTGAGGTCAGGAGTTCAAGACCAGCCTGGCAAATATGGTGAAACTTCATCTCTACTAAAAATACAAAAATTAGCCGGGCATCGTGGCACGTGCTTGTAGTCCCAGCTACTCTACTCGGGAGGCTGAGGCAGGAGAATTGCTGGAACCCAGGAGGCAGAGGTTGTAGTGAGCAGAGATCGAGCCACAGCACTCCAGCCTTGGTAACAGAGACTCTGCCTCAAAAAAGTAAAAAATTTAAAAATTAAAAATGAGCAAATGGGTCTGGTGAGGTGGCTCATGCCTGTAATCCCAGCACTTTGAAAGGCCAAGGTGGGAGGATCACCTGAGGTCAGGAGTTCAAGACCAGCCTGGTCAACATGATGAAACCCCATCTCCACTAAAAATACAAATATTAGCCAGGCATGGTGGCACACGCCTGTAATTCCAGCTACTCGGGAGCCTGAGACAGGAGAATCGCTTGAACCCGGGAGGTGGAGGTTGCATTGAGTCAAGATCACACCACTGCACTCCAGCCTGGGCAACCAGAGGGAGACTCTGTATCAAAAAAAAAAAAAAAAAAAAAGCAAATGACTTAAACAGACATTTATCCCAAGATATACAATTAGCGAATAAACATAGGAAAAGATGCTCATCATCTTTTTTCCTCCTAATTAGTAGGGAAATGTAAATCAAACCACTATGAGATACCACTTTACAGCCATTAAGATGGCAATTATCACACACACAAACACACAGAGAGAGAGAGAGAGAAAATAAGTGTTAGCAAGGATGTGAAGAAATTGGAATCCTCGAGCATTGTTGGTGGGAATGTAAAATGGTACAGCCACTACGGAAAATGGTATGGACAGTCATAAAAAAATTATACACAGAATTACTGTATAATGCAGTATATCCACTTCTGGGTATACATCCAAAAGAAATGAAAGCAGGGACCTGAACAGATATGTGTACACCCATGTCCACAGAAGCATTATTCACAATAGCCAAAAGGTGAAAGCAATCCAAGTGTCTACCAGTGGATGAATAGACAAAATGTGATATATACATACAGCGGAATATTCAGCCTTAAAAATAAAAAGGAAATTTTGGGTTGGGCGCAGTGGGTCATGCCTGTAATCCCAGCACTTTGGGAGGCAGAGGCGGGTGGATCACGAGGTCAGGAGTTCGAGACCAGCCTGGCCAAAATGGTGAAACCCCGTCTCTACTAAAAATAAAAAAATTAGCTGGGCATGGTGTCATGTGCCTGTAATCCCAGCTACTCGGGAGGCTGAAGCAGGAGAATTGCTTCAACTGGGACCCAGGAGGCAGAGGTTGCAGTGAGCCGAGATCATGCCATTGCACTCCAGCCTGGGCAACAAGAGTGAAACTCTGTCTAAAAAAAAAAAAGAAAAAGAAAAAGAAAAGGAAATTTTAACACATTACAACATGAATGAACCTTGAAGATAGTAAGTTAAGTGAAATAAACCAGTCACAAAATGACAAATATTTTAGAATTCCATTTATATGAGGTTCCTAGTTTAGTTAATTTCATAGAGACAGGAAGTAGAATGGTGGTTGCCAGGGGCTAGGGATGAAGATTTAATATTTAATGGGTACAAAGTTTCAGTTGGAAAGAGTAAAAAGTTCTGGAAATGGATGGTGATGATGGTTGCACAACAATGTAAATGTACTTAATGCTACAGAACCGTATACTTAAATATGGTTATAAGGGAAAATTTTATGTTTTTTTTTTTTTTTTTTTTTTTTTTTTTTTGAGACAGAGTCTCACTCTGTCGCCCAGGCCGGAGTGCAATGGTGCGATCTCAGCTTACTGCAATCTCCACTTCCCAGGTTCAAGCGATTCTCCTGTCTCATCCTCACGAGTAGCTGAGATTACAGGCACATGCCGCCACACCTGGCTAATTTCTTGTATTTTAGTAGATACGGGGTTTCACCCTATTGCCCAGGCTGGTCTCGAACTCCTGAGCTCAGGCAATCCACCCACCTTGGCCTCCCAAAGTGCTGGGATTACAGGTGTGAGCCACCGCACCTGGCCTAAATTTTGTTAAATATATTTTGTCACAGTAAAAAAAAGACCCAGTGAGGTAAATAACTTTCCCATTTTATAGATGAAAAATTTAAGGCCTGTGTACATGACTTTACACAGCTAGTAACTAGAAATATCAAAATCTAAGGCTTTTAACATGAGTGTTTTAACACCAATGTTCTTTGTTCTTTGTACTGTATTAGAGTTTTTTTTTTTAAGTATAATTTAGATACAGTGGAATGCATAGATCTAAAGAGTACAATTTAAAGATTTTTGATAAATCAATACACCAGTGTCACCACCAACTCAATTAAGATAAAAGATATTTCCATGAACCAAGAGAGCACCCTCATATCCTGTTCCACTCGATCTCCATCCCCTATTGACAACCATCATCCTGATTTCTATCACCATAGATGAGTTTTACCCATTCTTCAACTTCAGACAAAAAGAATCATTCAGGATGTACTATTTTCTGTCTGACTCCTTTGGCTCAGCAAAATGTGTTTGATATTCATCCACATTGTTGCTTGGATTAGTAATTCATTTTTTGATTGCTGAATAATATACTATTTTGCGACTCTCCCACAATTTGTTTATTCTTTATCGAACTGATGGATATTTAGGTTGTTTCCAGTTGTTGGCTATTATGAATAAAGTGACTATGAACATTTTTGCAGAAGTCTTTGTAGGAATACATTTTCATTTCTCTTCTCTTGTGACTTGGTTCAGCCAATGGGACAGTAGCAAACTTGATGCAAGCAGTTTTGAAAAATTACCCGTTTTTTCTTCCTCTTTTTAAACCTTGCCACTATCATGAGAACAAACACAGACTAGCCTGCTGGAAGATGAGAGATCATGTGGAATGGAGCCAAGTCAACCCAGCTGAGGCCATCCTAGACCAGCCAGCTGCCAGTCAACCCTGTAGCTGCTTGCAGATTCATTACAAAGTCCAGGTGAGATTAGCTTAGCCCAGCTCAGATCAACAGAATTACCCAGGTAACCCATGAAGTCATGACAAATAACAAATGGTGGATCCTTTAAGTCATTGGGTTTTGGGATGGTTTGTTATACAGCATTATCGTGGCAATAGATAATTTATACACACACACACACACACACACTCACACACACACACACATATATATATATATTTTTTTTCTTTTTTTTTGAGACAGAGTCTCTGTCACCCAGGCTGGAGTGCAGTGGCGCCATCTCGGCTCACTGCAATCTCCGCCTCCTGGGTTCAAGTGATTCTCCTGCCTCAGTCTCCTGAGTACCTGGGATTACGGGTGTGTGACACGATGTCCAGCTAATTTTTGTATTTTTAGTATTGATGGGGTTTCACCATGTTGGCCAGGCTGGTCTTGAACTCCTGACCACAAGTGATCTGCCCACCTCGGTCTCCCAAAGTGCTAGGATTACAGGCGTGAGCCACTGTGCCTGGCCACATGTATCATTTTTCTATGCATGCATAACAAATTACCTGAAATCAAGATATCAGCCAGGCCTGTGATCTCATCTTAGGTTTGGGGTCCTCTTCCAAGTTCACTGGTTATTGATAGAATTTAATTTGTTGCAGTTGTAGGACTGAGCACCTCAGCACTTAGCAGCCACACATCATTCCTTGCCACGTGGCCCTCTCTACAGGGTGGCAGTTTGTTTTATTTTATTTTATTTTTGAGATGGTGTCTCTCTTTTGCCCAGGCTGGAGTGCAGCAGTACAATCTCGGCTCACTACAACCTCTGCCCCCTTGGGTCAAGCAATTCTCCTGCCTCAGCCTCCCTAGAGAGTGGCAGTTTGTTTCCTCAAGGCCAAGAGTGAGCATCTCTGGCACTTCAAATTTTTCTGACTTCTGTCTGACTCTGACCTCTAGACTCCTCTTTTAAAGAGTCAGCTGATTAGGTCACGCCTACCCAGGATAATCTTCCTTTTGAATAAGTTAAGCCAACTGGTTAGGGGCCTTATTATACCTCCAAAATCTCCCCACTTTTTCCATAAGAGATAAACTAATCACAAAAAGATATCCCATAATAATCACAGGTCCCACCCATATTTATGGGGAGGAGACTTTACAGGATGTGTACACCAAAAAATGGAAATCTTGGGGGCCATCTTAGAATTCTGCCTACCTCAATGTCCCAAACCAAAATACATAATCAATTTTTAAAGAGAAAGAAATACATTTATTGTGCCAGGACAGTGGCTCATGCCTGTAATCCCAGCACTTTGGGAGGTAGAAGTTAGAGGATCGCTTGAGCCCAGGAGTTGGAGACCAGTCTGGGCAATATAGCAGGACCCTGTCTCTAGAAAAAAAATAAAAATTAGCCAGATATGGTGGCACACACCTAAGGTGCTAGCTACTTGGGAGGCTGAAGTGAGAGGATCACTTGAACCCAGGAGTTCAAGGCTGCAGTGAGCTCTGATGGCACCACTACCCTCCAGCCTGGGTGACAGAGCAAGACTCTGTCTCTAAAAAAGAAAGAGAGAGAAAAGAAATATATTTGTTGAGCACTGAAGATAAATTTATATAATATACAGTGTGCCATATAAGATATCATGTTAACCTTCAAATAAGCAGCTATTTGAAGGTTAGTATCATCTGTGCATAACATGTAATTCAATTAGCTCTATTAAACTGACCATAGGAAGACTTGATTATGGAAAGTAGCGGGTGAAGAAATGTGAAGGGAGTTATTCTGTGGAAGGTACATCCTTTTTTGGGGGGGTCCATTTTCACTAACTTTTTTTTTTTTTTTTTTTTTTGATTCGGAGTCTCGCTCTGTCACCCAGGCTGGAGTGCAGTGGTGCAATCTTGGCTCACTGCAAGCTCTGCCTCCTGGTTTCAGGCCATTCTCCTGCCTCAGTCTCCCGAGTAGCTGGGACTACAGGCGCCCGCCAACACGCCCGGCTAATTTTTTGTATTTTTTAGTAGAGATGGAGTTTCACCGTGTTAGCCAGGATGGTCTCGATCTCCTGACCTTGTGATCCGCCTGCCTCGGCCTCCCAATGTGCTGGGATTACAGGCGTGAGCCACCACGCCTGGCCCATTTTCACTAATTTTTAAATCTTTTAAGGGCTCATGGTTGTCTTGCCCTTAAACTGCACTTAAAAATAAATTTATTACACAGAAAAACTCCTCAAGAGCAAAATAAAGTCTAAATACAAAAGTGTCTTAAGAAATGGAAATGACATGCATGTAAAATTGACTGAAGAGTCATAGAAGATAGTATCTCCTCATTTCTCTCACTTGGCATATATAAGCAAAACAAAACATTTTGTGTTTATCCAAACATAAAGCACAATTTAAACTTGTTCATATGATATTCTCTGACTAAAATCTGCAGCACCAAGTAGTGAATGTATCTTTGCCTGTACTGAAATATCACTTCTGGCTGGGCACAGAGGCTGATGCCAATAATCTCAGCATTTTGGGAGGTAGACATGGGAGGATTCCTTGAAGCCAGTCTGGGCAACAAACCAAGACCCCTGACGCTACAAAAAAAAGAAAAAAGAAAAAGAAATATTACTTCTTATAGCATATATTTAGTGCATTTTTAAGTGAAAAAGTAATAACACTAGGGGAAAAATCAATTACTGACTGAAAGGTGAAATAATTTTTCAAGAGCCATTATGGCAAAAAGTCATAAGCTGAATGGTCATTATGTGAGTTAAGTCTATATACCATGGCCAGGCGCGATGGCCCACACCTGTAATCACAGCACTTTGGGAGGCCGAGGCGGGCAGATCAGGAGGTCAAGAGATCAAGACCATCCTGGTCAACATGTTGAAACCCCGTCTCTACTAAAAATACAAAAATTAGCTGGGCATGGTGGCACATGCCTGTAGTCCCAGCTACTCGGGAGGCTGGGAGGCTGAGGTAGGAGAATCGCTTGAACCCGGGAGGCAGAGGTTGCAGTGAGCCGAGATCATGCCACTGCACTCCAGCCTGGCGACAGAGCAAGACTCCATTTAAAAAAAAAAAAAGTCTATATTCCTCTCTCATTAATTACAGATCTGAAGTTTTTGTTTTGTTTTGTTTTGTTTTTTTTTATTTATTTTTGAGACAGAGTCTCCTTCTGTTGCCCAGACTGGAATGCAGTGGTGCGATCTCTGTTCACTGCAACCTCTGCCTCCCAGGTTCAGCGATTCTCATGCCTTAGTCTCCCAAATAGCTGGGATTACAGGCATGCGTCACTATGCCCGCTAATTTTTTTGTATTTTTAGTAGAGGCAAGGTTTTGCCACGTTGGCCAGGCTGGTCTTGAACTCCCACCCCCAAGTGATCCACGAGTCAGCCTCTCAAATTTTTGGGATTACAGGTGTGAGCCACTGTGCCCGGCCCAGATCCAAAGTTCTTAATGTAAATTTACTGATCTGACATGTCCCATGTCCAATCAATACAACCATTTAGCGGCTGTTTACTAAGCAATCGTGTATCTGCCCAAGCTTTAGATACATGATTTAATTCAAACCTTATTACTAAATACTGAGGATGAAATTGAGATTTAGAAAGGCGAAGTAACTTGCTAAGGTCATAAAGCTGGAAATGAACAGAGTTGGGAATTGAACCCAAGTCTGTTCCACTCCAAATCCTGTTTCCACAGCCTCCACTTCTGCCAGTCTAAAATCAGTTTGGAGGCCAAGGCAGGTGGATCACTTGAGGTTAGGAGTTCGAGACCAGCCTGGCCAACATGATGAAACCCCATCTCTACTAAATTCAAAAATTAGACAGGCGTCATGGTGCATGCATGTAATCCCAGCTACTCGGGAGGCTGAGGCAGGAGAATTGCTTGAACCCAGGAGGCAGATGTTGCAGTGAGCTGAAATTGCAGCACTGCACTCCAGCCTGGGTAACAGAGAGAGACTCCGTCTTGATGAAAAACAACAGCAACAAAAAGATCAGCTTCCATTAAAGTCCAGCCTCTGCCACTTACATAGCTTATCAACCTTGTACAAGTTTCTTAACATCTATGAGGCTATTTTGTCATCTGTAAAATGGGGATAGTAATTCCTACCTCATAAGACTGTTTTGTTTGCTTGTTTGTTCGTTCGTTTATTTCTTTTTGTATGAATTAAAGAGACAGGCTGCTTACGGTGGCTCACACCTGTAATCCCAGCACTTTGGGATTATAATACAAATATATGCACATAGCAGGAGGATTGCTTGAACCCAGAAGTTGGAGACCAGCCTGGGCAACATGACAAGACCCTGTCTCTAAAAAAAAAAAAAAAATTAGCTGGATTTGGTGGCACTTGCCTGCAGTCCCAGCTACTTGGGAGGCTGAAGCAGGAGGATCACCTGAGCCCAGGAGGTAGAGGCTGCAGTGAGCTGTGATTATCCCACTGCACTCCACTCTGGGCAACAGAGCGAGACCCTGTCTCAAAAATAAGTAAATGAAAAGAGACTATGTTTGTGAAAATATGTTTAGCAGCATTTCCTAAATTATAGATGCAGCCTCCATAAATGGTAGGAGAATTTGGGTCTGAAACTCATAATCTCTTTTCCCCCTCCCAGCACCACAAATAAACCTGCTTCTGTCTTTGTTTTTCTTTCATGGTTATGGCATCTTAAGCCACTCTATCTGGAAAATTAAATCATGATTAAGTTCTCTTTTTCTTTTCTTTGAACCCTGTCACCACCCACACCTTCAAAATCAAATTCATTATCAAGACCAAGTAATTCTGCCTTGCAATGTCTTTCATACCTGTTTCCAGCAGTTCTTTCACTGCATCTGCCATGGCTAAGAGCCTCATCAATGGTCATTGGAACTATTTGTGTCTTAATTATTTAAGTTAAAACATTCAATAATAATACATACACGTGATGTGAAATTTTTAAGGATACAAAAGGTTATACAGTGAAAGGTAAGTCTCCCATTACTGTCTCCCAGGAATCTAGTTCTCCTCTCCACAGGCAGCCACTGTTAAGAGTTGCTTGTGTATCTTACCAGAAGCTACACATCTAACACACACACACACACACACACACACACACACACACACACTCACACACAATTTTCCCTTTTTTTTTTTTTTTTTTTTTTTTTAAGACGGAGTCTCGCTCTGTCGCCCAGGCTGGAGTGTAGTGGCGCGATCTCGACTCACCGCAAGCTCCGCCTCCCAAGTTCACGCCATCCTCCTTTGTCAGCCTCCCGAATAGCTGGGACTACAGGCGCCCGCCACCACGCCTAGCTAATTTGTTGTTGTTGTTGTTGTATTTTTAGTAGAGACGGTGTTTCACCGTGTTAGCCAGGATGGTCTTGATCTCCTGACCTCGTGATCCGCCCGCTTCGGGCTCCCAAAGTGCTGGGATTACAGGCGTCAGCCACCACGCCCGGCCCACACACACAATTTTTCATAGATGATAACATATAATGCATATTGTTTTCAACCTTGTTTTTTTCACCAACAATATATATGTATATTTTTGGAGACAAGGTCTTGTTCTGTTGCCCAAGCTAGAATGCAGTGGTGCGATCACAGCACACTGAAGCCTCGACCTCCCAGGCTCAAGCAATCCTTCCACCTCAGCCTTCCAAGTAGCTAGGACCACAGGCATGCACCACCACACCCGGCTTTTTTTTTTTTTTTTTTTTTTTAAGAATCTGGGTCTCACTATGTTACCCAGGCTAGTCTGAAACTGCAGGACCCTAGCTATCCTCCTACCTTAGCTTCACAAAGTACTGGGATTACAATCATAAGCCACATGCCTGGCCCCAGTAACAATATCTTTTGAAGATAATTCTATATTAGTACCCATAAAACTGATTCATTCTTTTCAGGGGCTTCCTATTATATCACTTATGCATTATCATTATTTATTTAAACATCCTCTATGGACCTTTAGAATGCCTCCATTTTTTGCAACCGACATTCATATATATATATATATATATATATATATATATATATATATATATATAATGTAATTCTGAACAATTTGTATTATAAATTTCTAAAAATGGAATTTCTGATTCAACATACATGTACATTTTAACTACTATAGATACTAATGTTTTGTAAAGGTATATAACTATACCAGCTATGCATGAAAGTGACTGTTTCTCTGCACCTTCACTGACAAAATTTATTACCAGACTTCTTGAGTATTGCCAATCATCAATTAGGTGAAAAATGGTTCTTCTTGTAGTTTTGAGTATTCTTAAAGTTTCTACCAAGTTGAAACCTTTTGCCTCTACTTTACATTGAAATTGTAGAATGTTCGTTAGAATTATTTCAATGGCTTCCTCACTGGTCTCCCTGCCTCCAGTTTTGTTTGTTTGTTTGTTTGTTTTTTTACCTTTCAGCCTTTCTGTACACCACCTTTATAATTATTTTTTTCAAAAAACCAAACGGTTCTCAGTATGTGGCACCTGGTCTCTAAATCACTGGTTTTCAAGCTGTTTTGTATCAGGACTCCTTAGCACTCTTAAAAACTTTGGAGCTGGCTGGGCACGGTGGCTCTTGCCTGTAATCCCAGCACTTTGGGAAGCCAAGGTGAGTGGATCACCTGAGGTCAGGAGTTTGAGACCAGCCTGGCCAACACGGTGAAACCCGTCTGCACTAAAAATACAAAAAATAGCCGGGCGTGGTGGCAGGTGCCTGTAATCCCAGCAATTTGGGAGGCTGAGGCAGGAGAATCACTTGAACCCAGGGGGCAGAGGTTGCAGTGAGCAGAGATTGTACCACTTCACTCCAGCCTGGGCAAAAGAGTGAAACTCCACCTAAAAAACAAACAAACAAACAAACAATCAAGCAAACAAAAAAAACTGTAGAGCTTTACAATCAAACAAGAGAAAGAAATAAGAAATAAAGGACATACAAATTGGAAAGGAAGAAGTTAAATTATCCTTGTTTGCAGATGTTATGATCTGATATTTGGAAGATCCCAAACACTACACCAAAAAAACTGTTAGAACTGATAAACAAATTCAGTAAAGTTTCAGGATACAAAATCAACATACAAAAAATCAGTAGCATTTCTTTTCTTTTGCTTTTTTTTTTGAGATGGAGTCTTGCTCTGTCGTCCAGGCTGGAGTGCAATGGCCTGGTCTCGGCTCACTGCAACCTCTGCCTCCTGGAAAGAGAATCACTTGAACCCCAGAGGTGGAGGTTGCAGTGAGCAGAGATCCCGCCAGTGTACTCCAGCCTGGGCGACAGAGCAAGACTCTGTCTCAAAATAAACGTATAAATAAATAAACAACTGGACACATGGAGATAGAGAATAGAATGATGCTTACTAGAGGCTGGAAAGGGTAATCGTGGGGTGAGGATGGGGAGGGAGATGACTAATGAGTACAAAGAAATAGAAAGAATGAATAAGATCCAGTATTCAATAGCACAATAGAGCGACTAGTCAATAATAATTTAATTGTACATTTAAAAATAACTTAAAGAATATAACTGTAGGCCAGGCGCAGTGGCTCACACCTGTAACCCCAGCACTTTGGGAGGCTGAGGCGGGCAGGTCACCTGAGGTCGGGAGTTCAAGACCAGCCTGACCAACATGGAGAAACCCCATCTCTACTAAAAATACAAAAAAAAAATTAGCGGGGTGTGTTGGCGCATGCCTGTAATCCCAGCTACTCGGGAGGCTCAGGCAGGAGAATCACTTGAACCAGGGAGGCAGATGTTGCAGTGAGTTGAGATTGTGCCATTGCACTCCAGCCCAGGCAACAAGAGCAAAACTCCGTCTCAAAAAAAAAATCTATCTATCTATCTACATATACATATAATTGTATTGTTTGTAAAACAAAGGATAAAGGCTGAGATTAATGGATACCTCATTTACCTTGATGTGATTATTACACATTGTATGTCTGTATCAAAATATCTCCCATATACCCCATAAATATATACACCTACTATGTACCCACAAAAATTAAAAATTAAAAAACAAAAAACTGTAGCACTTTTGTTTATGCATATTTACCATATTTGAAATTAAAACTGAGAAAGTTTAAAAATGTTTATTACTTCAGTTAAAATTATAGCAATAAACCCATTGTATGTTTATATAACTAACATACTACATGAAAAATAATTATATTTTCTAAAATAACAATTAGTGAAAAAAATGGCATGTTTTACTTTTTTTGTTGTTTTTTTTTTTGAGATGGAGTCTGACTCTGTCACCAGGTCGGAGTGCAGTGGCTGATTCTCCTGCCTCAGGTTCAAGCAATTCTCCTGCCTCAGCCTCCTGAGTAGCTGGGATTACAGGCAGCCACTACCAAGCCCAGCTAATTTTTGTATTTTCAGTAGAGATGAGGTTTTGCCATGTTGGCCAGGCTGGTCTCAAACTCCTGACCTCAGGTGATCTGCCTGCCTTGGCCTCCCAAAGCGCTGGGATTACTGGCGTGAGCCACCGTGCCCAGCCATGTTTTGTGAAGTTCTTTCATGTCTTGCTTAATAGAAAAGAGCTGGATTCTCATATCTTCTGCTTTCAGTCTACTGAGATATGCTGTTTTGGTTGAAGCATATGAAGAAAATCTGGTCTCATGCAGATATGTTATTGGAAAAGGGAAGAGTATTTTAAAAGTCTTTTTTAAAATAATTGTGAATATTTTTCTTTGGTATTATACCATAATCAACAAATTGTAGTTTCCTTCTGTTTTTTTTAATAGGATCTCACTCTGTCACCCAGGCTGGAGTGCAGTGGCATGATCTCGGCTCTCTGCAACTTCCACCTCCTGGATTCAAGCTATTCTTTTGCCTCAGCCTCCTGAGTAACTGGAATTACAGGTGCGTGCCACCATGCCTGGCTAATTTTTTATATTTTTAGTAGAGACAGGGTTTCAGGTTTCATCATGTTGGTCAGGCTAGTCTTTTTATTTTATTTTATTTTTTGAGACAGAGTTTCACTCTTGTTGCCTAGGCTGGAGTGCAATGGTGTGATCTCAGCTCACTGCAACATCCGCCTGCCAGGTTCAAGTGATTCTCCTATCTCAGCCTCCCGTGTAGCTGGGATTCCAGTCATCCACCACCATGCCTGGCTAAGTTTTTGTATTTTTAGCACAGACAGGGTTTCACCACGTTGGTCAGGTTGGTCTCGAACCTCTGACCTCAGGTGATCCACCCGCCTCAGCCTCCCAAAGTGCTGGGATTACAGGCATGAGCTATTGTGCCCAGCCAGCCAGGCTGGTCTTGAACTCCTGACCTCAAGTGATCCACCTGCCTCGGCCTCCTAAAGTGCTGGGATTAGAGGAGTGAGCCACCGTGCCTGGCCAACAAATTGTAGTTTCTTAAAGGGTAGTTTCAATGTGGAATCTGAAACCACACCAATGAATTTTTGGTATTCTGTTACATCAAAATCCCTCAGTCTGTCTTGTAACGAGTGACTGTTCTACCTATGAATAATTTTGTAACACCATGCATTTGGAAAATATTGATTCACGAAGTTATGCCAATCTTTCAAATAAAAGATCTCATTCATTAATATCATTATAAACATTAAAAAATCCCATTCATAATATCACAACCAATCTTATAATAAAAACCTTCAGTATTGCAAAGTTGTCAAGCTCAAGATGGCAAATACAACTTTTCCAAAATTCTCATTTTATGTGAAAGCTTGGATTTATTATTGGCAGTGAATACTATCGGTTGTTTTCCATGAATTAATGGTCTCACTTCACTCACTTTTGAGAAAAATGCCAAATACCCGTCTGTATAACCATAGTTTATCTGTCAGTCATTCTTCCAAGCAAAAATGGCATTTTATGAAAAAAAGGGCCCAGCAAGGTGGCTCATGCTTGTAATCCCAGAACTTTGGGAGGCCAAGGCCAGTGGATCACCTGAGGTTAGGAGTTTGAGACCAGCCTGGCCAACATGGTGAAACCCTGTCTCTACTAAAAATACAAAAATTAGCTGGGCATGGTAGCGGGAGCCTGTAATCCCAGCTACTTGGGAGGCTGAGGCTGGAGACTCTCCTGAACCCAGGAGGCAGAGGTTACAGTGACCGGAGATCGCGTCATTGCACTCCAGCCTGGGTGACAAGAGTGAAACTCCGTCTCAAAAAAAAAAAAAAAAGAAAAGAAAAGAAAAAAAAAAGGAGCTATTCTGTTCCTAGAACTAGATCCAATCCCACAAGTGCTTTTCCTTGAAGTAGTTATTATGCTTGGATGTACAGCAGAAGTGCTTTATTAAGAAGACATGTCTTGGCCAGGCGTGGTGGCTCACGCCTATAATCCCAGCACTTTGGGAAGCCAAGGCAGGTGAATCACCTGAGGTCAGGAGTTTGAGACAGGCCTGGCCAACATGGTGAAACCCCGTTTCTACTGAAAATACAAAAATTAGTTGAGCGTGGTGGTGCATGCCTGTAGTCCCAGCTACTCAGGAGGCTGAGGCAGGAGAATTGCTTGAATCTGGGAGGCGGAGGTTGCAGTCAACCAGGATTGAGCCACTGCACTCCAGCCTGGGTGACAGAGTGAAACTCAGTCTCAAAAAAAAAAAAAAAAAAAAAAAGACATGCCTTGAGGGTTGTGATTTGATAAAATTAAAATTAATAATTTTTACTGCTTCACCAAGAACATTTGTTTTACTGTGTCAGTAAAGGTGTCGGTAAAGAGTGTAATGAGGGCCGGCCGCAGTGGCTCATGCCTGTAATCCCAGCACTTTGGTAGGCCAAGGCGGGCAGATCACAAGGTCAGGAGATCGAGACCATCCTGGCTAACAGGGTGAAACCTCGTCTCTACTAAAATACAAAAATTAGCCAGGCATGGTGGCGGGCGCCTGTAGTCCCAGCTACTCGGGAGGCTGAGGCAGGAGAATGGTGTGAACCTGGGAGGCGGAGCTTGTAGTGAGCCGAGATCACGTGCCACTGCACTGCAGCCTGGGCGACAGAGTGAGACTCCATCTCAAAAAAAAAAAGAGTGCAATGAGTACAAGGTCAGCCTGGCACCACTGTGTTAAGTAAGGTCCAGCAGATAAACCTGCCATTGATTTGCAGCATCAATGCAAATGTCAGCCCAGTTAAAAAGGCTAATAACAGAATAGAAAATGGTGTACCTGCTATGGAAAACAGTATGGTGGTTCCTCCAAAAATTAAAAACGAAAATACTGTATGATCCAGCAATCCCACTGCTGAGTATATACTCAAAGAAATTGAAAGCAGGATCTTAAAGAGATATACGCATACCCATGTTCATAGCAGCATTATTTACAATAGCCAAGAAGTGGAAGCAATCCAAATGTTCATCACAGATAAATGGGTAAACAAAATGTGGTGTATATATATGCAATGGAATATTACTCAGACTTTAAAAAGAAGGAATTTTTTTTCTTTTTTTTTTTTTTTTTTAAACAGAGTCTCGCTCTGTCACCCAGGATAGAGTGCAGTGGTGCCATCTCGGCTGATAGCAACCTCTGCTTCCCAGGTTCCAGTGATTCTCCTGCTTCAGCCTCCCAAGTAGCTGAGATTACAGGCACCTGCCACCATGTCCTGCTAATTTTTGTGTTTTTAGTAGAGACAGGGTTTCTCCACGTTGGCCAGGCTGGCCTCGAACTCCTGGCCTCAGGTTATCCACCCGCCTCGGCCTCCCAAAGTGCTGGGATTACAGGCATGAGCCACTGTGTCTGGCCTAAAAAGGAAATTCTGACACATGCTACAACATGGATGAATCTTGAGGACATTATGCTAAGTGAAATAAGCCAGCTACAAAAAGACAGCTTCTATATGATTCCAATTATATGAGATTTTTTTAAAAAAGTTTATCAATCTCAAATAAACTATATATCTGTATATGCTGTATATCCAAGCATAATAAAAAAAGTCTGTAATCCTAGCACTTTAAGAAGCCGCGGCAGGTGGATTGCTTGAAGTCAGGAGTTCGAGACCAGCCTGACCCACATGGTGAAACCCCATCTCTACTAAAAATACAAAAACTTGCCAGTCGTGGTGGCAGGCACCTGTAATCTCAGCTACTTGGGAGGCAGAGGCAGAAGAATCACTTGAACTTGGGAGGCAGAGGTTGCAGTGAGCCAAGATCACATCACTGCACTCCAGTCTGGGCAACAATGTAAGACTGTCTCAAAACAAAACAAAACAAAACAAAACACAAATGTAGCAAGGAAGCCCCAAACCAGAATAGGTTCAGAAAGGCTCCTTTTAAAAGGTGTCCAAAGTAGTAAAATACCCAGAAAGATAAAGTAGGATTGTGGCTGCCAGAGGCTTGCAGAGGGGGAAAATGAAGAGTTGTTTAATGGGTATAGATTTTCAGTTTTGGAAGATGAAAAAAGTTCTAGAGATCTGTTGTGCAATAATGTGAATCTACTTGACACTACTGAATTATACACTTAAAAATGTACAAACGTAGGCTGGATGCAGTGGTGCATATATCATTATAGATGTTTAAAAGTGTTATTCATTAATATCACAATCAACCTTATTAATATAATAAAAACCTTCAGTATCACAAAGCTGTCAACCTCATGATGGCAAATACAACTTTTCCAAACTTCTAATTTTATGTGAAAGCTTGGATTTATTATTGGCAACAAATACTGTCTGTAGTCCCAGCTACGCGGGAGGCTGAGGCAGGAAGATCACTTGAGGCCAGAAGTTTGGAGCTGTAGTGCACTATGATCATGCCTGTACCCTAGCTTAGTAAACATAGCAAGACCCCATCTCTAAAAAAATAAATAAATAAAATTTAAAATTTTTCAATGTACAAAGATGGTACATTTTGTTATTTTTATCACAATTTTTAAAGGCAAATAAGGTAGTATAACTATTATCATCATTACTGTAAGAATAGTTTTGACCTCATAAACCCTCTGAAAAGGTCTCAAGGATTCTCCAGAATCAGGAATCCTTGAGAATCATTGCTCTAAACCAGGCATTGACATAATATTTTTGTCCTCATTTCTGCTTATATATTTCCTGCATTCAGAAACAAGTCTACACTCCACAACATGGCCTTCAAGACCATTCATGATCTGGCGGTATTACCCCTTTTTGTTCTGCCTTCTCTGTGTTCTAACCACAATGACATTTGTTGTACTCCGCACACAAAATACACTTTCACACTTCTATGATTTTGCTCAAGCCACATTCTGGGAACCCCTTTTCATTCTGTTAAAATCCTACTTGTTGGGCCAGGCGCAGTGGCTCACACCTATAATTTCAGCACTTTGGGAGGCCAAGACAGGCGGATCACCTGAGGTCAGGAGTTCAAGATCAGCCTGGCCAACATGGTGAAACCCCATCTCTACTAAAAATACAAAAATTAGCAAGGCGTGATGGTGGGTGCCTGAATCGCTTGGTCTCAGGAGGCGAAGGTTGCAGTGAGCTGAGATGGCGCCACTGCACACCAGCCTGGGTGACAGAACAAAACTCTGTCTCAAAAAACAAAACAAAAAAAATCCTACTTGTCCTTTAGGATTCAGCACAAACACCTGTCCCTCACCAAGTCAGGATAAAATGTCCCTTTCTGTAGGCTCTCTGGGCATTTTATTTGTCCCTTTACCTTTCTACTTATTTTCTTTGTTCTCTATTTAGTCATTTGTGTGTCTGTGTTTTCACTAGATTGTAAAAATTCCCAGGGTGATTTTTACAGGAAACAGGTAACCTGTTTCCCTTGCTGCATACTTAGCACAGTGCCTCCTTGGGTGAGCTGGGCAAGTTAGCTGTTCTCCTAACTTCTGTTTCCTCATCTGTAAAGTAGGAACAACGACACCCATCTTGTAAGTTCCTGGGAAGATTCAGTAAGATCATATCTGTTGATGTCTAGCCTAGTTCCAGGGACATTGTAGGACTGAGGTGGGAGAATAGGGTCTGGAGACAGGAAGCCTAAGGCCAACCCATGGTTGCCTTCTTGGAAGTGGACTAAGAGGAAAACCCCACCTTTCCACAACAAAGTAATGAGGGACCAAATGTCCCCCACTTTCTGAACCTCTCCTCCCCTACATCCTGAACAGGAATGTCTGTAATTGGTCTATTCTGAAACCTTCATTTGCATATGCATCACAGGCAGGATGCCTCTGATTGGTCCTGGGCAGAATCCTCCCTCTGACTGGTCCTGGGCAGAAGTCTTCATTTGTGTAGGATATAACCTATACAAATCAGAGGTCTCTAAAGGGTACTTAGGGGTGTTACCATGCTCTTTTAATTCAATAAAAATCCCAAGGAACATTACAATCAGGGCTCTTGCTCCAGTGGTCTCCAACTCTGTGGAGTGTACTTTCACTTCAATAAATCTGTGCTTTCATTGCTTCATTCTTTTGCTGCTTTGTTTGTGCATTTTGTTCCATTCTTTGTTCAATGTGCCAAGAACCTGGACAATTGGTAGTCAAGACTTTCTATCCGGTAGGAGGACCACAATAAATGGGAAAGCCTTCCCTTTCCTTAGTACGTATTTAGTGAACAGATTTGAATAGGGAAGCATTATAAAATACAACAAGGGGATTTAGACAAATCTCAGAATGGTTATTAATAAACAATACTAGTATTATGATGTCCTAACAGTTGTTGCTACCAATACCTGGAGAAAATTTGTTACAAGGGAAATCTAGTCTTTTCTCCATAGCCTTCTGACTTTATCATCCAGGTTTGATCTCATGAGCCTTTTCATACTCCCCCAGGGAACACTACCACTCAAAAGTTAGTAGAATAGGCCGGGCACAATGGCTCACACCTGTAATCCCAGCACTTTGGGAGGCTGAGGTGGCAGATCACGAGGTCAGGAGTTTGAGACCAGCCTGGCCAACATGGTGAAACCCCATCTCTACTAGAAATACAAAAATTAGCTAGGCGTGGTGGCAGGTGCCTATAGTCCCAGCTACTAGGGAGGCTGAGGCAGGAGAATCGCTTGAGCCCGGGAGGTGGAGATTGCAGTGAGCCAAGATCGTGCCACTGAACTCCAGCCCAGGGAACAGAGTGAGATTCCAACTCAAAAAAAAAAAAAAAGTTAGAATGATCTTTTAGGCTGTAAGTGCAAGTCAGACAAAATCTATGAGATATTCAAAATTAAGTGAGGTATCAAATATTCAAAGGAATTGTTTCACTCTGGTAATATGTAAGAATGCAAGATTCTAAGATTCCTCTAAGCTCCAGTCTTTAAAACTCAAAACATTTTAAATGGAAGATACTAATATATTATAGGATCTCATCAAATTAAATGGTTTTAAGAATTTGAAAAAAAAAGACATGTACACATCTGAAGAACCAAAGAAATGCAAAATCAATTAATTAATTAACATGACAAGAATGTGAGAAAAAGATAAATTAGGAAATGGGTATATTTGACGTGGGCTGTGGTATCATTGTGTTATAACTCCACTTGATGTTACTGATTCATCAATATAATTTTTTTTTTTTTTTTGAGACAGAGTCTCGCTCTGTCACCCAGGCTGGAGTGCAGTGGCTCAATCCTGGCTCACTGCAACCTCTGCCTCCCAGGTTCACGCCATTCTGCTGCCTCAGCCTCCCAAGTAGGTGGGACCACAGGCACCCGCCACCACACCCGGCTAATTTTTTAATTTTAGTAGAGACAGGGTTTCACCGTGTTAGCCAGGATGGTCCTGATCTCCTGACCTCGTGATCTACCCACCTCAACCTCCCAAGGTGCTAGGACTACAGGCATGAGCCATGATATAATAATTTTAAAGAGTTTTCAGTATGTCTTTGGTCATTCGTAATCTCAATCAATGTTTCCTTTTCTAGTCTACATCTTGAAACTCTGGAAAGTTTTATAACGTAATATAGAAAAGTTTAAGGGAATCAAGCCATATTATTAATATTTCTGTGTCAAGAAATTTGTAAACAATTGACATTTTATATACTTTTTTTTAAGATAAATTGTTTCCAGATTGAAAGAGCTTACCAATGGGCCCAGCATATGAATTTTAAAAGCCTGGAATCACAGTGAGACCCCATCTCTACAGCCTAAGGCACGTCATCTAAAAATTTCAAACTGCAAGATATTAAAAAAAAAAAATCCCTCAAAGTCTCCAGAGAGAGAAAACAGATGACATTCTGAAAGCAGAATGTAACATTGAAAGCTGAAAGACAATCGAACAAATCTTTTCAAACATTGAGGGGGAGAAACAGGCTGATCAATCTAATTTTCTTCAACTAGCCATACTAGTAAGTGTGAGAATAGAATTAAGACATTTTCTTTCTTTTTCTTTTCTTTTCTTTTTTTTTTTTTTTTTAGTCAAGGTCTCACTCTGATGCCCAGGCTGGAGTGCAGTGGAGTGCAGTGCAGTGGATCTTGACTCATCACAACCTCCACCTCCTGGGCTCAAGTGATCCTCCCACCTCAACCTCCTCAGTAGCTGGGACTACAGGTATGCACCACTATAACTGGCAATTTTTTTTTCTTTTTTTTTTTTTGGTAGAGACACGGTTTTGCCATGTTGCCCAGCCTGATCTTGAACTCCTGAGCTCATATTCCACCTGCTTTGGCTTCCCAAAGTGCTGGGATTACAGGTGTGAGCCCCTGCACCTGGCCAAAACATTTTCATTTTATAAAGATTCAGTAGATTTACCTTAGAAACTCTCTTCAATAGAGAAGCAACTGGGAGATGTGCTGCAGTAAAATAAGGGAATAATCCTACAAAGATAATGAAATAAGATCAAGGAAGCAGAAGACACAACACAAGAAAATGGTGAAAAGAAGTCCAGTGGTAACATCTTGTTGCAGACCTAGACATCTAGCTCTTACTGCAGAATGTAGTAGTAGCGGGCTATGGAACAGCAATGTCGGTGGGGGGCAGGGAAATGGAATTGATTTGATCAGTTGAAAAATAGTATTGATAGGCATACAGTGTATCGTGGAACACATAAGGAAAGCTGATCGTATGAATAAGGGAAACTAAGCAAATTTAAAAGTGAAGCAATACCTGTAGGAAAATACAATAGGACAAAAACTAAATTGCATAGTATACTCATTGGCATAGAAGTAAATAATGCTTATGAAACCATAATAATGCAAATATTGATTACTGATTCAACGAACAATTGTGATACTGGGAGAATGAAAAGAGGAAGAGGGAGTGGTGGGTGTTAGGAGCTAAATTATCACTTACCTTAAGAAGTCAATGAATAATGTTTAAAGTTTAGAAATCATGGCTGGGAAGCGATGGCTCATGCCTACAATGTTAGCACTTTGGGAGGCCAAGGCTGGAGGATCTCATGAGGTCAGGAGTTCAAGACCAGCCTGGGCAAAATAGTGAGATCCATTCCCCCCTCCCCTCCCCAATCTCTACACAAAAATTTAAAAATTAGCTGGGCATGATGGTGTGTACCTATAGTTCCAGCTACTCAGGAGGCTGAAGAGGGAGAATTGCTTGAGCCCAAGAGGTTGAGGCTGCAGTGAGCCAGGATTACACCATGGTATTCCATCCAGCATGGATGACAAAATAAGGTCCTGTTTCTAAAAAGAAGAACAAGGCTGGGACTTTGGGAGGCCAAGGCAGGCAGATCACCTGAGGTCAGGAGTTCGAGAACAGCCTGGCCAACATGGTGAAATCCCATCTCTACTACAAATACAAAATTAGCTGGGCGTGGTGGGGCATGCCTGTAATTCCAGATACTTGGGAGGCTGAGGCAGGAAAATCACTTGAACCCAGGAGGTGGAGATAGTAGTGAGCTGAGATTGCGCCACTTCACTCCAGCCTGGCCAACAAGAGCGAAACTCCATCTCATAAATAAATAAATAAATAAATAAATAAAGGCCAGGCGCTGTGGCTCACACCTGTAATCCCTGCACTTTGGGAGGCCAAGGCAGGTGGATCACCTGAGGTCAGGAGTTTGAGACCAGCCTGGCCAACATGGTGAAACCCCGTCTCTATTAAAAATACAAAACATAATTAGCCTGGTATGGTGGCAGGTGCCTGTGATCCCAGCTACTCAGGAGACTGAGGCAGGAAAATCACTTGAACCTGGGAGGTGGAGGTTGCCCTGAGCTGAGATTGTGCCACTGCACTCCAGCCTGGGCAACAGAGTGAGACTCCATCTCAAAAAAAAAAATAATAATTTAAAGTAAATAAAAATAAAAGAGGAAGAGGAATAAAAAATAGTGTATCAGTATATGATTAAGAGATATGAAAGTAGATTTCAGAAAAAATATATAGGTAATATAGTTGACATCCTGGGAAGTGAAGCTAGTGGGCAGGGACTGGTAGGAAAAGGATCACTGGGTTTCTTGATAATTCTACTTATATTAATTTATATATTAGTTTTATGTAATATTTAAAAGTGTTTATATTTACATTTATATTTATTTATTTATTTTGAGAGTGAGTCTTGCTCTATCTCCCAGGCTGGACAGTGTAGTGGTGCAATCTTGGCTCACTTCAACCTCTGCCTCCTGGGATCAAGCGATTCTCCTACCTCAGCCTCCCAAGTAGCTGGGATTACAGGTGCCCGCCACCACGTCCAGCTAATTTTCATATTTTTAGTAGAGATGGAGTGTTACCATGTAGACCAGGCTGGTCTCAAACTCCTGACCTCAAGTGATCTGCCTGCCTCAGCCTCCCACAGTGCTGGGATTACAGGTGTGAGCCACTGTGCCGGGCCAATATATTTATATTTTATTTTATTATTTATTTATTTATTTATTTATTTGAGACAGAGTCTTGCTCTGTCACCAGGCTGGAATGCAGTGGCATGATCTTGGCTCACTGCAACCTCTGCCTCCCTGGTTCAAATAATTCTCCTGCCTCAGCCTCCCGAGTAGCTGGGACTGCGGGCATGCGCCACCATGCCCAGCTAATTTTTGCATTTTTAGTAGAGATAGGGTTTCACCACATTGGCTGGGATGGTCTCAATCTCTTGACCTCGTGATCTGCCTGCCTCGGCCTCCCAAAATGCTGGGATTACAGGCATGTGCCACCACGCCTGGACTATATTTTAAAAATTGAAAATGATGCTACAATAAACATCAATGTATATACATCATCGTGCTCATTCTGATTATGTCCTTACAATAAATTCCAAGAAATGGAATTTCCGGGTCAGGACACATACATATGTTAAAGGCTTTTGATACAAGTTACAGAAATAACTCTCCAGCAGAAAAATAACTTCTCTCAGCAGAGAAGTAGCCTGGCCTGTCATCTCCCAACCAGATTGTCAATAGCTCCAAAGCTAAATTAACAGATTATTCTCCTTGGCTTTCTGACTCATTCCTCTGCCTTTTATTAGAAACCAGAATTTTGAACTGGGAAGGTTGTCTGGTCAAACAAGAAGCCTGGGTGAGAAATACTATTTTGGCTACGCTACTGCCTGTCTATATGGTTTTGAACACCTCTCTTCCTTTCTCTGGCCTCAGTTTTATCATGTCTAAAGTGAGGTGCGTGGACCAGATTATTACTTCTCAACGTTTTTACTACCCCTCTCTTGAACAGCATGTTTTTATCTATTAAACAAAATGCGTTTACTAAGAAATTATTTATTCTCCTTCCTGGTATGTATTACTCACATAAGATGACAGTTGACCAGGCGCAGTGGCTCACGCCTGTCATCCCAGCCCTTTGGGAGGCCAAGGCAGGTGGATCTCTTGAGGCCAGTAGTTCAAGACCAGCCTGGCCAAAATGGTGAAATCCTGTCTCTACTAAAAACATAAAAATTAGCCAAGTGTGGTGGCAGGTGCCTATAATTCCAGCTACTTAGGAGGATGAGGCAGGAGAATCACTTGAGCCCAGGAGGCGAGGTTGCAGTGAGCCGGGGTCGTGCCACTGCACTCCGGCCTGGGCAACAGAGGGAGACTCTGTCTCAAAAAAAAAAAAAAAAAAGATAACAGTCTATGAGAACTTCTGGATAGCAGGGGAGAGACACCCCTTGCAACCTAACTGAATTAATAAATTTAAGCCAAAAGAATATTATTTTCCAGCTTGCACAGCCTGACTGTAGCAAATAATGTAAACTATGTTAGCTCCCTTTGCTGCTTGTAGATTCCCCAGGGTGAATGGGGTGAGATAACTGTCTCAGATTCAGTAATCAATTTTCTCTACCTATGCCCCACCATCATCAGAGTTTATTCTGTCAAGACCGCTGCCCAGGCCAGGTGCTATGGCTCACACCTGTAATCCCAGCACTTTGGGAGGCTGAGGCGGGAGGATTGCTGGAGCCCAGGAGGTCGAGACCAGCCTAGGCTGTAGCCAGACTCCATCTCTACATTTAAAAAGAATTTTTTTTTAATTAAAAAGAAAAGAGACTGCTGTCTAGATAAATCAGTTAAACAACTGGCCTTGTACATATTTACGGAAGCTAGCCTACAGCAAAGGCCAGTGAAGCAAAGATTAGCACCAAGGCTGGGCATGATGACTCTAGCCTGTAATCCCAGCTACTCAAGGAAGTGGGTGGAGGAGGGTTTTGAGGCAAGAGGATGGCTTGAGCTTGGTAGGTCGAGGCTACAGTGAGCTGAGATGGTGCTAATGCACTCCAGCCTGGGCTGTCTTAAAAAAAAAAAAAAAAAAAAAATTAGCACCAAGCCCTGTAAGGAGAGAAGGAGGGAAGGAGGATTTATTTTGAAGTTAATGGAGCTTAAGTTTCAGGGCCCCTCACTTGCAGGGGCTCCTCTGAGAGATGGGTGTTGCTAGGAGTTGTAGTCTGCTCTAGAGAAGGAGAGGAAGCGGTTTGCAATCAAGAAGAATTTCTGCATAAGCATTTCCGAAAAATTGCCTGGAATATCTCAGAAAAGAGGGATCTGAATCTCTGTCTTCAATAATTTGTCTTGATGTCTTTTCTCATTCCAAACAAATATTCGCATGCATACTTAATACTGTAGTCATAATTTTGTATTCTCTTTCTTGGAAAGGGCCTCAGGAATTGCAAAAGCTCAGGCCCTACAAAACCTGGATCCACTCCAAATATAGAAATGCATCTCCTCCCAGCAAGATAAAAGCTAAAGATCTGGCTTATTCACTGGTAGCAGAAGAGAAACAGTTTTACTGCCTCTCCATCTTTGACCAGCATATGTGGACAAATATCCTCCAGGCCAGGCCTGTAACATGAGAGCACATGTGTAACCAACAATTCCAGTGTAGTCCCAGATTATTGCAGCTACCTCTCTGGGGACCCTGATAGTCCATGCGAACGACCAGCTATTCAGATAATTTCTCAAAACTAATCTCTTCTTAACCATTGCTTTCAAATCTTCTTCCAACAGTCTTTTGCCCTCCCTTGTAATACATTTCAAAAGCAATGTGTTTGCTTTCCTATGCCTGGCACATTTGAAAGCATGCAATAAATAATTGTTAAATGAATAATTTAGGAGAATGAATCCTAGCCTTTCTGGTTCCCAGCCTCTGACAAGAGTGTGAATAAGCTGTAAAATTACAAAAATATGGGCAGTCGTAGGAAGTAGGATGACAGCTTTTCTTTTCTGTTTATTCACTAAAGCAGCGATTTGCAAACTTAGTGTGTTTTAGAAAGTCATATTTAAAGTCCAGATTCACAGGCCCTGCCCCCAGAGGTCAGATTCGGTGGTCTAGGAAGGGATTCAGGAAGCCACATTTTTGTTAATGAACACTGGTGATTCTGATTGTAGGCCACTTTTTGAGAAACACTGAAAAAAATGACTGGGTCTGTCTAGGTACAGAATTTACTGATCTCACCAAAAGCAGTGGCTCACACCTGTAATCCCAGCACTTTGGGAGGCTAAAGCAAGCAAATTGCCTGAGCTCAGGAATTTGAGACCAGCCTGAGCAACTTGGCAAAACCCTGTCTCTACAAAGAAATACAAAACTTAGCTGGGCATGGTGGTACATGCCTGTAGTCCCAACTATTTGGGGGGCTGAGGCAGGAGAATCACTAGAGCCCAGGAGGTGGAGGCTGCCATGAGCCAAGATCTTGCCACTGCACTCCAGCCTGGGTGACAGAGCGAGACCCCATCTGAAAAAAAAATAAATAAATAAAAAAAGAATTTACTGATCTCTTGCAACCATTCTGTCTGGGGGTGGTTCTAGAAGTTTGGTCCCTTGAGATTGTAGCAATCCTTAATTTCTTTTCTGTACATAAATGTTAACAGCTGCTATAGTGGAAACAATACAGGTTTGAGAAATCAGACAGATCTGGGTTCAAATTGTTTAATCTCTCTGAGCCTCAATTAATGTGCAAAATAGGCATAATAATGCCACCATAATTATTGTGAGAACTAAATACACTGACATGTGAAAGTCTTGTGTAGAATGCTAGTGCATACAAGCCTTCCATACAAAGCTGTTCAGTAAAAGCTCATTTTTTACCTCATTCTTTTGCCTGAATGATATGAAAGATGAAGGAATTTCCCCCAAGAACCATGGAATTCTCCCATTTAGACATTCACTTCCTAGGCTTCAGTCTTTAATTCTTGTTAAAATGTATATGGCTCTGAAATTAGTAACCAGACATCCCATTGTTATTTATATCTTAGTTAAATGCAGTTGCTGAATTGTTTTGGGAAAGCAAAGGCAAGAAGAAGGCTTGGGGGGTGAGCAGCCTATGGTGGGAAAAGAGAGAGGGAAGAGGTTGAGGGAGAGGAGAAGGATGTAGGGGAAAAACTGTAGGCACTCTTCAAATGTTTATAGTCTCATATGGGGCCAGGAAGCCTGCTGTGAACAATGATTTTCAGCCTATGCTCCTAGTGGCCATGTGAAGAAACACAAGGGGTCTGTTGGTGGGGAGGACGTTTTAGTGAAGAGGTGCTGAAAATGTTAGCAATTTTTGTGGCCAGGTGTGGTGGCTCACGCCTGTAATCCCAGCATTTTGGGAGGCCATGGTGAGTGGATCACTTGAGGTCAGGAGTTTGAGACCAGCCTGGCCAACATGGTGAATCCTGATCTCTACTAAAAATACAAAAAATTAGCAAGGCGTGGTGGCACATGCCTGTAATCCCAGGTACTCTAGGGGTTCAAGCAAGAGAATTGCTTGAACCCAGGAGGTGGAGGTTACAGTGATCCTGGATCCTGCCACTGCACTGCAACCCAGGGGGCAGAGTGAGACTCCATCTCAAAAAACAAACCATTTTTGTAAGGGAAGGTATTTCTTTGGAAAAATATCTTGGTAAAATCCTCTTGGAGTGAAGGCGAAACCTTAAGGGCATGACTGTGGCTAAACTACTTTGAGTTGAAGAGTTTAGTTTTTCTCCTGAGTGGAAGGGTAATGGAGAGTGGGGTTGGAAAAAGAAAGGTGGAAATGGCATGAAGGTGGTGACTCTGTGGAGTGAAAATTATTGGTGTAAAATCCTTAGCAGTGGGCAGCCAGATGACATTAGAAAGGAATGTCTGGCTGGGCGTGGTGGCTCACGCTTGTAATCCCAACACTTTGGGAGGGCGAGGTGGGTGGATCACCTGAGGTCAGGAGTTTGAGACCAGCCTGGCCAACATGGTGAAGCCTCGTCTCTACTAAAAATACAAAAATTAGCTGGGCGTGGTAGTGGCCACCTGTAATCCCAGCTACTCTGGAGGCTGAAGCAGGAGAATTGCTTGAACCCAGGAAGTGGAGGTTGCAGTGAGCTGAGATTGCACCACTGCATTCCAGCCTGGGCAACAAGAGTGAAATTCTGTCTCAAAAAAAAAAAAAAAAGAAAAAAGAAAAGAAAAGAAAGAAAGGAATGTCTGGTGTTCACATTGACATTTTTGATAGTAATATGGAGGTAATAGTTAATGGCCACTAGAGTGTGAGATTTCTGGGTTTTCCATGTCCATCTTTCATGGCTGGATAATTGCAATCCAGCTTTGGCAGAGATTGTTGACTGGCTCCCCCAAAGGCAGCCTCCTCTTCCTTGATAGTTATAGAAATTGTTATTATTATTATTATTATTTTGAGATGGAGTCTTGCAATGTTGCCCAGGCTGGAGTGCAGTGGCACGATCTCTGCTCACTGCAAGCTCCGCCTCCTGGGTTCACGCCATTCTCGCCTCAGTCTCCCCAGTAGCTGGCACTGCAGGCGCCCGCCAACGCGCCCAGCTAATTTTTTGTACTTTTTTGGTAGAGACGGGGTTTCACCGTGTTAGCCAGGATGGTCTCGATCTCCTGACCTCGTGGTCTGCCCGCCTCGGCCTCCCAAAATGCTGGGATTACAGGCGTGAGCCACCGCGCCTGGCCGATAGCTATAGAAATTTTAGCTGAGCATAGAGCTGCCTAGTAAAAGACCACATTTTTCGGTCTTCCTTGTAACTAGACGTGGCCATGTGACTAGGTTCTGGCCAATGGAATATGAGCAGGATGAGTGAAATGTCCAACTTCCAGGTGTGTCTTTAGAAGCAAAGAGTATATCCTCCCTTTTGCAGTGGATGTGCATGTGATGGCAGGTGCTAGAGTACCTATACCTATGCAACCACGGAAACTTCCATAATAGCTAGGGAAGCTACTTGCTAAGGAACACAGAACTATAGGATAGAAGAAACCTGGACCTCTTACTAATCTTGTGAAGCAGATTGCCCAACCAGGCCCCAACTGCTTTGTCTAGACCTTTTGTTTTTGTTTTTCTTTTTTTGTTGTTATTTTATGTATTTATTTATTTTATTATTATTATTATTTTTTTTTTTTTTGAGACAGAGTCTCGCTCTGTTGCCCAGGTTGGAGTGCAGCGGCGCGATCTCGGCTCACTGCAAGCTCCGCTTTCCGGGTTCACGCCATTCTCTTGCCTCAGCCTCCTGAGTAGCTGGGACTACAAGTGCCCTCCACTACACCCGGCTAATTTTTTTTTTTTTTTTTTTTGAGACGGAGTCTCGCTCTGTCGCCCAGGCTGGAGTGCAGTGGCGCGATCTCGGCTCACTGCAAGCTCCGCCTCCCGGGTTCACGCCATTCTCCTGCCTCAGCCTCCCGAGTAGCTGGGACTACAGGCGCCCGCTACCACGCCCGGCTAATTTTTTGTATTTTTAGTAGAGACGGGGTTTCACCGTGTTAGCCAGGATGGTCTCGATCTCCTGACCTCGTGATCCACCCGCCTCGGCCTCCCAAAGTGCTGGGATTACAGGCGTGAGCCACCGTGCCTGGCTGTTGTTATTTTAGAGACAGGGTCTTGCTCTGTCCCCAGACTGGAGTGCAATGGTGCAATCACAAGTTACGGTAATCTTGAACACCTGGGCTCAAGAGATCCTCCCACTGCAGCCACCCAAATAGCTTGAATTACAGGCACATGCCACCACGCCCCATTAATTTTTTAAATTTTTTAAATTTTTTGTAGACATGGGGGTCCCACTATGTTGCCTAGGGTGGTTTTGAACTCCTGGCCTCAGGTGATCCTCCTGCCTCAGCCTCCCTAAACACTTGAATTACAGGTGTGAGCCAATGGAACTGGCCTGTCTAGACTCTTTTTAGAGAAAGAACTTCTATCATGTTTGAAATTTGGTTTTGTTTCTTTTTGTTATTGCAGTCAAACTTCCAACCTAAGCTAATATATAAGAAAATGCACTGGATTTGTTCTTGAGCAGAACTTTAAAAAGCACACATTTATTTCTTCATTATAAAAAGAACCTGGCCGGGCGTGGTGGCTCATGCCTATAATCCTAGGGCTTTGGGAAGCAAAGGTGGGTGGATCACCTAAGGTCAGGAGTTGTAGACCAGCCTGGCCAATGTGGCAAAACCCCATCCCTACCACAAATACAAAAATTAGCTGGGTGTGGTGGTGGGCGCCTATAATCCCAGCTATTCCAGAGGCTGAGGCAGAAGAATGTCTTGAACCCAGGGGGAGGAGGTTGCAGTGAGCCGAGATCACGCCACTTCACTCTAGCCTGGGTGAAAGAGCGAGACTCCAGAAAAAATAAATAAATAAATAAATAAGTAAGTAAACAAACAAACAAACAAACCTACCAACAATACTCTTGATATGATGTGATGAGCATGGTACCTGATTTCTGTGGTCTTCTTCCCCAAAACCCATAACTCCAGTCTAATCATGAGAAAAACATCAGATAAGTCCAAATTGAGGTTTATCCTACAAAATACCTGGCCAGTGCTCCTCAAAACTATGAAAGTCATCAAAAAGAAGGAAGCCCAAGAAACTCACAACCAACGGGAGCTTAAGGAGACAGGACAACTAAATGTAATGTGGTGTCCTCTGAGGGATTCTGGAACAGTAGAAGGACATTAGATAAAAACCAAAGAAATCTGAATAAAGTGTGGACTTTTATTTATTTAATAATAAAATTCAATAATTTTATTGATTTTTATTACGTCAATAATGATTCAGGCCCAGCACTTTGGGAGACCAAGGCAGGTGGATCTCTTGAGGTCAGGAGTTTGAGACCAGCCTGGCCAACATGGTGAACCCCATCTCTACTAAAAATACAAAAAATTAGCTAGGCATGGTGGCAAGTGCCTGTAATCCCAGGTTCTCAGGAGGCTGAGGTAGGAGAATCGCTTGAACCTGGGAGGCAGAGGTTGCAGTGAGCCAAGATCGCACCACTGCACTCCAGCCTGGGCGACAGAGTGAGACTCCATCTCAAAAAAAAAAAATAATAATGATTCAATAATAATTTAATATTGGCTCATCAATTATGACAAAAGATGTTAACAGTAGGGAAAATTGGGTATGAGGTATAAGGGAACTCTGTTCTATGTTTGCAACTTCTCTTTAATCTAAATTTCTTCTAAAATAAAAAATTTATTGAAAAAATAGGCTGGGTGTGGTGCCTCACGCCTGTAATCTCATCACTTTGGGAGGCTGAGGCAGGCAGATTGCTTGAGGCCGGGAGTTGGAGACCAGCCTGGCCAACATAGCAAAACCCTGTCTCTACTAAAAATACAAAAATTGGCTGGGTGCAATGGGTCACGCCTGTAATCCCAGCACTTTGGGAGGCCGAGGCGGGCGGATCACCTAAGGTCACAAGTTCGAGATCAGCCTGGCCAACTTGGTGAAAACGTGTCTCCATTAAAAATACAAAAATTGGCCTGGCATAGTGGTGGGCGCCTGTAATCCCAGCTACTTGGGGGGGCTGAGGCAGGAGAATCACTTGAACCCAGGAAGTGGAGGTTGTAGTGAGCTGAGATCATGACACTGCACTCCAGCCTAGGTGACAAGAGCGAGACTCCATCTTACCAAAAAAAAAAATTAGCTGGGCATGGTGGCGCATACCTGTAATCCCAGCTTCTTGGGAGGCTGAGGTACGAGAACTGCTTGAACCCGGGGGGGTGGAGGTAGTAGTAACCCAAGATCACACCACTGCGCTCCAGTGTGAGTGACAGAGCAAGAGAAAAGGAGAAGAAAAGAGAAGAGAAGAGAAGAGAAAAGAGAAAGAGGCGGGGCGCGGTGGCTCATGCCTATAATCCCAGCACTTTGGGAGGCCGAGGCGGGTGGATCACTTGAGGACAGGAGTTCAAGCCTGGCCTGGCCAACATGGCGAAACCCCATCTCTACTAAACATACAAAATTAGCCGGGCGTGGTGGCGCGTGCCTGTAATCCTAGCTTCTCAGGAGGCTGAGGCAGGAGAATCGCTTGAACCAGGGAGTCGGAGGTTGCAGTGAGCTGAGATCATGCCACAGCACTCAAGCCTGGTGACAGAGTGAGACTCCATTTCAAAAAAGAAAGAAAGAGAGAGAGAGAAGGAAGGAAGGGAGAGAGAGAGAAAGAAAGAAAGAAAGAAAGAAAGAAAGAAAGAAAGAAAGAAAGAAAGAAAGAAAGAAAATATTACACTTTGAATTTTTTGTTTGTTTTTTGTTTGTTTTTGTTTTTTTTTGAGACAGAATCTTGCTCTGTCACCCAGGCTGGAGCGCAGTGGTGCGATCTCGGCTCACTGCAAGCTCCGCCTCCTGGGTTCACGCCATTCTCCTGCCTCAGCCTCCGGAGTAGCTGGGACTACAGGCGCCCACCACCACGCCCAGCTAACCTTTTGTATTTTTAGTAGAGACGGTATTTCACCGTGTTAGCCAGGATGGTCTCGATCTCCTGACCTCAGGATCCACCCGCCTCGGCCACCCAAAGTGCTGGGATTACAGGCATGAGCCACCGCGCCTGGCCACACTTTGAAAATTTTAGAATACAAATTGAAATGAAAAAAAAAAAATCACCCCAAACACCATAATTCAGCAATTTGCTATATCTGCATGTGTGCTTTAAATGAAAACTACCATACTGTATATACAATTTCTGTCTTATGTTAATTAAAATTTATCCTTAAGCATTTGTATATACATTCATTTCCTAGCTTTTCAAGAGGACCTGAAATCAATGACATATAACAGCAATTAATACAGTTGGTTTCCAAAAGGAACAGAGCCCCCTAGAGAAATGACCGATTCCAGAGTTGGGACAGAATGAGCCTGTGGATATTGTGTGCCAGACAGTAAATAGTGCTCAAAGAATGACGGCATAAGTCAAGAGGACACATGAGTTAGCTCGAACAGGCTCCACTGGCCAAATCTGGGACAACTTGAGAATCAACATCAATAGAAAGTGTAATGAAAAATAACACATTGAATAAAATAAGAAAGCAATTGTACCAGTTTACTCTTCCCTACACTCTTGCCAATACTAGATATTAGCAACAGTTTACTTTTTGCTAATCTAAAGGGTAAAAAGCAGTATCTTACTATTGTTATGGTTTTAGGAATTGCTATTTATTAAGCAGGAAAATTTATTGACCATATGTGTTTCTTCTTCAGTGAATTTTTGACTCCTATTACTTGCCAAATATTTCAACTGGGTTATTTGTAATTTTCTTATTAATATGTGAAAATTCATACACATTATGAAGACTACCTTTTTGTTTGCCATATGTTTATTTCAGGGGCAACTATAATGTAATGGTCAAGAGTATGAACCCTGGAACCAGACTGGATGAGTTCAAAACTGGGCTCCACCACTTAATAGCTATTTGATCTCTAGCAAAAGATTTAATCTTTTTTTTTTTTTTTTGGAGCCGAAGTTTCACTCTCCTCACCCGAGCTGGAATGCAATGGTGCAATCTCGGCTCACTGCAACCTCTGCCTCCCAGGTTCAAGTGATTCTCCTATCTCAGCCTCCCAAGTAACTGGGATTACACGCACCCACCACCATGCCTGGATAATTTTCATATTTTTAGTAGAGACAGGGTTTCACCATGTTGGCCAGGCTGGTCTTGAACTCCTGACCTTGTGATCCACCCGCCTCGGCCTCCCAAAGTGCTGGGATTACAGGCATGAGCCACCACACCTGGTCAAAGTATTTAATCTTGTTGTGCCTCCATTTCCTATCTATAAAAGGCAGATAATCATAATGCTTGCACCATAAGATCACTAGGATGCTTAAATGAGTTAAGACATGTAAATTGCTTAGAACAGAAATTGGCATGTATAAAGTGATAAATAATTGCTGGTTATTATGTTATTACTCTTCAGATAGAATGTCTAAAAAAATTTTTTTTTGTTTTGAAACAGAGTTTCGCTCTTGTTGCCCAGGCTGGAGAGCAATGAGGCAATCTTGGCTTACTGCAACCTCTGCCTCCTGGTTCAAGTGATTCTCGTGCCTCAGCCTTCCAAGTAGCTGAGATTACAGGTGCCTGCCACCACGCCCAGCTAATTTTTGTATTTTTAGTAGAGACGGGGTTTCACCATGTTGGGCAGGGCTGGTCTGAACTCCTGACCTCAGGTGATCCACCTGCCTCGGCCTTCCAAAGTGCTGGGATTACAGGTGTGAGCCACCGTGCCTGGCCCTACATTTTTTATGTAGTCAGATCTAGTGATCTTTTTCTTCATGGCTTCTTGATCTTCTCTTTTGTTAAGGAAGGTTTTATGAACCCCAAGAATAGAAAAATAAATGTTTCCTAATATCTCCTTCTAGCATTTGCATAGTTTGTTTTCTATGTTAGTATCTATAACAATATGCCAGGCATTCTGTTGGTTGCAGGGGATAGAAGGATGAGCAAGACAGAGGGGCCTGTTCTTGCCCCTCCTGGAGCTTACATTGTAGTGGGGTAACAGACAAAAAAACAAGAAACCGGGCGCAGTGGCTCACACTTGTAATCCCAGTACTTTGAGAGGCCAAGGCAGGTAGTTTATCTGAGGTCAGGAGTTCGAGACCAGCCTGGCCAACATGGTGAAAACCCATCTCTACCAAAAATACAAAAGTTAGCCGGGCGTGGTGGTGGGCACCTGTAATCCTAGCTACTTAGGAGGCTGAGGCAGGAGAATCCCTTGAACCCAGGAGGTGGAGGTTGCAGCGAGCCGAGATTGTGCCACTGCACTCCAGCCTGGGTGACAGAGTGAGACTCTGTCTCAAAAAACAAAAACAAAAGCAAACAAACAAACAAACAAAAAAACCCAAGAAAACAATCAGTAAAATGATAAATTCAGTAAGTGCCATGAAACAAAAACATTATAAACTTCTCTATATATTTATAATCTGTTACCTCCTCCCGAGAAAAGTCTCTCCCCAATCTAATGTAGGGAAAACAAATACAAAAGAAAAAAGGGAGAAGGCAATAAAGCTGTCCCAGCCACTTTTGGTACAGTTATATTCCTTTTCCTCCATTTTCTGTGGCCTGGGTATTATCTCCATGGTTCTGTGGCATTGTAGAGCTTTCCTGTAACCTTTTGACTGTGTCCTTGCCATTGTGCCCTTAACATACCTCTTAGGACTTAAAGGCTTCGGTGTGGAGCAAGAAGTGACAGCTGGCCTCTGCAAGAAGGATGAAGGCTGAAGAAAGGCCTGGACTGGCTCAAAGGGGATATCGGTGACTTCCAGAGTAACAACTACCGTAACATGTTTGAGACAAGGGCAAAATTTCAAGGCATTTGAGCTCGTCTTTAGTTGTGCTTGTGGACACTGCCAACCCTTCTAACCTCTGAATCAGTCCTTGTTCTCCTTCTTGAGGCCTGCTCTTCCTTCATTCAACTCTGCAGACATTCTCATTTCCACGAGTTGAAATATTTTCAAATCCAGAAATTGAGCCACTGCTGTTTCACCAAAAAAGTTCTGACCAGATGGGTTCATTTAGCCTCTTTCACTGATGAGAGGTACTTTACCCTTGTAAGATTAAGCATTCAGGTGACCAGATCGGAGAGTGGGATAAGGTTGCAATAGGGTTTAAATAGACTGGGAATGGCCAGGCACGGTGGCTCATGCCTGTAATCCCAGCAATTTGGGAGGCCAAGGCAGGTGGATCACCTGAGGTCAGGAGTTTGAGACCAGCCTGGCCAACATGGCGAAACCCTATCTCTACTAAAACTACAAAAATTGGCTAGGCGTGGTGGCACACACCCGTAATCCCAGCTACTTGGGAGGCTAAGGCAGGAGAATTGCTTGAACCCTGGGGGCGGAGGTGGCAGTGAGCTGAGATCATGCCACTTCACTCCAGCCTGGGCGACCGAACGAAACTCAGTCTCAATAAATAAAATAGACCGGGAATAATGGCTTCTCAGAATGATCTGGGATGTAAGTTCCAGTTGCCATCTATTTACTGGTGTTCAAGTCTACATTCCAGTAAAACAATAGCATGCATTTTTCCAGTATGTTTTATGTGCTATCTGCTGTTCTATGTGCTTTAAACAATCATTTAATCTTCCTGATGATAAAGGTAAATATTATCGGTATTCTTGCATTTCATATTGAAGAAACTGAAGCCCTGAGAGGTTAAGAGATTTAACAAAGCCAGGCTGGATATGGTGGCTCAGGCCTGCAATCCCAGCACTTTGGGAGGCTGAGCGGAGAGGATTGCTTGAGGTGGGAGGATTGCTTGAGGCCAGGAGTTTGAAACCAGCCATAACAAGGCCTCATCTCTACAAAACATTTTGAAATTAGCCGGGTGTGGTGATGCATACCTGTAGTCCTAACTGCTTGGAAAGCTGAGTAAGGATGATCCCTTGAACCCAGGAGTTTGAGACTACAGTGAGCTATAATTGCACCACTGCACTCCAGCCTGGGTGACAGAGTGAAAGAACTTGTCTCTAAAAAAAACAAAAGAAACACACACACACACACACACACACACACACACACACACACACACCCACCCACAGAGAGAGAGAGAGAGAGAGAAACAACAAAAAGGGAGACTTAACAAAACATTTACAACTAGTTAGTAACCGGCAGACCCAGGATTCAAAACCTAGACAATCTAGAGTCTACGCACCACTTTTTTTTTTTTTTTTTTGAGACAGCATTTCACTCTGTTGCCATGCTGGAATGCAGTGATGATGTGATCATAGCTCACTGCAGCCTTGACCTCCTGGGCTCAAGTGATCCTCCCAACTCAGCCTCTCAAGAGTAGCTAGGACTACAGGTGTACACCACCATGCTCGGCTAATCTTTAAAATTTTTGTAGAGACAGGATCTTGCTATGTTTCCCAGGCTGATCTTGAACTCTTGGGCTCAAGCAATCCCCCAGCCTCAGCCTCCCAAAGCACTGGGATTACAGACATGTGCCATCCTGCCTGGCCTTAGAGTCTCTGTCCTTCTTAATAGCTACGCTATATTGCCTCTCAAGAGTAAATTTGTTTTTATTGCCTGACATGTTTTTTGTTATTTATTTATTTTTTCTTTCATGACCAAGAAACTGGTTTCAGACATCTGGAGGTAGGCAATTCCTTGAGAATGTTGAGAGCATGAGAAAATAGCATAGGGGAATTTTCTTACAGAGTTGGATAAGAGATCCCAAGAAAAGAGGTGGGAGGTGCTAAAGTTTTAGAAATAAGGGTTTTGAGCTTTTTTCAGAATCAAGGATTTCAGACTTGTGAGGCTGAGGTAATTTTCTGAAAAAAACTTGTTAACTCGGGGGAGACAGAGGGAGTAAAAGAGGCCATTCTCCCCAGAGTAGGCAACAGTGGGAAGGCATTTGGAAAGAAGGCAGTGGCCGGTGGTGGACGGGTGCTGAAATGATGGCCCAAAGGGGTTGCTGCGGGATTTAATCCAGCGTTATGAATATGCTGTTCATAGTTTTGGCCATTAACTCCAGATAATGGAGGCCAGCTGCAGAGAAGAGAGGGCGCAGGCTGTTTAACTTTGTGCAGTGGATTACCGGGCTGCTGCAGAAGCATCAGATCCTCACTCCCAGGTGGGCTCTGAAGAGGCAGCAGGCACGTGGCTTGTGGTCTAAATTCAGCACGCAGTACAAAGGCAGTGGGGGAGGGCTGCAAGGTGGGCGATGCCGGACTGCAGAGGAGGTACTGGCAACCTCAGAATCTGGCTTACATCGGCGTTCGTAGGAAAATCTCTCCACTTACCCTTCTGGTTTCTTTCTCCTTCTCATCATCTTTCACTCTCTGCCTCAGATGTGTGTCTGTTTAAAAGACAGTCTCCTCTGTCAGACTCAGCCCTTGCTGTCAGCCATCCGCCAGGCCTGGTGAATCCTGAGTCCTGTTTCCAGGCTTGGTCTTGTTGGGGTGGCTCATAAGAAGCTCCGGGGGGAGGAGGAGGATGCACTTAGCAGGGTCTATTGGTGTCCACATAGAGGACTGGGAAAAAATGCAGCTGCCTGGGGTGGGGGATTGGCCCCAGGCCTCCCTGATGACTCCCTCCCTGGGCCCTCCCTCCTGTGAGTGGCATTCCTTGAATGAACTCCAAGGAGAATGTATTTACATCCGTAAGGTCAGACTATCAGAGAGGGCTTCATTAAGCACAGGAACAAAACACACGACTTTCCCTTCAACTAATGCACCATTGCTTAGCCAAAGACATCAGAGTACTTTACATTGACCTCATGTATTCTGACTCCATGAGAATTTTACAAGTGAAGGAAACTCAGCCTCCAGATTTGTGTTTCCATCTCTTTTGCTTATTAGAAAGGAACACATTTACTGAGCACCTAAAATTGGCCAGGTCCTGGGGATACATGTTTTCTTATTCTATCCTTGTTAATCCTCACAACAATGCCACAAGGGAGTCATGATTGCCCCCGTTTTTAGGTGACGAAACTCTGAGAGAAGCAACTTACTATGGTTACACAGCTATAATGATGAGGCTGGGATTCAAATCCAGGCCTATAAAGATTCTAAAATGCAGCCAGGTGTGGTGGGTCACACCTGTCATCCCAGCACTTTGGGAGGCTGAGGCTGGTGGATCGCTTGAGCTCAGGAGTTTGAGATCAGCCTAGGCAACATGGTGAAACCCTGTCTCTACAAAAAATACAAAACTTAGCTGGACATGGTGGCATGCACCTGTAGTCCCAGCTACTCAGGAGGCTGAGATTGCAGCGAGCCAAGATTGCACCATTGCACTCCAGCCTGGGCCACAGAGTGAGACTCTGTCTCAAAAAAAAAAAAAAAAAAGTCACCAGAAAAGAAAATAAAAAAGACTCTAAAATGCACACTTTTTTCAACATACTTCACTTTATTTAACAGTCATGAAACATTCATCAAGCACCTAAGATATGAATTCACAGATGAAAAACGTGATCCCGGGCTGAGCATGGTGGCTCACACCTGTAATCCCAGCACTTTGGGAGGCTGAGATGGGTGGATCTCTTGAGGTCAGTAGTTCGAGACCAGCCTGACCAACATGGTGAAACCTCATCTCTACTAAAAATACAAAAATTAGCCAGGTGCAGTAGCAGGCATCTGTAATCCCAGCTACTCGGGAGGCTGAAGCAGGAAATCGCTTGAACCCGAGAGGCAGAGGTTGCAGTGAGCCGAGATGGTGCCACTGCACTCCAGCCTGGGCAACAGAGCGAGACTCCATCTCAAAAAAAAAAAAAAAAAAAAGATAAACGTGATCTCTGCCTTCAGAGAACTCACAACCATGTGGAGGAAACACACAAGTAAGCAGACAATTGAAACAGAATGTAGAGTGGTAAGTATAGTGACAAACAAAGAACAGGAGATTTAGGAGCCCAAAGGAGAAATTATGGGCTCTGCCCAAGGAAGTCCCAGGAAGGCGGCCTTTAATCAACCCATGCCCACTGCATTCCTGGTCACATGAGCATGGAGGTGCTGAAGAAAAAATAGCTGACATTTCTTGGCGGGCATTTTACTAAATATGCATTATTTCACTTAATCCTCACAACCTTGATCCTGAATAGGGCAATGAAGGATGGCAAAAGGATTTATAGGCATGCCCCCTGTGTTAGTAAGGTGCTCATGGAGCCCAAGGTAGGTTATTCAATAATAATGAGAGCCTTGAAGAGTGGCAGTAAGCCTGGAGCTAAGTCCTCAGTCTGGGCCTGTCTGGGGGGAAGCAGGTGAGACGAGGCTCTTTTACTGTGTTTACTGCAGTGCCAGTGTCCAACCTGGCTTCCACCACAGTGTCTTATCCCCTTTGTGGTCTGAAGAATATTGAAAGCTAATCCTGCTTGCCCCAAACACTCCCCTGCAGTGCACAGAATGCCTGCCAAAAACCAACCAGACTAGGTGATTTTGCCTGCTTGGCCCTGACCTTCCAGATTGTTTCCTTGTCTTCTCAGGAAATATCACTCATGCCATGCTTCCATTGTGTTCTTCTCTGCTTAAGCAGGTGAGATTATATCTGTCTATCTATCTATCTATATAACATGTATTATTATATATTATATATTATACATATATACATATATATTATACATATACAATACATATATTTTTATATATAATATATGTATTTTTATGTTTTATATATATAGTCTCACCTGCTTAAGCAGAGAAGAACCCAACGGAAGCATGGCATGAGTGATATATATATGTATTGTGTATATATATATATATATATATATATATATATATATATTTTTTTTTTTTTTTTTTTTTTTTTTTTTGAGATGGAGTCTTGCTCTGTCACCCAGGCAGGAGTGCAGTGGCATGATCTCAGCTCATTGCAACCTCCACCTCCTGGGTTCAAGCGATTCTCCCACCTCAGCCTCCTGAGTAGCTGGGATTACAGGCACTCACCATCATGCCCGGCTAATTTGTGTATTTTTGTAGAGACGGGGTTTCACCGTGTTGGCCAGGATGGTCTTGAACTCCTGACATCAGGTGATCCACCTGCCTCAGGCTCCCAAAGTGCTGGGATTACAGGCGCCTGCCACCATGCCCAGCTAATTACAAGTTTATTTTATTTTATTTTATTTTATCTTATTTATTTATTTGGCACAGAGTCTCACTCTGTTGCCCAGGCTGGAGTGCAGTGGCATGATCTTGGCTCACTGCAACCTCTGCCTCCCGGGTTCAAGCAATTCTCCTGCCTCAGCCTTCCGAATAGCTGGGACTACAGGCGTGAGGCACCACACCCGGCCAAAAGTTTATTTTATTTTCTTATTTTATTTTATTTTCTTATTTTATTTTATTTACAGGCATGAGCCACCACACCCAACCAAAATAATTTATTTTAGATTAGCATATAGTTAAAGGCAACATTATACAGTTGTATTTATAAAGCTTTTTTCTTTTCTTTGCCAGACGTGGTGGTTCACGCCTGTTATCCTAGCACTTTGGGAGGCCGAGGTGGTCAGATTGCCCGAGCTCAGGAGCTCGAGACCAGCCTGGGCAACATGGTGAAACCCTGTATCTACTAAAATGCAAAAAAAAAAAAAAAAAAATTAGCCAAACGTGGTGGTGTGTGCCTGTAGTCCCAGCTACTCGGGAGGCTGAGGCAGGAGAATTGCTTGAACCCGGGAGGCAGAGGTTGCAGTGAGCTGAGATGGGGCCACTGCACTCCAGCTTGGCGACAGAGCGAGACTCCGCCTCAAAAAAACAAAAACAAAAACAAAAAAACTTCTTTTTTTATTAGTTTTTTTTTTTTTTGAGACGGAGTCTCGCTCTGTCGTCCAAGCTGGAGTGCAGTGGCATGATCTTGGCTCACTGCAAGCTCCGCCTCCCTGGTTCATGCCATTCTCCTGCTTCAGCCTCCCGAGTAGCTGGAACTACAGGTGCCCGCCACCACGCCTGGCTAATTTTTTGTGTGTTTTTAGTAGAGACGGGGTCTCACCGTGTTAGCCAGGATGGTCTCGATCTCCTGACCTCATGATCCGCCCACCTTGGCTTCCCAAAGTGCTGGTATTACAGGCGTGAGCCACGGCACCTGGCCTTTTTTTTTTTTTTGAACTAGAGTTTTGCTTTATCACCCAGGCTGGAGTGCAGTGGTGCCATCTCAGCTCACTGCAACTTCCGCCTCCCGGGATCAAGCAGTTCTTTTGCCTCAGCCTCCCAAGTCGCTGGGATTACAGGCATGCACCACCACGCCTGGCTAACTCTTGTATTTTTAGTAGAGACGGGGTTTCACCATGTTGGCCAGAATGGTCTTGAACTCCTGACCTCAGTTAATCTGCCCACCTCTGCCTTCCAAAGTGCTAGGATTACAGACGCAAGCCACTGTGCCTGGCCTGTATTTATAAATCTTTAATAACACTCATAAACTGTAATTTTTTACACTTGCCCATTTAATTAGTGATACATGTTTAATTTCAATAAATCATGTAACAAAAACATCTATATATATATTTGTGTGTATGTATATATATGTGTGTGTGTATGTGTGTGTGTGTGTGTGTGTGTATTTTGAGACAGGGTCTCACTGTGTTACCCAGGCTGGAGTGCAGTGGTGTGATCTTGGCTCACTGCAGCCTCAACCTCTTGGGGTCATGTTGATATGGACCAGAGGCAGGGAAATACTGGGTAGAAGAGGGTGGTTCCCCGCAAAAGCCCCACCCACAAGCCTGGGGCTGCAGCCCTAAATAAGAGCTTTACATCTCTCTTTTCCCACCCACACGTTGCTTTTTCCAAAACCACCCTGGCTTGCCATGCCCACCATCCTGTATGCATAAAAACCCCAAACTCCACTGGCAGAGGAGCAGAGTAGCATGGCAGAGAAGGAGAGAAGAGAAGAAGCGTCTGAATGTTGAAGAGACAGCTGGACTATCAGAAAGGAGGTCAGCTGGGGATGGCTGAAATCCAGGGGAAGATTATTTTCCCACTCCACACCCTTTCTAGCTCCCTGTCCCACTGACAGCCACCTCTATCACTCAATGAAACCTCCACATTCACCATCCTTCAAGTCCATGTGGCCAGATTCTTCTTGGGCACCAGAAAAGGACCTGGGTACCAAGAAGGAAAGGTGTAAAAGGCTGTCACCCTGACTCTCCACTGAGCTGGTTAACACTTAGCTGTCTGCAGACAGAAACTGCTAAAAGAACATTAATTGTAGCATACCCTTAGATGCTACCATGGAGATGGAGCCCAAAAGCTCTCGTCAGAGCCCCAGCACCCACTTGCCTGCATGCTCCCCCTCCCACAAAGGGTTTCAGGATGGCAGCCGAGTAAGTGAGCCACACTCCTGTTGCAAGTCCTGTGAAGTGGTCCAGGGGGCTCTCCTGTCTTAAAGCAAGCCTCCCACCTCAGCCTCCCCAGTAGCTGGGACTACAGGCACATGCCATGACTCTCGGTTAAATTTTGTATTTTTTGTAGAGATAGGGGTTTCGCCATGTTGCCCAGGTTGGTCTTGAACTGGCTTCAAGCGATCCACCTGCTTCAGCCTCCCAAAGTGCTAGGATTACAGGCATGAGCCACCACACATGACCTACAAAAAATATTATTTTTCCATCAATCCATTTAAAAGTGGTATGTGGCCCAAGCATGGTGGCTCACGCCTGTAATCCCAGCACTTTGGGAGACCAAGGCGGGTGGATCACCTGAGGTCAGGAATTTGAGACCAGCCTGGCCAACATGGTGAAACGCTGTCTCTACTAAAAATACAAAAAATCAGCAGGGCATGGTGGCACACGCCTGTAGTTCCAGCTACTCAGGAGACTGAGGCAGGAGAATCGCTTGAACCTGGCAGGCAGAGGTTGTAATGAGCCATGATCTGTCACCCAGGCTGGAGTACAGTGGCACGATCTCAGCTCACTGCAATCTCTGCCTCCTGGGCTCAAGAGATTCTCCTGCCTCAGCCTCCTGAATAGTTGGGATTACAGGCCTGTGCCACATACCCAGCTCATTTTTGTATTTTTAGTAGAGACAGGGTTTCACCATGTTGGCCAGGCTGGTCTGCAACTCCTGACCTCAGGTGATCCGCCCACCTCAGCCTCCCAAAGTGCTGGTATTACAGGAATGAGCCACTGCGCCCAGCCTCATATGTTGAAATTTAAACAGATCGAGAAATGAGCCCAGAGTGAAATAAATAAATAAAAAAATAAATATAAATAAGTTTTTATTAATTTATTTTTTTGAGATAGAGTCCCGCTGTGTTCCCCAGGCTGGAGTGCGGTGGCTGGATCTCAGCTCACTGTAACCTCTGCCTCCCAGGTTCAAACAATTCTCCTCCTCAGCCTCCCAAGTAGCTGTGATTACAGGCGTGCGCCACCACACCTGGCTGTTTTTTTAAATTTTTAGTAGAGACGAGGTTTCACCATGTTGGCCAGGCTGGTCTTGGACTCCTGACCTCAAGTGATCCACCTCCCAAAATGCTGGGATTACAGGCATGAGCCACCACGCCTGGCCAATAAAAAGAAATTTAAACAGATATAACTATACATCAAAAAGATAATTCATAATTGGGTATTTGGGATTCTTCCATTTTATTTGTTAATGAATTCTTGCATTTTATTTTCAATTACTGTATTTACAATGTATTTATAATTAGTGGACTTAAGAGAACATATTTTGTTTGTAAGAGATAGACACATTTTGGGGCTACTATTTGTATGTACTTTCCAAATAACATTTGTGAGCATAGGTAATCTTTATCCCCCCATAAATGAATAAGAAGTCCAACTGGATATAGTTATCCCTATGGACAGGATAACTTGCTGTTTAAAGGTCTGGATATGGACTATGCAGGTGTAAATCTTGGTTCTATCACTTCATAACTATGTGACTCTCGGTGACTTAATCCCTTATCTTAAAAAAAGGGGGTGAAATAAGAAAAATAAATAATTACGGGGTTGTGAAAATTAAATGAGTTAATGCACGTAAAGCCCACACACGTAAAATCCATTTTAGAAAATCTAGAAATTGCAGAAAAATAGGAAACCAGAAATCATCCAACCTTAGTAACTTAATGGACAGTGGCTAATCCCAATGGTGCTTTTGTACAAATTAGAAAAACTGGCCCTTCCTCAAGATACTTGACTGCTATCAGCCAGAAAGCTGTCTTAGTGGGGGGGGGGGGGGGCACTATTTATTAATTATACTGGGATATCAAACATAAACTAAGATTGTCTTAAGCAAAAGAAGACCTTGCCTCTGGATGACAATGTAGACAATGTAGGATGTTTTTGATTTAATGCTATTAGTAATCATGTGGAGATGAACAAATTTATACATAAAATTTTTCTGTATTTAGAATTTAGGCTAGATTCCAGCACCTGGCAGGCACACAGAGGGTATTTGTTAAATAAATGAATGAATGAAAGCGGGGAGGATGCAGAGAGGGAGGGAGAGGGGGAGGGAAAAGGAGAGAGAGAGGGAGAAAATGAATTTGCCAAATTATTTTTCAAAAGAATTATGTCAGTAGTGGCTGTTTAAATTTGTGTTAACTTAGATGAAAAATAGTCTCTCATTTTTATTTCTAGTTCTGTAATTATCATCAGAGGATGAATATTTTCCATGTGTTAGTTCATTTATTTTGGCTATTAATTGGGATCTTGATTATTTTTCTTATAAAATTGTACACATCCTTTACATAGGAAAGATATTAACCACTTATTATAATTTTTTCTTGCAATTATTTTTTCAATTTAACTTTTAATTTTTATTATCGTCTTGGTTTTTAACCTGGTGGTTTCTAATCTTCATGCAGGGAAATTTACTAATATTTTGTTTTGTGATTTATTCTATCAGAGTAAATCTTAAAAATTGCCCTTCCTGACAAAGATCTGATATTCACTTCTATTTTCTTCTCATTCTTTCTGGGTTTGTTTAAAAAATACACATATTTCTTTTATCCATCTAGAATCAGTTTGATTATATATATATACATATATACATATATATACACATATATATACATATATACATATATACATATATACATATATATACATATATACATATATATACATATATACATATATATACATATATATACATATATAGCAAATTAAATACTCTAATACCATTTGTTGAATATTTCTTTCCTTTCTCATTAATTTCTGAAGTACACTTATGGTAAAAATTTATACCTACCTCTGAGCTATCTTCCTCCATTTGATGAGTCTTTAAACTCCATTTTTTTTTTTTTTACCTTTAAAATCAGTTCAAGTGGTAAACTTAGGGGCAGCTGAAAATAAATGCCTTCAAGACTAAAGTAACTGTGTGGAAAAAACCTGGAAAGATATTTAGTTCAGTGTGGGGGTGACAGGTGATGAATATGGGGTCGCTCATCATGACTAAGGAAGACCTCTCCCCATCCCCCAACACAATAAAGAAATAAATTAGATGGAGAAATAATTAAATAAATAAAGGTACTACAAACAGAGCACGTTTTCCCTAAATAAAGGAAGGCAGTAACAGAGGAAGACACTGCAGTTAATCCAATGTTTCTCTCATTAAGAGAGGCAATCTAGATACTGATTAGATCTACTGGAAAATTTACCCAGGTATTGAAATCAACCCTTCCAAAAGGTTCTTTGCTTGGAGGCTCAATAACAATAGAGTAATGGAGTGTATGCCGCTATTTGCTTTCCAAGGAGATGGAGGAAGTGGCACAGCCACTGAGACACCTAGTGGTGAGGGTTTTACTGCACGGTTAGAGTTTGCCAGTTGGGCTCATCTAAGAGCCACTTCCTTGGGGGAGGCAGTGTGCATTTGAGGAGCTTAGATGTCCTTCTTTTAGCTCTCCTTTTCTGCCCCCAGCAAAATAATTTGAGCTCTCTATTGTGTGCATGAAGCCTCAGAGACAAGCGCTGATAGATCTGAAAACTGAATAGCCTCTTCAAAGTTGGAAAAGAGAACTACGAAGCTAAATTAACACCTGCTGACCAACATGGTTTCTCAAGCCCTGGGGGACAGCTGAAGATGTAAATTTAGTCAATTGAATTAATATTCATTAGAGAGCGGCAGCGTGTTTCATCAAGCATATTATTTCCATCCCCTACCCTTCTAGGCCTTATAAATACTCAAACAAGAGGATAATTATAATTTTCATTTTATTGTAATTATAGTGTTTGAACTGTAAGTTCACCCACATTCAGAGTATTACAAGGTAAAGATTGTTCTACATATTATTCAGGCATGATAATTGACCACAGATGTGAACTACAGAGTTGTGTTTAATATCTGAAATTTGTCATTTATGTTGAGGACATTCTTCAATGGTTCAGAAAAGGAAAGATTAATGGGCTCATTCACTTATTCATTTGTTCAAATATAGAGTATCACAGCACTAGGCCCTGAGGATTTGGTGCTTAAAAGAGAATCTCAGTCATTGTCCTCATGATCTTACAGGCTAAAGTGTACAATTTTGCAAGTCTCTATAATAAAGTGGGATGAATACTATAGGAGTGAAAGTACAGGATGCTAATGAAATGCAGCAACTTGGTCCTTGGGGTCACAGAAGGCCTCCAGAGAAGGGCAAGTGTAAGTCAAGTCCTGAAAGATGGATAAGAGCTAACCATAAAGGAGGGAGACGGTGACCAGGAAGATACTATTTCAGGTGAGAACGTGAGAAGTTAAAAGAACTAAAGGCAGTCAGTGTGACTACAGCAAAGAATTCAGGAGTCAGGGATGAGGCTGGGGAGGAATGCGATGGCCAGGGAATGGAGGGACATCATAGGAGTTAAGGAGGTTGTTTTTTCTCCTAAGGGCAATAGGAAGACAATAAGGAATTTAAAAGAGGGGAACTGAAGCATCAGATTTGCCTTTAAAAATGATAATTTGCTTGCTGCCTGGAAAATAGGAAGGAGGAAGGCAATTGGGATGACCAGTCAGAAAGCTTTTGCAGAAGTCTAGGTGAGAAATCATGTTACATTGTTAGTTTCCAGTGTGTATCCTGGATGTAATAAAACAACGTTAGCTTGGCTGGGCATAGTGACCTGTGCCTGTAGACTCAGGAGGCTGAGGTGGGAGGATCACTTGAGCACAGAAGTTTGAGACCAGCCTGGGCAACATAATGAGACTCCACCTCTCAAGAAATAAAAAAGAGAGAGAAAGAATAATGTTACCTTGGATTACAGTAATGGTGGTTTTTTAATCTGAAAGATGAGCAAATAATACTATAAATCTCAGAGTTGTAATAAGAATTCAATATTAAGGCCGAGTACAGTGGCTCACGGCTATAATCCCAGCACTTTGGGAGGCCAAGGTGGGTGGATCACCTGATGTCAGGAGTTCGAGACCAGCCTGGCCAACATGATGAAACCCTGTCTCTACTAAAAATACAAAAATTAGGTGGGCCTGGTGGTAGGTACCTGTAGTCCCAGGTACTTGGGAGGCTGAGGCAGGAGAATTGCTTGAACCCAGGAGGCGGAGGTTGCAGTGAGCCAAGATCGCAATACTGCACTCCAGCCTGGGCGACAGAGCAAGACTCCATCTCAACAAAACAAAACAAAACAAAACAATACCAAAAACAAAAACACAATTCAATATTAAGTATTTACTACATTGTATGGCATAAACTAAATGATCAGTTGATTTTGGCTATTTTGATACTGGCTATTATTTGAAGTAGATATTACTCACAGTATTAAATAATTACTCTTTTGGTACACATACCAAACTTTTAACTTTTATTTAGAGACAGAATCTTGCTCTGTCACCCAGGATAGAGTTTAGTGGCACCATCACAACTCACTGCAACCTCCAACTCCTGGGTCCTGGCTTCAAGAGATCCCTCCACTTCAGTCTCCCAAGTAGCTAGGACTACAGGCACCTGCCACCACGCCCAGATAACTTCTTCTTATTACTTTTTTAGATATGGGGTCTTGCTATGTTGCCCAGGCTGGTCTCAAACTCCTGGCCTGAAGTGGTCCTCCTGTCTCAGCCTTTTGAATAGCTGGGATTACAGGCTCAAACCAGTGCACCTGGCTTTACTGAGCACTTAGAAAGTACTAAACACTTCACACGATCCTCACAATGTCCCCAAAAAGCAAGTGTGTCAGAAAAGTGAAAGATCTTGGGACAATACCCTGCTCAGATGGAAACAGCCTGTTCTTCACCATTATGCTTTTATTTATTCATTCACTCAACAAATGTTTATTTCTGTGCTAGTGTCTGTTTTAGGTGCCAGTGATACAGCCTTAAAGAAGTCAGAGTTTCAGTCCAACAGAGGAGACAGACAATGGACAAATGAAGAAATAGGCTGCATGCGGTGGCTCATGCCTGTAATTCCAGCACTTTGGGAGGCTGAGGCTGGCAGGTCACTTAAGGTCAGGAGTTTGAGATCAGCCTGGCCAACATGGTGAAATCCCATTTCCACTAAAAATACAAAAATTAGCTGGGTGTGTGAGCCAAGATCGTGCCACTGCACTCCAGCCTGGGTGACACAGTGAGAATCTGTCTCAAAAAAAAAAAAAAAAAAAAAAGAAAAAAAAGAAAAAAGAAAGAGAAAAAAGAAATAAACAAGAAAACACAAGTTGTGAAGACAGCTATAATGTATATTACATACAGGATGTTATAACAGAGAGGAGGAGCCTACTTTGGATGTGATGATGAGCACAGAAGACTTCTCTGAGGTGATTTTCAAGCTCAGATAGAAGGATGAAGAGATCATTCCATAAAGCAGCGAAGGAAAAAAAAAGATTAAGAAAAGATATCTGTGCAAAGAGCCGGGGCGGGGCGAGTGGGGAGAACACTGCAGGCTGAGTAAAGAGCAAGTGCAAATGCCCTGAGGCAAAACATACAGGTAAAGTAACTTGATAAATCTTAAGAATAGCTAGCGCCGGTGGCTCACGCCTGTAATCCCAGCACTTTGGGAGGCCGAGGCGGGCAGATCACAAGGTCAGGAGATCAAGTCCATCCTGGCTAACGCGGTGAAACCCTGTTTCTACTAAAAATACAAAAAATTAGCTGGGCGTGCTGGTGGGTACCTGTAGTCCCAGCTACTTGTGAGGCTGAGGCAGGAGAATGGCGTGAACCCGGGAGGCGGAGCTTGCAGTGAACCGAGGTCGTGCCACTGCACTCCAGCCTGGGCGACAGAGTGAGACTCCATCTCAGAAAAAAAAAAAAAAAAAAAAAAAAAAAAAAAAAAAAAAATAGCTAGGGCTTAGTGCAAATAGAGTAGGGAATTAGGGAGGTAAGACTGGGAAGGCAGGCAGGGGTCAGACCAAGTCAGGACGTGTAGACCTTGCTAAGGTATTTGGATTTTATTCTAACAACAATGGGAAGCCATTGAGGGCCTTTAAATAGGGGAAACAAATTACATTATTTGATTTTTTTTTTTTGAGTGAGCTGAGATCGCTCTATTGCACTCCAGCCTAGGTGACAGAGTGAGACTCCATCTCAAAAAGAAAAAATAAATAGATAAATAAACAAATAACACTCTAGCTGCCATGTGAAGAATGGATCAGAAGACCGAAATATTAGTGGTTGCAGGACTTTACGTGAGACATAGAGATGGAGAAGATTAGGATGTAGTGGTAGAGGGGGAGGATTCAAGATATACTTTGGAGGTAGAACCAATCTTTGGATTTTTATAAAGAGGACCAATTCTAGGTTTTTGTTTTGAACAACCAGGTGGTACTATTTACTATGCTGGGAGAGTTTGAGGGAAGGAATAGGTTCAGTTGATAAAATCAATAGCTCCAAGTTGGACATATTAAATCTGATATATCGGTCAGACGTAGTGGCTCATGCCTGTATTCCCAACACTTTGGGAGGGTGAGGTGGGAGGATCACTTGAGGTCAGGAGTTCGAGACCAGGAGCTCAATTACAGGCTCAAACCAGTGCACCTGGCTTTACTGAGCACTTAGAAAGTACTAAACATTTCACACAATCCTTACAATGTCCCCAAAAAGCAAGTGTGTCAGAAAAGTGAAAGATCTTGGAACAATACCCTGCTCAGATGGAAACAGCCTGTTCTTCACCATTATGCTTTTATTTATTCATTCACTCAACAAATGTTTATTATCTCTGTGCTAGTGTCTGTTTTAGGTGCCAGTGATACAGCCTTAAAGAACTCAGAGTTTCAGTCCAACAGAGGAGACAGACAATAGACAAGTGAAGAAACAGGCTGCATGCTGTGGCTCATGCCTGTAATTCCAGCACTTTGGGAGGCTGTTCGAGGTCAGGAGTTTGAGACCAGCCTAGCCGACACGGCAAAAACCCGTCTCTATTAAAAAAAAAAAAAAATTAGCGTGGTGGCACGTGCCTGTAGTCCCAGCTACTCGGGAGGCTGAGGCAGGAGAATCACTTGAACCCATGAGGTGGAGGTTTCAGTGAGCGGAGATCACGCCACTGCATTCCAGCCTGGGCGACAGGGTGAGACTCCGTCTCAAAAAAAAAAAAAAAAAAAATCTGATACATCAACTAAGTAGTCTCCAGGCGGCTATGTCTAATAAACAGCTGGATATCTCAGAACTGGGTCCTTTTTTTTTTTTTTTTTTGAGACGGAATCTCGCTCTGTCGCCCAGGCTGGAGTGCAGTGGCGCGATCTCGGCTCTGCAAGCTCCGCCTCCCAGGTTCACGTCATTCTTCTGCCTCAGCCTCCCAAGTACCTGGGACTACAAGCGCCCGCCATCACGTCTGGCTAAGTTTTTGTATTTTTAGTAGAGACGAGGTTTCACCGTGTTGGCCAGGAAGGTCTCGATCTCCTGACCTCGTGATCCGCCTGCCTCGGCCTCCCAAAGTAGTGGGATTACAGGCGTGAGCCACTGCGCCCGGCGAGAACTGAGTCCTAAAATATTTCAATGTTTGGAGGTCCTACAAGGAGGAAATGGGATGATCAGTGAGGCAGGAAGAGAAAAATCCTGAGTGTGGTGTCACAGAATGCCAGTGAAGAAAAAGTGCTTCAAAAAAGACAGATTACTATATATGTTGAATGTTGCTAACAGGTAAAAAAAAGATGACTATAGATAAGTGTTTACTGGATTTGGCAACATGGAAATCATTGGTATCCTCCCCAACAGTTTAGGAGGAGTAGTGTGGACAGACTGGGGTGGATTGAAGAGGAAAGAGAAGTGAGGAAATGGAGACTGTGAGTGTAGACAACTTGTTTTAAAAGTGTTGTTACAAACATGGCCGGGTGCGGTGGCTCACCCCCATAACCCTAGCACTTCAGGAGGCTTAGGCGGGTGGATCACTTGAGGCCAGGAGTTTGAGACCAGCCAGGCCAACATAGCAAAACCCTGTCTCTGTTAAAAATACAAAAAAAAAATTAGCTGGGTATGGTGGCACATGCCTGTAATCCCAGCTACTCAGGAGGCTGAAGTAGGAGAATCGCTTGAACCCAAAAGGCAGAAGTTGCAGTGAGCCAAGATCGGCCACTGCACTCCAGCCTGGGGTATAGAGCAAGGCTCCGTCTCAAAAAAAAAAAAAAAAAAAAAAGCCAGGCGTGGTGGCTTATGCCTGTAATCCCAGCACTTTGGGATGCTGAGGCAGGCGGATCATGAGGTCAGGAGTTTGAGACCAGCCTGGCCATACGATGAAACCCTATTTCTACTAAAAATACAAAAATTAGCCAGGCATGGTGGCACGTGCCTGTGGTCCCATCTATTCAGGAGGCTGAGGCAGGAGAATCACTTGAACCCAGGAGGCGGAGGTTGCAGTGAGGCAAGCTGATGCCACTGCACTCCAGCCAGGATTTTTTGAGACAGAGTGAGACTCTGTCGCAAAAAAAAAAAAAAAAAAAGTTTTGTTACAAAAAGGAGCAAAGATGAGATAGCATAAAAGAAACGGGATGGTGATGATTCAATAGAAGTAATTGATAGACTAAAGAAAAATTCTGGTGAAGGCTTGTGTAGATGGAATCCATAGCACAAGAAGAGGATTTGCTTTTTTTTTTTTTTTAAATAGTGCCAGTCAAGTGGGAATGGAGAAGGAACAAATAAATCTGTAACTGGTTGTGATCAATTAGTTGTAAACACCGCCGCACTCAGACCAGCCATGGGTTTGCCCTTTGATAAGGGCAAAGACACATTTTTCGTGGTATCAGGGAAAAAGATTTAAAAAGACAAGGCAAATTTAAGTAGGCTCATGGCTTTTCCAGTTGGGTTGGAAAGTTCCTCTCCGATGACTGTTATATTCTCAAAGAAATATGAGGAGAGGGGCAGGGCATGGTGGCTCACATCCGTAATCCTAGCACTTTGGGAGGCTGAGGCGGGTGGATCATCTGAGGTCAGGATTTCAAGACCAGCCTGGCCAATATGGTGAAACCCCCGCCTCTATTAAAAATAAAAAAATTAGCCGGGCGTGATGGCACGTGCCTGTAGTCCCAGCTACTCGGGAGGCTGAGGCAGCAGAATAGCTTGAACCTGGGAGGTGGAGGTTGCAGTGAGCCGAGATTGCACCACTGCACTGCAGCCTGGGTGACAGAGCGAGACTCCGTCTCAAAAAAAAAAAAATAATGAAAGGAATCATGAGGTTACTATGTTATGTGAGTCAGAAAGAAAAGGGATGATCAGTAAGAGGCATGCTTGAACTAAAGATTTCAGAGATAGTGCAGTTACTGGTAATAACAATCAGGAGTGAGTGTGATGAGGGGAGGATGGGAGACTGGATGGTGATACAGGGTAGAAGAAAATACTAATGGAGGAGGTAAGGAACTGAGCCATTAGGGTGTTGGGTGGGTCATCTGCCTGGATCTTTTTTTGGTTTTTATGAGACGGAGTCTCACTCTGTGCCCAGGCTGGAGTGCAATGGTGTGATCTCGGCTCACTGCAATCTCTGCCTCCTGGGTTCAAGCGATTCTCCTGCCTCGGCCTCCCGAGTAGCTGGGATTACAGGTGCATGCCACCACGCCCTGCTAATTTTTGTATCTTTACTAGAGAGGGGGTTTTGTCATGTTGGACAGGCTGGTCTCGAACTCCTGACCTCAAGTGACCCTACTGCCTCAGCCTTGGGTCCCAAAGTGTTGGGATTACAGCCGTGAGCCACCGCACCCGGTCCCGCCTGGATCTTGAATGAAGAGAGTTAGATGCAGAAAAGAAGATAGAAGCTATGAGCTAATGTTGAGGGAGGAATTATTCCGCAAAAGGTCTGTGGACCTCAAAGAAACTGGAGATTGTGAAATACAGGCTGGGCGTGGTTGCTCACTCCCATAATCCCAGCACTTTGGGAGGCCTAGGTGGGTGGATCACTTGAGGTCAGGAGTTTGAAACCAGCCTGGCCAACATGGCAAAACCCTGTCTCTACTAAAAATACAAAAATTGGCTGGGTATGATGGCTCGCGCCTGTGGTCCCAGCTACTCGGAAGGCTGAGGCAGGAGAATCACTTGAACCTGGGAGGCAGAGGTTGCAGTGAGCTGAGATAGTGCCACTGCTCTCCAGCCTGGGCAACAGAGCGAGACTCTGTGTCAAAAAAAATAAGACTCTGTGTCAAAGAAAATAAGAGAAAAATAATTGATGCATCTGACTGGTTAATACCCTATAGACATTGTAACATTGTAATTTTTTTTTTTTTTTTTTTTTGAGACAGTCTGGCACTTGTCGCCCAGGCTGGAGTGCAATAGCGCGATCTCGGCTCACTGCAACCTCCGCCTCCTGGGCTCAAGCAATTCTCCTGCCTCAGCCTCCCAGGTGGCTGGGATTATAGGTGTGCACTATCAAGCTCAGCAATTTTTTTTTTTTTTTTTTGAGACTGAGTCTTGCTCTGTCGCCCAGGCTGGAGTGCAGTGGCACAATCTCGGCTCACTGCAACCTCTGCCTCCCGGGTTCAAGCAATTCTCCTGCCTCAGCCTCCCGAGTAGCTGGGACTACAGACGTGCACCACCACGCCCAGCTAATTTTTGTATTTTTAGTAGAGACGGGGTTTCACCATATTGGCCAGGCTGGTATCGAATTCCTGACCTCGTGATCCACCCACCTCGGCGCCCAAAGTAAGTGCTGGGATTACAGGCGTCAGCCACCCCACCCAGCCAAATTTTTGTATTTTTTAGTAAAGACGGGGTTTCGCCATGTTGGCCAGGCTGGTCTAGAACTCCTGACCTCAGGTGATCTGCCCGACTCGGTGTCCCAAAGTGCTAGGATTACAGGCGTGAGCCACAGTGCCCAGCCTAACATTGTAATTTTTTAAAAGTACCTTAGTCTGTTCGTAAAGTGTTGAGTGGAATATTTACATTCCTCCTGTGATTGGTGTTTGTAAACGTGTATATATACACACATACACACAAGGGCTCTTTTTGAACAAAGCGCGCACCCACAGAAGCCTATTGAAAAGTTTATGCTGCTACAATAAATCTGTATTCCTATGAGGTTCCATAATGAAATCAGTTAAGACTGCGTATGTTTGAAATCGGTAAGATTTTACTTCTCTACTTTCATTGAGTTGGCACGAGGTAGGGTAGACAGCAGGCACTCAATTTCTGATTTTGAATCGGAAAACATCTGTTTTTCTGGGCAAGGATATCAGTAGATTGCTCCTAGGGACAATCAAGAAAGAAAAGAGACCTCCAACGCTTCTCTGCAGGAGCGGATAGAGCCCTGGTTATTTGCTCGCAAGTGAAAATTGCCCTGGCATACCCATTCAAATTTCTCCTAGCAAATCATAGTGGCCTACAGCCAACGCCTTCTTCGCTCACTGGCCAACTGGAAACTTCAGTCCCCCCATGCCTCCCGCCTCTCACCCAGGGGCCAATAGGAATGATCAGAGGTTCGCAACTTAGTGTCATCAAGCATAGTAATTGCAATTGGCTATTGGAGCTGTCGATCGTGGAGTAGGCGGGGCCGTGCCAGCTGGCCTATATAAGACGAGGACAAAGGCGGCGCGCCGCCTGTGTCATCCGCCATTTTGTGAGAAGCAAGGTGGCCTCCACGTTTCCTGAGCGTCTTCTTCGCTTTTGCCTCGACCGCCCCTTGACCACAGACATGTCTCGGGATCGGTTCCGGAGTCGTGGCGGTGGCGGTGGTGGCTTCCACAGGCGTGGAGGAGGCGGCGGCCGCGGCGGCCTCCACGACTTCCGTTCTCCGCCGCCCGGCATGGGCCTCAATCAGAATCGCGGCCCCATGGGTCCTGGCCCGGGCCAGAGCGGCCCTAAGCCTCCGATCCCGCCACCGCCTCCACACCAACAGCAGCAACAGCCACCACCGCAGCAGCCACCGCCGCAGCAGCCGCCACCGCATCAGCCGCCGCCGCATCCACAGCCGCATCAGCAGCAGCAGCCGCCGCCACCGCCGCAGGACTCTTCCAAGCCCGTCGTTGCTCAGGGACCCGGCCCCGCTCCCGGAGTAGGCAGCGCACCACCAGCCTCCAGCTCGGCCCCGCCCGCCACTCCACCAACCTCGGGGGCCCCGCCAGGGTCCGGGCCAGGCCCGACTCCGACCCCGCCGCCTGCAGTCACCTCGGCCCCTCCCGGGGCGCCGCCACCCACCCCGCCAAGCAGCGGGGTCCCTACCACACCTCCTCAGGCCGGAGGCCCGCCGCCTCCGCCCGCGGCAGTCCCGGGCCCGGGTCCAGGGCCTAAGCAGGGCCCAGGTCCGGGTGGTCCCAAAGGCGGCAAAATGCCTGGCGGGCCGAAGCCAGGTGGCGGCCCGGGCCTAAGTACGCCTGGCGGCCACCCCAAGCCGCCGCATCGAGGCGGCGGGGAGCCCCGCGGGGGCCGCCAGCACCACCCGCCCTACCACCAGCAGCATCACCAGGGGCCCCCGCCCGGCGGGCCCGGCGGCCGCAGCGAGGAGAAGATCTCGGACTCGGAGGTGAGTGTCTATGGGAGCGACGCGTCGGCTCCCCTAAGATGGCGGCGGCCCCCTCCTCGCCCCCGCCCCCGCGCTGGGCTTCCATTTTGTCGGCTGCCGGAAGGGGCGCTTGCGCGCGCCGCTGCGGGGGCGGGGCGGCCTGCGGGGCCGTCGGTCGGCGGGGGATTGGCCGCCGCCGGGCCTTGCTCTCCCGGCGGGCGGAAGGCTAGGGGAGGTTTCCTTTCGGAAGGAAGCGCGGGGCCGCGGTGGTCGGCCCTGCAGAAGGTATCCTGTCCCTGGGACTGGCGTAATGCAGAGCATGCGGCGTAGGTTTGGAGAGAACCGGGAAGTTCCATAAAAGCGCAGGCGCAGATCGTGTAGGTTACAGTGGCATTTGGATTTGTGTTATTTTCCTATTTTAATTTTCATACTATTTAGATTTTTTTAGGGACACTCAACATATGTGGGTGACAGTTGCTGATGGACGTCTACTCTTTGGGGAAGTGTGTCTATTCTCGAACATTCTGGATGATGGGGCTCCTTTTTCAATGTTAAGATAGTGCTCATGTTAGAAATCTCACATAGTAAAACCTTGATTTTGACCAAACGGAACAGAAAGGCAACTGATAGGTTTCAGATAAGCAAATACTATCTTGGGGATTTTCACTTGCAGAGGTCTCTGGTGTTTGAAAACTTCTTTCCTTTTTCATTAGGGGTTTAAAGCCAATTTGTCTCTCTTGAGGAGGCCTGGAGAGAAAACTTACACACAGCGATGTCGGTTGTTTGTTGGGAATCTACCTGCTGATATCACGGAGGATGAATTCAAAAGACTATTTGCTAAATATGGAGAACCAGGAGAAGTTTTTATCAACAAAGGCAAAGGATTCGGATTTATTAAGCTTGTGAGTGTAATTGTTTGATTTTACGTAGAATTAAAAAGGGTGGGGGATTTTTTTGTCACTACAAACGCTGAAGGCTTGGTTTTTAAACTGGGGAGGATAAATTGATCTTTTAGATTTTTCACCATTCTTACAGGAAAAATGCTTGCGGTATAATGCATAATTGTTGCTACCTAAGAGAAAAGAGGGGTGGGGTGGGTAAACTAAGTGGTGTTAGTGGGTGCTGCCTAAAGGTAATGGTCGAACTGAGCTGAAGGAAGAAAGGGAGTAGGAAGTAGGCCTATGACAATTTAAGAGTAGACATCATCCAATTTTGAGGTCATTAACATGAGTGTCTCTGATACACAGGAATCTAGAGCTTTGGCTGAAATTGCCAAAGCCGAACTGGATGATACACCCATGAGAGGTAGACAGCTTCGAGTTCGCTTTGCCACACATGCTGCTGCCCTTTCTGTTCGTAATCTTTCACCTTATGTTTCCAATGAACTGTTGGAAGAAGCCTTTAGCCAATTTGGTCCTATTGAAAGGGCTGTTGTAATAGTGGATGATCGTGGAAGATCTACAGGGAAAGGCATTGTTGAATTTGCTTCTAAGCCAGCAGCAAGAAAGGCATTTGAACGATGCAGTGAAGGTGTTTTCTTACTGACGACGTAAGTTGTCTTGTTTATTCTAATAATTTCTATCAACTTATATGAGAATGGTGGCAATAAAACTGGAACAAAGCTAAGATGGAACCATTTTTGTTATTAGAACTCCTCGTCCAGTCATTGTGGAACCACTTGAACAACTAGATGATGAAGATGGTCTTCCTGAAAAACTTGCCCAGAAGAATCCAATGTATCAAAAGTAAGATTGATTAAACTTTTTTGGCAGTTTTTAAATCAAGTGTAAAGGTTAAATTTATTTTAGTGATTTTCCAATTTTGCTTAAAATATGCAAAATTATTTGATGTGGATATGCTTATTAGTAAAAAATCTCAGGCTGAGAAAGATTTGAAGCTGTTATTCAGATAGCTGTTTGCTTCTAAGGTGGATACATTCACATGCAGTCCTGTTTTGTCCCTGCAATAATGGCATAAAGTCACGTGTGTGACTGAGTCTCTGTTGCCCAGGCCAGAGTGCAGTGGCATGACCTCAGCTCTCTGCAACCTCTGCCTCCCAGGTTCAAGCGATTCTCCTGCCTCAGCCTCCCAGGTAGCTGGGATTACAGGCATGTGCCACCATGCCTGGCTCGTTTTCTATTTTTAGTAGAGATGGGCTTTCACCATGTTGACTAGGCTGATCTCGAACTCCTGACCTCAGGTGAGTCGCCCACCTCGGCCTCTCAAAGTGCTGGGATACAGGCATGATGCACCGTGCCTGGCTGAAGTACGTTTTTTTTTGTTTTGTTTTTGAGCTGGAGTTTCGCTGTTGTTTCCCAGGCTGGAGTGCAGTGGTGTGATTTCAGCTCACTGCAATCTTTGCCTCCCGGGTTCAAGTGATTCTCCTGCCTCAGGGTTCCAGAATAGCTGGGATTACAGGTGCCTGCCACCATGCCCAGCTAATTTTTTGTATATTTAGTGGAGACGGGGTTTCATCATGTTGGCCAGATGGGTCTTAAACTCATGACCTCAGGTGATCCACCTGCCTTGGCCTCTCAAAGTGCAGGGATTACAGGGGTGAGCCACCGCGTGTGGCCTACAGTACATTTTTATGGGTGGAAAAAATAAGCCTCGGTAAGGAATTTGGCTAGAGGAAAACAATTAGAAAACGAGGAAGGTAGGATTTATCTCCAGTGCCTGCATTCTTTTACTGAGTGTTCTGAGTATTTTTGCTGTGAAGATATTTATAGATGAATCAGGAAAATTTTTGCCTTTTGTACTCTTTACAAGAAATAGAACAGGAAAAAGATCAGTACTAGGGCAAGTATTTTCTGGTATGCATTCACAAATCGGTTCATGTTAAAATTTTGTGTATTGTTAGGGAGAGAGAAACCCCTCCTCGTTTTGCCCAGCATGGCACGTTTGAGTACGAATATTCTCAGCGATGGAAGTCTTTGGATGAAATGGAAAAACAGCAAAGGGAACAAGTTGAAAAAAACATGAAAGATGCAAAAGACAAATTGGAAAGTGAAATGGAAGATGCCTATCATGAACATCAGGCAAATCTTTTGCGCCAAGGTAAAAAGACCTGTGCGTGAACATCATTGCTAAGGTCAATTGTTTTTCACCTTATTAGAACCTTGTTAATGTGAATCCAAATATTTTCCAATGTTCAGATCTGATGAGACGACAGGAAGAATTAAGACGCATGGAAGAACTTCACAATCAAGAAATGCAGAAACGTAAAGAAATGCAATTGAGGTAAAATTGTGTTTAAGGTTTAAGCCTTCATTTATTTTTTTCTTTGAAACGTATCATTCTGTTGCCCGGGCTGGAGTGCAGTGGTGCAGTCTCAGCTCACCACAACCTCCGCTTCCTGGGTTCAAGCGATTCTCTTGCCTCAGCCTCCCGATCAGCTGGGATTACAGGCATGCGCCACGACACCTGGCTAATTCTTCCTGTATTTGTAGTAGATAACGGGGTTTCGCCATGTTGGCCAGGCTGGCCTTGAACTCCTGAGCTCAAGTGATCCACCTGTCTCTGCCTCCCAAAGTGCTAGGATTACAGGCATGAGCCGCCACGCTTGGCCATTTTTTTTCTTCCTTTTTTGAGATGGGCCCAGGCTGAAGTGCAGTGGCATGATCATAGCTCACTGCAGTCTCAAACTCCTCAGCTCTAGCAGTCCTCCTGAGTAGCTGGGACTAGAGGCACAGGCCACCACCCCCAGCTAATTTTTTAATTTTTTTTGTATTTGTGGAGATGGAGTCTTCCTATATTGCCTAGGCTGGTGTCAAACTCCTGGCCTCCTAAAGTACTGAGATTACAGGCATGAACTACCAACCCTGGCCTTAATCCTTGACTTATGCACTAACATTTATATTCTGACATTTAGGGAAAAGATGTACTTAGTTTTTCAGGTCAGTCAGGCAAAATACAAAGGTTAAATATGTCAGTGTTGGTTTAACACTTAAAATCGAATACAGTGTAAGATTATCCTTAATAAAGCCTACATTATTTGCCAGAATGTCTTTAGTACTATGCCCCTAGGCTCACTCTAAGCCTTTGTGTTTTTTAGTGCTAACCTAGTTCTTAGGTCAACTGCTAGGTTTCTTCACATTGAATTCTAAAAGATGTGGATAACACTTCAGTTATGTACCTGATGGGTATTTCTAGGCAAGAGGAGGAACGACGTAGAAGAGAGGAAGAGATGATGATTCGTCAACGTGAGATGGAAGAACAAATGAGGCGCCAAAGAGAGGAAAGTTACAGCCGAATGGGCTACATGGATCCAGTAAGTCAGCCTTTACTGCCTTCCAATTGGAGTTGTCTATAGAACTTGCAGGTACCTAGAAGGAATTACAGGAAATTTTAATATCAAATTACAGTTATTTTCTGCTTTTTTTCTAACAAAGTATATTATGTTTGATTTCCTTGTATGGGTCAGAGGATTTAATTGAATAGGAAGTTTTTTTGTGTTTTGTTTCTTGGTTTTTTTGTTTTGTTTTGTTTTTTTGTTTGTTTGGTTTTTTTTTTGGAGAGAGTTTTGCTCTTGTCACCCAGGCTGGAGTGCAGTGGCTTGATCTTGGCTCACTGCAGCATCTGCCTTCTGGGTTCAAGTGATTCTCCTGCCTCAGCCTCTTGAGTAGGTGGGATTACAAGTGCCTGCCATCAGGCTCGGCTAATTTTTGTATTTTTAGTAGAAATGGCGTTTCGCCTTGTTGGCCAGGCTGGTCTTGAACTCCTGACCTCAGGTGATCTGCCTGCCTCGGCCTTCCAAAGTGCTGTGATTACAGGCGTGAGCCACTGCTCCCGGCCTTGAATAGGAAGTTTTGTAGGTCTTTGGATAATTGAGTCTAACTTAGTTTTCAGAATATTGATTTCAAAAATAATTCACATGATGAACTTTTGAACTTTACCATGTTTTTTATTTAACTCTTGAAAATTTCTCAGTTCTTAAGAATGCTTGCTGTGGGTATAGTGCAGGTATATTGAAAGGAATTTTTTTCTTGCAGCGGGAAAGAGACATGCGAATGGGTGGCGGAGGAGCAATGAACATGGGAGGTAAGTGTGAAATTTAAATTAATGATATAAGTAGAGAGTAGTATCCTGGTGGAGTTGTAACCACTATTTTTGTTTTCTAGATCCCTATGGTTCAGGAGGCCAGAAATTTCCACCTCTAGGAGGTGGTGGTGGCATAGGTTATGAAGCTAATCCTGGCGTTCCACCAGCAACCATGAGTGGTTCCATGATGGGAAGTGACATGGTAATGTATCCTGTGGGACGTAGTACCAAGGAAATTCTCATTTTCACAACTTAGGTGTGTTTGTTTTGTTTTGTTTTGTTTTTTTAAGTAGGTGACTGGACCTCTTTTAGTTTCCCCTACCAATTTCATACATAAATATGTAATATTGAGGAATACTTTGGCAACATAGAAGAACTCGGTGTGTGGTAACCTAAACAGATAACGGTTGCCAACAAGGAGTCAATGCTGTTAGTATTATGTGGAATTACCTTTGGCAATAAGTAGATTTAGGTGCTTTTGAACTCTAGTGCATGGCAAATCCAAATTCTAGATGCTAGATAATGTATCTGATTATTCTACATCCAAGTGAGAATAATCAAATGGCAAACTCATTCTTTAAGCTGGTATTTGCCATAAGTAGGAATCAGACTTGTAGTTTGAAGCTTTAGGCACGTTTTAGTGATGTGTAGGACTTTGACCTATATTTGGTGTGGCTTCTATCCTATGAAAAGGGAATTGAGTGTTTTGACTCGTCGTTTCCCACCTGTTGGGCCTGTCTGTAGGTATACCTTCTAAAATCAACTGACATCTCCATTTTGCTACAGAGTAGCAAAAATCAACAATTTTTAAGCATACTAATGGTGTGCATTTGATCTGAACCTTCTTGATGCTATCATGTTTCAGCTGTGAATATAGCCTGTCAGATGCTTAGAACAATCAGTTGAACTGGTATGAGTGGCTGCATTAGGGCTTTACAAATCGTTAGGACTGAATTTTGGTGGGTTTAGAGAGTGCATTTTTATAGCTGAGTTGAATGTGATGAGTTCACTACAGGCTTTTGGCAAAGGAGGGGAGCTGCAGTGAGTAGCTCATAAGATTCATTTTATAAATAGAAACATAAGGATTTTGTATAAGGCCTCACCTGTTTATAATCTACCTAAGACTTTTTGGGAATTAAAGTTAGAATTATAAATGGCTGGTTGGGTAAAATGTAATACTATGGGCTTTCTTTAGATTTTTCAGAGTATGTGGGTAACATTTTGGTTTATATTCTTCCTAAAGACAGATTGTTAGGTAATGTGTAAAATCTAATTTGACCTTATGTTCTCACAATTAAAGGTTTATATTCTAGATAACAGGTAGCTGATAGCTCCTGGGTTCTCAGCTGGTGTAATTAACATAATTATGAAAGCCCCAACTTTTTCTTTTTTTTAAGTTCTTAGAGGTAGAACACAGAACAATGAGCCAAAAACCCTGTAATTTATAAGATTTTGAAAAACAAAGGATAAAAGTTTAGTCATGTTGAGTAGCTCAATAGTATTTTGTTTAAAAGAATGTTGAAATTGTGTATAGGAACAGTTAAACCCTGATGCCCTTTTAGTTTTTTATTTGGAGTAATACTCTTAGTAACTGGTCTATTATAAATGGAATGAGAAAAAGTGTAGGCTGCTGTGTTTGCATACCTGAGGGGTCTGCTATTTAGGCACATATGTTTCTATTGAAAACTTCTATCTCCAGAATTACCTAAAACTAGATGGGAATAGTGAAGTCACTCACTGCTTTATTGCAGTTACTTTAGCTTCGTGTTTCACTGTTCGGGAAGTGTCTAAAACATGGAATTACAGCAAAGTGTCTGCACTTTTCAAAGACCTAAGGGAAAAGATGGACTGATGAAGGTGGGTGGGGTTTGTTCATTTAGTTTGCAACAATATAGAATAGTACTGAGAACGTAATTGTCTCTGGTTATATAGTGATGGCTCGGAAGGTAGTGTGCCTGTGAGAATTTGGCAACATAAGTTTTTTTGATCAAGTTACTGTGCCGGTTAAGTGACTAAATCTATAGTCTTATGCTTTTTCTTTTTGTAGTCTGGTAGCATTTTATTAAAACTTTCAACCTTTTAAGATTTCTGCAACTTAGCAGATGTGTCTTAAGATCTTGAAAAGCACAAGGTTTCTTAAGCAGCACATGCCACTAACTGGTGAGTAGGTCTTTGTCACTTCATTGAGTGAATTGAATCTCTGGTTGGGCTTGTTAGGCTTACTTGGAAATTAAATTTCCGTTCAGACGTTGAAAGTGAGAGTTTGCAAGTTTTTCAGTGGGTTAATCTGATGTGAAATTTCTTAGAACTCATTTTGGAATGGATTTTCACATCTGCACTAATTCTTAAATTTTTTAGCACTACAGGGAAGATCTGTTCTTTGAAACAGGTGTATGAGAATGGCTCAAGTGGGAACATACCACAAGGCATGTATTACCGTAAACTAATTTTCAAATTACCCTTTTTTCCTTTCTATGTTCCCGGTACCTGTGGATCGACTCATTGGTGATTGTATCGACGAACGTTGACTACGGAACCTTCTAAAATATTTACTTAACACACATGGACATCAACTACTTATAATGAACTGTTAATTACTGTTCCAATAGCGTACTGAGCGCTTTGGGCAGGGAGGTGCGGGGCCTGTGGGTGGACAGGGTCCTAGAGGAATGGGGCCTGGAACTCCAGCAGGATATGGTAGAGGGAGAGAAGAGTACGAAGGCCCAAACAAAAAACCCCGATTTTAGATGTGATATTTAGGCTTTCATTCCAGTTTGTTTTGTTTTTTTGTTTAGATACCAATCTTTTAAATTCTTGCATTTTAGTAAGAAAGCTATCTTTTTATGGATGTTAGCAGTTTATTGACCTAATATTTGTAAATGGTCTGTTTGGGCAGGTAAAATTATGTAATGCAGTGTTTGGAACAGGAGAATTTTTTTTTCCTTTTTATTTCTTTATTTTTTCTTTTTTACTGTATAATGTCCCTCAAGTTTATGGCAGTGTACCTTGTGCCACTGAATTTCCAAAGTGTACCAATTTTTTTTTTTTTACTGTGCTTCAAATAAATAGAAAAATAGTTATAATATTGATCTTCAACTTTGCCATTCATGCTTCTATGCATATTAGGCTACGTATTCCACATTGAAAGCATGAGAGTGTCTAGGCCTTTGAATGGCATATGCCATTTCTGGGAAATGCATCTGGAGGCTAAGTATTGCTTTCTACAAATAATTGCCCCCTTTGTTTTAAAAAGAAGAAATGCATATTGAAGTAGTTTGATGATTTGTTTGGCATATAGGAAGCACGCTGGTGCTAAGTATTTTTTAAATGGTTATGTAAGCAAAGCTGAACTGTAAATCTTCAGGAATATGTATTAAGATTGTGGAATGGGTGTAAGACAATTGGTAGGGGGTGAAAGTGGGTTTGATTAAATGGATCTTTTATGGCCCTATGATCTATCCTTTACTTGAAAGCTTTTGAAAAGTGGAAAGGTCATTTTGTTGCATTTCCCCATTTCTTGTTTTTAAAAGACCAACAAATCTCAAGCCCTATAAATGGCTTGTATTGAACTTTTACATTTGAATTAAAGATGTTAAACATGAAGTCTTTTCATGTATTCAAGTGATTTATAAAGATGGGGTGTAGTCTAAAAAACAAAACTTGAAAGTAAGAAGGTTTAGTAACTGGGCCGGGCGCGGTGGCTCACGCCTGTAATCCCAGCACTTTGGGAGGCTGAGGTGGGCAAATCATGAGATCAGGAGTTCAAGACCAGCCTGGCCAACATGGTGAAACCCCGTCTCTACTAAAAATACAAAAAATTAGCTGGGCGTGGTGGCAGGCGCCTGTAATCCCAGCTACTCGGGAGGCTGAGCCAGGAGAATTGCTTGAACCTGGAGATGGAGGTTGCAGTGAGCTGAGACTGCCACTGCACTCCAGCCTGGACAACAGAGCGAGACTCTGTCTCAAAAAAAAAAAAAGGTTTAGTACTGAAGTAGGTTTAGTTATATATACATTTGTACTCTGTAACTTTTACATCTCCTTGTGCTACTTCTGTTGGGCAAAATCTATAGGACTATAAAAATCTATTGGTTCTCTTCTAAGAGCTAGTGGTGATTGTTAACAAATAGGGTTGCAGATAATCATTCTTATTGTAAATTTAACTTGTTTTCACATAGTTTCGTTTTCATGTAGCACTAAATCTGGAGAAAGTTGCTCATGCTACACAGTACAAATATCCCTTCCTCCCACCATAAAGGCTTGGAATGTTTCCATGGTGTTGTCAGTTAATTGTCAACTTCATTGAACCCCCTTCCATTAGAACAAGAGACTTTGACTATTAAAGTAGATTGTTTATTGTTGCCTGTTAGTATAATGGGAGCCTGATTTCCCAGTGTAAATATGTTAGAGGAACAGCTTCCTAACAGTAGGTAAAGTAATTGAATGGTTTGGCTTTGTTCTGAGTTACGTTCCATTCAAATCTGTACATTGTAGAATTCTTACTATGGAATGTGTCTTCCTCCTTTTCACCTCTTTTCTTGGTGCTAATTGGCAAAAGAAAAATTCTAAGTCAAACCTTTATTAACATGCTGAAGTTTAGTATTGTGCCTGTGTACAAAAGGAGACCTATTGTTGGAACAATCTGAGCACTTTCTGCATAGGAAACAGGATAATGCTGAAAGTAAACACTAGTGTATAAAAGCATCTCACCAAATACTGGTTGTATGACTGACAGGTACATGGTGTGCTAAGGGAGAGAATCTCATTAGAAAGTAATGCTCATTATATCATTCACCAGCACACTCGGAAATATGAGTAGTTTTACCATGATTATATCAGTGAGGAAGTTTTGTCCCCAAACAGGTTATTAATTGGTGATACATAAGAGATTTTCTGTACGGAAACAAGGGTCTTGATTAGAAAGGAATCCATTACAGTTTGGTTGAATTATATAGTAGGGACTCTACTAAAGACAAGAAAATAAGGGGTGTTCCATGGGACACCCACAGAGGGTGAACTTTGAATGTGTGTGGGTGGGGGCTGGTCGGGAAATGGGAAAATCTGCCTATAAAATTAATGTTTCAGTTTATTTTTCAGATTACATGCCTTTCTTTATAAGGGATGCTGGCACAGACCCCCTAAAATAAGCTTTTGGTAGTACTGTACCTTTGAAGAGTGGTGAAGGATGCTAATGGATAATCTCCTGAAAGTTGTGGCTTTTGATACCCTTACTGTGGACTGTAGAGTTGCTAAACGTTGTTTAGCAAATAATGTTGCTTAGTTTCAAATGACATTTGACTTTCATCACTAAAACAGCAATGTACTCAGGGTTGTAAGCTTACTCAAATAGACTTTCAATAAGTCTTCAATGTATATATGATAGTTTTTAGCCTAATGTGAATTTAAATAATCTTAATAGTTTCCTAAAAGTCGATCTGAAACTTGGGGTGGGAAAGGGGAGGTAGCAATTTTTGAAGTATTTTAGCCATTTTTTTCATTTAAAGAAACCACTTGTCCCCATTTCCTCTTCTCCACTTTCTCATAATTTTGTTTTAAGAGGAACACTGGTTGTTTTTTATACTTCTCCTAATCTTTAAAAACTGCATATTGTTAAGACCCCAGTGTATTTAATAGGTATTTTATAAGCATAGCCCATTGGCTCATGTTAGTGAAACCATAATCCTCTTTGCTTAGAACATTAAACTCATAAGAAGTACTACAAACCCCACCACTCTTTATAGATGTATTGTACCACTAATATAAACAGCTAAAAAATGGGGAAATTGTAATGTTACGCCTGTGCAATTTTTAAGTGGCATATTATGGCAGATTAAAATTTAGATACTTGGCTTTTCTTGGGCAAGCCACTAAGTTGTGGCGGAATGTTTTCTGGTGTTCTTGGACTGCAATTATGCACTATTAAAGTAGTGGCCTGCTACATAACTGCATTTAGCCAGCATTTCTGCAGTGCGTAACTGTGAGGAACGTAGTACCGCAAATGGCAATGGACATTAGGACCCGGATGTAGTATTCCTGCTTGCTCCAAGATTCTCATTGCCGACTGCATACAGGTAGGTAACAAGCAATATAATCTAACTTGGTGACTTGTATGTACTTTTATTCCGTGGGCATTCTGGCATCACATTTCTGACAATGAAATTACAGTGCAGCACCTAACACTTGTATGGTAAAGCTAGCTTACATCAAAACTGTGTGGGTGTGGGGTTAGAGCTGTAATTTGTCAGGCAGAATTCAGTGCTGTTGCAGTTCTCAGATAAAAAGTGCAAACTTGATTCTTTGGTATATCTGACTCAGTTGTGTGGTTTCCTTTAGTTGCATTGTAACTGAAGATAACATGGAACACATCAGTGGTGTGGGGGAGAGGGAACTAAACTATACTTGGGAACTAGGGTGCTTTTAGCACCTTGACATGGACCGTATAGCATGTGATAATTAGTCTCTATTGTAGCAAACTGACCTGCCCATAGATCGGCAATATCAGTAATTTCATTATGCAATCTTGGTAATTCTACAAGTTGAGTTGAACTAAAAGTACAGGTTTTTTTGTAATGCGATTTAAAATTTTTAAAAACATGGGCTTCATGAAAACACCATTGTTACTAACTTGGGCTTAGATGGGAATCTAATGTGAATAGTTCAAGTTATGGGACTTGTCTAAATGTGTCTATACTCTAAACCTGGGGGAAGGTGGTGTGGAACATTGACTTGACTACAGTCGAATACATGTTGGGAATCATTCCCAATCATAAGACATCGTCGTTTCTGTAGGATGACTGCATATGTTCAGAGTAGCTTTTTGAATTTGGTTCCCTTAGCTTTAGGGATGTGATGTTATAGTCCAAAATGTTTACAAGAAAACCTAAGTCTTCAAAAGCACAACTTTTGTTGCTTAGGACTTTGCATCAACTGTTGTTCCAGACCTCACTTCAACTTCTTGGTCTCTGAACTGGTTTTAGCTAGCATGCATGAGAGACAGTTTTCATGTATAATGTTTCTGCTCTGTAACTGGAAAGTGGTTTACTTTGCATAAATGCTGATGAAAACTTCATGACTATGAGACTTTTCTTCTGTGTATCAAGAAAAAGCTTGCTCGTTGGCAAGCAATTCACAAGGTGGGGACAGACTTGTACTTTAACATGTAGTCCATTCAAGCAAACAACTTTGGACTCTACTGATAGATGAAAGAGCAAATGATGACTAGTTTAGCCTCTGCATATCAACAATATAATGCAGATCAAGTATAATGCTCAATATTAGTGACATGAGTATCACTAAATTACATAGAACCCTGATGGGGTTTCCTGTGTCGTAATCCATTAAATCGGTGGCCAGTGCTTGCTGCCGTGGTTTAGTGATTGGGTGTTAGAAATAAAAACTCAGGTCTATTTCTTACCAGTCAGTAACAATTTTTAGAGAATGTACTTGGTATATAATATATGGACTTCAGGAACTTTATTGGGGTGGGGGGTTAATTTTGCCTTACCCTGTTCACTTTCAGATGATTAGGCTTTTGCACTTTAGAATGAGAAACTTGTGACGTTAGTGTGTTCTTACTAGCTTTAATTTGTATGTAGCAATGAATTGTGAATCTTAGTGCAGTGGGTTTTTTTAAAAAACTCAAAAAGCTGGGAATTAAGTGGTTTCAGTAATAATGCTATACCGAGGTGCTTGCATTGTATTTCATAATTTTGTTACAAACCAAAATTATTTTTAATGAGAACAGTCTTGGGTTCAGAGGTGTGATGCCAGAATGTATTTTCGTACTGTTAGGCCCTTGGAACAGATACCGGTGCTTTCTGAAAGATGAAAGAAATGCAATGGGTGCTCTTCATGCAAGGTTGCAAACCTACCAAGAATGCATAATAGTCTCACTTTTCCCCAATAAAGAGATGCGTGTGACTAGTTTTGGACTTTTAACCTTAATGGGGGTTGCATGTCTCCTATTGTTAATCATTGTCAGCTGCAGTGACATGATCCACAGTCCTGCATTTACTGCCTTTCACTTAATGATTTTGGACAGGTTTTAGAGAGCCAGGATGTTGGTCTGGGCCTTTATTTGGTTTTGGCTTTAGCTGATAATGTTTTAGTGATGTCAGCTAGTGCAGTTCTCAAATGGCTGCCTATTAGGGAAAGAATTCAGAGGATTTGACTGCTCCTAATCATCTGTCATTGCTGCTAGATAATGATTGGCAATTTTTAAGACTCAACTGGAAATCTCAACAGTTGCTGGTAAACCATTAACCATAAAAACGTTGCTTTTGAACACCAGTGCTGAAAAAAATATTTTTTTTTTTTTTTTTGAGAGTGAAAAGGGCTTGGACTTAAGATAGGACAATGTGGAGAATGGGG